>NC_000023.11:3387488-4012488 GCF_000001405.40 Homo sapiens
ACATATGTGTGTGTATGTATGTGTGTATATATATGTGTGTGTGTATGTATGTGTGTATATATATGTGTGTATGTATATGTGTATATATGTGTGTGTATGTGTATATATGTGTGTGTATGTATGTGTGTATATATGTGTGTATATATGTGTGTGTATGTATGTTTGTATATATGTGTGTGTATGTGTGTGTATATATATGTGTATGTATGTGTGTGTATGTGTGTATATATGTGTGTATGTATGTGTGTATATATATGTGTGTGTGTATGTATGTGTGTATATATATGTGTGTGTGTGTATGTGTGTATATATATGTGTGTGTGTGTATGTGTTTATATATGTGTGTGTATGTATGTGTGTATATATGTGTGTGTGTATGTATGTGTGTATATATATATGTGTGTGTGTGTTTCTATACATCTAGCTATTGTGTATCTATTCTATCATGTATTTCTTTATCTACTATCTACCTATCATCTATCCATTATCTGTCTACCTATCATCTATCTATGTATCTATCTATCACATCCATCTATCAGGCTGTTATATATTTATTCCATCTATTCATCTATCTTCCATCCATCCAATTCATCTGTTATCTATCTTTCTATTTATATATCATCCATCATCTATTTATCCATTCATCTATCTATTCTCTACCTATCTACCTATCATCTATTTTTCTATCATGCATTCATATAGCTATTATGTATCTGTTATATCATCTGTGTATCTATCTGTCATCTATTATGCGTTTATTTATCTATTATCTATATACCTATTACTTATCTATCATCTATCTTTTATGTATGTGCATGCATTCATGCCTGTCTAGATATAGATGCATGTATGTATGTGTGTGTGTATGTAGATGTAGATATTCATTAAGGATTTGAACTGCTTTATAAAAGTTTGTGAACCAACTTATGTGAATAACAAAATTGGATAAGGTAGGGTCACAATATTTGAACAGTATATATTACTGGGACGATTTTCCTGTTTTCTTCAAATCCCACCTTGTTAACAAGTTAATAATAAGATTGATAAGGTCAAGTCAGGTTCCTGAGCTTTAGCCATGAGCTGCATCTTCCTTCTTCCCTGGGTCAGAAGACTCACAGATGATCCCTTATGCCCACAGGCAACAGAAGCTTTTATTTGAAAGTAGCAATGCAGACAGAATGTATTTTTAGAAATTCATTAACATATGGGATGCTAAAGTATTAATCTTATCCTCCTTTGATCACTTTCAGCCTCATGCTTTCTGGGTGTTTTTATAATACGTTTCTTCACATTTGCAAACTATTACATGACTCACATTTGGGAAATAAAAGTGACATTAGTTCAAAAGATTCAAACTTCTTCATTTTGACTCTAAAATCAGAAGTAACCTTTGATGATCTATAAACGCTTTGGATCTTTAATCCAACTATACAGCAAAGGGGAAAAAATTGGCATTTTTAAAGATGTTTTTATTGGAACTCTTCTTACAGAAGAAAAATCAGCAGTTATTTTACTATAACAGAATATACCATCAGTGCAAAGCATAAAGCATTTTAACTGAGTATGCAAATGCTACATGGTTATTCCAAAGGGAAGAGAGGTGAATGGAAAAGAAGATAAGCATGATTTATAGTATGTCAGTGCCTAAGACTGTTACCTTCTTAAAGTAACCAATAAAGAAGAGCAACTGTATCTACTTACATAATTTTAGCAAAGACCTTGAAAACTGCAACAATTTAGAGCAAATGCATATTTGAGCTGTCATTAAGCAGGTAGATTAAAAGAGGAAAATAGTGGTAGTTAAACACAAATATTATGATCAGAAGCGTTTAAAACTGAATGAAGCACATGGCAAGCAGCCATCATTCTGCTGCTCCACATCTAGGAAGAAAAATGCCAAAATAAGGAAGGCAATTTCCAAAATAAAAAAATAAAGCCTTCGCTGGAAGAACGTCTCCATTTTTCTTTATTCTTTGTGGGTTATGCCTACTCTTCCAGTTACTGGTCATCTGGGAATCTGTGGTTGCAAATTGTTAACATATAATTTCTTTCTAAGATACCACATGGTGCCCCTGGAATTAGAGTAGATGTTCTTTGGGGGCTTAGCTTTGGTTTAGAATTAACAAAATGATGAGCAGGCGGAGGATTTACTTTAAAGGAGGTTTAAGATTCCTTCTTGGCTCCAAATTTATCCAGCATTAAATTAAAGGCCTATGAGAGCAAGTAGCCACTAAATAAATCTTTTTTCAAACATTAAGTGTGTATATCATATTTAGGCACACGAAGGGTTTCTGAGGTGAATGTGTTTCATGGATGGATTGCCTGGGAAGGGAGTCCTAATATAAAATGGGTACTTTCTAATTTGGGTATGTATGGCTTTATTCATAAAGAAAAAGCAAACTAGAAAGATATGAGACATCACCCACAACCAATGCTTCAGAAACTTCAATGTACATATGGATCCTGTTAAAATGAAGATTCTGGTGTGGCAGGCTGGGGCTGGGACCCAAAATTCTGCATTTCCAACAGCTCCCAGGTGATGCTGATGCTATGAGCCTATGGACCACACTGAAGGGCTGTGCCCCAGCCCACCACATGTAAGTCACAATCTCCAGGAGCAGAACCTGGCACTGGATTCTTTTTTAAACTCCCAGGGGATGCTACCATGCAATCAGAATTCAAAAACATGAATGTACACTCATAGATGGGTTTTCCAGAAGAGAATAAAACCTAAAATCCCTTAGAGTTGTCCAAGTTCATGTTACAAGACAGCAGCATCGTGAAGACTACAGGCTACTTCCCTGACCTCTAGGTCTTGGTAGCTGACACTTTATTACTCTAATGCGGGGGACCCCAAACCCCCAGGCCATGGAACAGTAGTGGTCTCTCCATCATAGTTCCTCCTTTTACTAACATCATGGCTGCAGGATGCCCTCTTACGATTTAAAAAGTGACATCAAACCAAAGGAGGTGGCCGGGCACGGTGGCTCATGCCTGTAATCCCAGCACTTTGAGTGGCCGAGTGGACCAGTCCTGGTCCATGGCCTGTTAGGAACTGGGCTGCACAGCAGGAAGTGAGCAGCAGGTGAGCGAACTTTCGTCTGTATTTACAGCCATTTCCCATTGCTCCTTACTGCCTGAGCTCCACCTCCTGTCAGATAAGCGGCGGCATTTGATTCTCATAGCTGTGTGAACCCGATAGCGAACTGTGCATGCGAGGGATCAAGGCTGCGTGCTCCTTATGAGAATCTAATGCCTGATGATCTGTCACTGTGTCCCATCACCTCCAGGTACAACCATCTAGTTGCAGGAAAACAAGCTCCGGGCTCCCACTGATCCTACGTGATGGTGAGTTGTAGAATTATTTCATTATATGTTACAATGTAGTTATTATAAAACTAAAGTGCACAATAAATGTAATGCATTTGAATCATCCCAAAACCACCCCTCCCCAGTGTCAGTGGAAAAGTTTTCCTCCATGAAATCAGTCCCTGGTGCCAAAAAGATTGGGGACCACTGCTCTAGTATATATGGTATGAAGAACTTTAATTGATTAAAAGCAATTAAGTGCTAACAGTGAAGAGGTATGAATACAAGAGTAAAGGGAAACTGAATTACAAAAAATATTTTTCCATTCCTCCTTTGGTTTTGGGGATTTTGGGTTTTGTTTTGTTTTTTGAGACAAGATGTTGCTCCACTGCCCAGGCTGGAGTGCAGTGGTGCGATCTCGGCTCACTGCAACCTCTGCCTCCTGGGCTGAAGCAATTCTCCTGCCTCAGCCTCCAGAGTAGCTGGGACTATAGGCATGCGCCACCACACCCAGCTAATTTTTGTATTTTTTGTAGGGTTTCAGCATGTTACCCAAACTGGTCTGGAACTCCTGAGGTCAAGCAATCTGCCCACCTTGGCCTCTCGAAGTGCTGGGATTATAGGCATGAGCCACCACGGCCGGCTCCCTCCTTTGGTTTGATGTCACTTTTTAAATGGCAAGAGGGTATATTGCAGCTGTGATGTTAGCAAAATGAGGAACTATGATGGAGAGGCAGAAAGTGACAGGGAAAGTGGATGAGGAGAGAAGAGAGACAGATCAGATGGGGAAGATTTGGTCAGGAATTCCTTGGGCTTGAGTTTGTAAAACAGACTCCTTTGGCAAAGCCAGATTGCCATGGTGTCGATATCTCACATTCTTTCTCCCGCCCACTGGCTTTTCCTGACATGCCCACTCAACTTCATTAAAAGGTGCAGTGGCTCACGCCTGTAATCCCAGCACTTTGGGAGGCCGAGGTGGGCAGATCACCTGAAGTTGGGAGTTTAAGACCAGCCTGACCAACATGGAGAAACCCCGTCTCTACTAAAAATGCAAAATTAGCTGGATATGGTGGCACATGCCTGTAATCCCAGCTATTCAGGAGTCTGAGGCAGGAGAATCACTTGAAACAGGGAGGTGGAGGTTGCGGTGAGCTGAGATCGCACCATTGCACTCCAGCCTGGGTAACAAGAGCAGAACTCCGTCTCAAAAAAAAAAAAAAAAAAAAAAAAAAAAAGGCCCTATCGGTGTTAAATGTTGCCCACACCACAAAAGCACTTTCTTAAAGAGCCATTGACACGTTGCCTGAAGTCCTATTGACAGAAAGCAGACAATACAGTCAGCCTGAACAATTATTCCTTTTGAAGGCAGCTCCAAAAGACAGGCTCTTCTCTCTGCTCAGAGCTTTGGAAAGAAAAAATCCCAGCCCGGGCTAAAGAGAAAAATGCTTGCAAGATCAACCTGCATTGTCCTGTCACAAATAAGCACAGCGGGGAATATACAGGAATGTCCAAATTGCTGCCTTTCTGAGATTTTTATTTCTTCAAAATGACAAGGCATTCAGCAAAACATGAGAAACAGGTTTGCACAGATTGTCTTGTGGGGAAATCTTACATTGAGGCATATCCTTTTGGCAACTTTGTGGAAACCATCAATGAAACATGTCTGGAGGGAAGTCATCGATTCTACATTGAGAAGGTGCTGTGCAGTGGAACCTCCTACAACCCCACTTCTGGTTTCAGTTGGCATAAAATAGCAAGCATTGTTCATATATTTCTCACCCTAATATGCTTTAGAGTATTTCTTATTTGAAGGGATCATCATTTTACTTTAGTTATATTTTTCTGATAGAAGAAAGATTAAATAGAACAAATGTTAAATTCACAAGAGCAAAGACATGGAATCGGCCTAGGTGCCCATCCACAATAGACTGGCTAAAGAAAATGCACATATACACCATGGTGCATATATACCATGTAATACTATGCAGCCATAAAAAAGAAGAAAATCGTGTCCTTTGCAGCAACACGGATGCAGCCATTTTCCTAAGTAAATTAACGCAGAAACAGAAAATGAAATACTGCATGTTCTCATTTATAAGTAGAAGCTAAACATTGGGTACTCATGGATATAAAGATGAGAACAACAGATACTGGGGACTACTAGAACAGGGAGGGAGGTGGAGGGAAAGGGTTGAAAAACTACCTATTGGGTGCTATGCTCACTACCTCAGTGAGGTGATCAATCATACCCCAAACCTCAGCATTGCACAATACACCCATGCAAAAAACCTGCACGTGTACCCCCTGAATCTCAAATAAAAGTTGAAATTAGTACAAAAATAAAAATTTTAAAAAGGAAACACTAAAAAAGAAAAAAACTGTAGCAAAAATGTTTCTATTTTACAGAAAAAAAAAAAAACATTTATTTATGTTTTGAAAGGACTCCAAGATCCTGAATGAAGAAGGAAAAAAGAAAAAAACCACCCACATATAATGATCATACTGTGTCCTGAAATATGCTGTTGGGTAGAGTAGTAGTTAAGAACTCACACTCATAGCCAGATCCCTGCATCTAGAGTCCAGCTCCCACTTGGATAATTATATGAGCTCTGACTCACTGGTTTAAGAAAGATAATGTCTGCAAATCAATTAGCAATCAGCCCAGCACACAGAAAGCATTCAGTAAATACTATCATGATGATTATATATACTTTTTATTTCTTTACAACAGAGAAGTTCGTTCACTGCTGTGTTTCTCATTACTTTACACATGTTAGCTGTTGGTTTTACTTTGCTCTATTCCAGACATACCATCCACTGACAAGGTGCCAAAGCCACAAGATAATTTAAGACTCATATGAGGAGGAAGGTAGGGGGCATCCAGAGGTGAAAATACCCCCAGGGCATTGTAAGATAACACGTGCAAATAATAATAGTTGTTGTTATTACAGCAATGTGAAGACTAGGAAATAATGATTTATGATTATCCATTGGTCCTGCCAAGAATGATCTCAGCAAGCAGTATTTTAGGTAAATAATGTGTGGGAGGTTCTTAGGTTAATATAGCCATTGAAATTTGAAAAACCCAATTCATGAGGCAGGAGTTCATTTCCCTTGTTATACAACAGAGCTGTGCGTTGGCTTTGTGGTCAAAGACTTTCAGTAAGCTACGCCAGCCTGTGCTATCTGCATGAACGCGGCGAATTCCCTGCCAGTCTTAACTCCCCGTCTAGACATGGAGATAGTCTCCTGATTAGATATCCAGTAGGGAAGCTTTGTAAGAATGCCAGCAGCAGACCTAGGGCACCAGAGGATGCCTGCCATATCTTGCCTCCAATAAACATTGTAGACTAACTCTGAAGCAGAAAGCATCATTACATTACGGAGACATTTCATTTGGCATCTAAAATGTCACACCTCCTTGAAACATTGAGGTGTGTGTGTGTCTGTGTGTGTGTTTGTGTGTGTGTTGTCCCATTAGCGTGTTCTGTTGGTCTGGCCTTAATAATCACTTCACTATATATTGATCATTGAGCATATTTTTACAAAATGTAACCATATGTAGGGATTGAACCTGATTGATTGAGTTTGCTTTTTTTTCAGATGCTCTAAAAACACTGTCCTTTTTGTATTCCATTTCCCTTGTGTTTTAAAAGGGCTCCTGACTTAGGAGTTTCTGTAAACATAACCATGGATTCTCCCTTCCCTTTCCACCAGCCTTTGATTGCTATGGCTGGAGTATTTGTCCTCTCCAAAACTCAAGTGGAGATGGGCACAGTGGCTTATGCCTGGAATCCCGGCAATTTGGGAGGCTGAGGTGGGAGGATTGCTTGAGACCAGGAGTTTGAGACCAGCCTGGCCAACATAGCGAGCCCTCATCTCTACAAAAACTAAAATAAAAAATTAATGAAGTGTGGTGGTGTGCACCTATAGTCCCAGCTAGTAAGTAGGCTGAGATGAGAGGATGGCTTGAACCCAGGAGTTCAAGGCTGCAGTGAGCTGTGATTCACCACTGCACTCCAGCCTGGGTAATGGAGCAAGACCTTGTCTCTATTAAGAAACAAAACACCAAAACAAACAAACAAACAAAAAAACGCATGTTGAAACTTAATCGCCAATGTGGCAGTATTGAGAGGTGGAATCTTTAACAGGTAATTGAGTCATGAGGACTTTGCCCTCCTAAATAGATTAAACCATCCATGTATTAATGGGTTAATAGATTAACGGGTTTTCCCAGGGGTGGGACTGGTGGCTTTTTAAGAAAAGGAAGAGAGACCTGAACTAGCACCCTCAGTCCTCTCACCATATTATGCCCTGTGCTGCCCCAGGGACTCTGTGGAGAGTCCCCACCAGCAAGAAGGCCCTCAACAGATGCCCCTCCTCAACCTTGGACTTCACAGCCCCATAACTTTAAGATGTAAATTCCTTTTTCTTATAAATTACACAGTTTCAGGTATTCTGTTATAAGTAACAGAAAATGGACTAAGACACCAATAGAAATCAAATTTTTCATAATTTTTATATTTATTTCTTTTTAACACAGTTGTTATCATGTGAATCCATCTGTGTCACCCTGAGCCAACATTCTCTGCAATGTTATTGTCCACACTCTTATTGGACCTTTTTTTTCTTAACAGAGATGGGAATCTCAGTCTGTTGCCCAGGCTGGAGTGCAGTGGCACAAACATAGCTCACTGCAACCTCAAACTACTGCACTCAAACGATCCTCCCGCATCAGCCTCCTGAGGCTCTAGGACTACAGGCACATGCCAACACACCTGGCTAAGTTTTTAACATTCTTTTTATTTTTTGTGCAGACAAAGTCTTTCTGTGTTGCCCAAGCTGGTCTTAAACTACTGGCATCAAGCAATCCTTCCACCTCAGCCTCCCAAAGTACTGGGATTACAGGCATGAGCCACTGTCCAAACCTATTGCATCTTTCTGGATGTACTCTTGAATTCTTTAAGTGACTAGATATTATTTCTAAGAATTGGCTCAATACATATTTTGTATGAATTACCAGTTTTCTCTTCCATACAGACTGCATCTCACCCAGGAGGAAAAGTTTATATCTTCTTTGTAAATTCTGAGCATGGTAATGATCCGAATTGCATTGGTATGTTTTGTATCTTACAGTAGTGACTCATTTGAACTGAGACAGAAGAGTCTTATTCTTACATCAGGTCTTAATACATTTTAGAGTTGCAAAGATGAACTTGCATTTATGGCAGAGCCTTTAACACAACTTTTAGGAGCTCTTCCCGCTTCCATTTATAATGAAAATCACACTTCTTGCCAGTGTTAACCTAAGCAACATGCAACAACACCCAATGATGTTATTATCTTCTCATGAAAGGACAGAGACATTAATTGGTCCTTGAGTTTTCTAATGGAAAGACCTTAGAATAGACTCAAGTTCTGCTAGGCAGTGTAAGAACTACACTGTATTAGTCTGTTCTTACACTGCCATAAAGAACTACCTGAGACTGGGTAATTTATAAAGAAAGGAGGTTTAATTGGCTCATGGGTCTGCAGGCTGTACAGGAAGCATGTTGGCTTCTACTTCCAAGGAGGCCTCAGGAAACTTACAATCATGGTGGAAGGTGAAGGGGAAGCAGGCAAGTTCTACATGGCTGGAGCAGGAGGGCGAGAGAGAGAAAGAGATGGGGAGATGCTACATAATTTTAAAAAACCAGATCTTGTGAGAACCATATCAGCACTAGAGGGATGGTGATAAACCATTAGAAACCATCCTCATGATCCAATTGCCTCCCACCAGGCCCCACCTCCAACACTAGGGATTACAATTCAACAAGAGATTTGAATGGGGACATAGATCCAAACCATATCATACACCAAAACTCTTCTCCAGATAGATAGCTACAAGGAAAATGCCAACGAGAAAGCTTCTTTCACCAAGTAGAAGCTTCTTTCACCAGGCAGAAGCTGACTTGCTTGCATTTGGAAGAATTTTTTTTTTTCTCTGTGTAAGTTTTTGTAATACAGTGATATTTTAGGAAAAAGCATCTAACTATCTTTACAAAAAGAAACCAACTAAAATACAATATTGTTGGTTTATTTTGCCTTTGTAATTTTTTAAATTCAGGTGGTGCATGTTCAGGTTTGTTTTATGGATATATTATGTAATGGTGAGCTTGGGTTTCTAGTGAACTCATCACACAAATAGCAAACATTGTACACAACAGGTAGTTTTTCAACCCTCACTTGCTTCCCACCTTCCCACCTTTTGGAGTCCCCAGTATCTATTATCTATTATTTTCATCTTCATGTCCATGTGTATACATTGTTTAGCTCCCACTTATTAGAGAGATCGTGCAGTATTTGACTTTCTGTTTCTGAGTTATTTCACTTACAGATAGTGGCCTCCAATTCCATCTGTGTTGCTGCAAAAGACATGATTTCATTCTTTTTTGTGGCTGAATAGTATTCCACAATATATGTGTACCACATTTTCTTTATTCAGTCCTACAATGATGGACACTTAGGTTGATTCCATGACTTTGCTCTTGTCAATAGTGCTGTGATAAACATATGAGTGCAGGTATCTTTTTGATATAATGATCTATTTTCCTTTGGGTAGATACCCAGTAGAAAGATTGCTGGATGGAATGGTAGTTCTATTTTTACTTCTCTGAGAAATCTCCATATCGTTTTCCACAGAGATTGTATTAATTTACATTCCCACCAAGAGTATATAAGTGTTTGGAAGAAATTGATTAGTGATGTAGTAAAAGCTAACATATATTGAACATTTGTTAATATCCAGGAATTTTCCAAACAGTTCTATGGAGTTAAATTGATTGCCATGAGTAACCTCATTTTACAAGTAAGGAAAAAGGGGCTTTGAGAATGTACACAATGAACTAGGGCTGCAGAGCTTTGGAGGTACTGAGCTGGCATTAGTCCACTGCTATGGGCTGAATTGAGTCCCTCCAAAATTTATATGTTGAAGTCCTAACCCCTAGTTGCTCAAAATGTGACTATATCAGAAAATGGGGTTTCCAAAGAGGTAATTAAGGTAAAATGAGGTTATTAGGGTGGGCCCTAATTCAATATGACTGGGGTCCTTATAAGAAGAGGAGATAAGGACACAGACACACACAGAAGGACACCCCTTGGAGGACACAGGGAGAAGATGGTGTCTCCAAGCCCAGGAGAGAGGCCTCAGGAGTAACCAGCCCTGCCCACACCTTGATCTGGGACTTCCAGCCTCCAGGACTATGGGAGAATCAATGTCTGTTGTTTACAAGCCACCTAGTCTATGGTATTCTGTTATAGCAGCCTGAAATGGACTAAGACATCTCATAAGAGGAGGAGATGAGGACACAGACACACACAGAAGAATGACTCTGTGAGGACACAGGGAGAAGATGATGTCTACAAGCCAAGGAGAGAGGCCTCAGGAGGAACCAGCCCTGTCCACACCTTCGTCTGGGACTTCCAGGCTCTAAGACCCTGACAAAATAAATTCCTTTTGTTTAAGCCACCCATTCTGTGGGACTTCATTATGGCAGCCCCAGAAGACTAACACATACATGAACATTGGAGTTCAGAGCCATGTCTTAAAGCAATAAGGTCTGTTGTGTTAGATTAAAGGTTCATAGAATTGAAGCCCTCAAAGCTATGACTCAGACTTGAAATGCATTCATCCTCTCATCCTCCTCACCTCTGACCGACCTGAAGAAGTGCTGATATTCATCTCGATGTAAAAATCTGTTCAACATTACTCAGGGTCTCACAGAGCCAGCCCCAGGTCTCAGGGCAATTCGGGGGCCACTTGTTCTGGCCCCTTTAAGCTGCCCAGAAACATTTCCTAAGTCCACACAACCTCTCTCCTCAGCTGTGAAATCTTGACACTTCACTAAGTATGACTCTGTCAGAGACGTGTGAAGCAGAGCAACTCCATCTTGAATAGGAGCTAGGTAAAATGAGGCTGAAACCTACTGGGCTGCATTCCCAGACTTAGAAGTCACAGGATGAGACAGGAGGTCAGTATAAGATACAGGTCACAAAGACCTTGCTGATAAAACAGGTTGCTGTAAAGAAGCCAGCCAAATCCCACCAAACCCAAGATGGCCACGAGAGTGACCTCTAGTTGTCCTCACTGCTACACTCCCACCAGCACCGTGACAGTTTACAAACGCCACGGCAACCTCAGGAAGACCCTACATGGTCTAAAAAGGGGAGGCATGAATAATCCACCCCTCGTTTAGCATATCCATTACCAAGTAGCCATTCTTCTATTCCTTTACTTTGCTAATAAACTTGGTTTCACTGTACTCTATGAACTTGTCCCGAATTCTTTCTTGCATGAGATCCAAGAACCCTCTCTTGGGGTCTGGATGAGGACCCTTTTCCTGCAACAAATCTTCCAAGGTTTAACAGTCCTGTATTTAAAGAAAATATCCTCCCAGAAAGGACACAGGGATAAAGCAGAATGAGTGATCCACTGAACGCAATGTGTTTCTCTGAGAAAGCAAGGCAAGGACGATGGATAGATTGTTGAGCAAGCGATGTGGGAGAAGAGGGCATGGGAGGGAAGGATGGGAAATGACAAGGCAGAGAGGCTTTGGGGCCAAGGAGGTGATAGAACAAGAGTAGGAAGAGAGAGAAGATCGGGGAGAAACCAACTGCAATTCTGACTGCAGATTTCCTGCCCTGCTGTTAGAGTTCTTCCTCCTCAGCCAGCCCCTGGGGCTTCTGATACACTTCCTTCCATCCTTTATCCCCCACGTGGGAGGGCAATTTCCTCTCCAGAAACTTGCTCCCTCCAGCAGCAGCCAAATTCTCACCTGCAACATTTCCGGTGGCCTCCGAGAAACCAACCGACCACTAGGTAAAAATCTCAGCCTAGCTGTGTTCCTTCAGGAAAGAAGAGCCTGTCACCACCTTCTGTGGGACTCCTCCCTGCTCTCACCTGGCTAGTTCACACTGTCTGTCTCCTTTCCCTCGCCCAGGAAGATTGACTATTGACCACACACTGAACACCCAGGACGGTGGCCGGAGTATCTGGAGGAGATGTCCTTCAACGTGGTCTGGCCCTTTCATCCAGCTGAGGGCGGAAATGGCTTTTGCAGCTAGGCCTATGTGCAGAGAAATGCTGACATCCAGAGAAACAAAACTGCTTCCCACATGCAAGCTGGGCAGCTGAACAGGCTTGTTTGGGTGGCAGGGGATTCTCCTGACTTCTTCTGGAATCTATTATAATTCTTTTTCCAACATTTTGAATATGTATTTTCAGGAATGGTTCTGCTTTTCATAGGCTTGGTGACTTTTGGAAATTCTTAGAAAATGGACGTTATCTATCTTTGCGTATTAATTATCTCTCTTCCAGGCTTTCAAGGACAACAACAACAAAAAACTCTTTTGGGGGGAGATAAGAGATATCTAGATTGTACTTCAGTCGGTGAAATGTAATGCACAATTTCTTACTGAATTGAAACCTTATTGAAGACAAAACTCTGACCTTTTTTCTTCTCTTGCCAAAATTCCTATCTAAGGGGTCTCGGGAGTCATGCCCTACAAATCATAAAGTCTCCTGAGAGGGGTTTTATTTAACGCTGTATAACGTGGCTTACTTTCCAACCTGACTCTGGCATAATATCATATGACAGTTAAGAAAGGAAATCAAAATATTTTAACCCCAAATATGTTTCTTTGCCATATCTTGAAATAGCCCTGCAAAGCTGTCTCTTGTGAGGGAAAATCTACATTCTGTAGAGAATCTCTTTCCCTTTTCCAGGACTCCTTATCTTAACCCAGACATTTCCTTTCTATTGATTCCAGGTCTTTAGATGAACTCTTTCAACCAATTGCCAATCAGAAAACCTTTGAATCTTCCTGCTATAACCTCGAAGCCACCACTTCCAGTTGTCCCACCTTTCCAAACAAAATCAATGTACATCTTACATGTATTGATTGATGTCTCATATCTCCCTAAAATGTATAAAACCAAGCTGTAGCCTGACCACCTTGGGCAATGTTCTCAGGATCTCCTGGGGCTGTGTCACTGGCCATTGGCCACTCATATTTGGCTCAGAATAAATCTCTTCAAATATTTTACAGAGTTTGACTCTTTTCATCAATAATATATATACAGGTAAGAAAAATAATAAGAAGCAAGCAGTTTCTTTCTGATGATATAAGATATGAGATACCAAATGTAAATGACATAAGATGATGGGGAAACAGAAGAAATGAACATTAGCAATATTCTTTGAGTTGTGGATACTTGAAGTCTCCATTCCCTTTATTTCTGGCTCACTCTAATCTTGTAACTTCCCAATGGGTTCACCTTGCCCGCTGCCTAGACAGAGACGATTTATTAAGACAGGGGAATTGAAATGGAGAAAGAGTAATTCATGCAGAGCCGGCCATGTGGGAGACCAGAGTTTTATTATTACTCAAATCAGTTTCCCTGAGCATTTGGGGATCAGAGTTGTTTATTTAAAAAAAAAATTTATTGAGGTATAATGGACATACACGAAACTGCATATATTTAAAATGTACAATTAGATAATTTTTGCACCCATTAAATCATCACCACAATCAAGGTCATGAACATATCCGTATCCCAAAATGCTTCCTTTATCCCTTTTTTTTTTTTTCTTGAGAGAGAGTCTCACTCTGTTGCCTAGACTGAAGTGCAGTGGCGCAATCTCAGCTCACTGCAACCTCGGGGATCAGAGTTTTTAAAGATAATTTGGTCAGCTGGGCCTTGGGAAGTGGAGAGTGCTTATTGGTCAGGAGATGGAATTGTAGTGGGTCAAAGTGAGGTTTTCTTGCTGTTTTCTGTTCCTGGGTGGGATGGCAGAACTGGTTGAGCCAGATTACTAGTCTGGGTGGTGTCAGCCGATGCATCAAGTGTAGGGGCTGCAAAATATCTCAAGCACTGATCTCAGGTTTGACAATAGTGATGTTACCCCCAGAGGCAATGTGGGGAGGTTCAGACTCTTGGAGCCAGAAGCTGCATGACCCCTAAACTGTAATTTCTAATCTTGTAGCTAATTTGTTAGTCCTGCAAAGGCAGACTGGTCCCCAATCAAGAAGGGGGTCTTTTTGGGGAAAAGGCTATTTTCAATTTTATTTCAGATTCAAACCATGAACTGAATTCCTTCCCAAAGTTAGTTCAGTCTATGCCCAGAAATGAACGAGGACAATTTAAAGGTTAGAAGCAAGATGGAGTCATTTAGGTCTGATCTCTTTCATTGTCATAATTTCCCTCAGTTATAATGTTGCGAAGGCAATTTCAGTCTGAAATCTATCCTATGACTTAATCGCAGCTCTCTGCAAGCTCACCATAATTCAATTAAATCACTCAATCCACTGGATGCAATTGACCTTCACAATTCAACAGACAATTGAATGTTGGAGCACCTCAAAACCTTCTCCTGGACTATTTCCTCTTATTTTATTCACCTTTTGTAAGTTTTTCCATCTCTGCCCCTGACTTCTATCAACGTGTGTAGATCAGTCACTCCAAATGTATGTTTCCAGTTCAGATCTTGTCTACATACTCCAGACCCATATATCCAAGTCCTTTCAACATTTCCTCTCAGATATCTCAAAGGTCATTGCACTTATCAATGCCTAATACTCTTTGGGTATTTTTCCCTTCCAAATCTCATGTTGAAATTTCATCTCCAATGTTGGAGGTGGGGCTGAGTGAGAGGTATTTGGGTCACAGGGGTGGATTCCTCATAAATGCCTTGGTGCCATTCCCTGGTAATGAGTGAGTTTTGGCTCTGTTGGTTCATGTGAGAGCTGGTTGTTTAAGGGAGCCTGGTATCTGTATCTGGCTTCTTGTCTTGCCATGTGTTCTATACACACACCAGCTCCCCTTGCCTTCTGTCATGACGGGAAGATGCCTGAAGTCCTCACCAGAAGTAGATGTCAGTGCCAAGCTTCTTGTAGTCTGCAGAACTGTGAGCCAAATAAACCTCTTTTCTTTAAACCACCCAGCCTCAGGTATTCCTCCACAGTAATGCAAAACAGACTAACACAAGAACAAAGAACAAACTTGTGTCCCAGCCTTTCACGTCCAGTTCCACAAGTCAAGAATCTAGAGGTCTTCATTTTCTCCTTGCAATCAATCTATCTCCAATCCTCATAGATGTTTCTCATTTGTCTGCATTTCTCCTTTTCTATCACCAACCATCTGGTGGAAACTACCTTGGCCTCTGACCTGGACGCTTCATCTGCTTCCTAAATGGCCACCTGTAGACCTGGTATTCCTCCTTCCTTCATCCATTTATTTATTTATTTATTTATTTATTTATCTATTTTACATCTCGAAGAGTTTGCACTCTTGTTGCCCAGGCTGGAGTGCAGTGGCACGATCTCTGCTCACTGCAACCTCCGCCTCCCAGGTTCAAGTGATTCTCCTGTCTCAGCCTCCCAAGTGGCTGGGATTACAGGCACATGCCACCACGCCCAGCTAATTTTTTTTGTATTTTTAGTAGAGACGGGCTTTCACCATGTTGGCCAGGCTGGTCTCGAACTCCTGACCTTAGGTGATCCACCTGCCTCGGCCTCTCAAAGTGCTAGGATTACAGGTGTGCCTTCATCCTTTTAACTGCTTGCCATTGCTCTTACAATGGATGTCATTCTTGATGGCCCTCAAGATGCTCTGCTTTGCCTGGTTTTGGCTCTCACTTCTCTCTACTTTTCACCTTCCCTGAAAACCTAGATTTTCTCTAGCCCTACCTACCCCTGCTGCAGACCCTTTGCCATGCTGTGTCTTCTACTTGGAGCATGCAGAATTTATCTGTGACCTCCTGAACTAGTTCATTCCCTTTGTTACAATTTCTCCTGGCATCATATTTATTTCCCTCATAGTACCTACCACAGTCTATAATGATACAGCTATTTGTCTGATTTTTTTAATTACTGTCTGCCTCCACTAAACCATGCATTCCAGGAGCATGCTTTGTTCATTTTGTTCACTCCCTTATTGCCTTCATTGAGTATTCTGCCTGGAAGAGCATCGGCACATCACCCATACCCATGAACAAATGGATATGAGCACCACAACTGCTGAGCTATCTACAGACTTAGCAGCTAGGAAGCTTGTCTTGGATGAGAATGTTAAATAGGAAACTCTATCCCTCAGGAGTTTCCATTCTGGCTTCTCCTACTGATTCTGAAAAGCAAAGCATGTGCTTGAGTGACTCACACAGCACAGTGCATGAATATGTCTGAAGAGGTTCCTTATGTAGCTCATGGGACCATGTTTAATTGAATAATGTTCTACTACTCAGGTTTTTATCACTTCTGTACACTGAAAGTCTGAGAGTAAATGATTCTTCTCAATGCATTTCTTACCTCCAATTACATTCACCCTAATAATTGTGTTATTCATTGTATGACCTCAGCCTGTGAAGCAAGCTGTCATGTTTTTCCTCAAGCCACCAAGACTTGGGGTCAAGATGCTTGGCAGGGAATGGGGCAGTTGGAAAACACTAAGGAGCATTTCTTCTCTGCTCAAGGGCAATGATTAATTTGGAAATGGGAGATACTTTGATCAACCGATGCTACTGTTGAACTCCTTAAATTATGTGTATTAATTATTCTATTTTCCCAATTGCAGCAATGACAAAGTCACAGAGAGATTCCTGTAAGACAGAGTACCTAAAAAGGAGAGTGGTGTATGTGTGTGTGTGTGCGTGCATGCGCACACTTGTATGTAGAATTCCACCAACACTAGGATAAATGTTTGTCTCTGTATTTAGCTTGGCTATAACTCCATAACATGAAAGTAGACTCATTTAAGTCATCAGTGAACACCATGTTAAACCCTAAGACAGATGGATATAAGGATAATATGTATGCATACATGGGCCAAGGTTGCAGCATACAGCATATTAATGAATCCTGTCCCAAACCCAGCAAGTTCCTTAGATGTTTAAAAAAAATTATTCAAATTGAAGTCAATATCCAACTACAGGTAGCTTAAACTTTGCAAAAGAAATGTCTTATTAGATGCTAGAGTGACTTAGAAACATTGAATTCCATGTCTGAAGCTTTTTTCTTAACTCTAAAGCCTTTTAATGTTATGAGTTGACTCCAGGGTAAAATTTAGAATATGTATATAGAGAGACTGAGTATCCCTCATACAACCCTTCATTACTAATGTAGTTTACCTTAGAGTCTAAAGAAGATTGAAGAGTAGAAATTTCAAAGTTAGCATCTTCAGCAAGAACCTAGTCCAGATATTGACGACAACTAAGACAGCAAAAGTTAGCATTGTGTCTTCTCATGAAAATGGAATTCTCTAGCAAAATGTTGCATCTAATGGATACCACCACGCAATCTTGCAAGAAAAGGGACTGGGGATACCTCTGGTGGGGAAAAAATTTCCCCAGAGAATAATTCAGCATTGGTTTCAGTGAACATATGGTTGTTGAAGACTTACTAACAGGAACATTGACAAATAATGATGTTTCTGGATTAATTTATTTACTCATTTACATTTTAAAAATCATTTATTAACTCACTTATTGGTACCATGTGCCAATCTTCCACTTTGCCCAAAGGGGATGCCAAATTCATTTACCACATCAGTTAACAATGAAAACAAACAAAAACTTGTTTTTCATTAAAAGCAAATTCAGTGTTCCAAAATGGTTGATTTGAATGATCTAATGTCTCTGTAAAGAAAATCTCTTTTTGACAAAAGAGAAAACTACTTGGCCCCTTCCCATCCCACCCACAAGGACTGAAAGAGATATTCTGCAGTTTTCCCTAAAATAGGCCTGTGGCTTTAATGTTAACTGTTGGTACAACTTTTGTTGTTGTACTGTGCTGGGAAAAAGCGGGTAGAATAATAAATCTACCTTTTATTGGTCTTACAAAGGAAAAATGCACGTAAAAGGATTTCGATAGAACTTTTCAATAAAAGAGAAAAATGAACTTTCTGTCTTCCAAGAATACCAAAAATAGAGTCTGCAGGAATATCAGGCAGGAGCTATTAAATGCCCTATAGATCGCATGAACAAATAATAAGTTCCTGGGATCCTTTATGGTCATTTATAATATCGTTGAACTGAAAAAGCAACCAATAAACAGATAAACAGATAGCTTACTTTCCTTGCTCTCAAGGAAAGAGTCAAAGAAATGGAGATTTTAGAGATAATCCATTGGTATACCAGCAAGACCAAGTATCTCTGGGCTCAGTAGGGGTGTATGCAGAGCCACATGGATAGAAAAATCTGTGCCATAAATATGTGTTTTCCCACAAGCCCGCCCACATCACATAGAGGTCACCTTTGGGGAAGATTTTGTTATTTTAACTAAAATTGATCTGTTTCTTTTAATTTTAAAATATTTAATTTATACTAAACAATGTAGAAGAATGTTCTTTAAATTTGATTCAATATAATTTTTATGTATAAAAATTGGGCAATATTTTGGAATATACCCTTTATGTTATATATATGCACACACACATAGCACATACACATATACATAACATTTATTTCATATGTCTATAAGATGTGAATACACATATATACATATAAACATATATATTTGTTTATGTGGGTACATGCTATGGACTGAATGTATCTCCCCAAAATTCATGTGTTGAACCCTCATCTCCAAGGTGATGGTGTTGGGAGGCGGGGCCTTTGGAAGGTGATGAGGTCGTGAGGGTGGGGCTTCATGAATGGGATAAGTGCCCTCATAAAAGGGATCCCAGATAGCTCCCTCGCCCCTTCCACCATGTGAGAACACAGCAAGAAGGCTCCATCTAGGAACCAGGAAACCCTCACTAGACACTGAATCTACCACACCTTGATCTGGGACTTCCAGCCTCCAAAAATGTAAGCAATAAGTGTCTTTTGTTTATAAGCCTCTCAGTCTGTGGTATTTTGTTATAGTAGCTCAGACAACATACGACAGTATATATTAGTATTTGTATAATTCCATTTCCTGAGCAGTTTTGAGTAAAGTAAATCATGAATCTTTGAATTTATGCCTTTTCTTATCTGCTTTATCTTTAATCCTTATTTTTCTTCTTATAGAATATTGAGACATAAATATTTAAGTGTAAAATTTTCATCATAAAAAAGGCAGAAGTTTGAAAATATGTTGCAAATTGAAATTAGACTTTAACAAAGTGTATTGTTAAGGATAACAATAAAAAATATTTTACTCCGCACGCTAGTAATATCTGGAAGCTCAAACATCAAACAGTATTTATAGTATTCATCCTGATCCCTTCGTTAATGGCAAGTGAGACTGAGCATAGCAACTGTTGGCCTAAGACCATACATTTTCATTTTTCAGTAAATATTAACTTCATAAATGAAATTATTGGCTCCCCACGTTTCCCATGTAAAGTATCATATGGCATGTACGTTTGAATATCCAGCTTCAAAAGTTACTAATCAATAAAATTGAAAGTAGCAATGTTGCAATAGAAGCATCAATTCAGTGAGTTTTCAAAGAAGCTCACAGATTTACTGTTTGTGAAACTCACATTTTCCATCTGTTTTCTAGGAAAAAGTTATCCCAGACAGACAAATTAGATCCTGGTAGCTGAAATGATCTTAAAGCTGTCAACTACTATAAGCAGTAAGTCCCAAATGGTGGGTGAAGGGTGGTACAGTATCCTGGTATCTATCAAAGCTATCTCTAATTTATTTTTTTATGGGCAATGAGGAATGCCACTTAATCTTGGAACGCTTTTTTCTTGTTTTTCTCCATTACATATAAATAACATTGCATTTGGAAAATAGCTCAATTATCCAGTTGTAAGAATACAATTGAACTATAGATTCTCTCTCCTTACATCTCTTCTTCTGCCAGCTTTTGCTTTTTTCTCAATTATTCCTGCTTCCCTCCTTTTCCTCCCATTCATCCTCTTTATCCCTCTTTGGAAACTGTGCCTCCTATAAAAGATGGGGCCAAAATGCTAAAGAAAACACGCTTTGTCTAAATCTGCATGCCACTAATATCCGGAAGCTGAAACATCAAACAATATTTATCGTATTCATCCTCCTGATCCCTTCATTAATAGCAAGATCATTGCCATCAGTATTTTGTGTCACAAAAACCATCTGCTTTGTATTACTTTGCTCAGGCTTACATAACAAAGAACCATAAACTGGGAAGCTTAAAAAACAGACATTTATTTCTCACAGTCCTGGAGTCTGGAAGTCCCAGAGGAAGGTGTGGGTGGGGCTGGCTCCTCCTGAGGCCTCTCTCCTGGACTTGCCTACACCGTCTTCTCCCTGTGTCCTCACAGGGTCAACCTTCTGTGTGTGTCTGTGTCCTCATCTCCTCCTCTTATGAGATGTCTTAGTCCATTTCAGGCTGCTATCACAGAATACCATAGACCGGGTGGATTATAAACAACAGACATTTATTCTCTCACAGTTCTGGAGGCTGGAAGTCTGAGATAAAAGTGTGAGCAAGACTGGCTCCTCCTGAGGCCTTTGTCCTGAGCTTGTAGACTCCATCTTCTCCCTGTGTCCTCACCAGGTCGTCTCTCTGTGTGTGTCTGTGTCCTCATCTTCTCTTCTCATAAAGTGTATTAGTCCATTTCAGGCTCCTACAACAGAACACTGTAGACTGGGAGGCTTATAAACAACAGACATTTATTGCTTGCCATTCTTGAGGCTTGAAATCCAAGTTAAAAGCATGGCGGATTCAGCGTCTGGTGAGGCCCCACTTCCTGGTTCATAGACGGCACCTTCTCATGGGTCCTCACATGGTGGAAGGGGCGAGGGAGCTCTCCGAGGTCCCTTTTGTAAGGGTACTCATTCCATTCATGAGGCTCTTCTTGAGCCCTGGGAGTAAGAATTCCAACGTTGAATCTTAGGGGGACACAAACATTTAGACGATACCATAAGGCCAAGAGTCGTATTGAATTAGGGTCCAGCCTAATGACCTCATGTAACTTAATTACCTCGTGAAAGACCCAATCCCCAAATACAACCATCTTCCATGGCACTAGGAATTAGGACTTCAGCATATGAATTTCTAGGGACAGAATTCAGCCCATAATAAGTTCCTTCACCAACCATGTTATCATCCTTGCTCCCTAGAACTCAGACATACATCTACCCACCCACACCCATACACACACACACACACACACACACACACACACACACACACACACACAGATCCAAATGTCCATTGGGATACATAGGACCTCTCAAGTTAGTGATATTCTTTTTTAGGTTTGGAGATTCTAGCTGCATTCACAATTGAAGCTCACTCCATCCTCTGGGATATCTTGATTTAAGATGGTCACCAAACCAGTAACACTACAGAGACTGTTGTGACATTTGCAAATGCTTGTAGACACCTAACGGCCAGTTCCTCTTTTTATTTTATTTTTCTAAGTAGTTTATTATTTCTAAGTATTATATGGTATATACATTTGAATATCAAGCTTCAAAAGTAACTAATCGGCTAGGCACAGTGGTTCATGCCTGTAATCCTAGCACTTTGGGAGGACGAGGTGGGCAGATCACTTGAGGTCAGGAGTTTGAGAGCAGCCTGGCCAACATGGCGAAATCCCGTCTGTACTAAAAATACAAAAATTATCCAGGCGTGGTGGCGTGCGCCTGTAATCACAGCTACACAGGAGGCTGAGGCAGGAGAATCACTTGAACCTGAGAAGCAGAGGTTGCAGTGAGCCAAGATCATGCCAATGCACTCCAGCCTGGGCAACAGAGAAAGACTCTGTCTCAAAAAAAAAAAAAAGTAACTAATCGATAAAATTAAAGGTGGCAATGTTGCAACAGATGCAGCCATTCAGTTATTTCTCAAAATAGCCTCACAGAATTCTTTGTCTGTTCAACTCACATTTTCCACCTTTGTTTCTAGGGAAAGGTTATCCACATGAAAACCAAATACCAAATGTTCTCATTTAAAATTCTTTAAATAAATTTGATTGTGTATATGTGAGGTTTACAACATGCTGTTATGGGATACATATAGATATTATTAAAATACAAATGTAATATATCCATCCTCTCACATGGTTTTTTCCATGTGACGAGACTGCATTAGGGATGTCTGTGCCTTATGGTTTATGATGGTGAAGTTAAAGCCACGTGGGCTCTCCATGAATTCCAGGTGGAGACAGGGCAGCCATGAAGAAGTCACAGTCGATGAAAAACTACCCTGCTAGAGGCGCCTGTTTTCCAGAAGTCAGTCATTCTGCTGCCTCCACTCTTGGGCAATACTTTTCAAAAGGATAACATTCCATAAGAATGAAAATACATGTGGGCTTTCTGTATTTTTAGAGTCCTATTGAAAAATTTAGGAAGTCTGGAAAGCTAATTCTCTGTCTGATCAGCTAATGATTGTGTAGGATGTGAGCATGGACACAACTACGCATTTGTAACTCTCATCCCTCCCACATTCCAGAAGGCAATCCACATTTTGGACAGAAATTTAAGCAAAATATTTGCCACTAATTGAAGGGCACTCTAAGTATGTCTTGAGTGCATACCATTGATAATTAATTCCATTTTCAGTTTTATAATAACGATTCTGCATCTAGGTGGCTTGCCAGTTTTAAAGTCTCTCAGGACCCAGCCAAGACTTTGGGATCAATTACTCTACCAGGGCACCCTCCCCAAGATTATTCTGATGCCCCCTGGAATTCCCAGATGGCCAGAGCTAGAAACGTTAGCCAAAAGTGGCTCATGTGTCAGAGACTTTCTATTTCCCATTTATGCTGAGTCCTGTCAATTACCCAGTAAGAGACCATTTGCAAACAGTTTGCACTGAGGTTTCAGTAAAGTCACCTCTGTGATTTTTTGTTTCCCAAAACAAAGACAGTGGCAAGTAACCTAAGTAAAGCAGTGAATGAGTTCAGGACTGGCTATGCAGTCTGTAAACAGTTCTCTCTCTGTAAAGATACCACAGACCCTAGCTGTCCTGAGTACAGGGCCACACAAGACCATTGTATGAGTCAGCTGAGGCCATTGTAACAAAGGTCCACAGACCAGGGGGCTTAAGAAACAGACATTTATTCTCCCACAGTCCTGGAGGCTGGAGGTGTGAGATCAAGGTGTGGGCAGGGCTGGTTCCTCCTGAGACTTCTTTCCTTGGTTCGTAGACACCGTCTTCTCTCTGGGCCCTCACAGGGTCATCTCTCCGTGTGTGTCTGTGTCCTCATTGCCTCTTCTAATGAGATGTCTTAGTCCATTTCAGGCTGCTATCACAGAATAGCATAGACTGGGTGGCTTAAACAACAGACATTTATTCTCGCACAGCCCTGGAGGCTGGAAGTTGGAGATCAAGGTTTGGGCAGGGCTGGTTCCTCCTGAGGCCTCTCTCCTGGGCTTGTAGATGCCATCTTCTCCCTGTGTCCTCACGTGGTCGTCCATCTGTGTGTGTCTGTGTCCTCATCTCCTCCTCTTATGAGGACACCAGTCACATTGGATCAGGGTTCACCCTAATGACTTCGTTTTACCTTAATCACCTCTTTAAAGACCCTGTCTCCAAATACAGCCACATTTTGATGTCCTGGAGTTGAGGACTTCAATATATGAATTTTAGGGGGATACAATTAAGCCCATCACATTTTTTTTCCTTTCTGACTCAATCCTAGTGGACAGAACAAGGACAGGCTTTCAATAACTTGCCCTGAACTTTTTTCAGAATGGCTGAGATTTACCTGATGAAACAAACCAATCTAAGAATATTTCCTCGGGGCTCATTATGTATAAAAAAAGTGGTGCAACCAAAAGCTCAGACTCAAAACACCGGGTTTGAGTCTGACCCTGATCACTCACTAGATCATGAGTCCTAAACGGTACACATACATTGTGGATGCCGGCTTCATCACTCTGAAAATAGAGATGTTTCCATCTGCTGGTAGGCTTTTTTCAAGGATTAAGGATAAAAAGATTGCATCACATGAAATGTGATGTTCATTTTATTTCCTTCTTTTGGAAATGTAAGCTGACATGTGTGTCTTATTACTAAAGATCTGATGCATCTCCCAGGATCCTATAAGAGTTTACTGTCAAATGGGCATGGCATTATAACACATGTGCATAAACCCACAGGCATGTACATAAACACATAGGCATGTACACACACTGTACCGCAAGGTAAAACAACAGCCGTTACTGTAAAACAGTGAGAGACAATAGCCTTACACTCCTCTTGAAATGAATCAATGAATAGACATTTGTTATGAAAAGATAGAATTCAAAGGCAATACCAGCCATATAGGAGGTACAGACATAGACACGGACATAATGAAATGTGAAAGAAAACATAAAAACTCAGGACCTCAATTCACTCTTCCAAAAGGAAAGAACAAGGTGAAAGTCGAATCATGCAAGAAGATGCCTTTCCTTTCATTCCTAAGCAGATAGCTACAGATAAAGGGTTAAACATCTCCACAGGTAGCTACATAAGCTAGGTTCACCTTATGCAAAGTGCTAATTTCCTAAACATGAGACAAATATATGCTTGACTACTGCCCCTCTTGCTCCCTTTCTCTTGCAATTTCGATTCAGTAATGTGACCATACCTGCCCTTTTTCCCTTCAAGCCCACTTCTCCCCTTTAAACACTGAAGGCTTCAGAATCATCTTTGGAGAATGGCACAGACCAGAGACTGTTTCTCTGATTCCATGTTTATTCCTTCTGGGCATGTCCTTAACCTTGGCAAAAGAAACTTCTAAGCTGATTGGGATCTATGTCAAATACTTTTTGGTTTACAGAAACTTGAGCAGGTTTGAGGAATAGAAAATTGTCCAGTCTGCCAGGAACACACAGAAAATGTGCAAGGAAGAAGTAAGAAATAACACTAGAAGTGGAGGTCATGGTAATACAGTTGGGGATACTGGATGCCCAGCTAAGAAGGTTGTGGAAAATTCATGCCTTCCAAGCCATTGAAAGTGATTTGTATTGCTTTGTTGTTGAGAATGAGAACAAGAAAAGCCATGCATTAAGAAAACTTAACCCAATAGCAACATGCAAGAATGCAGAGAGACCACTTAGATGTCAACTGCAAAAATGGAAATGAAAGCGAGTGTATAAGTCTCCTATTTGCTGCTGTAACAAATCGCTACAAACTTACTGGTTCAAAACAACACCAGTTTAGTCTGGCAGATATGGAGGTCAGAAGTCTGACTTGAGTCTTAGTGGACTAAAATCAAGGTGTCAGCAGGGCTATGCTCTACGTTAGGGGAGAATCCTTTTTCTTCCCTTTTTCAGCTTCTAGAGATCTTCTTCCTCCATCTTCAAAGCCTGCAAGGTGCATCTCTCTGTGCCTTTTTTGGGTAGTCAAATCTCCTTTGCACTCTCTTCTTTCTCCCTCTTCCACTTTTAAGGACTCTTTTAATGACAGTGAATCTACCTGGATATTCCAGGATAAAACTCCCACTTTTTAAAGTCAGCCAATTAGCAACTTTTATTGCATCTGCAGCCTTCATTCCCCTTGACATCTAATTAAGTCTGTTAACATGTTCCAGGGATTGTGATGTGCACATCTGATATGGCTTGGCTCTTTGTTCCCACCCAGATGTCATCTTGAATTGTAATCTCCAGGTGTTGAGGGAGTGACCTGGTGGAAGGTGATTAGATCTTGGGGTGATTTGCCCCATGCTGTCTTGTGATAGTGGGTTCTCTCAAGATCTCATGGTCTTATAAGTGGCACTTTCTCCTTTTTGACTGTCTCTTGCTTGCCACCATTTAGACGTGTCTTGGTTCTCCTTCACCATTCACCATGACTGTAAGTTTCCTGAGGCCTCCCCAGCCATGTGGAACTGTGAATCAATTAAACCTCTTTCCTTTATAAATTACCCAGTCTCAGGCAATTCTTTATAGCAGTGTGAAAACACACTAAAACAACATCCTCAGTGAGTGTTATTCTGTCTACCACTGAGACAAATGTCCTGATTAAGTGAGATTTTCCCAGCCTTCCTGTTTTGAGGTAAGCTTTTTTCTGGCTCTCAGAGGAACCAAACAGGGGCTGGACCCAAAAGTTAAAACAGAAATAAAGCAGTGCTTCTCAGCATGTAATTCCATCTTTAGCTCATCAGATCTTAGGGCATTTAGCTTGGTGGTAGGCAGAATAAGACCCACCAAGGATGTGCACGTTGCAATCCCTGGAACATGTGAATAGACTTGGTTAGACATCAAAGGGGAATGAAGCTTGCAAATGCAGTTAATGTTGCCGATTGTCTCAGTTTGTGAGCACCGGATGGCTCTCCTTGCAACTGCATCTCTGTCTTGTATTCACTACTGCTATTTCCAGAGGGACCCACTCTTCCTAGAATGGACTAGGAATGTGTGTTTCCAACCAAGACGCTGTGGAGAGTGCCAGAGAGCACTAAGAATGATACCTGAGACCAGAAGTGAGAGCCAGGGCTGGCAAATGTACCTCTACCCCAACCCGGAGGAGATGTAAAGACAGTAGTTCACCTCTTATCTATGTGGGATACATTCAAAGACCTCTTCCCCAACCCACTGTGTATGCTTGAACCAGGAGATAGTACATAACCCTTTACATACTACGTTTTTTTCTATACAATACATACTTATGATAAAGGTTAATTTATAAATTAGGCACAGTGAGAGATTAATAGAGGTAACACATAATAAAATGGAACAATTATAACAGTATGCTGTAATGAAGACTATGTGAATGTGATCTCTTTGCTCCTAAGTGAGTAACAGGAAGGTAGCATGTACAGCGTGGATGTGCTGGCAAAGGGATGATTCCTGTCCCTGCGGCCACAGAGCAAGATGGCGTGAAACTTCATCATGCTTCTCATAACAGCGTTCATTTTACAACTTATGCATTGTTCATTTCTGGAATATTCCTTTTAATATTTTTAGACTGTGGTTGACCGCAGGTAACTGAAACTGTGGAAAGCAAAACCAAGGATAAGAAGGGGCTACTGTAATGATTTTAGAAAGTGGGAAAAATAAATTTACTAAGGGAGAATGATACTACAGACAAATTGGCACCATGGTGTTATTTTTTTCCAGAAACATCTAGCTCAGGTGAGTTGGTAGGCGGGGTTGAAGTAGAATTGAGGTTGCATCCTGTTATCAGAGAAAGAACCAGAGCACTAAAGGTGTTTGCAGGGTAGTATTGTGGTTTCCAACCAAGACATTGAAATAAAAGTGGTTTGGTCCATGCGTCTGCACCCAGATGGCACAGTGAAGACCCTAGAGAAAGTGAGTTGGAAGGACCCAGAGTCTTAGTGAATTCTGAAAGCCACTATTCCAGATACAGTGATGACAGCAAATGTAGGTATGATCACTGCAGGGAAGAAATTGAGAGAAGTGAAGATAAGGCGTGTTTGGAGTTCAGTAGGTCAAAGATGACTTAATAGTATCATGCACGAGTTCTATAAACTTCAAACCTATTAGAATTTTAATTACCCAACTTGAATATCCTTTGCATGTCGTCATTTTAAAGTTGGCTAAAAGAAGTCATAAAAATAACGTAATGCATTTGTACATTACTGGAGAGGGAAGAATCTGTTTTCTTCATTCCTCTGGCATTTGGAGCAGACACAGTTTATGATTTGGCTGTAAGTATATCTTAATATGCATGGAAGAAGATATATTTTTCTTCATGAAAATATATAAATTTAAAATGACTGCAGTGACACTTCGGATCACAAAAATACCTTAGGAGGGAAATCTTGTTAAATCATTTTCTGCTTTTACTTTTTGGTTGTGCCTTCAGAAATAAAAAAAAAATTGGGATAGTTGGGGAGGAAAGGGGCAAAGTCAAGCCAAAAACTAATCAAAAATAGCAAAGAATGATGAAAATCCAGTGTTTGGATTCCATTTGCAATAAGTGAATGCACATGAACTTTGACACTTCCAGTCTTTGGAGAAATAGTTTTGCTCTCAGTATATTTTTAATCCAGGAGGCAACAAAGGCAGGAATGTGTGAATCTGTCTAGTTTAATTCTAGTTTAATTCTTCAAATATAAATAAACCCTGTGGTTACAAGGACAGTTTTGGGAGGCAAGTTGCTTCAGGTGGTATAATCAAAATGGAGTGTTATTAAAAGATTAATCACAGTAAATATTTCCTCACAGGATGCAGTAGCTAAATCTCACTAAGACCAGCAAGTCTGCTAGCATAGGCGTAAATGCCTCCTTCACAGACAAAATTTTGGAGTGCTCAGGGATGCTTAAGGGTGAGCTCAGCCTACTTTAGTGGTTCCAGGTCAGCCCTGTCAGACTCTGTCTCTTCTTCTCCACCCCCTCATTCATGGATTCCACACCCAGAACCCATCTCAGAAGCAGAATCCTGTGCCGTCCCCCAAATCTGACACATGCCCTCCAGAGGCCTTTCATCCATGGGACAGAAATTGAACCCATGTTCCATTAGGACCTTGAGATTGTCTCATTTACTTTCTTGCCTGGACTTGGCTCTTTCATTCTACACAAAGCAAAACCATCACTTGGAATCCCCACTGGACCACAAACAATGGATGGTTTATCAGTCTGCTTGAGGCATCATAATAAAATACCCAAGGCTGGGGAGCTTCAACAACAGACATTTATTTTCCCACCATCGTGGAGGATGGAAGTCCAAGATCAAGGTGTGGGCAAGGCTGGTTGCTCCTGAGGCCTCTCTCCTGGGCTTGTAGACTCCGTCTTCTCCATGTGTCCTCCTGTGGTCGTCCCTCTGTGTGTGTGTGTGTGTGTGTCCTCATCTCCTCTTCTTATGAGATGTCTTAGTCCATTTTGGGCTGCTGTAACAGAATACCATAGACTGGGCAGCTTAAATAAGAGACAGGCCTGAGACCCAGGAGAGCCAAGGGTGTGAGTTCCAGTCTGAGTCTGAAGGCCTGAGACCCAGGAGAGCTGAAGGTGTGGGTTCCAGTCCAAGTGGAGAGGCCTCAGCTCCAGAAGGGCCAATGGTTTGAGTTTTAGTCTGAGAGCAGGAGAAGACTGACGTCCCAGCTCAAGCAGTCAGGTAGAAAGAGTGAATTCTCCCTTCTTTCTTCTTTTTATTATATTTAGACCTTCAATGGATTAAATCATGCCTATCTACACCTGTGAGGGCAACCTGCTTCACGCAGTCCACCAACTGCTAATCTTATCTGCAAACATTTTCACAGACACATCCAGAAATAATGTTTAACTAAATTCTGGGCACTTTGTAGTTCAGTCAAGTTAACCCATAAAGTTAACCACCACATCAAGATGCCTATTTCATTGAATCTCTGTTATTTCCTTCCTTCTCTTCCTTCCTTCCTTTCTCCTTCCCTTTCTTCCTTCCTTCCTCCCTTTCTCCTTCCCTTTCCTCCTTCCTTTCTCTCTCCCTTCTATTCTTCCTTCCTCCCTTCCTTCCTTCTTTTCTTTCTTCCTTCCTCCCTTTCTTTCTTCCTACCTTTCTCCCTCCCTTTCTTCCTTCCTTCCTTCCTCCCTCCATCTCTTCCTTCCTTCCTTCCTTCCTTCCTTCCTTCCTTCCTTCCTTCCTTCATTTCCTCTATAGCTACTAAGCTTCTACTATGCCTCAGACACCACATTGGGAACATAAGACAGACAGTAACATAGTTCCTGCTCTTGAATCTTTCCAATGCATTCCACAAGAGAGATTTTTCAGTTTGTGTGTGAGTTTTTAAAATTAGATGTATTTTCTAAAATAAAACCCACGAATTCAGGTTCCGGGTTGGGGGGAGGGGAAGCCATCTGGGTGCACAGAAAAATAAGGCCAATCTTCTGTTGGCAAGTATGGTTGACCCTCTAACAATATGTGGGTTAGGGCCACTGATCCCCTGCCCAGTCAAAAATCTGCACTTAACTGTTGGCTCCCCAAAACTTAACTACCAATAGCCTACTACTGATTGGAAGCCTTACTGATAACATAAGCAGTTGATTAACATGTATTTTGTATGTTATGTTCATTATATACTGTATTGTTTCAATAAAGCAAGCTAGATAAAAGGAAATCATAATGAAGGGAAAGTATATTTGCTATTCATTAAATAGAAGTGGATCAACATAAAGGTCTTTATCGTCAATGTCTTCATGTTGAGTAGGTTGACGAGGAGGAGGAAGAGGAGAGGTTGGTCTTGCTGTCTCAGCAGTGGCAGAGGTGGAAGAAAATCCACATATTAGTGGACTTATGCAGATCTAACCTATGTTGTTCAAGGGTCAACTGTACAGATAAAGTCATTTCACTTGTTTCCAGCAGGGATCATTCTGTTTTGGAGATGCTCACATCCTCATTGATCAAGAGCCCAGGATATACTTTGAATCCTCATATTTGCAAAGACTTTGCATAGGATTTCAGAAACCCACAGGTCCTAGGATTGCAGTGTGTAACAGGATAACCACTAATGGCATGTAGCTATTTAGATTTAAGTGACTTAAGTGAATTAACATTAAATAAAATAAAAAAATCCAGTTCCTTATTCACCACTAGCCACCATGTTTTCAGTGTTCAATAGCAGCTAGCCAGCTATTGGACTGTGCAGATTATAGCACATTTCCATGACTGCAGAATGTTCCGTTGGACAGAACTGCTTCATGACCTGGAGTATGAAGGTGAACCCCAGACACCAGGTGAGTGATGTCTGGGTCCGAGAATGTTTAAAGCTCTTCCAACATGCTCAAGCTTCCTATCTCTAACCTGAGTTTCAGCAAACCAAAACAGATCATGCACAATAGCCCAATTAATGAAGGGAAAGACAGAATTTCCCCGTCATTGGCCACATGACATCTCCTCATGCTACACCTACAATCTTTGTATTTTACGGGTTTCTATCCATATGCAAGACAGATATTATGGCAAGACATTGGGGACAGAACAACCTCCACAGGTCTCCTGTCTCTACTCCTCCTGTCAATGTTTGTTTTGTATTTTTACACTGCCGTGCTCTGTTTCTGGTTTTAAGAGTTCAGATAGAGGTTAGGCGCTGTGGCTCATACCTATAATCCCAGCACTTTGGGGGGTCGAGGCAGGCAGATTGCTTGAGCCCAGAAGTTGGAAACCAGCCTGGACAACATGACAAAACCCTATCTCTACAAAAAATGCAAAAATTAGCCAGACATGGTGGTGCGTGCCTACAGTCCCAGCTACTCAGGAAGCTGAGGCGGGAGGGTCACCTGAGCCTGGGGAAGTCGAGGCTGCAACAAGCCAAGATCATGCCACTACACTCCAGCCTGGGCCACATAGTGAGACTGTCTCAAAAAAAATTAAATCAAATTAAATTAAAAATATTTAAAAAGGGTTCAGATAGATAATTCCTGAAGCTGTTAATACTGGAGGTGAATTCCTGGGTACTAAAGGTCAATGCCTCTGAGCTATGTCAGCTTAAGTGTGTGGTTTTACCTGGTTAAGCCTCAGCTTCTGCACCCCTTTATCTCCCCGAAAAAAATGGGGATGAAGATAAAAACACTTCCTGGGGTTGTTGTAAATAGCAAGTATCTAATAGAGCTTTCAGAACACAGCAAGTGCTCAGTAAAAGTTTGATGACACTTTGTAAATACACTTGGTTTTCTCTATAGGACCTCAAAAACATCCCTGCCAGATTCCTCTCTTTTAAAGAAGAGGAATTTTTCTTTAAAAAAAACAAAAACAAAAACAAAACTCTTATTTTTCTTTTTTAAAAAAACTCTTATTTTCAGTACACATGAAGGTTTGCTACATAGGTAGACAGATGTCCATGGGTGATTCTTGTACAGATTGTTTCATCACCCAGGTATTAAACTCAGCACCCAATAATTATATTTTCTGCTCCTCTCCCTCCTCCCACCCTCCCCCTTCAAGCAGACCCCGGTGTCTGCTGTTTCCTTCTTTGTGTTTATAAGTTCTCATCATTTAGCCCCCATTTATAAGTGAGAGCATGTGGTATTTGGTTTTCCATTTCTGTGTTAGTTTGCCAAGGATAATGGCCTCCCGCTGGATCCATGTTCCTGCAAAAGACATGAACTCATTCCTTTTTGTGGCTGCACAGTATTCTTTTTCTTTATCCAATCTGTCATTGACGGGCATTTAGGTTGATTCCATGTCTTTGCTATTGTGAAGTGTTGCAATGAACATTTGCATGTATGTATCTTTATGGTAGAATGATTTTAATTCCTCTGCTTATATACACAGTAATGGGATTCCTGGGTCACATAGTAATTCTGCTTTTAGTTCTATTTATTTATTTATTTGAGACGGAGTCTCACTCTGCCCAGGCTGGAGCGTAGTGGCACGATCTAAGCTCACTACAACCTCTGCCTTGCGGGTTCAAACAACTCTCATGCCTCAGCCTCCTGAGAAGCTAGGATTACAGGCACCCGCCACCATGACCAGCTAATTTTTGTATTTTTTGAGTAGAGACGGGATTTTGCCATGTTGACCAAGCTGGTCTCGAACTCGTGACCTCAAGTGATCAACCCTCCTCGGCCTCCCAAAGTGCTGGGATTACAGGCAGGAACCACCACGCCCAGCCTGCTTTTAACTCTTGAGGAATCACCACACTGCTCTCCACAATGGTTGAACTGATTTACAGTCCCACCAACAGTGTGTAAGTGTTTTGAGAAGAGGAATTTTTCATCAAGAGTCTGATCTGGGTTTTTATTCAATGTTCTGCTTTCCCATTCTTTGCTGATGGATGTGAGCTAGAGCCAGCTAAAGGTTGTCAGGTAAAAAGAAAAACATTGCCATTGCATTCGCAGAATTTTAAAGGATGCTCGTCACTGAGAGACAAGGTAGAAGGATGACATCACACATGAATGCAGTTTTGCAACCTGACCCTGGGTCTTGGAAGCTGCAATTGTTGCAAGTCCCATGTGGGTAGACTAGGAGATAACAGGGCAGCCAGTTAGTTGTGCAGCATGTCAGCCATGGCTGGTGCTACGAGGGAATACAATTTAAAATGTCATTTGTTAAATTCTGTTTGTTAGGAACCTGGAAGGGCTCAATTGACACTGTGTCTGAATGGGCATGGATTCTCTTTCATTATAAGAGTATTTTGGCCCGGCACGGTGGCTCACGCCTGTAATCCCAACCCTTTGGGAGGCTGAGGTGGGCGAATCACTTGAGGCCAGGAGTTCAACACTAGCCTGGCCAACATGGCGAAACCCTGTCTCTACTAAAAATACAAAAATCAGCCAGGAGTGGTGGCATGCGCCTGTAAGCCCAGCTACTCAGGAGGCTGAGGCAAGAGAATTGCTTGAATCTGGGAGGCGGAGGTTGCAGTGAGCTGACATCACGCCACTATACTCCAGCCTGGGCAATAGAGCAAGGCCCTGTCTCAAAAAAAAAAAAAAAGTATTTGTAACAGCACAACAAAGATCTCATGAAGCCACCATGATAATAATTGTTTGAAAAGAAAGGAATTCACCATATTCCTATTTTAAAGGAATACTTTGACTTTGTTTCTTGAGAAAAAAACAACAGAATTAAAAATAGCACATCATAAGGTTAAAACATCACAATACTTTTCTTGGATGGCTGGAAAAATAGATTGCTAAACAAACAAGTTCAAAAATTGTCATTTTGTCCCATGACTGGGTATTGACCCAAAGAGAAAGAAATCATTCTATCAAAAAATTACCTGCACTCCTATGTTTATCACAGCACTATTCACAATTGCAAAGATGTGGAATCAACCTCAGTGTCCATCATTGAATGATTAGATAAAGAAAATTACTCAGCCATACAAAGAAAAGAATGAAATCTTGTCATCTGCAGCAGCATGGATGGAACAGGAGGCTGTTATCCTTAGTAAATGACTCCGAAACAAAGAGTCAAATATTGCACGTTCTCACTGATAAGTAGGAGATAAACAACTTGTACACATGGACATAGAGTGTGGAATCATAGACTTTGGAGCCTGGGAAGGATGAGAGGGTCAGGGGTGAGGGATGAGAAATTACTTATAGGTACAATGTGCATTATTTGGGTGCTAGATACACTAACGGCCCACACTTTACCACTACATAATATACCCACGCAACACGATGATCCACTTCTATTTAATGAATAGCAAATATACTTTCCCTTCGTTATGATTTCCTTTTATCTAGCTTGTTTTATTGAAAGAACACAGTATATAATGAACATAACATACAAAATACATGTCAATCAACTGCTTATGCTATCAGTAAGGCTTCCAATCAGTAGTAGGCTATTGGTAGTTAAGTTTTGGGGAGCCAACAGTTATGTGCAGATTTTTGCACTTGTACCTCCTACATTTATATGAATTTTTTAGAAAATTATTATTTTAATAGATTTGGTTAACAAGAAAGGCACACTAAGGAGATTTAAGGTTTCATGTATGCTTGTATTTACATATTCAATGCACAATTTATACATATTTAAGACATTATATGCTTTATAAATTATAACACATGCAATTTAATATACTTTTTTTTTTGAGACAGAGTCTTGCTCTGTTGCCCAGGCTAGAGTGCAGTGGCGTGATTACTGTTCACTGCAGCCTTGATGTCCCAGGTTCAAGCAATCCTTCCACCTCACCCTCTTGAGTAGCTGGGACCACAAGTCCACGTGCCACCACACCCGGCGAATGTTTTTTGTATTTTTAGTAGAGACGGGGTTTCATCATGTTGCCCAGGTTGGTCTTGAACTCCTGAGCTCAAGCAATCCGCCTGTCTCAACCTCCCAAAGTGATGGGATTACAGGTGTGAGCCACCGCCTATAGGCCAGGCACTGTGGCTCATGCCTGTAATCCCAGCACTTTGGGAGGCAGAGGCGGGTGGATAACTTGAGGTCAGGAGTTCGAGACAAGCCTGGCCAACATGGCAAAACCCTGTCTCTACCAAAAATATAAAAAATTAGTCAAGTATGGTGGCGCACACCTATAATCCCAGCTACTCAGGAGGCTGAGGAATGAAAATGGCTTGAACCCAGGAGGCGGAGGTTGCAGTGAGCCAAGATCGTGCCACTGCACTCCAGCGTGGGCAACAGAGCGAGACTCCATCTCAAAAAAAAAAAAAAAAAAAAGAAAAAAGAAATAATTTTATATATTTAATCTACACTTAACATTTTAAATTTAGATTTTTAGTAAAGCATTACAATTCAAAGAGAAAAGAGTACTTTATTTTTTTTTAATCTGCTCTTAGCAGAAGTCAAAAGCAACAAGAAACGATGAAAATGCTCTTTCCCCATCTTGGCACTGACGTTGGACTTTATGAACAACTGCTAAGAGAATCATTTTAACAGAATATTTCCGCTGAAATGTCAGCATTCTTTGGTCTTATAATTTGTGTAACGAGATATATATTATAAACACAGCATCCTGCATTTCAGAAAAATCACAAAGTAGCTTCAGATGGTGTCCATGGGGAGAAATGGGGAGCTCCAGGGAGCCCAGGTGGAAATGAGGTGGGTGTTGTTTTGTGAAGGAGATGAGTTTAAACTCATCATTCACAAGCTTTCATGTCTGAATGTAGAAGTTACAAAGTGATATTGTTTTTATCCACACACATTACAAATTCAAGGAAGCCCTGGCTTTTTGGTAAGAATGTAAGAGGTACAAGTGCAGTTTTCTTGCATGGGTATATTTATTGCACAGTAGAGAAATCCGGGCTTTTAGTAAACCCACCAACTGAATAGTTAACATTGTACCCATTAAGTGATTTCTCATCCCTCACCCCCCCTACCCTCCCACCCTTCTGAGTCTTCATTGTCTATTATTCCATTCTCTGCATTTGTGTGTGCCCCATTATTCAGCTCGCACTTATAAGTGAGAACATGTGGTGTTTGACCTTCTGAATTGTTTCACTTAAGATAATGGCCTCCAGTTCCATCTATGTTGCTGCAAAAGACATGATTTCCTTCTTTCTTCTGTATGGAAAGAATGTGTTATGTATTAAATTGCATGTGTTATAATTTATAAACCACATATAAATTGCCTTAAGTATGTATAAATTATGCATTGAATATGTAAATATAAGCATACACTAAACCTTAAATCTCTTCAGTGTGTCCTTTATGTTAACCAAATCTATTAAAATAACAATTTTTAAGCCAGGCGCAGTGGCTCACGCCTGTAATCCCAGCACTTTGGGAGGCTGAGGTGGGTGGATCACCCGAGGTCAGGAGTTCGACACCAGCCTGGCCAACATGGTAAAACCCTGTCTCTACTAAAAATATAAAAATTAGCTGGGCATGGTGGCGGTGCCTGTAATCTCGGCTGCTTGGGAGGCTGAGGCAGGAGAATCACTTGAACCTGGGAGGCAGAGGTTGCAGTGAGTCAAGATCGCACCACTGCACTCCAGCCTGTGTGACAAGAGTGAAACTCCATCTCAAAAAAAAAAAAGAGATTAAATTAAATTTCAGCTGGGCGCAGTGGCTCACATCTGTAATCCCAGCACTTTGAGAGGCCGAGGCAGGCAGATCACTTGAGGTCAGGAATTCGAGACCAGCCTGACACACATGGTAAAACCCTGTCTCTACTAAATATACCAAAATTAGCCAGGTGTGGTGGTATACACCTGTAATCCCAGCTACTTGGGAGGCTGAGGCATGAGAATCATTTAAACCCGAGAGGCAGAGCATACAGTGAGCCAAGTTTGCACCACTGCTCTCCAGCCTGGGTGACAGAGCAAGACTCAGTCTCAAGAAAAAAAAATTATATAAATTTAGGAAGTACAAGTGCAGTGATGTTGCATGGGCATGTTGCATAGTGGTGGAGGAGGACTTTTAGTGCATCGATCACCTGAATAATCTACATTGCACCTATAAGTAATTTCTCATCCCTCACACACAACCCTCCCATCTTTCCCGGTCTCCAGTGTCTATTATCCCACACTCTATGTCCATGTGTACACATTGTTTATCTCCTACTTATAAGTGACAACATGCAGTATTTGACATTTTGTTTCTGAGTCATTTCACTAAGGATAACGCTCCTCATTCCATCCATGTTACTTCAAAAGACATGACTTCATTCTTCCTATGGCTGAAGAGTAGTTCATTGTGTATTATATATATCCCACAGTTTCTTTCTCTTCTCATCCACTGATGGACACTTAGGTTGGTTCCATGAATTTGCTTTTGTGAATGGTGCTGTGATAAACACACACGTGCAGGTATTTTTTGGTATGATTTTTTTTCCCCTTTGGGTAGTGGGATTGCTGGATCAAATGGTACTTCTATGTTTAGTTCTTTGAGATGGCTCCACACTATTTTTTGTAGAGGTTGTACTAATTTACATTCCTACCAACAGCATATAAGCTGACGTTCCTCCAGGGTGTGTGTTTTTATAAGCTAGAAAGGTAATTGTGTGTTTGCTGAAAGGCCTCCCCAGGAGAAATGGGCTTCCAACATCCACGGAAGCAGTAGGGTTTGTGTCTACACAAGTCAACGAGCCCTCTCTGGTGCTGCAGCTTGGACAGATTTAGGCATGAAGGGGCTGCTGTAATTTCCTTCAAGGTCAGAGTGTGAGTTGGAACAGAGTCAAGAATTTTCAGGGGGAAAGAATCATAAATCAACCCAGGTAATGGCTTTTGTCTTTCCACATAATTGGAAGGCAAACCCAGCACTCATGATAAGCACTGTGTGGTTAGGGGACCCTCAGAGATGAGAAAAGCCAGATGACCGGGTTCTCTTCTGTCAATCCGAGTGAGTTTTCTTCATCTGTCTAAGGCTGGAGGCGTGTCTAAGCCCACAAGGATGAAGCCAACCTCACGACTCAGGAAAAGAGTGAACCCAAATCGATCATGCATGTTTGCAAGTCAAGAGATCCTGGCTCTAAAACGAGTTTTTTTAGTTACCTCAAAGACTGTGGGCATCAGATAAGCTCAGTATTGGGCAAATCATTATAAACATTTCTGGTACAGAAATCTAAGGAGCTAAAGTAGGTCATACCTTTATAGATATCTTGTTCCAAAATCACTTTATAGGGCCTGAATTAAGCTTGCTAGGAGGTCCCTATAATAGGCATGCAGTCCTGTGAATTTCCATCTCTGTTTTTCTCTTATGTTTTGCTGTGCGATCTTTGCTAAGTTTCTGTGCCTTCATTCTCTCTGTGTGTGTATGTGTGTGCATGTGTGAAATAGTTGTTCAATTTCATTTACTTCACAGAACTTTGTGGAAGGTTAATGAAACAAGTTGAAAGGCATCTGCTAAAATTCTGAAACAATGAGTTTTAAATGAGTGGATCACTCTTACTATTTTGTTACAAATCTGCTAGATGTGGGTCTACTGTGATAAAGTAAGAAGAGCTGGGACTCCATGAGCAATAATGTATACAATAAAATGTGTTTAGCAGATTAACTGTAGTGAATTTGGGATTGGCTGCTTGACCCAGGGAAGGAAAAGATACAGGTATCCCTCCTGCTGTCTTATGGGATGGGAAGGGACTATCTCATGGTAGGCCATAAATAACTATATAATGGAGGATCAATTTTACCAGGGCAGTTTTAGGGATTGGAAAGCTGCTGCTATAGAGAAATGGAAAGAAATGGAGGATGGAGAGATAGAAGGAATTAGAGGATTTTTTAAATCAGTACATTAAAGACCTTACAATGTGAAAAGGAAATGCTTTGTTCCTGAATCCAAGTGCCTATGTCAGTTATATAAGGAAACTGAGGCATCATTTTACTCTGTTACATTAGGTCTCTGAAACTGCTGAGTCTTCAGCTGAGACAGTTCTGAGTCCAAGTCACCATTTGCCAATGTTGATGATGATTGTGATGGTGATGATGATGATGCTGGTGATGGTGATAATGGTGGTGGTGGTGGTGATGCTACTGATGATGATGGTGGTGGTTATGGTGATGATGCTGATGATAGTCATGGTGATGGTGGTGATGATGATGATGGTGATGATAGTGCTGGTGGTGATGGTGATGATGGTGATAATGATGGTGGTGATGGTGATGATGATGGTGATGATAGTGCTGGTGGTGATGGTGATGATGATGTTGATGACAGTGATGATGATGATGGTGATGACAATGATGTTGATGACAGTGATGATGATGATGGTGATGACGATGATGTTGATGACAGTGATGATGATGATGGTGATGACGATGATGGTGATAACAGTGGTGATGATGATGATGGTGGTAGTGATGATGATGGTGGTGATGATGATGGTGATGATGATGATGGTGGTGGTGATGGTGGTGATGATAGTAATGGTGATGATGGTGGTGGTGATGGTGATGATGGTGATGATGGTAATGGTGGTGGTGATAATGATGATGGTGATAGTAATGATAATGATGATAATGTGATAATGATGGTGGTGATAATGATGGTGATGATGGTGATGGTGATGGTGATGATGGTGAGTTATGATGGTGATGGCAATGGTGATGGTGGCCATGATGATGATAATGATGATTGGTAGGGTCGGCTTGTCACTTGTTTAGTTTCCACGTCTGAAAAAGGGAGTCTGGATCTGATTCTTCTAATGATTGGCCTCCCATCCTCCTGTCTTGCTCATCTTCAGGGTCCCTGGAGAATCATTCTGCCCCAGTGGCCACTGCTTGACAGATTCCACATGGGCCAGGCTTGTTTTAATGCTAAGGCCTGAAGGAAATCAAAATATTTTACACCAAAATATACTTCTTTGACATATTTTGGGATGGCAGTCAGAGGGACAGCAAACAGAAGCAGCCCTGCAAAGCTGTATTTAGTGGGGAGATTTGCACCTGTAGAGAATCAGCATTGATGTAAACAGGCCTTTTCTGAGGACTTACCTTGTCTGGGCCTGAAAAAGATGAACTGAGACTCTAATACTCTCAAGTCGCAATGAAACATTTGCCATTTATTCTCTCTTGGGGCTGTTACCTGTGATTTTTTCATCTACATAACATGATCCTCTTTGCTAGCCAGACCTCCTCTTCTCCCTCTCCCATAACCTGCCTGGCCATCATAACCTGATTCACCACTATAACCGGTTTTTGACCATGATCTGAGTCCCCCTTCTTTCTGTAACCTCAAGATGGTGTGTAAGCTTCTACACTTCATTGGGAAATTGGGGTCATCACTCTGTGATTCTCCTCCATGTGTCCATGTGTAAGTTAATATATTTGTATGCCTTTGCTCCTATTCATCCACCCTTTGTTGATTTTTCAGTGAACCTTCAGAGGGCAAAGGAGACTTTTTCCCTTGGCCCCTACAGGCTCCAGCCAGGGAGAGGCCCTGGGCTCTTCCCAATGCCTCCTGACTCAGATGTCGCACCAAGCCTTGGATCGTGAATCTTATTTTCCCAATGGTTCCTGGAGGAACCTGGGGATGCTACTCAAAGGATGGACTTAACTGGCCACAGGGCAACCTTTGGCCAAATGGCTCAGGAGATGGAAGGAAATTGGTGGGAAAAACTCTACTTTCCACCCCCATTTGTTGGAACATCGCAGGTGCACCGTGATTCCAAAGGGTCTTCTCAAGAGACAACACAGTCAGCTGAATTATCTACAAAGCCAGGGACAGATCAGGGCGCCCTCCCTCCCACTGGCTTTCTTGCCTTCTTTCCCAGCACTTTCCCCTCTTCCTTTATTCCTGTTTCCCTGAGATCAAAATCTCCACCACTTCCCCAAGGGTACTGTTTTCTAGAGAGGCCAGGCAGTGGCACAAATGAATAGTGGCCACTATCATAGGTCATAAGGATTAATTGAGATAATATACACATAGTGCTTCTCACTATGTCTAATCCATTGTAGGTTCTCCGGATCTTCGAGGCCATCAGAAGGATCTAGAATCTGTGTCTGGGAATCGTTTTGGCTTTTGCGAGTTGTTTTGCATCATCTTATTATGTTCTAACAGCAGCAAACAGTTAATAGAGCTGACCACTGAGGGAAGGTTGTTACATGAACCACCTTGAACAGACAAAAATGATCTCCTGAGAATTCTATTCTAGCTACCTGAACAAGATGCACCAGGTAGGAAAAAAGATATGCAGGGAAGTACCTGAGGTGTTCAAGTGCATCCATGTTCAACTTGATGGTTTGATAATTTTAGCTCAGACCAACACAGGTCATATGGTATCCATGAACATCATCCTGGAAGGAACTTGAAAAGCAGAAGGGCCGTGACTAGCATACTTTTTTAAGCTATTTGAAAGAGCTGATGGTAAACCATGTAGGTCTTGGCCAATAGACCAGGGTGGACAAAACCTCTTTATAGACAACGAGGCTCATGGTTCAGAACAAGGACTCCATGAGTCATTACAGAAGAGAAATTGGATGACACTGAAATAGTCTATTGATAGTAGCTGGGAGGGTCCCCACCACAGCATACGAAATGCTGTGGGCTTCACTCCCACTCACTTCCAGGAATGTGTCTACTCTTGGAAGAGAGAAAAGAATAAAAGCCAGGAAGAGGAAGGAGGCCATATTTCATGTCCTGGAATCACTCAACACTGTGAACATTAATCCATGAAGTAAAACAAAACAGTACAAAAGATGACCATATTCCTGTAGTTTAAAAATGTGTCTGAGCCATTGAGTAAATGCTTTTGATCAAAATTTTAGTCATTTGCCAATTGCTGACTAATCTGATGAAAATGAAGCATTCTGAAGGAACATGCATAATCTAAAAAACAGTAGTATTGAAAAGAATCAAGACTATTCTTACCTTAATTTTTAAAAAGTATTAAAAATTATTTGAGAGGCGATGGAAAGATGGTCTTTGTATATTTATCTTGAAACTGCTACATTTGCAAACAAATCCTTTAGGCTCAAGGAAATAATAATAAAGCATTAAAAGCAATTCAATACCAGTCCCAAATTAAACTCACTTTAAGAGATATCAGTTAGGAATACAAATGCATCTGTTGTAGGAAAATTAATTCAGCACCATTTGCTTAGCAAAAGATGTGATTGGCCCTAAACTGAAATTATTTTAAAAAAATGTATTTTAAGACACAAATCTCTTTAAGTGCTTTGATGAATAAGAAATTTCGCAAAAGAATTGTGATATGGTTTGGCTGTGTCCCCACCCAAATCTCATCTTGAATTGTAGCTCCTACAATTCCCACATGTCGTGGAAGGGACCCGGTGGGAAGTAACTGGATCATAGGCACGGGTCTTTCCCATGCTGCTCTCATGATAGTGAATAAGTCTCACAAGATCTGATGGGTTTATAAAGAGGAGTTCCCCAGCACAAGTCCTCTCTCTTTTGCCCGTCACCATGTAAGAAGTCCCTTTGCTCTTCCTTCATTTTCTGCCATGATTGTGAGGCCTCCTCAGCCATGTGAAACTGTAAGTCCATTGGACATCTTTTTTCTTTATAAATTACCCACTCTTGGGTATGCCTTTATTAGCAGCATGAGAACGGACTAATACAAAATCATTCTACTCTAGGCTAAAGCTTCAATAATTGTTTAAGTCTAACATGAGAAGGCAGGACCAACAAGCCAAGTGATTTAGGAGAGGTCCACATTCTTCTTTCCATTTGGAGAGAAATGTAGTAATAACCACCCCAAGCGAGTGCTGGGCATGGGTCAGGCTGGGGTTAATTGCATCACAGCAAGTACCACTTATTCTCATAGCCATTGGCAAGATGGGTATAGAGTTCCTGCTTTTCAGTTGATAAAACTTAACCATGAATGGGATACGTAAGTGTTCAAGATATGTGGCATCTCATAAGAAGCCAATGTATGCAAATGCACATAGCAGGGAAAGATTATATTCTCCCGGAATCTGAAAATGTAGTCCCAAGTATCCCCTTGATCTGTGCCAGTGTAGGTATCCTTGAAGTTTCACCTTATCTTTTATTGATACTTATTTTATTTTAGATTCAGGGGGTACATGTGTAAGTTTCTGACCTGGGTATATTGCATGATGCTGAGGCTGGGGCTCCTAATGAACCTGTCATCCAGGTAGTGAGCCTGGTACCCAATAAATACATTTTCAACCCTTCTTCTCCTCTCTCCCTTCCTGCTTTTGGAATCCCCAAGGAGATTCTCGCTAAGGAGAGAGGACTTAGGAGGAACCAGCGCTTCCCACACCTTCATCTCAGACTTCCAGCCTCCAGGACAGTGGGGAAATAAATTTCTGTTGTTCAAGCCACCCAGTCTGTGGCTCTTTGTCATGGCAGCCCTAGGAGATGAATACAGCCCCCTTATAAACAGCAACTTCCTGTGCATCCTGCTTAAATTTCCACCAACCCTGGACACACACACACACACACACACACACACACACCCCTAATGGAAGGGGCTGTTAATGCATTTTTGGCTCAATATTTAACTTTCAGGACACATATACTTGGCCAACTTCAACACCACCCAGGACTCTTCATTCCTGTGCAACAGGCTATGGTCCCATGATTCTCACCTTCTCCAAATCCCTCTGGGTAGGAAGAATTCTCTCACCATCTTCCACTCAGTTTTCTCCTTGAAGTTCCCAAAATATCCTTGACTTCTTGGCCCTGCTTGTCTCTCAGGGGAGAAAAAGTTGGTCACCGCCAAAGAAAACAGCCTTGGTAGGACTTCCTGACAACGCCTTCAAGTGCGTTTTCATTCTACAACTATTCAATCATCAGCTAACTGCTCCAGACAAAAGGAGGGCACTTTTGAATGAAAATAAGAAATACGTAAGCAATATAAAAGGTATCAGAAAAGACATGTGGCTGGACACAGTGGCTCACACCTGTAATCCCAGCACTTTGGGAGGCCGAGGCAGGCGGATCACCTGAGGTCAGGAGTTTGAGACCAGCCTGACCAACGTGGTGAAACCCCGTCTCTACTAAAAATACAAAAATTGGTCAGGTGTAGTGGTGGGCACCTGTAATCCCAGCTACTCAGGAGGCTGAGGCAGGAGAATTGCTTGAACCCAGGAGGCAGAGGCTGCAGTGAGCTGAAAACATGCCACTGTACTGCAGCCTGGACGACAGAGTGAGACTCCATCTCAAAAAAAAAAAAGGAAGAAGAAGAAAAGAAAAGAAAAGTAATGTATCTTCTCCCTGGGGGGAGGGGGGGAAATGCATGTATGTGTGTGTGCGTGCGTATCTGCGCACACGTATTCAGTTAGAAGACAAGCATAGACCCATTGTAGGGGAAGGAGAATACCACTCAAACCTGGGAGGAGTCATCTGTAGTGTAGTGTACTGTGTTACCTTGTGTTATCTTGTACATTGCATTATATTTTGCATGTTATTGTATTGCATTGAATTGTTAAAGCTTAATATTGTCCTTGACATGTGGAAGAAAAAGAAATAGGTGGATTTAACTCTGTCTCTGTCTTTCACTCACACAGGCGCGCGCACACACACACACACACACACACACATACACACGTAATGAACACTCAATTGTTCTATAACACTTGTTTGGAAAACACAAATGGGTTCCAATGCAATTGACATATGAGGGCACACTTGAACATACTGCACATTTTGCACTGGATTTTGCATAACTTTCTCCACACACAAAAAAGTAAGACAACATCAACAAAACCACAGGTGAGCAAAGAGAATTGCATTACCAGAAAACTTCACCTGAATAAAGAAAAAGCACACATTTCCACACCTCAAACATATACCCACTTCCTCAGTTTACAGGTGTCTTAGGAGCAGCATGCACCCATTCCTGACCAGGGTGAAAACTGCCCATCCATTTTTAGACAACCTGCCTGTTTTACTGCATTCAGGCTGCTATAACAAAATACCACAGTCTGAGTGGTTTAAACAACAGACGTTTATTGGTCACAGTTCTGCAGGCTGGAAGTTCAAGATCAAGTTGTGGCAGATTCAGTGTCTGGGGAGGATTGGCTTTTTGGTTCATAGATGGTGCTTTCTTGCTGTGTCCCCACATGGTGGAAGGGACAAGGGAGCTCTCTGGGTCTCTTTTATAAGGGCGTTAATCCCATCCATAAGGCTTCACCCTCACGACCTCATCACTTCCCAAAGATCCCACCTCCTAACACCAGCACCTTGGGGGTGAGGGTTTCAATGCAGGAATTTTGGGGGTGATACAAACGTTTAGACCATAGCACTGCCTTCCTCAACTTTACAATATCTCCCAAGTGGCTACACTTCTGAGGCCCATGTGCACCAGCCAATATCAGGTCTTTTTCTGGGTAAGGTCTGCTGACATATATTGTAAAGTTTACATATGCCTTAACAAATAAGCACATGCAAAACTGTTACCATTTTAACAGTCTTTTATCTCCTTGTTTATTTATTTATTCTTTTTTTTTTCTTTTTCTTTTTGAGAGAGGGTCTTGCTCCGTCACCCAGACTGAAGTGCAGTGGTGTGATCTCAGCTCACTGCAGCTTTGACCTACCGGGCTCAGGCGATCCTCCCACCTCTGCCTCCTGAGTAGTTGAGACTACAGGTGCGCCCCAATATGCCTGGCTAATTTCATGTATTTTTTGTAGAGACAGGGTTTTGCTATGTTGCCCAGGCTGGTCTCAAACTCCTGGGTTCAAGAGATCAACTTGCCTCAGCCTCCCAAAGTGCTGGGATGCCACTGCACTGGACCCTATTTATTCATTTTTAATTGACAAATTGTATATTCTTTGCATCAGTGATAACATCTTTGAGGGCTGCTCCACACCACGGTTTTTCCATAAGCCCTGTGGTTATTACTGAGTGTTTTTTGCATAGCACAGTGATTTAGGGGAACACATCTGTCCCCTTAATGCAGAATGGACTATAATTAATGAGGGAAGAAAAAGAGTGGGATTGAGTTTCTAGATCCATCTTGCAGACGCAGCTGTGGTTCTTCCGCCATGACCTTAACGAGGAAAGAGAACAAGTACTGACTGAGTTCTCTAGTTCCCTTTCAGATTGTGTGGGCCCTCGAGCTGTTCTCCTCAGAACCAGGGCTGAGTATGTCTAAGAATGTTTGGGAAGATGATTTAAAGCAGGTGCCCTCAATCAGGTATGGTTTATTTATTTTATTTCAATAAGTATTGGGGAGCAGGTGGTGTTTGGTTACATGGATAAGTTCTTTAGTGGTGATTTCTGAGATTTTGGTGCACCCATCACCCGAGCAGTGTCCACTCTACCCAATGTGCCGTCTTTGATCCCTCACCCCACTCCCACACTTTCCCCTGAGTCACCAAAGTCCATTGTATCATTCCTATGCTTTTGCATTCTCATAGCTTAGCTCCCACTTATGAGCGAGAACATATGATCTTTGGTTTTCCATTCCTGAGTTACTTCACTTAGAATAATGGTCTCCAATTCCATCTAGGTTGCTGCAAATGCCATTATGACTGAGTAGTATTCCATGGTGTCTATCTATCTATCTATCTATCTATCTATCTATCTATCACATTTTCTTTATCCACCTGTTGATTGATGGGCATTTGGGCTGGTTCCATATTTTTGCAATTGCAAATTATGCTGCTATAAACATGCGTGGGCAAGTCTTTTTCATACAATGCCTTCTTTTCCTCTGGGTAGATACCCAGGAGTGGGATTGCTGGATCAAATGGTATATCTACTTTTAGTTGTTTAAGGAATCTCCACATTGTTTTCCATAGTGGGTGTAGTTCATTTAAAGCTGGTGGGAAAAATGAGGTGTGATCTAGTTACAGCATGCGGCGTCAATCAGGTGTCGCTTATTTAGAGCATTGGGGTCAATTAGATGTGGTCTATTTAAAAGAGGTGTGGTTCCAAGAAAATCAGATAAATCAGATGTGGTCAATTTAAAGCAGGTAGACTTCATCAGTTGTGGTTGATTTACAGCATGTGGGGGTCAATTGGGTGTGGCCTTTAAAGCAGGTGTGTACCAATCAGGCATGGTCTATTTAAAGCAGGTGGAATTGATCAGGTGTGGTTTATTTAGAGCATGTAGAGTCAGTCATGTATGGATGATTTAAAGCAGGTGGGATAAAGCAGATGTGGTCTGTTTAAAGCAGTGGGATTGATCAGATGTGTCTACATAAAGCAGCCAGGGTCAATCAGGTGTGGTGTATTTAAAGCAGGTGCAATCATTGAGATGTGGTCTATTCAAAGCAGGCAGGGTTGATCAGAGATGGTGTATTTAAAGCAGGTGGGATTAATCAGGTGTGGTTTATGTAGCGTTTATGTAGAGTCAATCAGGTATGGATGGTTTAAAGTAGATGAGATAAAGCAGGCATGGTCTATTTAAAGCAGTTGAGATAAAGCAGGCGTGGTCTATTTAAAGCAGTTGAGATAAAGCAGGCGTGGTCTATTTAAAGCAGTGGGATTGATCAGATGTGTCTGCATAAAGCAGGCAGGATCAATCAGGTACGGCATATTGGTGGAATCACTGAGATGCGGGCTATTCAAAGCAGGCAGGGTCAATCAGGTGCGGTCTATTTAAAGCAGATGGGATTGATCAGGTGTGGTTTATTTAGAGCATGTAGAGTCAATCAAGTGTGGTGTATTTAAAGCAGGTGGGATAAAGCAGGTGTGGTGTACATTAAGCAGGCAGGGTCAATCAGGGATGGTCTATTTAAAGCAGGTGGGATTGATCAGGCGTGGTTTATGTAGAACATGTAGTCAATCAGGTATGGGTGATTTAACGCAGGTGTGGTCTACATTAAGCAGGCAAGGTCAATTAGGTATGCTCTATTTAAAGAAGGTGAGATATAGCAGGCATGGTCTATTTAAAGCAGGGGAAATAAAGCAGGTGTGGTCTGTTTAAAGTAGTGGGATTGATCAGATATGTCTACATAAAGCAGGCAGGGTCAATCAGGTGCGGTGTATTTAAAGCAGGCGGAATCGCTGCGTTGTGGCCTATTCAAAGCAGGCAGGGTCAATCAGGTGTGGTCTATTTTAAGCAGGTGGGATTAAACAGGTGTGGTCAATTTAGAGCAGATAGGTTCATAGAGAGATTTCTGGCCCAGAAACAGGGATGAGGTGTATCCTGTTCCCAGCTCTGCATAATTGATAAAAATCCATCCAATCTCTAGACAGCACAGATCTGTCCGTACTCCTAGAAGATTTGATGCAGTGGCCTACACAAAATACACAGGCCCCAGTTGAGCTCTGAAATTCTCTTCTCTCCAGAGCTCCTCCTCATCCTAAATCCACTTCTGCTCAGACCTTGGTCTCCAAACCCGAGATCTCTCTTCTCCTTCCATGCAAATAACTATTTTTTGTTTTCGGAAAAGGAAATACTTGAATACGCTGTTGTGGCGGTGGCTGCTCTTCTACAGGCACACGATTTCTTCTTCATGAAGACCTCTCCCTGTGAATGTGTGAAGCTGATTTCAGATGAGCGCAGAGTGTGTTTAATTAAGGTGCTTCCTTTCCCGGCCAGCGTGCGGGACCCAGGAGCCATGTGCGGTAGCTCGCTGGCCGGGCTCTCATCTCCCTCCCAAGCAGAGGGCGGTGGACACCAAGCAGTGGGATGTCCGCAGCCAGGAAAGCTTGGGGAAAAGGCTCTGTCTACTGCCAGGGACGAGGCTTCCTGCCGGAGTCTCAACGGACTGTGGACGCCACATGGGAGACGGACCACGGTGGCGCGTGGTAGCATCACGGCCGCTTTCCACGCTGCGGCTTGGAGTGGTCCTTGTTTAGATTCCTTTAGGGAGGTTCCGGAAGGAGCTGGACGCTAAAGTGCGGTTGTGTGTCCAGTAGGCTTGCTGGACGATGGTGTGGACGGTCATAGAAGAGCTTTATGTTTTCCAGGTAGAGAATGAGTTTGAGAGCCAGGTAGGGGGTGGCTCCCTCAAGAAAGGGGAGACAGGGCCTCTGATGGTCACAGGGCTGGGTGTATCGGCGGCATGTGGGATCCAGTTCATGTAAGGAGGGATGCGGCTGTAAGTAGGCCTGAAGACTCTGAAAGTACTGTTCCCCTTAGCAAAGATGGTGAGTGGCTGGGTGTGGGTGTCTGTGTGCCTCGGTGTCTGTTCTGTGTGTATCTGTGTGGTTTGGTGTGTGTATGCATGTGTGTATGTGTGTATAGATGTGTTCTGTATGTCTGTGTATATGCCCCTGTATGTCTCTGTGAGCATGTATGTGTGCGTCTTGTGTATGTGTGTGTCTGCATGCATGCACATGTGTGTGTGTATTCTTGTATGTATTCATGTGTGTCTGTGTATGGGTGTGCACTGTAATAGGTGTGCTGTGTGTTTTACATATGTCTCTGTGTATACACATCTATGTGTGTATGAGTATGTGCATATATGTTCTCTGTGTGTCTGTGCATATGTGTCTGTGATACAGGTATGTGTGTATATATATATATATACATGTCTCTGTGTGTCTGTGCCTATATAGATGCCTGTATGTGTGCCCAAGTGCGTCTGAGAGTGTCTGTGTCTCGTGTGTCTCTCTGTGTATGTGTGTCTGTGTCCTGTGTATTTATGTGTGCACATGTATGTATGTGTGTATGTTTGTTTCTGTATGTATTCATGTGTGTCTGTGGGTAAGTACGCATTGTGCTAGTGTACTGTGTGTTTTATGTGTGTCTCTGTGTGTATGCCTGTATGTGTGGATGAGTATGTGCATATGTGTTCTATGTATGTCTGTGGTTTTGCATATGTGTTTGTGTATATATGCATGTGTGTATATATGTCTCTGTGTGTCTGTGTGTGTATGAAGATGTCCGTGTGTGTACCCAAGTGTGTTTGAGTGTCTGTGTGTTTGTCTGCCTGTGTGTCTCTGTGTGCATGTGTTTGTCTGTATATGTGTGTCTGTATATGTAAGTATGTGTGTTTCTGTGTGTTTATAGATACCTGTGTATGTGCCCAAGCATGTCTGAGAGTGTCTGTTTGCCTGTGTGTGTGTGTGTGTGTATGTGTGTCTGTATATGTAAGTCTGTGCATACTGTCTGTGTATAGATACCTGTGTGCCCGGGCATGTCTGAGTGTCTTTGTGTGTGTGTGCCTCTGTGTGTGTGTGTATGTATGTGTGTCTGTATACGTAAGTCTGTGCACGTCTGTGTGTGTATAGATACCTGTGTGTGTGCCTCAGCATGTCTGAGTGTGTCTCTGTGTGTGTGTGTGTGTTTGTATATGTGGGTCTGTATACGTAAGTCCGGGCACATCTGTCTGTGTGTGTATAGATACCTGTGTGTGTGCCTGGGCATGTTGGAGTGTGTGTGTGTGTGTGTTTGTTGGTGTATCTGTATATGGAGGTGTGTGCACATCTGTGTGTGTGTTTGTTGGTGTTATCTGTATATGGAGGTGTGTGCACATCTGTCTGTGTGCATATAGATACCTGTGTGTGTGCCTGGGCATGTCTGAGTGTGTCTGTGTGTGTGTGTTTGCATATGTGTGTCTGTATAAGTAAGTCCGTTCACGTCTGTCTGTGTGTGTGTGTGCCTGGGCATGTTGGAGTGTGTCTCTGTGCGTGTGTGTGTATATGTAAGTCTGTGCACGTCTGTCTGTGTGTATAGATACCTGTGTGTGTGCCTGGGCATGTTGGAGTGTGTGTCTGTGTGTGTGCATGTGCATGCATCAGTGGCTGGGCTTTCACTCTACCCTGGGCTACTGTGATGAAGCTTGTGGCTGGATTCCATGTGCACTTGCCCTGCTCACCCCTGGAACCCATAAGAAGAAACACAAGAGGAGGCGGATGCTTGCAGATCAGCGTTACCTGCTGACGAGTGAGCCCCAGGAGATGAGAGGAGGAACCACACGCAAGGCGGTTCTTAACCTCTAATGCTTGAGTTGCTGGGACATGCAGTCCAGCTAGACAAACGCTGCCTTGCCCACGAGGGATTTTCTTAGTGATGCTCTGTGCCTGGATGCATCTGTCTCAGGCAGGTACCTGCATGTGAGCCCAGCACTCCAGGAGGACGCACGGGTCTGCAAGGCATGGTCCAAATTCCATAACTCAGGACTTCCTAGAAGGGTTTAAGGAGGCAGAGGAGTTTGGCTGGTTTGTTGTTTTCATGACTCAACCCACTCATTTTACCAGCAATCAAAACGAGCATGGATTCTCACTGCACCTGCTCAGCAGAGAGGGCGGCATCCAAACCAGTGGATCTGCAACTGTGGCCTCTGCAACAACAGCCTCAGCATCACCTATGCCCATCCTAGCAACAAAGATCCCCAGACTCCGCTCCAGACCCAATGGAGCAGAAATGCTGGGGGCTTCACAATAGCCAAGCTATGGAAACAAGCAAAGTGTCCATGGATAGATGAATGAAGAAAGTGTGCTCTATGCACACGATGGAATATTATTCAGCTTTAAAGCATTTCTCCTTTGTCCTGAGAATACTGCCCAGGCAGTGAGATGCATTTTTTTTCTAAACAGGAAATGTGTTAATAAACAAAGACGGGAAAAAGGAGATTCTGTCGTTTGCCGCAACATAGATGAACCTGGAGGACATTCTACTCGATGCACGCTCGTTGATGCAGTTTCTTCATAGTGTCATTGGTCTTTATATTTTGGTGGGTTTTTGCAGTGACTGGTACCTATTTTTCCCTTCCATACTTAGTGCTTCTTTCAGGAGCTCTTGCAGGGCAGGCCTGGTAGTAACGAAATCCCTCAGCATTTGCTTGTCTGGAAAAGATTTTATTTCTCCTTCCCTTGTGAAGCTTAGTTTGGCTGGATATGAAATTCTGGGTTGAAAATCCTTTTCTTTAAGAATGTTGAGGCTGGGCTCAGTGGCTCACGCTTGTAATCCCAGCACTTTGGGAGGCCGAGGGGGGCGGATCACGAGGTCAGGAGATCGAGACCATCCGGGCTAACACAGTGAAACCCCGTCTCTACTAAAAACACAAAAACTTAGCCGGGTGTGGTGGCAGGCGCCTGTAGTCCCAGCTACTCGGGAGGCTGAGGCAGGAGAATGGCATGAACCCGGGAGGCGGAGCTTGGAGTGAGCCGAGATCACGCCACTGCACTCCAGCCTGGGCGATAGAGTGAGACTCCGTCTCAAAAAAAAAAAAAAAAAAAAAAAGAAAAGATTGTTGAATATTGGTCCCCAATCTCTTCCGGCTTGTAGAGTTCCTGCTGAGAAGTCCACTGTTAGTCTGATGGGATTCCCTTTGTAGGTGACCTGACCTTTCTCTCTGGCTGCCCTTAACATTTTTTCTTCATTTCAACCTTGGGGAATCTGATGATTATGTGTCTTGGGGTTGATCTTCTCCTGGAGTATCTTAATGATGTTCTCTGTATTTCCTGAATTTGCAAGTTGGCCTGTCTTTCTAGGTTGAGGAAGTTCTCCTGGATAATATCCTGAAGTGTGTTTTCCAGCTTGTTTCCATTCTCCCATCTCCTTCTGGTACTCCAATCAATCATAGGTTTGGTCTTTTTATGAAGTCCCATATTTCTTGGAGGCTTTGTTCATTCCTTTTCATTCTCTTTTCTCTATTCTTGTCTGCATGTCTTATTTCAGTAAGGTGGTCTTCCAACTCTGATATCCTTTCTTCTGCTTAGTTGATTCAGCTGTTGATACTTGTGTATGCTTCATGAAGTTCTTGTGCTGTGTTCTTCAGCTCCATTAGGTCATTTATGTTCCTCTCTAAACTGATTATTCTAGTTAGCAATTCATCGAACCTTTTTTCAAGGTTCTTAGCTTCTTTGCATTGGGTTAGAACATGCTCTTTTAGCTCAGTGTAGTTTTTTATTACCCATCTTCTGAAGCCTACTGCTGTTAATTCATCCATCTGATCCTCCGTCCAGTTCTGTGTTGTGATCATTTGGAGGAGAAGAGGCACTCTGGCCTTTTGGGTTTTCAGCATTTTTTTTGTTATTCTTTCTCATCTTCATGAGTTGGTCTAGCTTCGATCTTTGTGGCCGCTGACCCTTGGATGGGGTTTTTGTGGGGGCTTTGTTGTTGTTGTTGTTGATGCTGTTGTTGTCACTTTCTGCTTGTTTGTTTTGCTTTCAAAAGTCAGGTCCCTCTTCTGTAGGGCTGCTGCAGTTTGCTGGGGGTTCACTTCAGGCTCTATTCATCTGATTCACGCACATGCCTGGAGATGTCACTCAAGGAGGCTGGATAAGAGCAAAGATGGGTGCCTGCTCCTTCTTCTGGGACCTCTGTCCTTCAGGGGCACCAACCTGATGCCAGTAGGATCCCTCCTATATAGGGCGTCTGACAACCCCTGTTGGAGGGTCTCACCCTGTTGGGTGGCATGGGGAGCAGGCCCCATTGAACGAAGCACTTTGTCCCTTGCTTGAGGGGGTGTGCTTCACTGGGGGGAAATTCACTCATCTGGGCTTCTGGATTCCTTATAGTTACTAGGAGGAGAGACTAAGTCTGCTGGTCCACATAGACTGTGGCCACCCCTCCCACTAGGTGCTAAGGCCCAGGGAGATCCAAATTCTGTCCCTGAGCCTCTGGATGGAGTTATTGGAGATCCTGAAGGAAAGCCCTGACCATTGAGGAAGGATGGGTCAGGGTTAGGCCTGAAGAGGCACTCTGGCCACAGATTGCCACAGCCAGTGTGTTGGGCTGTGGGGACAAGTATTGGGACCAAGCCATCCAGCCTCCCTGGCTCCAACAGGGGGAAAGCACAGCCTGGAGCTATAGAAATGGATGACACCCTTCCCCTGCCCAGGGAGCTTAGCATGTTAGGCAGTCACAATGCTGGCTGCTGCCCCTCCGCCAAAGAGCTCAAAGGGCTTAGACAGCAGGCAGCCTAGACAGCAGGCAGCCACAGCTGGTGCTGGTCGCCTCTCCCCCCAGGAGTTCGCTAGGCTTAAGCAGATTCCAGCTGAGAGGCTGTAAGAATCTGCGTGTTCTGGGGTTGGGACACTAGGTCCTGGTGGCATGGGTTTTGGGATCATGAGTGGGATCTTCCGATCCATGGGTTGCATAGTTCCATGGAGAAAGCACAGTTTCCCGGGCTGGGTAGCAGGCTCACTCACCACCTCCCTTGGCTGAGGGGAAGGGGTTCCCCTTCCCTGTGTGACTCTCAGGTGGGCCACCACACCATACTATTCTTCCTTCTCTTCGTGGGTCACCCCGGCCTTCTAGTCAATTTTGATGAGGGAACCTGGATGCCTTGGTTGTTGGTGAAGGATTTGTATGCTTTTTATGGTTTTCTCAATGGGAGCCTCTGAACGCGGCAGCTTCTAGTCGGCCATCTTGGCCCCGCCCCCGCGTCTTTCTTTAATGAAACGTTCGTGTGATTGGAAGCTGAGACCATTTAGAAATATTCTTTCCTAATGTGGATGTGAAAAGTCGTGTAAAGCCTGTCATTTTATTCCTTGAGTGATTGCTGAGGGTGAAGTAGGGTTGGGTTGTGCTTTCACTAAATACTTTTGGTAAGGACCATTTAGGATTGGGAGTTGTACCAAGGGCACCCCTTGTTCTTAGCCCTTAGGATTTCGATTGACTTACACCACAGGTGTATTAGTCCGTTTTCATGCTGCTGATAAAGACATACCCGAGACTGGGAAATTTAGAAAGAAAAAGAGGTTTAATGGACTCAAAGCTCCATGTGGCTGGGGAGGTCTGACAATCATGGCAGAAGGCGAAAGGCACATCTTACATGGCAGCAGGCAAGCGAGAATGAGAGCCAAGCAAAAGGGGTTCCCCTTACCAAACCATCAGATCTCATGAAACTTATTCACTACCACGAGAACAGTCTGGGGGAAACTGCCCCCATGATTCAATTATCTCCCACCAGGTCCCTCCCACAACACATGGGAATTATATGGCAGCTACAGTTCAAGATGAGATTTGGGTGGGGACACAGAAAACCCATATCAATCACCTTATCTAGGTCTTCAACTTGTAGAATATGGTGGGTGGGACTTAGCCTCCATAATCACATGAGCCAATTCCCATAATAAATATCATCTGTATCTATAGCTATAGCTATAGCTATAGCTGTCTGTCCTATTGCTTCTATTTTTCTGGAGAACTCTAACAAATATATCCCTTATCAGATACATGATAGGCAAATATATCTTTTCATTCTGTGGTTTGTTTTTTCACCCTTTTGCCTGTGTCTTCTGATGAACAAAAGTTGTTGTTGTTGTTTTTGGTGCAGTCCAGTTTACCTGTTTTTTTTTTTTTCCTTTTGTTGCCTGTGTCTTTCGTGGCATTGCCAACAAATTATCATAAATTTCCAAAACTTTTTCTAGACCATCTAATATACATGGAGAGTGGAAAACACGAGATCTTGTTGGGCCTTTCTCCGCTCTGGATTTTCTGGATGCAGTCAGCCATCCAGACAGCTGAGTGCAATGGCGCCTTCGCCCCATCTGTACCTCTGCAGAAGGTGGGCCCCTGCCAAAAAGACTGCATTTTCCAGGAGGGCGAGAGACAAGCCAATTTGGCAAAAGCACACAAGTGAAGTCAGTGGCTTTCTCCAGCCGACCATCTCCACTGGTGTTGCTGGCTGGCCCTTCACATCCAAGTGGCTTCACCGGTAATATCCTAAGAATAGCCCAATGCATTAACCGTCAACAATGCCAAACTTTCCAAGGCTCACTTTGAGAAAATTTCCTGTTTTTTCATTATCTTTTCCAATTTTTTTTCTCAAACAAAAGTCTGTCAATCTGGCCTCCTGATGAGAGTCTCTTTGTAGCTGCAAGAGGTCATAATCAGAAAGTAAGTGCCTGCAAAGATAACATTTTTCAAGAAGGTGCTTTTTTTTTTCTCTTCTCCAGATGGTGACATATGGAGAATTAGCAGGGATGCTACAAATAGCCCATCAGAGGGCTTTTGGTGGGGGGAAAGGTGACAGATAAAGCCAGTAAAGGATCTAAGATACCCTCCCAAATGTCCACAGACAGGGCAGTTTCTCATCCCCACAGCTTTCAGCTTTCGCCTGCAGGTTCCAGACCGCTGATGTCAGCCCATGGAAGGATTGAGGCACAGCTGTCTGCCCAGAGTCCCAGAGCACAGCACAGACATCTTCCAGGATTATAAATCGAGCAGCATGTCAGCAGTTCTCATGCCTAATACCTGCACCGGCTGCTTCTATGGGCCCAGGGAAGGACTTATTTCTCTGCTATACTTTTATGGATGATTTCCTGGTTGTGGCAAGGGCTTCTGAGGCATGCATTCCTCAGTTGCCCTAATCAGATAGGTGCTTCATGCACAGTAGTTGTCACAGTGACATTTGTATTAGTCTGTTCTCACACTACTAATAAAGACATACCCAAGACTGGGTAAGTTATAAAGAAAAAGAGGCTTAATGGACTCACAGTTCCACATGGCTGGGGAGACCTCACAATTACAGCAGAAGGTGAAGGACACAAAGGCACATCTTACATGGTGGCAGGTGAGAGAGCTTGTTCAGGGGAATTCCACCTTATAAAACCATCAGATCCCATGAGACTTATTCACTATCATGGGAACAGCACAAGAAAGACCCACTCCCATGATTCAATTACCTCCCACTGGCTCCCTCCCACAACATGTGAAAACTGTGGGAGCTACAATTCAAGATGAGATTTTGGTGGGGACACAGCCAAACCATATCAATATTTTTCCTGTTCTAATCCTTAGGGAGCCAAATTGTGTTACCCTGAAACCTATCTCTGGCCAGAGAGTGCATTTATAATAAAAGCTATGCTATTCTGGGGGAGAGAACCATCCATTCACCTCCTGGCTTGGACTTTAATCATATGTAAAATTTGGAAGCATGGAACTTTCTCAGAGGCTTCAAGAATCTGTATGTGTTTATCTGTGCATTTGAGACAGTATAGGCTTTTGAGCTACATTCACTGGGGTATCAGTGAAAATATTCAATAAAATGTTCATGCTCTGAAGAGAAATCCTTTGCCATTATCCGTCGTGTCCCATTGATACATGTGACACACAGATGTGGATGTGTTTGTTGAATCCATTTTGGGACTTGATCTTTCGCTATTTAAGCAATCTCACACTTATCGGTCAGAATTTTAGCTTGGTGAAATTTTTTTCTGTTGAAAGCCTGTTTGATGGTGTGTTGTAACTCAGGACTAATTTCAACATTAACCTCCTATGTCTTATGTCACCCATTCAAAACTCTCTGTTACCAACATAAAAATAACTGCCATTTGGATGCGCGATTTACTCTATAAAGAAAGGATGTTCTAATGAGCTGGATCTCTGCATTCTTGTTGGGAATTGCAACTTAGGGAGCAAGAAAGAATGCAGAAGAAAATGGAGATGAGAGGAAAGAGAGGATTGCTTTGGAGGACACACACAGACACAAGTACATATACAAGCAGACACAAACACATGCTTACACTTAAACACATGCATACATACAACTGCATGCATGTACATATATACACACAAACACATGCATAGATAAACTTATGCAGAAACTAATGCATACTTAAATTTGTATGCATGCACATATATACACACAAACACGTGCGTACATAAACTCAAGCAGAAACCCATGCATACATACAACTGCTTGCATGCACATTTATACACAAAAACACATGCACACATAAACTTATGCAGAAACCCATGAATACATACACCTGCATGAATGCACATATATACACACAAATGCATGCATACATAAAATCATACAGAAACTCGTGCATACATATGCCTGCATGAATGTACACCCATGCACTCATACATGGGAACACATGTGCATATACAAACACACATACATAATACACTCATGCAGAAATGCATGCATTTGTGCATCTACACATACAAACATGAACACACAGAAATACATGTGCGTACACAAGTTCATACAGAACATACGCATACAGACACATAAACATACAGAGTCTCAAGGGGAGTCACCCAGGTCAGGGCCAGATGGGGGACATAGCTGAGACTCAAAGGGTCCATATGGGTGGCAATGGAGCCCTGATCAGGCCAAAACCCCAGGTACACAGGCTGCAGGCTCCAGCCCCAGTGCCAGCAGCATGCAGGTGGATGAAGCCAGACAAGGCTCAAGCAGCAGCACAGCTATTCTTCTGCTGAGCCTCCCTTAACTCAAGGCCTTCTCTCCATGGCTAGGATGTAGTTTGCTCCCCACATTTCACTTCCAGACCTCAGCTTGAAGAAGCTCTTGGTGATGATGGCTGACGGCAAGACATGAAGAACAGGCCATGCATTTCCCCAGAAGGAACCATGAACCTATGGACACACCAAGAGGGTCTCTGCTTTGCACTGAATTTACTCCACCCCATTCTTCCAGCTTAGTGGGAGATTTGCAGCCCTTCAGATTAGCGAACAGATACTAAGTGTGCACATTTTGCAGTTTGCATGCCTAAAAGTGAGTTCAGTAACCTTTGACACCCAATCCATCAGGGTGGTCCAGGAAGGACAGTTGTGGTCCAGGAAGGACAGCTAATGTTAACAGTGACAAACGATGACCGCCAAGGGCTCTATCAAATTGCATTTGCAAATTTGGCTTTTATCTCACTACCATAACCATGCACCACTGTAACCATCTGTGTCGATTCAGCACTTTTTCTATTTTAATTTTTATTGAGCTCTGACTAGGTGGGAATACTAAACTAGCCCATATGCCCACCTGGAAAAGAGCCCAGTGCTGGCAAAAGAGTAAGCTTATTTGTAGGACTGCATTCTACATTTCATCCATGTGCAAAAAAAAAAAAAAAAAAAAAAAAACTGAAAACATAAAACTCGAGAAGGACCACCTGATACAGGTGATTATTTTCTTTTTTTTTTCTTTTTACTTTTGGGAAATATTTCACCAAACCATTTATTAGGCTAATTAATGGAAGTGGGGAGCCCTACCTTCAACACACAGAATACTGGCTGTTGGATATGTCCATCTGTTCAAGTCTCAATGTTTCTTTCCCTTCCCCCCAAATCCATATGACAAAGTTCTAACTGCCAGTGTGGGTGTATTTGGAATAATGTCTGTTAAAAGAAAAACCTTAGACAAATTAAATTTAACAGAGGTTAATTGAGCAAAGAATGATTCCCAAATCAGGCAGCCCCCCAAAACCAGAATAGGTTCAATCTCTGGCTTTGCTGCATGGTCAAAGATTTATGGACAGAAAAATGAAAGTGAGGTACAGAAACAGCTGGATTGGTTACAGCTTGGCATTTACCTTATTTGAACACAATTTGTACCATTGGCCACCTTTGACTGGTCAAAACTTGGTGGTTGGCACAGGAGTGGATTCCAGTCCATTTGCATGTTTGCACATCCAGTTAGGTTACAGTGCACTGTGTGCAGAGAAGCTTTGAGGTTGAACTTAAAATATGTGAGGAGGCAGCTTTAGGCTAAACTTAATTTAACAAGATGTAATTAAGATTCAATGATATTATGGTTTGGATGTGTCCCCACCTGAATCTCATCTTGAACTGTAGCTCCCATAATCCCCACGTCATGGGAGGGACCGAGTAGGAGGTAATTGAATCATAAAGGTGGGTCTTTCCCATGCTGTTCTTGTGGTAGTGAATAAGTCTCACCAGATCTGATGGTTTTGTAAAGAGGCGTTCCCCTGCGCATGCTCTCTTGGCTGCTGCCATGTAAGACAGGACTTTGCTCCTCCTTGGCTTCTGCCATGATTGTGAGGCCTCCCCAGCCATGTGGAACTGTGAGTCCATTAAACTTCTTTTTCTTTATAAATTACCCAGTCTTGGGTATGTCTTTATTAGCAGCCTGAGAACAAACTAATACCAATGTCATAAGGATGGAGACCTGATCCGGTAGGATTAGTGTCCTTATAAGAAGACACTCTGGGGAGTTCACTCTCTCTCTCTCTGTCTCAATCTCTCTCTATATATATGTTTCTCTCCTTCCTTCCCTCCCTCCCTCCCTCACTCTGTCCATCTCACCCTCTCCACCATGTGAGGAACCAGCAAGGAGGCACTGTCTATGAACAAAGAACCAAGTCCTCACCAGACATTGAATCTGCCATGCCTTGGTCTTGGACATCCAGCATTCAGAATTGTGAGCAATAAACATCTGTGGTCTAAGCCCCCAAGGCTATCACACTTTGTTGAGCATCCTGAGCTAAGAGACCATCTCTGGGTGTCTAACCCCTCACTTATCTATTGCTAGGTCAAATGGATCATACAATCTGCAATATGGTTGAGTGATAGGCCTCCAAAGGAAGCAACTGGACATCGGCCAGCTGAAGAGGTCAGCCAGAGGATCCTACTATGGTCGTTAAGGTACAGCTCCCACTTCCCATCACCAGGACCCAGAGGAAGCACATGGGTACATGTGTAGGCAGCGTTTTAATTCTTCAGCATTTATTTTTGCCAAGATGGCAGAAGGGACACGGGAAACAATTTGTTCCTCACTGATTTCTTCTGCATAGGCTCTGGGTTGAGTAATGCTCCCTGAGTGTGTACACCTGTGTGGGCCCAGCCAGCCCTGCTACTGGTGGCAGTGTGGCCTCGTAGGGGAAGGGCTCGTGCTTTGCTGACAGGGTGGGGAACTTTCTGGTAAAATGCTCCTGGAATTGACATTTGACAGATTAACTGTGCTGGAAGACAGAGTCATAAACAGAGGGTTCTGGGGAACCACTGAGAGCCAGAACCTCATGGTGGACATCTGTCATTTATCTATGTATCATCTATTTATCTATCTATCTATCTATCTATCTATCTATCTATCTATCTATCTATCATCTATCACCCACCCATCTATCCATCTATATCTATCTATTCATCTATCTATCCATCATCTGTCTATCCATCATCTATTTCTCTATGTATTTATCATCTGTCACCTATCTATCCACGTCTCTATCATCTATCACCCATCTATTTATCTATCCATTATCTATCTATCATCTATCTATCTATATAAAATCTATTACCTATCTATCTATTCATCTATCATCTATCTATTTATCTATCCATCATCTCTCTCTCTCTAACTATTCCTACTATGGAAATGTGCTTCAGTGTGTACTCAATCAGAGCTTCCCCATGCACAGATTTCATTTGGGTTCAGCACTCTGAGGGGTACATTGTGAGTGATTTCAAAGGATTCGAGGTCAATCCTGGATATTCCCAGGTATAAGGAAAGGAATGTGGAAACTCAAGCTCTTATCCCTGCTTTGTTTAGGCCAGACGCTAAATAGCCAATTACACAGAGGTGTGTCTTGGGCTCTCTTTGAAACTCCAGGAACAGTCGTGTAGGCTCACATTCTCTTTGCCATCTGGCCATTTGTATGAATCCAGTTGATGATAACGCAGCACATCTAATAAGCAGGTACCTCCATAAATTTCCTACCATTGATGCTACTGCATGGGCTGAAATATGTCATTCAGGAGCAAGAGTGAGGCAAACAATGGCCTTCCCAGTGCGTGCAGGAAATAAGAGCTTCCTGTCAAGGAAGAGACGAGTCTGTTATTTAGCTTAAGCAGATTTCCATGTATCAGACAAACAACTATATTTAAACCAATGCATTTGGGGAAAAATATATACTGGAATATATAGTTCAGCATTGCAAAGAAGCAATGCCTGAATTGTTGTGAGTTTTGGTATACGTCCACCAAATATCCTCTCCCTAACAATGGTGGGAAGGAACCACACCTTTAGAACTCTCTGGGACCCAGGCCACAGGAACGACATCTAAATAAAATTGCTTTATACTCCTCTGATTGGGGAGAGTAGAAATTATGCTTTTTGCTCTCTGGGAAATTGCTAGGTATGCTTGCGATTCAGGAAAGTTCTTACCTCACTCATAGTTAGGTTGAAGCAGAGGTGTCGGAAAGACAAGAGGAGTGAATGTGATTTGAGGCTTTTAAGAATCAGTATCTGACCTTTCTCCTAATAGAAAGTTTTTCTTCCATGTGCACTTTCTTCCTCCACTGGAGACTTTGCTTGCAAGCGCCTTGTCTGACATTTGAGGACCCTTATCTTGATTGAGTTCATGTAGAGCTCTTGGGGTTGGGATGGGGAGCTTAGACTCCCCTTGGGTAGGGCCCTCTCGGCTTCCCTGAGAAAATATCTCAGCCAGACATTCGCTCTGGATAGACTTCCACATTTTTCTCTATTGTGTAACTTTGGGCAACTTGAGTAACCTCAGAATATGAGGTAATTACAGCATTTTATTTCCTAATTGACCCAAATCTAATTGCATCCAAAAAGTTGCAATGCCCTTGGCTACAGCCTGAGATATTTCTGTAAAATCATGAAAGTTCACAAGAAAAGGATTAGTGGAATTTCTCTGAGCCAAAAAGCGGAGGAATCTATTGTTATCCTAAGAAGTCCCCAATGTAGAGGACACACATCAATAACAAGATATCCTTCTGTGACCTCAGGGAAATAGTCTCCATTCGTGGCTTGGCCAACATCGTGGCATCAATGTCATCTCATTTAGCTTGACTTTTCTTACACTTGGATAGTTGCTTCTATTCATCTTTCACCCCATTTTCTGCTTTCATGTCTGTGCAGGCATGAATTCATAGCTTCCAATCTTATAACTTTCTCATTGTCTTCACCAGATTCCCTATTATTTCCCTTTTCCTGGTAGTCTTGGTAACAGCTGGAGTTACCCATACTCAAAAATCATAATTTAAAAAGTCTTCATGAATGAGGAGGGCAGAACCAAGAAGGATATCTGGCCTACCACCTTTGCAGAATTCTGTCCAAAAGAATGACTCAATATTGTACCTTAAAACTATCTCCTATTTCCAAGCAGACAAGATCATTGTGCTCTCTCTCCCACAGTGTCAAAGAATTCATGCTCTCTTTCTTTCCTTCTTCACACATTTCCATTCTCACTATACTCGGCCCACACCTAGCACATTGACTGGTATACACCAGGCACTCAAACAGTGTCTTTGCTTCATGAATGAACGCATTTTACCTTTACCCAATGATATCATAACTGATAAGAGTCCTCGGTTGGATTTTTTTTAATGTATTTATGGAGTACTTCAAAATTTCCTACAGAGCTATAGTAACCAAAACAGCAAGGTACCGATATAAAACCAGACACACAGACCAATGGAACAGACTAGAGCACCCAGAAATAAATCCACAGATCTAAAGCGAACTCATTTTTCACAAAGGTGCCACAAACATACTTTGAGGAAAAGACAATCTCTTCAATAAATGGTGCTGGGAAAACTGGATATCCACATATGGAAGAATAAAACTAGACCCCTGTCTCTTACCATATACAACAATCAAAATAAAATGGATTAAGGACTTACTTTTTTTTTTCTTTTTCATATCTGTTTTATTTCAGCCCTCTAAGAAAGTTAATTTTCTAACACTTCCCTTTGACAAGTTATCTTCTTCACTCCCTTGGTTGTCATTGTGTACCATTTTCTCTTCCACTAAATATTCACAGCCATTTTCCTCCTTTGTGGGGGGCCAGTCCTAGTGATATTTCCCAGCCTGATCTTTTTTTTTTTCTGTTTATTCAGCATCTTTTTTGGTTAATGGAAACAGCTTAGGAACATTTATAAATGTGGTTCGACATTCCAATCTGTTTCCATAATCCTTTTTGACTTCTCTCAAGTAAGCAAGTGATGGCTAAGTGTTTCCAGGCCTGCGGACATTTTCCTGAGGATATCCTGAGGGAAATGTGGAATCTTCTTGGGCTTTTCCTGAAATTCAGCTCATGAGCTCCCAAGAATGCCTGCTGCAACCATGCACATGGAGTCTCCTCATCTGAAAATAACATTAGACACACTCAGACTGAATTGCCTGCTCATGGAAATGTTTCATCTTCATCTTTGGCAGGAAACCAGGTGATTCACACAAAGACAGGTCCTAATTAATCACTGGCAAGACCCAATCTCTCTAGCCAATTATATGACTTGCCAATTATTTTGCTTTAAAGCCTTATAAATCAAATAAATGTGCTTCTTCCCTCCTTCTCCCAGTTCCTGTTTTTTCCTGCCTTCCTGTAACCTCTTCCCTTCTTAGGGAAGCCACTTTCTTATCTATTATATAATTCTGTGGAAGAAAAATCTCTTTCAATTAGCGTTTGAACATGTCTTCCATGCACATACCTGCACACATGTTGCCATTGGTTAAATGTTGTGGAACTATCAGAATGATGTCTGTAAACTACAGACTATCCTAATCTTGTTGGATATTTGAGTGTGTTTATAGGTGTACTAGCAAATTTTAATGAGCCCTGATAGCATCAATATGAACACGTTGCCAGAATTATTCTAACACGTGTGAACTAACATGTTCACGCTTCTACTGCTTCTAACAGGCATAACCTTAAACCCATGAATTTCTATTTTTAAAGGAGTCTGTGGATGTTTCCTGTATCACATGACAGAAACATAGATGCTGTATCATAGCATCTGGTAAGCATTGACGGTAAGCCATGTCACGTCCTTAGTTGCAGCTGCTCCTCGAACAGGAATTGGCTTCTCTCCAAATATTCCGTGAGGAGAATATGCTGGTACTGCTTTGACACTGAAGACGTCTCACTGAAAAAAAAAAAAAAAAGTATATATATATTTAAGGTTTTGCCAAGGAAACAAAATATTCAGGGAAAAAAATGATTGCTTGAAGTCCATAAGATCATTTCTGCCTTTCATACAAAGGTCTGTGTTTTCTGTGGACATCCAGAATCGCAGCTAATGTCATAGAGAGATGCCTCTCCCATTTCCAAAGTGCTGCGGAGATATGCTTGCAAAAGATGCAGCAGTCCAGGGAGGGCATGTTGTTCTTCTGAATAGTCTTCTATCTATTTTCTAAGACACCTCTAGAGGACATTGGGAAATGTCTGGAAACTTTTTGGCTATCACAACTGGGTGGTCCTACTGGCATCTAGTGGGTGGAGGCCCGGGATGGTGTTCAACAACCTACAGTGAACAAAACGGCCCCACCACAGAGAATCATCCAGCCCCAAATTTCAATAGGGCTGAGGCTGAGAAACACTGCCTGACCATGAGATTCTTCATCTATCTATCTATCTATCTATCTATCTATCTATCTATCTATCCATTTTTCTGTCATCTATCACACCTAACATCTATCCATATCTATCTGTCAGCTATCACATCTATCTATCTATCTATCTATCTATCTATCTATCTATCTATCTATCTATCATCTATCACATCTATGTAACTACCATCTATATTTATCATATCTATCAGCTATCATATTTATCTGTCATCTATCATCTGTCATGTCTATCATCTACATATCTATTATCTATCATATATATCACCTATTTGTCTGTCATCTATCATATATATCATCTAACATATTTATCTATCTATAATCTATCATATCTATCATCTATTTATCTGTCATCTATGTGTCATCTATCATATTTATCTATCATCTATCATATCTATCATCTATCAATCTATCATCTATCTGTGTATCTATCATCTATTCATACATCACCTCTATCTACCTATCCATCTATCTATCCATCATCTATGTATCTGTCTACCCATCTATCATCCATCCATCTATCATTTACATCTATCAATCTATCTATAATCTATATTTCCATGTATCTATTTCTGTCTGTTTGTCGTCTATATACCTATCCATCTATTATCTATCCACTATCTATCATCATTATTATTTATCTATCTATCATCCATCTATCAATCATCTATCTGTCTGGCATCTATATCTATTTATCAATTATCTATATCTATCTATCTATCTATCATCTATCTATATCTATCTGGCTATCTCTGCCATTTATCTATCTATGACAGTGGATTTCAAATGGGGGGAGTTTTCTCCCCAGGGCACATGGGGTAATATCTGAGGACATATTCACTTGTCTCAGTGAGTGAAGGGGTGCTCCTGGCATCTAGTGGGTGGATCCCAGGGACGTTGGTCAACACCCTACAGTGCATAGGACAGCCCCACCACAGAATCATCTGGTCCCAAATGTCTTGTTTCTCTTGTTGAGAAACCTTAGTCTAAAGCAAATATTTTTCAGTCAAGATTTTTAAAATTACAGTGGGAATATATACATTTAAAAGAGTTTCTAAAAAGGCAAGTTAGTTGGGAGTAACATTTCTCAGACGTATGTTAAAATCATTAATCCATAATTTAGTTTTTAGAGTTTGCTCTTGACTTCTGTTTCTATCTGGTTTGAAAAATAGAGGTCAATTAACTTATTTCAAGGGTATGGAAGGTTTTAATCCCCATTGTTTTTGAAGTTCACTGAAGGAATATTTATTCTCCAGCTGAATAAATAACATCTAAAGTGGATCTGACATTTCAAGTCTGTTTCTGCCTTGGAAGCCACATTGCCCTTAGCTTGGGGCTCAAGAAAGGTGTGGGTCCTACTGAATCCTTCTGAGTTTGCTGTTTATAATATAACAAAGACTGGGGAAAAAAGCCCCACAAGTTCTGTTTTCCTATGATGTAGAAAACAATAATCCCAGATATTTTTAAAGCCAAGTGTTGAACTGAAGAACATCATGGCTAATTTTATATTAGGGGTTGTAAAACAATGGGCCAGATTGGGTTAGAAGGCATACTAGCATGGTCTAAAAATGACAGAGGGATAGTCAAGGTTGAGTGCTGTGTGCACCCACCTTGCATTGCATCCTTTTGTCCTCTAACCCCACTTCCTCAAGCTGTCCACTAGGGTCCATTTCTCTTCTGATACCTTTCTGTCAGCACAGAAGCTGGTGCTGGAAGAACTCTAACCTCCAATTCAGAAAGCCAGGTTCAGTCTCAGTTTTTCAATTAGCAATAATTGTTTTGTTTTGGTTTTTTTTCTTCAGAAAACATGTATTATTGCTCCTCCAGGGGCCAGACAGACTCTTAGATGGCTCCAGTAATGCTCATGTCCTGATATTTATGCTATTACATAATCGCCTCTCCTTGAGTGTCCGTGGGGTCCATGGCTTGCTTCTAATCAATCCGATATGACAAAGGCAATGGGATGTCCCCTCTGTGATTACACTACAGGAGATTGTGAGTTTCATCTTCCTAGCAGCCTCTCTGTGTTGACTCTTTCCCTTGCTGGGTACGGTAAACAAGCTGCCATGTTGTGAGCTGCCCTATGAAGAAGTCAACATAATGAGGAATTAAAGGCAGTCTCTAGGAATGGAGATTCTCGGTCCAAAAACCTATGAGAATCTGAATCTTGCCAACAACCACATGAATTACCTTGAAAGTAGATTTTGCCCCATTTCAGCCTTCAGATGAAACCCCAGCCCCAGGACATACCCCATTTGAATTGTACCAATTTTACCAACTCAAAGACACTGTGAGTTAAAAGACATATGTTTTATAAGCTTCTAAGTAGGTGATAATTTGTTAGACAGCAATAGCTAACTTATACTTCATAAGTCAACATTCTATGAGAGCCTGAGACTGAAATAGGCACTGTCCCTTCTCTCAACACATTCAGATATTAGAAGTGGGGTTTGCAGACTGGCAGTGTGAATGATCTTGAGCAAGTTTATGAATTTCTCTGTGATTTCATATCCTCAGCTTTCCAAGAAGGATGCCACCAGGTTTACAGAGATAAAGTATAATAAAAGTGCTTCAGAAAATGTAAAACTCACCACAAAGGAAAAGTTTGAAATTGTTTCAGTGGTTCTCTCTTACCACTGTGAAATAAAAATCTGTATTGATGACTTCTCAACTGGTTCAAATTTTTTAATCTGTTTATTTCTTGAAAATCATACAATCTTGCCTTCAAAATGGTAAAGATTAATTAGAAAGGAAAAATAGCTAAGGGTGGAAAAGGCCACACATAAAGTTGCTTTTTTATTTTCTATTGATTATAAATAAAACTAGGGGATTCTTATCCTTGAGCATGATAGAACTATAGTGCTATATTTTGTTGGTGGCAGGATATATACAGTTGTCTCTAGGTATCCATGAAGGACTGGTTCCAGGACCTCCTGTAGATACCCAAATCCACAGATGTTCAAGTTCCTTACATAAAATGATGTAGTATTTGCATATAATCTATGCACATCCTCCCATATACTTTGAATTGTCTCTAAATTACTTAAAATACTGAAAACAGTGAACATGCTACACAAATAGTGATTATACTGTATTGTTTGGAGAATAATGACACAAAAAAGCTTGTACGTGTTCAACGTGGATGTGATATTTTTTCAAATATTTTCAATGGGCAGTTGGTTGAATCCGTGGGTATGGAACTCTTGGATATAAATCCAAATGTACTCTTTCCTTTTCTTTAAATATAATGTATTTCTAGTGCATTGTGCTCAGTGAGGTTGCAATTGAAGGAGTCTGATATTACTATGATGAATTGTATTATGAAGGAATTTCCTGAGATAAACATGTGAATGGCAGAGTGGCAGGCTTAATCTAGGGAACCTAGAACACAATCTATTATGTATTTCAGGACATAAGCATCTGTCATAATGTTTACACTTGCAGGATCTGTTTACTATTTGCTTTCAGAAGAATTTTATATTTACGCTTGCAGTAAATCTGTTTACTATTTGCTTTCAGAATTGTGGACTTTTCTTTTTGCACATGCACCACAGAAAAACCAAGATGCTCCAATGCTGTCAGTAAAAGCAAGCCCAGGATAGGGAGATGTTGTCACTTTTAGGAGTGTGAACTGAAGACATCCATATTCACATCTAGTTCGGCTCACTTGTCATCTGCATCTCTGGCACCAAGTTCTTTTCCCTCTGTGTGAGTATCAACAAAATGGAGATAGTAGCCAATAGATAATGTCTTCTGAATAAATAGATATGCACAATGTACTTAGGAAGAAGAGTCTCACATGTTGTCAGTCCTGTGTAAATGTCTTTATTGCTAATATTCTTAATCCGCAGTTTGTTTAAGAAAAGACACCACAAAGAATTCAATTTCTCTACTTTTGAGAGATGCAAGAAAACTCTACAAAATAAAAGTGATAGCTTATTTACTTCTCTAATTTTTTTTACACCTCCTCAGCTTTCAAGTGAGGGATATATAGTTTTGCATGTGAAAGTGGTTTATAAGTTATAAATTCCTGTTCTATTGTTTGAATCCATCCCCTTAAATTCGTGTGTTGGAAGCTTCATCCCCGGTGCAATAGTGTTGGAAAGTTGGGCACAATAGGAGATAATTAGGTCTTGAGGGCTCTGCCTTCATAAATGGATTGTCATTATGGCGGAAGGGAGTTAGTTATCTCCAGAGCGGACTTGTTAGCTGGTTATAAAACAGTTTGGTGTTTTCTCTCTCTCTCTCTCTCTCTCTCTCTCTCTCTGTCTCTCACTGTCTCTCTCTCTCTCTCTCTCTCCCCCCCCCCCAGCCTGTGCCTGTTCTCTTTTTCTTATGCTTTCCACCATGGGATGGCATAGCAAGAATGCCTTCACCAGACACAACCCCCTCACCCTTGGACTTCCCAGCCTTCAGAACTGTAGGAAATGAATATCTATTCTTTCCACATTACCTCCATCTCAGATACTCTGTGATAGCAGTACAAAATTGACTAAGACATCCTAGAAACTGGGGAGATTGAAGTCCTGTCTGTGTGATATCTCTGTTGCATGAGATCAATTACTGAAGTCAAGTACACCCAGTAAGTCTATGTTGGAAAAACTCAGTGATCTGTTCTTACACTGCATCTTACTTGAGCAATCTCTAAGTGACCGTGGACACACTGGTTGGAGGACCACCCATCCTGGTATGCCCATAACTGTCCTGGCTTTAGTCTTGTGTCCTGGGAACCCCATTAGTCCCAGGCAAATGGGGATGATACGTTACCCCACACAATGGGTCCCTCCCTCTTTTTTGGTTTTGTGTTCATTTGATTTCAGGACACTGACTCTTCTTGCTTTTCTACTAATACAGTTTACACACCTTCAGTCTTATCTTCCAAATCTCCTCAATGTCATCCTACTCTTGAAGAGTCCCAGGCTCAGCCTGTTCTTTTCTATCTTTGCTACTCCTTAGGGGAACTATGTAATCTCATGTCTTTAAATATTTTCGTTGGCCAACAACCCTCAAATTTATATCATTAACTTTGATTCCTCTGCCAAACTCCAGACTTGCATATATTCAACCACCCACTTCAACACCTCCACTTAAGTGCTTAGTGGACACATCATTTATATCCTTGTTCATGGACATCTCCAATTCAGCATGTCAAGAACTAAACCCCTGGCCTACCTTTGAAAATGTCTCCCTTCCACCCTTCCCCATTCTCTGGTCAAATACCTGGAATCAATATTCACTCTTCCCTTTCACATCCATCAATGAAGAAATGTTATTAGTTTTACTGTCTCTATTAGTTTCGTAGGGATGTCATAACACAGAGCCACCAATTGAGTGGCTTAACACAACAGAAATCTATTATCTTGCAGTTTTAGAGGCCAGATGTCTGAAATCAAGGTTGTAGCAGGATTATGCTCACTTCAGAGGCTCTGGGGGAGAATCCTTGTGGAGGCTGTAACGGGGAATCTGTTCCATGCCTCTCTCCCAGCTTCCAGAGCCTGCTGGAAATCCTTGGTATCTGTCTGTTGGCTTATAGATCATCACCCACCCTAGTGTCTGCCTTCACCTTCACATGGTACTCTCTCTAGGTGCGCATTTCTCTGTGTCCAAGTTTCCCACTTTTCTAAGGACATCAGTCATATTAAATTAGGTGCTCACCGTGCTCCAGTATAACTTAGTTATGTCTACAACAACTGTATTCCCAAATAAAGTCATATCCTTAGGCACAGGAGGTTGGGAATTTCATATATAAATTTGGTGGGAGATGCAATTTGACCCATAATACTATCATAACCATTTTAAATTGTACAATTCACCAGCACTTTGGTGCCTGTACAACATGATGCACCCATCACCATTATCTGGTTTCAGAACATTTTGATCACCCCAAAGCTATACCTGTTAAGCAGTCACTCCCCATCCTCCTCTCCCTGCAACCCCTGCATAGCACTAATCTATTTTTTGTCTCTATGTTTAAAGGTACATTAAAGCAGGGTATTTCTAAGTAGGTTGTAGGCAAACACATGAGCAAATGAATGCCTGGTTCTATCTAGACAGTTTAGATCCCATATCGAGTTTGTAACGAAGTCCTCTTTGTGGGTTCTGTCTTTACAAACAGCCTAGGAAAACTTAAACGACCTCACTCCTGGATCGTTAAGTATGTTGACTAGTAACTTGGATGACTGGATTTTACAGCAGGCTTTGTAAGCTCACCCAATTAAAACCAGCTGAAGAAAGACCAATCTAGTCCCTTGAAAAAAATGAGATTTACATATCTCATAATGCAGGTGGGGTGCAGGCATAGTAACATAAGAAAATTCTGCTAGATAGAAAAACTAAGTTGTAGTGTCCAATAGTACACTAGAGAAAGTAGAATTAACAATAACTTATCGTATATTTCAAAATAGCTGGAAAAGAAGAATTTGAATGCTCCCGACGGAAAGAAAAGATAGACGTGTGAGGTTCTGGGCATCCCAATCATTCTGATTTGATCATTACACATCGTATTCCTGTATCAAAATATCCCATGTACCTCTGAAATAGGTACAACTATGATATATCAATTTTAAAGAATTAATTTAGAAAATAAATTTAAAACCTAAAAGAAAAAAAAGACTCTGAAGAGTCCCAGGGTTGCAAAGTCAGGGTTTTGTGCTGAGGGAGAAAAGAATATATCAGGGCAAAGCTCTGGTAAAAATCAAGAATTACTTAACTGTGTTCTCTGCTCACCAGACAATAATAATCAAGAAATAATTATTTATCATTTGCAAATCTCCATCTTGCTCCTTTAGTATGATGGGAGATTTAATAACAACAGCGTTGTTTGCAACAGCATTCGTGTTTGCATTTAGAGCCTTGGTAGGATCTCACACATGCAAATAAACTCAATAATACATGTCACAGAAGAGATGAGCTGGCCATTTCCAAAGAAAAACCCCAAAACTTAACCCATTTATGCTTGAGGTTACAATATTTTGAATTTTTGCAATCAGACCTTGGCGATGACCTGAGCAGTAGGATATAAATAACTCCGACGTGCTCAGCGTTCCATTGGAACGCTAGGCATAAATGGCTCAAAGCTATCACACATTTCATCTTCAGCTCAGCATGTCCCTTACTTCATGGATATGCAGGCAATAAACAGAAAATTCAGAGTTCCTGGAACACCAAACTAAAATGGGAACGTAGCAAAGGAATAGTTCCTTTTTCTCTGACTTCCTGCTGCTTTGTTGCTGGGGTTTGCAGTCAGAAAACTGGTTCTTCCTTTTCTTCCCTGTTGGATTTGACGATGGAATCAGATGGACTGCCAAGGTCAATATATATTAATATGCCACCATGGAATGTACTTTATGTTTCAGTGGATGTTGGTGCATTTGACGGTGTGGTAATGGAAATTGCCTTTAGAGAGCAATTGCTAGGGGCCAGGGAAAGAAAAGTTCAGTGACTCCAACGGCAAGTAGGATTAGAACAAATTCCTCTGGGCTGTGGCAATACCTTGGCTGCAGGGCATGGGGAAGTTGAGCATCTCTATAGCTTCTCAGCAACAGCAACACACAGATCAAGCTAAGAGCTAAGTTCCTATAATTGAAAGAGTGAAATTACGCAGCACAGTTTCTAAAATATGATAGAAAAAAGGGGAAAACAAAATCCTCTTAGATCCCTTTAAAGAAGAATTTCTTGCAAAACAGTTTTACTCCTCATGAAAGAAGCAGTGGAATCAATCAGATAGGTATTCCTTTTTATGCTTTGCTTTGAGAAATGCCAAGGTTTTTCCATTTTATTATAGCACCCTGTAAAATTAAACTCAATTTCTGCAAATGGAGTGTCACTATTTCATCCACAGATTCATGAATATAACTGTAAATCATTTAGCATCTGAAGCATTCTTAAAAACCACCAACTAATCTATAATTTGGGAATATTAACCGATCCCTTTCTAAATTAGGTGAACGGAATTTCTTTTGGTGAACTCTGATGAAGCTTCTGAGAAAAACTTCTGGCCACAAGTTTACTACGTCTGTACTTCACCATTGTTTTCTTTCTCTGTGATTTTTTTGAAGTTCTTCATAAACTGAAGAACAAGTTGGAAGTTCACATGAGGTAAAATAAATATGGTGGTCATAATTTTCTAGCATCCCCAAACAAGATATGTTTCTTATTTACAAGGGTTGTGGCTAAACTGGATTTCCCTCAAGAGACTAGGCAACATCAACTCTATAATGCATTCACTTTTGTTCCTGGCTTTATAGTACTATTAAAATATTTTTATTGTCATGAAAATTGGGCCACCCTGGACAATGGACTTTGACTAACAAAGAAAATAACATCAAAGCAATGTCATTAAAATAAGTTTCTGTTTGCCTGACAGCTGCCTTTTATTAAAGCAAAGCTAAAATGATGGAGCTGTATGAGTGTATCATTGGATTACTTTATTTTTAAAGGAAAACATGTTATAAATTATGTCAACTTTCCTCAGAGCTAAGAAAATGGAAGCACATCAGGTAGATCATAATATGAGGACTATTTTAGAAGGAACGCTCTTTTGCATGTTTGTTTGTTTGTTTTTGCACAAACTGAAAGAGCAAACATTTCTTCAGAGGGCTGGGTGCTTTATGTCCTTATATTTTTTTCATGGGATCCTCGCAGCAAACCAGTGTGTTCTCTTTCTTGTTCTTGGTTTTACAGGTGAGAAAGCTGAAATTACACAGGTAAGTGTCAAACCCCAGAGTTGAATCTAAATGTGTGCCGCTCAGGGTTTGTCTAAAGTACTTTCCTGCCTGTGGAAACTACAGTATCCTTTCATTTAACTTGATTTTCAAAACAAATGTTACATAAGTATGCATGCCCAGAAACATAAAAAAAACTGAAAATAAGATGTCCCCTGCTGACGTCTAATTCGATTAATGATTTTTATAGAGTGGATATATTGCTATCTATCCAGCAAGCCATCTTCTAGAACAACGGAAAGACAAGATGAGCTAAATCTCACAAAAGTGTCAAATGCATAAATTCTAGGGCTTGCTGACTGGGTTAAAGATTTACACTGGGTGGGGTTGCCCAAGACAGAGAAGAATTGGGGCGGGGTTGTGGGTGCATAAATTTCTCTTAAGCTACTGCCTGAATGGGTATTACTTAGAAACAAATCAATTTGTCTAATTTCTTCCAGACATTTCCTTGAACAAACAATATACTTCAATCTCCCCCCACTGACTCATCATCAGGCAGTTTGTTTATTTGCCTATTTAACTGGGTTTTCCCAAACAAAGGAGGGACCTTGCTATGCAAAGTCCTCTTCAGAAGTCGCATCCATTTTAGAAGACATGTGAAATAAAATGGAGAGAAAACGAAGGGCTGAGAAATCCTCAAAGCTGCATACATCTGGTTTTGATTTGGGTCTGTATTTTTCTTTCCCTCTGGTAGCTTTCGTTTTCAAAGCGGCCAGTGGGTGAAACATTTTAATTGATGCAACCCTTTTTCCAATGTCCTGGTGGTCATCCCTGAAACCGTGTCGCATGGTTCTCTAAAAATGCATCGATGATAGAAACCCTCTGTCTCCTACTTTGTTCAGACGCTTGCAAAAATCTTTCTTAATTGATCCCACGTGTTGTAGTGTGGCTAAGGTATCAATATTTCATAGCACTAAGACGGAACTTGGAGTAGTATCAGTTCCCCATTCCCCCAACCCCAGGCTTGACTTAGCATAGCAAGTTCTTTAGATTTGCAAGGAGTGCCCGAAAAGTCAATCAGTAAAAATAAATACAAGCTTTATTCAGTTTATACTGCATCTGAAATATTAATCTTTACAATAATTAGACTTAAGTTTTTCCTCTTCTCAAGCACAGAGGGAAGCTGTCTTAGTTCATTTCAGGCTGCTGTAACAGAATACCACAGTCAGGGCTTATAAACAACAGGCGTTTATTGCTCACAGTTCTGGAGGCTGGAGGTCCAAGACCAAGGTGTGGCAGTTTCAGTGTCTGGTGAGGGCTTCCTGGTTCACAGACGGCACCTTCTCACTGTGTCTTCAAATGGTGGAAGGGGCGAGGGAGCTCTCTGGGGTGCATTTTATGAGGGCACTGATCCCATTCGTGAGGCTCCATGCTCATGACCTCATCACTTCCCCATGCCTCACCTCCTAGTACCTTTGGAGTTAATGTTTCAAAATAGGAATTTGAGGAGATATGGACAAGCTGCAGGTATTCAAGACTATTACATTAATTTAGGAAGATAAATACAGGAAGGAATTTAAGTTTAGCTGCAAATGCATGTGCCCACACACACACACACACACACACACACACACACACAAATACAAGTTTTCTCATTTTTTTCAAAGCTAGCTCCCCATAGGCAGAGATCTGCAGAAGATGGGGCTCTGGACTTGATAATGTGTTCTAATTCTCCCAAATGTTGCTTTATGAATTTGGATGCTATGCTACTAGCTGAAAAAAAGTTCAACATTTTTATAATCTTATTTTATAATTTTATAAAGTTCAGCATTTTATAATTATTTTTGACAAAATTTTTTATAACTTAACCACAACCTTCTTTACTTTTCTTTTCTTTTCTTTCTTTTTTTTTTTGAGACAGAATCTCCCACTGTTGCCCATGCTGGAATGTAGTGGTGTGATCATGGCTTACTGCAGCCTTGACCTCCCAGGCTCAAGAGATCCTCCTGTCTCAGCCTCACAAGTAACTGGGACTACAAGTGTGTGCCATTATGCCCAGCTAATTTTTTTAAATTATTTGTAGAGATGAGGTCTTACTATGTTGCCCAAGCTGGTCTGAAACCCCTGGGCCTTTTTCCTTTCTTTTCTGCTTCTTGTTAACCAAACTACAGAAATGTTGTATTTACTTACTATGTTATTTTTTTCTCCATACCTTTGATCTTGGCCTTTTTCTGTTTGGGCCTTCAGACCCTTGGAAACAGCAAAGACCTGGATTTTTTTCAATCTCATCTGAGAGTTCATGTCTACTAAGATATATTTTCAGGCCATTTATATTTATTACAGTTGATAACAGTTTTACAATGTATTTCTTGTCTTCAATTTTATACATTCTATTAACCATTCATTTTCTTTGTTTCGATAATTTCTATTTTCTGATACCTAAGTGGGGTTTTTTTAAAAGTTTTTTTTCTTTTTTGAGAAAGCTGTTTTCAGTTTGTATTCTTTTACGGACTGGCAATAAATTTAATATGCATAGTAACATTCACAGGAAATAAAATAAAGCTAATATTTATACTCTCCTTCCAAACAAAGAAATAACTTGTTTTAGCTCTGACCATTGCATTTTTCTCCTACAAGCTATTGTGACCTTTAATTTTAGTTCCACCTTCCTTTTAGACCCTCAATAGAGAATCACTTGAACCCGGGAGGTGGAGGTTGCAGTGAGCCGAAATTGTGCCACTGCACTCCAGCCTGGGTGACAGAGTGAGACTCCATCTGAAAAAATAAAAAATAAAATAAAATAAAAAACGGACCCTCCATGGAGGTATCCTTTTATTATTGGTGCTGGATGGTGATGGTGTTTTATATGGCTGACACTAGTTTTGATTTAACTCCGGTTCCTCTATTTTTCTGATGACCAGTAATTTTTTTTATTACTTAACTTGTATTTTAAGTACAGGTGTACAAGTGCAGGTTTGCTATATAGGTGAACTTCTGTCATAGGGATTTGTTGTCACCCAGGTACTAAGCCTGGTAGCCATTAGTTGTTTTTCCTGATCCTCTCCCTCCTCCCACTCTTCACCCACCAAAAGGACCTAGTGTCCGTTGTTCCCCTCTATGTGTCCATGAATTCTCATCATTTAGCTCCCACTTGTAAGTGAGAACATGCAGTATTTTGTTTTCTGTTCCTGCATTAGTTTGTTAAGGATAATGGCCTCCAGCTCCATTCATGATCCCACAAAGGACATGATCTGGTTCTGAATTCAGTCTATCATTGATGGGCATTTAGGTTGTGTATTACTCCGTTTTCACATTGCTATAAAGAACTTCCCTGAGAGTGGGTAATTTATAAAGGAAAGAGGTTTAATTGACTCATAGTTCCACATGGCTGGGGAGACCTCAGGAAACTTACAATCATGGCGGAAGGCAAAGGGGAAGCAGGGCACCTTCTTCACAAGGCGGCAGGAAAGAGAGAGTGCAGGGAAAACTACCACTTTTTTTTTTTTCTTGAGAAAGTTTTTCTCTTGTGCCCAGGCTGGAGTGCAATGGTGCGATCTCGGCTCACTGCAACCTCCGCTTCCCGGGTTCAAGCGATTCTCCTGCCTCAGCCTCCTGAGTAGCTGGGACTACAGGCGCCCACCACCAAGCCCATCTAATTTTTGTATTTTTAGTAGAGACGGGGTTTCACCATGTTGCTCAGGCTGGTTACGATCTCCTGACCTCAAGTGATCCGCCTGCCTCGACCTCCCAAAGTGCTGGGATGACAGGCGTGAGCCACTGCGCCTGGCCGGATAACTGCCACTTTTAAACCATCAGATCCCATAAGAACTTCTTCACTATCATGGGAACAGCATGGGGGAAACCGCCGTCATGATCCAGTTACCTCCTCCAGGGCTCTCTCTCTGCACGTGGGAATTATGGGGTTTACAGTTCGAGGTGAGATTTGGGTGGGGACACAGGGCCAAGCTACATCAGGTTGATTCCATGGATGCCCCGTATTTCCTGCATCTTCTGCCTTCCTCCAGCTTTGGTACCTCTCTCCCTATAGAGCATCTTTGAGTAGTTCCAACAGTGAGTCGAAGTAAGTGGAAAACACTCTGGCTCCAAAGTGGTGCATTTATTTCCTGCTTACTCCGGAAGAGCCGAGCTCAGTGTAGAGCTGTCCGCAGTCAGGAATTCCCCTTGAGGGCTCTGAAGACCTTTTCCCATTGTTCCCAGGGCCCTCCCAACCCTGCTGGGGTGTCTTCTCCAGGTCATGCAGGGTGTCTGGGGGCCACCTGTCTGGCTATTTAAAGGATTTTTCTTTGTTTTGGGGGCTCCCATATTTTTCCTGAGTATTGTGTATTGGCTTTTACTTATACTCTTTTACTGGAAGAAAGAAATTCTGTGGAGGAGCTGAGAAAATAATCAACCATTGTTTGTTTAAATATGGCTGAGCCCTGTCCTCTCCAAACAGCCCTTAGGGGCATTGAGTAAAAGTTTTGGCGACACCACCTCCTTTGTTCTGCGGCTTTGAAACTCATTTTCAATTTGCCATGTCAGAACTTCTTGGAGCTTGGAATTATCTCCTGGCCTCTGAATTGCTTTTTTGGTTCAAGTAATCCTTTGGGTTATTTGGTTATTTCAACAAATATGTGTGTGTGTACACAAAAATATATACACACAGACACACACGTGTATTTGTAAATATACATGTGCATAAGTGTATATATACTCATATGTTTATATGATCATTTAAATATATATATATGTTTACAAACATATAGGTATGTGTACATATCTACACGTGTATTTCTAAGTATATATGTATATATGTGTATATGTACATATGTATATATATACTTGTATGATATGCTTATATAAGTATATATACATATATTTACAAATACATGTATTTGTACATTTAGACATATCAGTATTTGTAAATATATGTGTATATATACTTACATGATCTATATATTTAGAAATACATATGTATGTTTACATATATACATATATGTGTATTTGTAAGCATGTGTACATATGTTAATACTTATGTTTATATGCTTATGTAAATATATATGCCTGCATATTTACAAATATGTATGTATATGCATTATACAAATATGTGTATTTGTCAGTATGTATGTACATATGTGTTTATACTGATATATAAGTATACATACATATAATTTATAAATACATATGTGTATATACATATATACCTATATATTTACAAATACACTTGATTATTTTAAAAATCCCACTGTTCTTTATTATTTATTATTTCAATTAACAAATTTAAAAGATACATATTTATGGGATACAACATGATGTTTTGATATATGTACACACTGTGGAACGGCTACATCAAGCCAAGAAATACATTCATCACCTTTCATACTTATCATTCAAGGGAAGGGTGGAAATCTTTAAAGGGTGTTCCTGTAGCAATTTCCAAATGTACCATGCATCGTTATTAACTAGCATCCCCATGTTGTATAACAGATCTCCTGAACGTATTCTTCCTATAACTGAAATGTTGTGTTCTTTGCATATCTCCCCTTTTCAATATTTTTTCCCCAGAGGACTTTGTCTCTGTTTTCATTGTGAACTCAGCATCTTTTCATGTTTCAATTCCTTCCAGATTAGGGGTTTCACCTTCTGCTGCAGACTGCTGCCCAATCAGCTGACGTTCTCTGGGGACACACCTGCCCTTTGCTGAGGCTGTGGATGGGAACTCATTGTGAGATTTTTTTGCCATGTGTGGATGGGCTCTGCAAGGTTGCAAGAAACAAAGTCAAAAAATGGGTACAAGGCTCACATGTTTTTCACGTTTGAAAAAGCAAGTTTCAATTTTTTAAATTTTCATATTGATGTATAATGATTAAGTCAGAGTATTTGGGGTATCCATCACCTGGAGTATTTTTTATTTCTTTTTTTTTTTTTTTTTTTTTTTGAGACAGGGTCTCACTTTGTTGCACAAGCTGGAGTGCAGTGGTTCAATCACAGCTCACTGCAGCCTCTACCTCCTGGGCTCAAGTGATCCTCTTGCCTCAGCCTCCTGAGTAGCTGGAACTGCAGATGTGCACCACCACACCCAGCTAATTTTAAAAAGAATTTTTTGTAAAGATGAGGGTCTTGCTCTGTTGCTCAGGCTGGTCTTGAATTCCTGGGTTCAAGGGATCTTCCCATGTCAGCCTCCCAAATGGCTGGGATTACAGGTGTGGGCCACTGGGCCCAGCCCTGTGTTGGTAACATATCATCTCCCCTTCCAGCTACTTTGAAATATACAATATATTATTGCTAAATACAGTCACCCCACTCTGCAAGACAGATGCCTCTTGTTTTTACTCATATGTGGTAACTTTAAAAATTGACCTCATGATGGGAGGATCACTTAAGCCTTGGGGAGGTCGAGGTTGCAGTGAGCTGTGATTGTGCCACTGCCCTCCAGCCTGGGCGACAGAGCAAGACCCTGTCTCAAAAAAAAAAAAAAAAAAAAAAAAAATGACCTCATGGAGATAGAGAGCAGTATGATAGGTTCCAGAGGCTGGAAAGGGTGTGTGGGTGGGAGGCAGAATAAAGAAAGGTTGGTGAGTATAAGCCCCAGTGTTTGATAAAATAATTTTTTTAGAATTATCCCAATTCCAGGAATTTGTGGAAAGGGGGCAAAATCCTCACCATTCTACCAGTGCTTGGATGTCCGCCTGGGCTGAACCATGAGAGACCAAGCTCAGGCACTTTGGTTGAGCTTGGCCAGGGGGATACCTCGTCCCTGGAATTTGCAGACATGACCCCAGTTGTGTTCCAGCAGACTGCCCAGATATCTGCAGACCTTACTGCTCCAGATCCTGACTTCTTTCCAGTTCCGCTCTGGGCCAGACCTGTTGCAAATATGCAGGATGGACCCTAAGAAAATGTCACTAAACTGAGAGGCGATCCTTCAAATACAAAGCAACCTCTCCAGTAGGAATGCTGTGCTGAATTCATGAACATCTCTAAGTTCTTAGAGCATCAGAAAATCTGCACTAAAATTCATCTGTCCTCCTCAGGAATGGCAGTGAAGGGCTAATGCTTTCATTTGACTTCTCCAGAACTGAGCTGAGCAATTGCATGGTCCAGGCTGTGACAACTGTCACATGGAGAATGGTGGCAGCCCAAGGGATACATAGAGAAACTAAATGTGGAGTGGAGATATTCTTGAAGACAGAGCCAGCCCTAATACACATATCCCAGACATGAGCAATTCACACCACAGCAAGGGCTCCAGCATGAATGTGGCTTTAGAATGAATCCGTGGGCACGTGGTTGGTGCCAGCCCCTTTGTTTGGTGCCATCACATCCATGCTTCTCAGGCACATTCTGTGTTTGCTGCTGCTGCAGATCCCACTCACCAAACAGATCCACATTCAAATGAACATATGAGGTCCCCACGCCCTCCACCCCATCAAGACTGAAGCTCTTACTCCAAAGACATTGAACACCCCTGGTCCCAGGTAATTTCCGCTGCTGCATCTTGCACAACCCAAAGAGGTGTAAGCCAAGACTTGATTGTGGAACCTAAGAGGGAAGACAAGCTCTTCATGATAACCTGCCTACCACCACCAGCTCTAGGTCCACAGGGCTGATGCCCCATAAGGGAATGGAGCTCATGAATGTGTATTGTACCTTCCGGGTGTTTTGCTGCCTTGCACGTCAAGCTCTGCAGCCTTCCAGATCCCCTTGTTCTCTGACTGAGAAAGGGAAAAGGAAGCGATTGAACATTCCTGCAGTGATATTACTACAGTCTGAATGTCTGTGTCCTCTCCCAAATGCACATGTTGCAATTGAATCCTGTGATGGTTAATAGTGAGTGTCAACTTGATTGGATTGAAGGATGCAAAGTATTGTTCTGGGTATGGCTGTGAGTCAGTGGACTGAGAGAGGCAGACCTACCATCAATCTGGGTGGGCACAATTTAATCAGACCACCAGTACAGCCAGAATAAAAGTAGGCAGAGGAATGTGGAAAGACTAGGCTGGCTGAGTCTTCTGGCTGCCATCTTTCTCTTGTGCTGGGTGCTTCCTGCCCTCAAACATCAGACTCCAAGTTCTTCAGCTTTTGGACTCTTGGACTTAACACCAGTGGTTTGCCAGGCGCTTTCAGGCCTTCGGCAACAGACTGAAGGCTGCACCATTGGCTACCCTACTTTTGGGGGTTTGGGACTTGAACTGGCTTTTTTGCTCCTCAGCTTGCAGATAACCTTTTGTGGGACTTCACCTTGTGATCAGGTAAGTCAACACTTTTTAATAAACTCCCTTTCATAGACACATCTATCCTATTAGTCTTGTCCCTCTAGAGAACCCTGACTAATACAAATCTGCAATGTGATAGTATGGAAAGGTGAAGCCTATGAGAAGGGGTTAAATCATGAGGCCTCCAGCCTTATGAATGGGATTAGCGCCCTTATAAAAGAGACTGCCTTCCACAGTGTAAAGATGCAGCAAGAAAGCACAATCTTGGAAGCAGAGAGTGACACTAAATCTGCCATGCCTTGACCTTGGACTTCCAGCCTCCAGAGCTGTGAGCAATAAATGCCTGTTGTTTGTAAGCCACCCAGGCTGTATTAGTCTGCTGTCATGCTGCTAATAAAGACATATCCAAACCTAGGTAATTTATGAAGGAAAGAGGTTTAATTGACTTATAGCTCCACATGGCTGGGGAGGCCTCACAATCATGATGAAAGAGCAAGGGACATCTTACATGGCTGCAGACAAGAAGTAAGCTTGAGCAGGGAAACTCCTCCTTATATAAGCATCAGATATTGTAAGACTTATTCACTACCATGAGAACAGCACAGGAAAGACCCACCCCCATGATTCAATTACCTCCTGCCCCACCGGGTCTTTCCCATGACACATGGGAATTGTGGGAGCTCCAATTCAAGATGAGAATTGGGTGGGGACACAGCCAAAGCATATTATAGGCTAAGGCATTTTGTTATAGCAGCCAGAACAGACTAAGACAGATATCAAACCCAAAGTCAATGCCATCCCCTATAAGCACAAGTGTTGGAGCAATCTCTTGCAAACATTTATCTGAGCTCAGCTGGCTCTGAGAAGTGGGATTTTTTGCCTCATTCATTGGGTCCTAAAGCCTGTCATCAAGCATGGCAGTGTATGTGGTTATATTAGAAGGACAACATGGTAGATCTTGTGGTGATGGAAATGTTCTGTTCCTTGACCGTACCAAGGTCAATATCCTGGTGTGAGATTGTACTGTAGTTTTATCAGAGGCCTTCAAACCAGAGTGACTTTATCTTGAATAGGGGCTGGGTAACATGAGGCTGAGACCTGCTGGGCTGCATTCCCAGGAGGTTAGGCTTTATTAGTCACAGGATGAGATAGGAGGTCGGCACAAGATACAGGTCATAAAGACCTTGCTGATAAAACAGGTTGCGGTAAAGAAGCCGGCCAAACACACCAAAACCAAGATGACGACAAGAGTGACCTCTGATCGTCCTCATTGCTCATTATACGGAATTGCCCACCCCTTTCCCAGAAAACTCATGGATAATCCACCCCTTGCTTTGCCTATAATCAGGAAATAACCATAAAAATAGCCAACCAGCAGCCCTTAGGGCTGCTCTGCCTGTGAAATACCCATTCTTTTATGCTTTCACTTTCTTAATAAACTTGCTCTAACTTTATGGATTCGCCTTGAATTCTTTCTTGCACAAGATCCAAGAACCCTCTCTTGGGGGCCTGGATTGAGACCCCTTTTTGGTAACAGTTTTGCAAGATATTACCCCTGGGGGAAAAGTAAAGAGTACCAGGGATCTCCCTGTGTTATTTCTTTTCTTTTCTTTTTCTTTTTTCTTTTTTTTGAGAGAAGGTCTCACTCTCTTGCCCAGACTGGAGTGCAATGGTGCAATCTCGGCTCACCGCAACCTCTGCCTCCCAGGCTCAAGTGATTCTCCTGCCTCAGCCTCCCGAGTAGCTGGGATTACAGGAGCGCACCACTACCGCCCGGCTAATTTTTGTATTTTCAGTAGAGACAGGGTTTCACCATGTTGTCCAGGCTGGTCTCAAACTCTTGACTTCAAATAATCCACCTGCCTTGGCCTCCCAAATCCCTGTGTTATTTCTTACAACTATGTGTAAACCTAAAACTATCTCAAATTTAAAAGGTTAATTTTTTAAAGTTCTTAAAAGTTTCGAAGATTAAAGAAATGTATGGATCAGTTCACTGCATCTTGGTCTCAATATACACAAAGATATTCGACATTTTTTTCCTCTATAAATGCTGGCTTTCAAGCCAACTATCTTGAAAGGGATTCAAACAAAAACATAATAATAATTCGAGAGTCAAAGCAGAGGAATATTGCTTTTTTCTAAGGGAGTGTCCACCCATCTCTTGAAGCTCTGGAATTCTTTGCCTCCATGCATTCTAAGGCCCGAGAGAAAGAGCATTCATAGGGTATGAAAAAGCATCTGAATATATTTCTATATAAACTGCTTCTCATCACAAATATGTGTGATGCAACATCCCTGTGGTCAAACACTTCTCAGTCTTCGTGGAGTAGAGAACGCACAACTAATTAAGCTGGGAATCACAAAACAATGTGATCTGAGCAATGCTGAAGTTATATCCTGGAGATTTTATAGAGTTCTTTTAGGAATTATCTCACATTGGCCTTTGATCAACAGAAAGGAGAGAGATGGCTGAGAAATTGCCTATGGAATGCAATTTAGGATGAGTATGATCTTGCATGGGGATTCAAGACATCAAGGCCCAAGTGTTTTGGTCTAAAGTATTCCATGCATTAAAGGTGAATGTGTCGTCATCATCAAAATGTTGAATCCCTTGGGCAGATGGTGCAGATGAGGAGCAATTGGTGGCCCTCTCTCTCTGCTGTTGAGCATCCTTTAGTAATTAACTTGATAGGGGCCATGTTACTCAATCCTTGTCAAGGATGTTAACTCTGGAATAATGTACAGGCTTTGCAAGTGTTCTCTTCAATGCTAGAGGATTTAGCATATCCAATGCATTTGTTCTAGAAAATGATTCTTTTTATGCACACGTGTATGTTTGGTTTGGCTTTGTTCGAGTCAGCTATGCCTCTTTGTCCTTCCAGTAGAGTAGAAATTATTCTGGAAAACCAATTTGCTAGTTCTTAAATATTTTCAGAATCTTCCATCTTCCCTTGAAAGTGATGTATATGTCACTTCACTCATGAAATGCTCCCCTTAAAGAATGGATTCTGGACATTCTGAGGCCAGGGGTTCTCCTTTCAAGGAGGATGTTTACAAAACATTTAATGCCAATTCAACCTCCATGACCACAGATTTTTAATAGAGCTGGGTTAAGTGTGTTTTCTCGTGGAATCATGCATCTGAGGGAATTGGGAGCAGAGAAACATGCAACTGGAGAATCATTAACTCAGTGACAACTGGAGCATATTTTTAAGTAGTGGAAAATTACATAACACTACATTTCTCAAAAATGGGTCAACAAAAACTGTCAAACTCTGCAAAATTATTTGAAGAGATTTACTTTGAGCCAAATATGCATGACCATGACCCATAACACAGCTTTCAGGAGATCCTGAGAACATGTGCCCAAGGTGATCAGGACACAGCTTGGTTTTATACATTTTAGGGAGACATGAGACTTTGGTCAAATACATTTAAGGTTGTACCCAGAAAGGCAAGACAACTTGAAGTGGGCTAGGAGTCAGGGGACTTTCATGTTATAGGTACATTTAAAATTTTTCTGATTGGCAGTTGGTTGAGTTTATCTAAAGACCTGGGATCAATAGAAAGGAAATATCTAGATTAAGATAGGGGATGTGAGACTGAAGTTTATTATGCAGATGAACCCCCCAGGTAGCAGGCTTCAGAGAGAATAGATTGTAAATGTTTCTTATCAGAAGTAAGGCCTGTTTTGATGTTAATGCTGGAGGTCTATACTGAGACATGTCTAACCCCCACTTCCCATCATGGCTTGAACCAGTCTTTCAGGTTAAATTTTATTTTATTTTATTTTACTTTGTTTATTTTGAGACGTTGTCTCGCTCTGTTGCCCAGGCTGGAGTGCAGTGGAATGATCTTGGCTCACTGCAACCTCCGCCTTCCAGATTCAAGCAATTCTCCTGCCTCAGCTTCCTGAGTAGCTGGGACTACAGGCATGTGCCACCGCACCTGGCTAATTTTTGTATTTTTAGTAAAGATGGGATTTCACTATGTTGGCCAGGCTGGTCTTGAACTCCTGACCTCAAGTGATCCATCTGCGTCAGCCCCCCAAAGTGCTGGGATTACAGGTGTGAGCCACCACGCCCAGCCTGGGTTAAATTTTAAAGTGCCCTGGAGGACGAAGTCCATTCAGGTATTTGAGGAGTCTTATAATTTTATTTTTGGCTTACAATGGCACATTAATGTTTTAGCAATGACAGGAATTGAAATTAAGAGAAGGGAGAGATTGAAGGGTGGCACCAAGATTGAAAGGAGAAAGAGGTTGAGGGATAGTGAGAGAGGTTGGAGAAGAGAGTAAAAAGAGGCCGCTTAAGATGTTCCTTGGGCTGCTTGGTCTGAGGACCCAAGGTCATAGGTGGATCTCTTCACAGAGTGAGGGTGAGGACAGGGGACTGGTCTCCCGAAGGAGTCCCGCTGACCCGGGTCTTCGGCACCAAATGTCTCACGTGTCCGTGTGAAGAGACCACCAAACAGGCTTTGTGTGAGCAACATGGCTGTTTATTTCACCTGGGTGCAGGCGGGCTGAGTCCGAAAAAGGAGTTGGCAAAGGGTGGTGGGATTATCATTAGTTCTTATAGGTTTTGGGATAGGCAGTGGAGTTTGGAGCAATGTTTTGCAGGCAGGGGGTGGATCTCACAAAGTACATTCTCAAGGGTGGGGAGAATTATAAAGAACCTTCTTAAGGGTGGGGGAGATTACAAAGTACATTGATCAGTTAGGGTGGGGCAGAAACAAATTACAATGGTGGAATGTCATCAGTTAAGGCTATTTTCACTTCTTTTGTGGATCTTCAGTTGCTTCAGGCCATCTGGATGTATACGTGCAGGTCACTGGGGTTATGATGGCTTAGCTTGGGCTCAGAGGCCTGACAGTTTTATTGTTTCCTCTATACTCCTATTCCCCCAAATCCCATAACGTATCACCTTGCATTATTGATCAACAAGATCAATCTCAATCAATGAGCAAGATTGGCTATTATGTAACAATGGCAGCAAATAATTGTGTTCAAATGTGGGTTTGTATGTAGAAAAATTGGTAGGGCTAGAGATTTAGGTTTACAAGTTATCCTGTTAGAAGTGATATTGAAGTCATTTTGGAAGAAAACATTGTGAAGTAAGCCCATTTAGGGAAGATGGAAAAAAGGTGATTAAAGTCAGGAATGCTTTTATGAGCAATAAGTACTAAAAGCAAATTAGGAAAACAGGGTATTAAGAAGCATTCCATGGCATGATTGCTAGTAAAATAGAGAAGAGTGAACTTCTGGGTGTAACTCTATTGATAAATACTATAGAAACAAAAAGGGTCTTGAAGAAAGACCAGCCAGATGTGGTGGCTTATGCCTGTAATCCCAGCACTTTGGGAGGCTGAGGCAGGAGGATCATTTGAGTTTAGGAGTTCAAGACCAGCCTGGGCAACATAGCAAGACTGCCATCTCTACAATAAATTTTAAAAAAAAAAATAGCCAGGTATGGTGGTGCACACCTGTAGTCCCAGCTACTCGGGGGGTGGGGCTGAGATGGGAGGATCACTTTAGCCCAGAAGGTTGAGGATGCAGTGAGCCCTGATCATGCCACTGCACCCCAGCCTGGGTGATAGAAGGAGACCTTGTCTCAAAAGGGAAAAAAAAAGAAAGAAAAGAAAGATCAAGTAAAAACTCATAGGAACAGATGATGAAATCATAGAATGGAAATGGAAGGTTTAAAGAGAATGACACCTCAGCTTTCTGAAACTGCCTTTGCAAAAATTATATCAGTGAAAAAAATTACGGCAGTGGGGGAGATCTGATCTAGCCAACCCGCCTCATGCCTTTAGCCTCCAACCTGCAAGACATTTAGCTTATAGTTTAAGTGATAATAGGACTTCCGCAAAACTCAACCGCCTCTGTAAAGCTAATGAGAGACCACCAGGCTAGGCCAGAGAAGTCTGAATTCTGCTAAAGTGCAGACATAAATGGTTGGCAGCCATTATTCCAGAGGTCACAAGCTATGCAACTTCCCCAATTACTCCTGCAGATAACATCACCATTGCAGAACCAAAGGACTGGACTTTTGAGATGTCTTTTCAGGTGTTTTTGCATGTCTGACACCCATGGCAACACCTGAACCCACCAACTGAGGGCTCCACACTCCTGTAGCCCCACCCAGGAGCAACTCAGCCCGGGAGGACAGCTTCAGCTCCCTATGATTTCATCTCTGACACAACCAATCAGCAGCAGGCACCTATTGCCTAGCCACCCAGACTCCTTCCCCAAACTACCTTTAAAAAACCCTAGCCTCCAATTTTTCAGTAATAACTTTGTCTCCCATGTGGCATGGTTAACTTTGTGTCTATTAAGCTCTTGCTTTATTTCAATGTCATGGTCTCGGCAAATTGGTTTTGTCTGTGCAGGGGGTCAGAAAGAACCCATCATGCAGTTACATCTCCACTTGACAAATATTTATTTCCCTGAGTCCTCATTGAGTCCTGAGGCTGAGATTGTGATGTATTAGAAGCCACGCTCTGTTTAACACCCTTACACATATAATCCAGCCATCCCACTTCTGGGTACAGATCCAAAATAATTGAAATGAGTGTGTTGAAGAGATATCTGCACTCTCATGTTCACTGAAGCATTATTTACAATAGGTGAGATGTGGACACCACGCCAATGTCCATGTGCAGATGAATGGATAAAGAAAATGTGCTTGTCCAGCCCTGGTGGCTCATGCCTGTAATCCCAGAACTTTCAGAGGCCAGGGCAGGAGGATCACCTGAGGCCAGGTGTTCGAGAGCAGCCTGGGCAACACAGCTAGACCCCATCTCTTAAAAAAAAGTTTTTAAATGAGTTGGGCATCATGGCATGTGCTTGTAGTCCCCAGTTACTCAGGAGGCAAAAGTGGGAGTATATTGCTTGAGCCCAGGAATTCAACACTGCAGTGAGTTATGATCATGCCACGGCACTCCAGCCTGGGCAACAGAGCAAGACCTTGTCTCTAAAAAATGAAGAAGATGAGGAAGAAGGAAGAATAAGAAGGAGGAGGAGGAGAAGGAGAAGAAGAAGAGGAGGAGGAGGAGAAGAAGGAGGAGGAAAAGGAAGATGAGGAGGAGGGAAGAAAGAAGAAGGAGGAGGAGGAGGAGGAAAGTAGAAAATCGAATGACCTACATAAAATTTGGAAGTGCAATGCTTTTTGGTAACCAAATATCTACCAAGGCCAAGCCGATTCTCACTATTCTACTTTGAGGGTACGTCATCTTGGAAAACTTATAGAACTTTGATTAGTCTCAGCTTCTTCATCCAAAACTCAAAGCCCTAATTTATCTTCTATAAAATGAGCAAAACGAGGGAAACTGTCACAGTTGGAAGAGGCAAGAGTTGAGACCATGCAGTAGAGATTCTTCAGTCCAGGTGAGCATCAATCACTCCCATGGTCACTTAAGGACGCCACCAATACACAGCCATTTCCACCCTAGTGAGCTTCTCTAATGCTACACTGCACAGCATCCACCATGCTCCTTCCAATTCAAGACACAGCTTCCAACCCCACTACATGGCTGTCTTCCTGCACCTTGTCACTCCATTTTCCTTCTCTTCTTTTTTCTTTCCAACTTTTATTTTAGGCTCAGAATGTCCACGTGCACGTTTGTTACATGGGTAAATTGCATGTCGAGGGGGTTTGGTGTACAGATTATTTCATCATCCAGGTAGGAAGCATAGTACCCAGTAGGTAGTTTTTCAATCCTCTCCCTCCTTCCCGCATGCACCCTCAAGTAGCCCCCAGTGTCTGTCATTCCCAACTTTATGTCCATGAGTACCCAAGGTTTAGCTCCTACTTAGAAGTGAAAACAAGCAGTACTTGGTTTAGTGTTCCTACATTGATTCACTCAGGATAACGGCCTCTAGCTGCATCCATGTTGCCGCAAAGCACATGATTTCATTCTTTTTCATGGCTGCATAGTATTCCAGGGTGTCTATGTACCACATTTTCTGTATCCAGTCCACCACTGATGGGCATCTAGGTTGATTCCATGTTTTTGCCATTGTGAATAGTGTCACTCCGTTTTCCACCCTCAAATATGACTATGAATTTATGCTATTGTGCCCCTCCCATTCCACTATAATGTTTTTTTTTTCTTTCCATTGCTCACCTAGAGCAAAATCATTTTCCCTCTCTCCTCCACGGCCCCATCTTCCCATGGTCTTTCAGCACACCGTTTCCATCCACAGTGAGGTCAGGAGGAGGTAGTTACCATGACTCCTTGCTGATGTTTATGCCTCTGCTTTTGTAATAAAGCACATCATTGGAAGTCCATGTCTTCCAATCATGCCACATTCTACAGTTCTTGTTTGCCTCACAAACAACTGCTCGCTGTCAGACTCCTGGAGCTTCAATCAACCCGTAAAGTGAAGGGGGCTGCTCTGCTGTGGCCCTTTCTCTATGGCAAAGAGCTCTGAGCTCTGAGCTGAAAACATCTGGAGTTGCATATTTGACTGGGAGAGCCTATTGCAAAGTGACAACATTGCAGTGAAAGGAAAACAGGGACATCACACCTCATTTCTCATGTGGATGGAAATCTGGACTCTCGTAGAAGCTGAAGAGTGGAATACTCTTGGCTAGCTCCTAGAGCCTAGCTTTTACCTCAGACCAAAGATCCACAGCAAAACGTTCTGTTTGCTTTCTATTCCTTGCTTTGACAGATTTCCAGAAGGAGCTTTTTCATTGAGTAAATGCGGACAATAAATTTCTCATCAAAGGCAAAATGGGTTTTGTGACTATTACCCGTGTTTTCTCTAGTTTGCATCAAATAAACCAGGTTTCCGATGGCCATTAATTTTCCCAGAATAGAGACACTCATATAGTTGCTGGTTATAGTGAAAAGGAAAAAAAAGCCCCATTATTCAGGATTTTTACAGTCAAATCTCTGTTCATTTTACCACTAACGGTACGCCATAATCTCAGTGTATGGTAGTATTATTTTCACTATACTGGAAAGTGGAAAATTACAGTGAGAAAACTGTGTTCTGCAGACATAAGAGGATTGCTCACTCAATTTCATGTGAGTTGCTTTCTAATAACATTGTAGGAGGCTATTTTGCTTCTGATCTATTCTATTCTCTTATGCCATGCTCTTCTAAGCACCTAAATTTCCGAACTGGAGTTTATGTTTAGGAAAATCTCTTGTAATGGAAAGAATAAAACTCTACTACCAAAAGCTAAGGAGTTCAATTATATATTCTTGTAGTATCAGCAATAATGACATCATCCCTTTGTATTTACTGGGCAGTGATACATCTTAACAATCTAAGTAAAACTAACAAAGTCAATCTAAGAAAATCTAACGAAGTAAAAACTGGATTTAGGGTAGTAAACATAAGAAAGACCTGAGGATCATACAAAACTATCCCTTTGATCTTCCTTCTCCATCTTTCCCCACAGGAATGGCCAGAATTGCAAATGAGAATAAGAGCTATGCCTCCTTCCTCCCTCAACAGTAAAATGACGCAGAATAAATTTAACATGGAAGAAAAATGGAGATAAATGCATGACCTGGGATATTTTCCAGTGGAGCCACAAGAAGTCTTTCAAACCAGTGACAATGGAATAAATACAGTGCAGCCTATGCATTAGAGTAAATTGAAACTTTTCAATTAGGAGAATAGAAAGTTTGCCTTGCGGGTCAGAGCTTTAAATCTCTTTGTGTTATGCTGTGTTTTCCATTTTTGTACCATCTATAATATTTTGATTATTTGGATATAGAGGAAAATGTAACCTCTTTTCTTAGCAAGAAATAGCATATAGCATCATACAACTCACTAAACAAATAAATCAACCTGTTTATTGCTTAAAAATGTATCACACAAATTCAGTTTCTGCTTTGTTATTGTAAGGCTGTTGAATGGATAAATAAAGCATGGTTGTATGTTAAAAAAAAAAAACAGAGAGGGAGTTGGAAGAAGTCCAACCACAATTTCTTGTGCAAAATCTTACAGAAGCTGGGTTGAAGTGCTTTGTACCACTTCATTAGTATTTGTTGTAGACACTGTGATGCCAGGCCGTGGAGAAACCGATGATCTGACAATTGTAAATCACTCAAATATGTACGTCCATAGAGCAACATGGATTTTAAGAGGTTGTCTATATTTCTAGGAGGAAATTTACTAACACATTCACCCAAATATTTAACTTAGTATGATACGTCATTTACTGTGCAAATGCCTGATTGAAACAGTATGGGGGAAAGCTGTTTTTATGGAGAAATAAGGAATAAGGAATTCACTGTTCGGTTTTTGTGTTTGGCCTGAATGTAACAGCCTTCACTCTCCTCTACCAGAACGTCTGCTGGCAAAAACACAATGGCAGCACTACTGAGAACAAGACCTAGACTTAACCTCACAGTTGGAGTTAAGGCGGCTTTTCCAACTGTAACTTCAATTTCTGCAAAGCAATCATTGATCTGAACTTCTTCTGTGATGGACATTTCTAAATGATATAAAGGTGGAAAAAAAATAGAAAACTTATAGGATAATCCTCATTAATTAAAGTGGTAGTTATTATTTGCTTTTCAATATGTAAAATTTTCCCAGAACAATTTTTTTTTTTTTTAGTAGAGATAGAGGGGTTTCACTTTGTTGTCCAGGATGGTCTCGAACTCCTAGACTCAAGCAATCCTCCTGCTTTGGCTTTCCAAAGTGCTGGGATTACAGGGGTAAGACACCACGCCTGGTCCCAAAACAATTACATCATTATGTTCGACTAGCCTGAAAGATCTCCTCATAATCTAATGTCATCTAAATTATGAAATTGATTGGGAATTTGAATCTGAATTTTGGAATATACACAAGGCACTTGAGTTCCTAAAAACAGGAAATGTATTCTGATTATCCTAATAATAAAATGCCCCTGAGAAGTAGCAGGCATTTAATATTTTGAAGCACCATTGACTCTGAATCCCAAAGTAATGTAATATTTAGAAAACCAGATTTTTTTTTTTTTGAGAGTCTCACTGTGTCACTCAGGCTGGAGTGCAGTGGCACAATCATGGCTCACTGCAGCCTTGACCTCCTGGGATCAAGTGATCCTCCCACCTCAGCCTCACAAGTAGCTGGGACTACAGGTGCGTGTCACCATGGCCAGCTAATTCTTTTTTCTTTTTTTTTTTTTTAAGATATGGGGTCTTGCTATGTTGCCCATGCTGGTCTGGAACTCCTGGGCTCAAGCCTTTCTCCCATGTTGGCCTCCCAAAATGTTGGGATTATAGGCATGAGCCATCAAGCCTGGCCAGAAACTCTGATTTTTAATAAAAGGCAAGAGGATTGTGTGCAGAATTTGAAAATATATCTTCTTGATCAAAACGTGAAATCTTGCATAGATATGAGAGTTCCGATGAATAAGAATTTGGGGAATTCACACATAAAAAATGCATTCTTGTCCTGGGCACACCGGAAAACCACACACAATTTAGACCCACCACCCCTGGCCCCAAACCTGCAGTCAGGACCAAGTTGTCAGGACCTAATTAATGCCAATGGAGTTTGGCTACAAGACCTTCCTCATTAAAAATAAATCACTTTTGATATGCTAATTACCCTAATTTGGTCACTGTGCATTATATGTATTGAATCATCACTATGTACCCCATGAATGTGTGCTGTTGTTATTTGTCAATTTTTTGTTCGTTTTTTAGACAGGGTCTTGCTCTGTTGCCAGGCTGGAGTGTAGTAGCACGATCTCAGCTCACTGCAACCTCCGCCTCCTGCGTTCAAGTGATTCTCCTGAGTAGCTGGGATTACAGGCACCTGCCACCACACCCGGCTAATTTTTATATTTTTAGTAGAGACGGGGTTTCACCACGTTGGCCAGGCTGGTCTTGAACTCCTGACCTCAGGTGATCCACCCACCTCAGCCTCCCAAAGTGCTAGGATTATACAGGCATGAGCCACCATGCCCGGCCTTATTTTTAAATTAAAATTAAATATATATATTATAATATGTATACATAATGAGATATATACACATATATCTGTGTGTGTGTGTGTGTGTATCCTGAATCTGCCCCCCAAAAAATGAAAACAAAACAAAAAAATAACCAAGTCTCTCCCAACCAGTGGCATCCTAAGGGTGTATCCTAAGGGTGCAGCCCTCTGTTCCACAAATAGGTAAGAAGCAGATCCATATCTATAGGGAATTTTAACATAATATTAAAACAAACCCAAGTGGGCTTGTTTGTAGTTATCACCACGCATCGGTCATTCTTCACAACTTTATTTACAAAGTACAAAGCTGATATTATTGCAAAATGATACAGCTGCTTTTGCGTTTTAATAATAATATTGTATATGAGAGCATCAAGATATTTGTTGTCTTTCGATGAGCCTTGCGTTCCACAGGAAGATTCAGGGAACTGTCACAGTCAACCGGCAACACAGACAGGCTCAAAGACACGTGCTCTTTTTGAGAATAGATTTGCACGAGTGCAGAATCTTCATTTTAGGTCTCTATTCCCCATGCTTGTAAATACTCTCGGGTTTGAAGTGTGGACTGGAAAGCAACACTGATAAAGGTAATGAAAAAATAACAGCGGTTAGGGTCCAATTTTTTTTTTTTTTTTTTTTTTTTGAGACAGAGAACTGCTATGTCACCCAGGCTGGAGTGCAGTGGCGTGATTTTGGCTCACTGCAACCTCCGCCTCCCAGGTTCAAGTAATTCTTCTACCTCAGCCTCCGGAGTAGCTGAGACTACAGGTGTGCACCACCACACCTGGCTAATTTTTGTATTTTTACTAGAGACGCCATGTTGGTCAGGCTGATCTCAAACTCCTGACCTCAGGTGATCCGCCCGCCTTGGCCTCCCAAAGTGCTGGGATTACAGGTGTGAGCCACCACGCCCGGCCCAAGTTAATCTTTGAACCATGTAGAGTTCACTTATTTGCAAGCATTTCTGCATGTGGCTTTTCCCTTTTCTCAAAAAATTGACATAATTAGAATGTATTAATCCATTACTTTTCCCTTTATACAGTAATATTAATTTTATTGTAGAGATTTATGAGGCACAATATGATGTTTTGATATTTGCTCACATTGCAGGATGATTAAATCGAGCTACTTATTTATCACCTGACATATTTTTGTATCGGTAGTGAGAATATTTTAAAATTTGTTATTCTCTTATCCATTTTCAAGTATACCATGCTATTAACCGTAGTCACCACGTTGTACAGTAGATCTCCTGAACGTATTCCTCCTGTGTCGCTGAGATTTTGCATCCCCTGACCAACATCTTCCCTAATTCCCTACCTCACTCCCCAGCTCATGGGAACCACCATTCTACTCTCTACTTCTAGGACTTCCTTCTTTAGATCCCACATAGAACTGAGATCGTGTGATGATTGTTTTTCTGTACCTCGTTTATTTCACTTAACATAATGTCCTCCAGTTCCATCCATGCGACTGCAGACTGCAGAGGAAAGAATTTTATTCTTTTTTCTTCTCTTTTTTTTTTTTTTTTTTTTTTTTTTGAGACAGTCTCACTCTGTCACCCAGGCTGGAGTGCAATGGCGTGATCTCAGCTCACTGCAACCTCTGCCTCCTGGGTTCAAGCAATACTCTCGCCTCAGCCTCCAGAGTAGCTGTGATTACAGGCACCTGCCATCATACCTGGCTAATTTTTGCATTTTTGTAGAGATGGGGTTTCACCATGTTGGCCAGGCTGGTCTTGAACTTCTGACCTCAGGTGATCTGCCCGCCTCAGCCTCCCAAAGTGCTGGGATTACAGGCATGAGCCACTGCACCTGGCAGAATTTTATTCTTTTTTATGGCTGTGTAGTAATTCATTGTGTATGTGTACCACATTCTCTTTATGCACTCATCTGTTGATGGCATTTGGGTTGATTCCATATCTTGGCTATTATGAATAACATTGTAATAAACATGGGAGTGCAGATATCTCTTAACCACACTAATTTCAATTCCTTTGGCTATATATTTATCAGTGGGATTGATGGGCCATAGGGTACTTCTATTTTTAATTTTTTGAGAGAACTCCATACTGTTTTCCATAATAGCTATACTAATTTACGTTCTCACCAACAGTGTGCAAGGGTCCCCTCTTTTCTGCATCCCCACCAATACTTATATTTTATCTTCTTGAAAGTAGCCATTCTGACAGGTATAAGGTTACCACCTTATATCACTTATCTCACCTTATATCACTTATCTCACTTTATATCACCTTATCTCACTGTGGTTTTCATTTGCATTTCTGATGATTAGTGATGTGGAGCATTTTTTCATGTATCTGTTGGCCATTTGTGTGTCTGTTTTTGAGAGACACCTATTCAGGTCCTTGGCTCATTTTTAAATTGGATTATTTGTTTTCCTGCTGTTGAGCTTTTGAGTTTCTTATGTATTTTTGATATTCACTTCTTATCAGATGTATGGTTTGCAAATATTTTCTTTCTTCTTTCCCTTTCTCTCTCTTTCTTTCTTTCTTTCTTTCTTTCTTCTTTCTTTCTTTCCTTCTTTCCTTTCTTCTTTTCTTTCCTTCCTTCCTTTCTTCCTTTCTTTCCTTCTTTCTTTCTCTCTTCCTTTCTTTTCTTTCTTCTTTCTTTCTTTCCTTCTTTCCTTTCTTCTTTTCTTTCCTTCCTTCCTTTCTTCTTTTCTTTCCTTCCTTCCTTTCTTTCTTCCTTTCTTTCCTTCTTTCTTTCTTTCTTCTTTCTTTCCTTCTTTCCTTTCTTCTTTTCTTTCCTTCCTTCCTTTCTTTCTTCCTTTCTTTCCTTCTTCTTTCTTTCTTTCTTTCTTTCTTTCTTTCTTTCTTTCTTTCTTTCTTTCTTTCTTCTTCTCTTTTTTCTTTGAGACAGGGTTTTCCTCAGGTGCCAAGGCTACAGTGCAGTTCTGTGATCACGGCTCCCTGCAGCCTCTACCTCCTGGGCTCAAGCAATCCTCCCACCTCAGCCTCCCATAACTGGGACCACAGGCATGCACCACCATGCCTGCCTAAAGTTTTTTTTATTTTTTGTAGAGACAAGAGTCTCCCTATGTCACCAAGACTGATTTTGAACTCCTGGGCTCATGTGATCCTCCTGCCTCAGCTTCCCAAAGTTCTGGGATGACAAGCGTGAGCCACCATGCCCAGCCAAATATTATCTTTCAATCCACAGGTTGTCTATGTCTATTCACTGTGTTAATTGTTTCAGTGGCTGTGCAGAACTGTTTTAGTTTGATGCAATCCTATATGTCTATTTTTGCTTTTGTTACCTGTGTTATTATATTTTTATTATTTTTACTGACATGACCATACCTACCAGTCCCATAAATGACAATCTTCACTATGTTTCTTTCCTGTCCTTATTATTCTTCCTCTAATTCTATAACAATTGTTGAAAATTCTTTTGTTTTATAAAGAAAGGGGTATTTTAATATAATTGACTCCCGGTGTCAGATATAGTAGATATACCACTGATCTTGTCCCTTCTCTGCCAACAATGAGAGGCTTAAATGGTGGTGTCCCCAAATGGAATAAGTTACTTTCCTGATTTATTGCTTGAAAGATGTACTGGTTATCCCTTGTTCTGTAACACATCACCCCAAAATTTAGCAGCTTCAAAGAACAGACATTTATTATATCATGCAATTTCCAAAGATCAGGATTCTTGGAGAGGCTTAGCTGGATGTTTCTGGGGCAGGTGTCTCATGAAGTTGCAGGGAAACCCTCTATTGATGGCCCCAAAGTATTCCCAAGAGACCCACCCAATGAAGAATATGCCACTGGACTTCCTGGGAGCAAAACATAGGTTTTTTTGTACTAATTTGCTGAGATTTGGAGATTATTTTTTGAATACTCAATATGGGTTTTTCTGCACCAAATATTTTTCAGAAACTTTTAAGAGAAGTTTTCAATATGAAAAATGAGAGTTTCAGGAAAGAAAATTTCCCTATTATTTATGCCTTCCCTGGATTTGAGCTTCCTGGATCTATTCCCTGCAATGATTCCACATAGAGAGCTATGGAAATATGTTCGCAATCCTCATGTTTATAGTTAATTTCCCACAAAAGTTAAAAGAACTTTCATGACTGCAAAACTAATGCAAGATTCTATGAAAAGTTTACTTCCTTTTAAAACACTGCACGATTACAGATACTGTTATTTCAGCTCTCTTTTTCCTTCCCTTTAAATCCACAGAAGTACAAAAGAAGGTGGTTTTTTGAGTCGAAATCTCACTTTCCATGTTGAACAGTGCAATCTAGTAGATGCTACAATAACCAAGTAAATTTGGGATTGATTTAAACCATATAGTGGTTACGCTTCTTTGATATAGATATAGACTAAAACTTTCAGAGCGCATTTGCTAAGGTTTGCCTGGAAGAAAAAAAAATGGCAAATTTTTGCATGAAAATGGACAAATGTTTCCCCAAGCAGTTTTACTTGTCTTGTATAAGTTATATTTTATTTTCAAATTGTCATCATATGCCGTCTTTAATTTTGCCTATTATGACCTCCCTCTGAGTGGGATGCAGAGGATCCTAGGCGAATGAGATGGAATGTGATTAATTCCCAGGCTCCTGAGAATCGGGGGAAGAATGCCAGCAGTGCAGTCAGGGGCCACTCTGGGTTCTCAGCTCCCTGTCTCGGTCCTGCTCCTAAGCTCTGCCAAAGCCCTCCCAGGTCATTGCAACCCTCTCCTCCTCCGGCAGGGGATGCAGAGGGAATCCCCACCAGGTATCACTTCCGCAAGGTCAAGGGTGAATAGACTTGAGGGTGAATACACTCTCAAGCCATGAATGGACTCTAAACTTTGAGGTGGTGGGTAGCAGGGCTTGATCTGGTCAAAAGTGGACGGATTTGCAAGGGTTCACTGAGGTCTCTGACTCAAAATGACCAAGAACCGCTTGCTGTTCACGTCCAACCTGGATGTGCATGAGTTGGACTTCTGCTTCTTCACTGCGCGCGTGTAGAACTGAAGCGGGTCTTTGCTGCATCTTCTCCAGAACCCTGGATTTTACAGACAGCACTGAGGTCCCTTCATAAACTCTGTCTTCATCCCATTGTAGAGCTCACTGGCATGCCATTCTGCTAACTCTTTTCTTCTGTTTTGGAAAATATAACTTTTTATTTCAAAATGTGAATTGTATAAAATGCATAAGGGATTTTGTGATGTTGAAGTGAATTAATAAATGTATGTATAATGTCTCAGTTTTTCTGTCTAATATAATAAATATTGACAAGTGTAAGCTCCATCAGTAAAACCTCTTTGAGGTCCTTGCTAATTTTTTAGAGTGCAAAGAGTGCTTGAGACCAAAAGAGCTTGAGAACCAGGGTTTGAAGACGTGCAAGGAAAGCTAGGAAAAGGCTATTCCAAGGATGGTACAAAGCACAGGGGGAAGGTTTTCTGGATATATTATGTAATATGTATAATATTATACAATGTTATATAATGTATAATAAAATATATTTTATGTTTTATATAATTTATATGTAGTATATAAATATATTATGCACAATATTTATTTTATATATAACATAAATATATGCTATATATGTTATATGAAAATATTATATATAATTATATAAAATAATAGATATAATATATAATCATAAAATATATAAATATATTATGAGTACTATTATATATTATATACTATATATGATTATTATATAGTATATATTATATATTTTTATATTATATATAATATATTATTAATATACAACATACAAAATATAATTTATGAAAAAAATATAAAATATAAATATATTAATAATATATCATCTTATATAATACATAACATATAATATTGCCTTGGGTAACCATATAATATATTACATATATTATGTATAATGTATATTATATATTATGTATTATATATTATATATTATGTATAATATATATTATATATTATGTATTCTATATAATATGTTATGTCCAATTATATATAATATATTATGTATAATTATATATAACATATTATTATATATAATATAGAATATATATTACTATGTGCAATAATATATAATATATTATTATTTTATATAATATACTATTGTATATAATATATATTATTATGTACAATAATATATAATATATTATTATGTACAATAATATATAATATATTATTATGTACAATAATATATAATATATTATGTACAATAATATATAATATATTATGTACAATAATATATAATATATTATTGTTATATAAAATATATTATTGTATATAATATAATCTATTACATATATTATGCAAAAATATATTTTATATATTACATATATTATGCATGCATAACATTATATTACATATATTATGCATAATAACAATATATATAATATATGCATAATAATATATTATGAATATATTTTATATATTGCATATATTATGATATATTATGCATAATAATATATTTTTTATATATATACACTATATTATTATATAATATATAATATATAATACATTATATATGTAATGTATATAATACATTATATAATACATATTATATATGTAATGTATATATACATAATGTATAATATACATTTATATGTAATATGTATTATATATTATATTATATATCATATTATATATAATATATTATATATTTACACAAGGCAATATTATATGCTATGTATTATATATGATGATATATTACTAATATATTTATATTTTATATATTTATTTTTCATAAATTATATATCGTATGTTGTATATTATTATTATATTATATATAATATAAAATATATAATATATACTATATAATAATCATATATAGTATATACCATATAATAATACTCATATAATATATTTATATTTTATGATTATTATATATTATATCTATCATTTTATATAATTATATATAATATTTTCACATAACATAATATATAACATATATTTATATGCTATATATAAAATAAATATTGTACATAATATATTTATATACTACATATAAATTATATAAAACATAAAATATATTTTATTATACATTATATAACATTGTATAATATTATACATATTACATAATATATCCAGAAAACCTTCCCCCTGTGCTTTGTACCATCCTTGGAATAGCCTTTTCCTAGCTTTCCTTGCACGTCTTCAAACCCTGGTTCTCAAGCTCTTTTGGTCTCAAGCACTCTTTGCACTCTAAAAAATTAGCAAGGACCTCAAAGAGGTTTTACTGATGGAGCTTACACTTGTCAATATTTATTATATTAGACAGAAAAACTGAGACATTATGCATACATTTATTAATTATGTTTTGCAATTAAAATATCATATATCATATATTATACATTACATATATTATGCATAATATATGTACTATATAATATATTATTTGCATAATGTATTAAATTTTTATTATATTAAATATATTTAATATATTTAATATATTTAAATTTATTATATATTACATAATATATGTAAATATATAATATTCACACAAGGCAATATTATATGATATACATAATAATATGTAATATATAATATATTATCATATATAAATATGATATATAACATATGATGATGTATATTATATATTAATATAATATATAATTATATAAATATGTTTTTATATATCAATAAAATATATTATATAATGTAATATATAATCATTACATAATATAAAATGTATATTATACAGACTATATATATCACTTACATATATGCATGTGTATATATAAATATATTTCTATGGGTACATATATGAATCATTTATGCATAAGTGGTCATTGAAATTGTAGGTGTGGATGGCTTCAGGTAGAGAGAGATGAGTTAGAAACACAAGGGAAGCTTGGGATTGCTCCAGGGGGGACATGAAAATGCCAGCATTCTCTCGGAGACTAGAAAGCTTCTATCACTTAAGCTGAATGGTGGACCCATGAGGGTTTGCATTATTGTTGTAAGTCTTCTTTGGAGCATATTTAAAATTCAGTCGCAACATTTAACAGACAAGATGGCTTTACGAAGGATAAAGTAGGAAGATTGATTAGAAGAAAAACTGCAGGGTATCACTGTAGGAGGAGAAGGAGGAGGAGGAGGAGAAAGATGAGAAGGAGGAGAAGGAGGAAGAGAGGAGGCAGAGGGAGAGAGGAAGAGAAGAGGAGGAGGAGAAGGAGGAAGAGAGGAGGCAGAGGGAGAGAGGAAGAGAAGAGAGGAGGAGAAAGAAGAGCAGAGGGAGGAGGAAGAGAGGAAGAGGAGAAGGAAGATGAAGAGAGGAGAAGAAAAAGGAAAAGGAAGCGGCAGAGGAGAAGGAGGAGGAGGAAGAAAGGTCTACTGCCTTCACGGCCATTTGAGTCAGAGGAGTCCCCACTGCAATCATGATGATGCAGTCAATGGGAACAAAGGCTGACTGGCATGAACTCAGGAAGAGTGGCTGAGAACATGCACACACAAAACAGATAGGACAGGGGAGGTGAGAGCAGTGAAGACCACACCTCATCCTGTAGTGCACGAATCCGTCTGGACGTTGGCATCCATGACAGTGCCTCCATGAAAGCATGAACTCTTATCCCCTGCTCTCATCCTGGAAAAGGTTCTTGAAGTCCCCTCCCTGCAACGTTCACTGGAGGAACTGAACCTTAATTGCTACTAAGAAACCTTTTGGCAGTGGAAGAAATGCAAGATAAAGTCTAATTGGCTGATGACTGCGTATGGGCCCACACTCAGGAATAATTTATCTTTCGTGTTTGGCAGCAAATTTTCGGAGCGCAGAGCTAATGTTTACATGTTTTTGAGCTTGTGTGATACTGTAATTTTGCAAGGCTTTGGATGCAGATATTTTGATTGGCCCTTTTGCTTATTATAACAAGACTTATAATAATAATAAATCATAAAACATCATCATAACTGAATTATAAGGCTGGACAGAATGTTAAGGAGTCAGTAAGAGCAAGCAATCCTTGGTACTGCTGGTAAGTATTTCCGGGCAACTGCAATGTTGGGATGCATTTCATAATGTTTAGGACAATCTCCCCCTGTGTCTGATGGGTTGTAAAATTCCCAAAACTTCCACTCTCTCCACGACACAATTTACCAAAAAAGTTGGGTGCATTTTTTCTTTTGCTAGGGCTGCTATCACCAAATTCTGTATGACGAGTGGTTTAAAACAACATAAATTTATTGCCTTACGGCTCTGAAGAGCAGAAGTCTGAAATCAAGGTGTCGGCACAGTTGGTTCTTTCTGGAGGCTCTGAAAAAATCTGCCGCTGTGTTCGCTTTTGGTGAATTTCATTAATCCCTTGGTGTTCTTTGCTTGTAGACCTGGCATCCAATCTCTCTCTCTATGGTCACTTTGGTAATATTTATTCCCATCCAATAAAACAGGGGTCCCCAACCCCCAGGCCATGGACCAGTACCAGTCCACCGCCTGTTACAAAGCGAGCCACACGACAGGAAGTGATCAGCAGGTGGGCGAGCAAGCAAAGCTTCATCTGTACTGACAGCCATTCCCCATCGCTCACATAACCACATGAGTTCCGCCTCCTGTCAGATCAGTAGTGGCATTAGATTCTCATAGGAGCATGAACCCTACTGTGAACTACCCATGCAAGGGATCTAGGTTGATGCTCCTTAAGATAATCTAATGCCTGATGATCTGTCATTGTCTCCCATCACCCCCAGATGGGACCTTCCAGTTGCAGGAAAACAAGCTCAGGGCTCCCACTGATTCTACATTATGGTAAGTTGTAGAATTATTTCATTATGTATTCCAATGTAACAGTAATAGAAATAAAGTGCACAATCAATGTAATGTGCTTGAATCATCCCGATGCCATTGTCCTGCCCCAGATCCCTGTAAAAATTGTCTGACATGAAACCTGTCCTTGGTGCCAAAAAGGTTGGGGACCACTGCAATACAGAGTGGAAGGTGAAGTAGAGTGTACAGAAATAATCCAACAGGAAGGAGCTGGTTGTTAGCTGGTGCATGTAGCCTTCTTGGACCACTCTCTACTCTTTACCGTCTCTATCTTGTCAGCACCAATACTCATCAATATTTCATATGGCAAATATGAGTTTAGAATGGGCATACCATAATCAACCTAAACAAGTGATTCGTCTATTACGACAGACACTACCTACTAATACTAATGTCTCAATACTTATTATTATTCATGCATTCATGAGCTATGACTATTGTAAACATGGAGGCAAGTTCTTTACAACTGAATGACCTACCCAAAAGTCAGGATGAGGGAAGACTCCAGCTCATTAACTATCAATCTAGTATTCAAGAAAAAGACCAAATGGTGCTTGTCAAATTGAGTTTAAAAGTCTACTCCTGGCTGGACGCGGGTGGCTTACGCCTGTAATCCCAGCACTTTGGAAGGCCGAGGCTGGCAGATCACAAGGTCAGGAGATCGAGACCATGCTGGCTAACACAGTGAAACCCCGTCTCTACTAAAAATACAAAAAAATTAGCCGGGCGAGATGGCGGGCACCTATAGTCCCAGCTACTCAGGAGGCTGAGGCAGGAGAATGGTGTGAACCCGGGAGGCAGAGCTTGCAGGGAGCCGAGATTGCACCACTGCACTCCAGCCTGGGTGATAGAACGAGACTCCATCTCAAGAAAAAAAAAAAAAAGCCTACTCCTATTATAAATTTTCTCTGCCCAGCTTTAAATGCAAAGTTCCATAGCTGAAATTAATTGTTGGTTTCTCGACAGAAAACAGGAGCAAGCTGTGTTGAGTCACTTCATGGTATGTCTTACCATGGGATTGTTGACCAGGATAACATTTTATTAGACCTAATTAGGGATTCATTAGTGGGAAATACGCGTATTTGGATTTCGCAGATGATGAGACATGCCCTGTTTGTTTGCCTCATCGAATTTTGACAGATAAGATGCCTGGGTGACCCCGTCAAAGGGAAATTCTACTGTGGTTTGAAATATTAGAGCCATAGCAAAGCTTGCTTCTCAAAAACATACCAGCCCAAAGGCATATGTTTTGCATAATATTTATTGCAATATTTGGGCATGTTGATATACAGCATAAAGATTCTTTGCCACTTGTGCCTTTTGGGTTAATAGATTGTTATGTCTTTGATCTTCTGCCAAGTTAAAGGTTATTTGGTAGTTTCTATGAATTCAGAGACAATTTTACAAACCATCGCCTTTCCAGTGTGAAAAGAATGCCTGGGTGAAGTGACAGTAGCAATTGCATCTTCATGAAACGGAGCGAGAATGCATCGTCTCCCACGTTGGGTGAATGGGACCTGATTGGTGAGGCTGACAGTTTCATTGGTGGTGGAGAGGAAAAACTTATTTAAAACAAATAAATGCATTTTGCCAAGGGCTGTCACCTTTGCCAAGGAAGCTGAGTTTGAATCCACCCTGCAGAAGGTGCAAAGAATCTTTAAGCAATATGTAAACATGACCAAATATTGTGACAAATAAATAAACAGGGAACACAAGTTTTCAAGAGAGGGACGTGACGGAGGAAGCAGTCTCAGTTACCCCTTCTAGCAGCAAGGCTACCAGGAGGAAGGTGCTCCAAATGCCATGGGCAGAGCAGGATGACCAGAGGGGCATCCTGTTCTGAGCAATGAGGGGCCCAGAAAACACAGAAACACCTTAGAGAGTGGCTGCATTAGTCTTTTATCAATGTTTAAGCATGGATTTTTTACATGGAATCACAGTTATCCATTCCATATTGCTGACTAAATGGCTACATTATTTATTTTTTTCTGATCCTTCATTCTTTCATTTGTATTTGGAAACAGCAAACACTGTTTTCAGATGACCACAGAATATTACTACAGTGAATGTTTTCCAGCAAAAGGTATAATATTTTTTATTCTGTGCTAGTTCAGTGCTTAATGCATAGTAAGAGTCATGCATACATACATACATACACACACAAACAAGTACATACATAGGCATTGTCATGGCTAATTATATGTGTCAACCTGGCTGCGCCATGGGGTTCCCACATATTTGGTCAAATGTTACTCTAGATGTGTTTATGAATATTATTCTGGTTGAGATTAATGAATCAATCAGTAGACTTAGTAGAGTGGATTGTCTTCTGTTATGTGGGTAACAGAGCAATTGGTTCAACGGTGGTGTCATTAGGGAACAGGGAGGAAAGACAAGAAAACAGAAAAGTTGTTGGCCACTGTGGAAAACAGTGTGGAGATTCCTTAAATAACTAAAAGTAGAACTACCATTCGATCCAGCAACCCCACTCCTGGGTATCTATCCAGAAGAAAAGAAGTCATTATATGAAAAAGGATTGTCCTCTGTTATGAGGGTGGACATAGAACAAAGAAAAAAATGGAGTAACAAAGAATTTGCTCTCTCTGCCTGTCTTCAAGCTGGGACAATAGTTTTACTCCTGACTCCACATTAGACTCAGGCTGCAACTCTTACCATTGGCTCTCCTGGGTCTCAGACCTTCAGAGTCAGACTGGAGCTCTCACCATCAGCTCTTCTGGGTCTTGGGCCTTCAGACTCAGACTGGAACTCACACCCTCAGCTCTCCTGGGACTCAGACCTTCAAACTCAGACTGGAACTCTCACCATCAGTTCTCCTGGGTCTCAGGCCTCCATACTCAGACTGGAACTCATGTCATCAGCTCTTCTCAGTCTCAGGCCTTCACACAGGAACTCACACCCTCAGCTCTCCTGGGTCTCAGACCTTCAGACTCAGACTGGAACTCTCATCATCAGCTCTCCTGGGTCTCAGGCCTCCATGCTCAGACTGGAACTCACATCATCAACTCTTCTCAGTCTCAGGCCTTCACACAGGAACTCACACCATCAGCTCTCCTGGGTCTCAGGTCATCACACTGGAACTCAAACCATCAGCTTTCCTGGATCTCAGGCTGTCACACTGGAACTCACACCATTGGCTCTCCTGGGTCTCAGGACTTCAGACTCAGAATGGAACTCACATCCTTGGCTTTCTCAGGTCTTAGACCTTCAGACTCAGACTGAAAGTCACACCCTTGGCTCTTCTGGGTCTCAGACCTTCAGACTGGAACTCATACCATCCGCCTTCCTGGGTCTCCAGGCTTAATAACTAAATCTACAGGCAGCATTATGGGTGAATCTTAGAAATTCAAAATTGGCAGAAAAAAATATATAGGAGAGGATGTGCTATGTTAGCAATAACTATGATTCAAAAGTGAGCAAAAGTGAACCATAAAATTTAATGCACCCAGATAAATTTAATTTTTAATTTACAAACAATCAATGTATGTATGTATGTATGGAGTACAGTGTGATATTTTGAAATATGCATACCTTGTGGAAGGATTAAATTGAGCTAATTGCCATATTCATTGCTTCACCTACTTATTCGTTTTGTGTGTGTGGTGAGAACATTTAAAAATCCACTCTCTCAGCCACTTTGATTTTTAGTTGCTTTTTTTGAGACAGAGTCCTGCTCTGTTGCCCAGGCTAGAGCGCAGTGGTGGGATCTCGGCTCACTGCAATATCTGCCTCACGGGTTCAAGCTATTCTCCTGTCCCAGCCTCCCAAGTAGCTGGGATTACAGGTCTGCACCACCATGCCTGGCTAATTTTTGTATTTTCAGTAGAGACGGGGTTTCACCATGTTGGCCAGGCTTCTCTTGAACTCCTGACCTCAAGTGATCTGCCCGCCTCGGCCTCCCAAAGTGCTGGGATTACAGGCATGAGCCACCCTGCCCGGACTTGTGGGATGATTAAATTGGGCGAATTGCTGTATTCATCACATCAACTACTTATTATTTCTGTATATGTGGTGAGAGCATTTAAAATCCACTCTCTTAGCCACTATGAAATATACATTACCTTATTATTAACTATGGTCACCATGCTGTAGAATACATCCCTAAGACTTATTCTTCCTCTCTAACTAAAACTTTGTACCCTTTGATCACCATCTTCCCGATCTCCAACCCCGAAGCCCCTGGGAACCACTGTTCTGCTGTCTGTTTCCATGAGCTCAATTTTTTAGATTCCACATATAAGTGAGATCATAGGGTGTTTTTCTGTGCCTGGCTTATTTCCCCTGGCATGATGTCCTCTGGGTTCATCCATGTTTTCTTAGTCTTAAGAGAGTACCAAGGAGACAGGATTTTTAAGAAAATAGCAGTGAGGGGAGAGGGATCAAATTGGGATTGAAAGCAATTAGTCTGAAAAAATTCCAATTGCCTCTTCCTTCCAGGGTCCATCTTACTGACCTAGCTTGAATGAGGTCTCCACCCTTTGAGGCATAAAACCAGAAAATGGTGGTGACAGCATAGTGCAGTCGTAGAGAATCCACTCTTACGTCAGCGAGATCCATTAAGGGCTAAAGAATCATTGGAGATAGGAAACTATGCAGGAAGGATTCACTGTACCTAAAACTAATTTATATTGTGTGTGAAGTGTTGGGTATCTTCAAAGGAAAATATGCAATGGTGTGAAAGGATGAATATGCAAAGCATGTTAAGAAGCAAGCCAATAAAATAAGCATGGATCCAACAACCCACATAAAAAATGGAGAATATTTCTCATTCATTGTTGCTTTCAAGGCTTGCTTCTCTACTGCCTTGAAAATCCCACAGTCAAAGTTAAATATGTTCCTGAATTTTTTGTGTAATAAAAACATAACAATTTTGCCTAAGAGCTCTGTTTTCCTAATCAATATATTATGGTTTACTTAGGCTAGCATTTGAATCATATTCACTGGGAGCACACTGCATAGTCTGTATTTTTTCCCTTCCAACAATTTGAAATTTCTGAGATTCAGCCATGACTCTGCACATAGATTTAGTTTATTCGTTTTGCCTTTGTACAATCTTTCACTATGTAACTATTTCACACTTTACAGATCCATCCCCCTGACGGTGAACATCTGAGTTGTTGCAGGGTTTTACCGTTACAAACATTTCTGCTAAGGCCATGCTTATCTATGTACAAGAGTATGCAAGAGTTCCTCTAAAGTGTATACCAGCGAGGGGAATTGGTGGGTCGTGTTCTGATTTAAAGGATGGTGCCAAAGGGATCTCCAATATGGTTGTACTGATTTATGGTCCCAGCAGCAGTGGGTGAATGTTCTCATTGTTTGACATGTACATTAGCAGACAGATTTAGCCATAATTACATGCTGCTCGCTGACACCAAACCAGTTTTTCCCTCTTTAGAGCCTGACCACATTTTCCATCTGCTCCTGGAATTCAGTGTGTGTTTGGTTGAGTTCTGGCCAAGGAAATGTGAGTATAAGCGTGTGTCCCATGGAAATCTCCCACGGGTGAGCTTCCATGAGCTTTTTCCTTGGAGTTGATAAAACTGAAACAGTGGCCAAAAAAATCAACAAACAAAAACAGGGATACCTTGCAAGGCAGGTGTTGGAGATGGCAGAGTACCAATTTGGCAATAAACCTGAGTCTCTCACTCACCACTTGGAGAAAATCTACCCAAGCAAGAACACTTGCAAAGGGCTAGTAAAGTAGGAAAAATAAACTATGATTGTGTTAAGCCAATAAAATCCTGTGCTGCCTTTTTTCTATTGGTGAGCATTACTCCGGGATTCTGAATGGGATCAACCTTGCGCATCTAAAATGACGGCGTTCTCTGGTGGCAACATGCATTTCTGATTTTCTAGTGTGATTGGCCAAATTGTCACTGGGTTACTCAGCTCTCATAGTTCCTCTGTTAGAAAGCCCTACACTTTTTGACCTTTGCTCATTGAAAGACTGTAAAAATAATTGTGAGAAAAGATGAAAATATGTGAGTATGTATACATCAATATTTGTAGACTTTTATAGTTATCATGCGTATAGAATATGGGCATACAGGCACAAATGTGTTCAGAAACATGGCAATTTTAGGAATTGTTTAATTTAAGGTTTCTTTTATTTCAGGGCTTTTAAGAATATCCACAGAGCTGCACATAATGAAGGAAGTATGTATATTTGTGCCCTGACTGTGAAGAGTGTTATACCAGTTGCACAGAAATTTGCATGGATCAGAACCTTATAAGCAAAAAAGAGCAATTCCAAATTACTTTTACTTCCTTGTCATTGAATGTTCCTGGGTGATAGCCAGAACTCTACATTAGCAAATTCTCGTATAATTTTCTGTAATAATGGAAATGTTCTATCCTGGGCTGCCAAGGTGGTAGCCTCTAGCCATTTGGGACTACTGAGCACTGAAATGCAGCTAGTGAGACCATGGAAGTGATTCTATTATTTAATTTTTAATTTTAATATTTGTGGGTACATACTAGGTGTACAGATGGAAGTGAATTCTTATTCCTATTTTATTTTAAATCCTTTAAATTTGAATGTAATTATCCACAGGCGTCTAGGGGTATGATGTTGGACAACACCCCAGATCTACAGGAACTTGCCATTGAAAAGGTCAAGCAGCAACACTTCACCTGGAGTGCAGCTAGAAATGGAATTTCCCAGGTCCTGCTCAGGACTTACTGCATCAGACTCATTCGAGAGCATGTTCAGGTTTGAGAGCGTTACATGAACCACCATTTGCATCTTGCCTTTTTCTTAGAGACAGGGTCTCACTCTGTCACCCAAGCTGCAGTTCAGTGGTGAAATCATAGCCCACTGCAGCCTCAACCTCCTGGGCTCAAGCAATCCTCCCACCTCAGCCTCCTGACTAGCTGGGACTACAGGCACACACCACCATGCCCAGCCAATTTTTGTATTTTTTTAGAAACAGGGTCTTGCTGTGTTGCCCAGGCTGGTCTCGAACCCCCGCTTCAAGTGATTCTCCTGCCTTGGCCTCCCAAAGTGCTGGGATTACAGGCATGACCATTGGCCCTGGCCTCATCTTGCTTTTTTTCTCTTTGTCAACCACTGTGAAAATCTTTCACATATTGCCTGGTTGTTCTCTTGTTGCCATTTGAGCCCATTTGTTCTCAGAAAGCAAGTGGCATTCCATCATCCCCAGGTCAAGGAGCCAAGGAAGATATTAGGTATCATCAGATGGCTGAAGCTGTTTACAGTCCAATTTGCACACCCTGTGACCAAGTTACCGTTAGGATTCTGCCATTATCTGAGAGTGTTGGACGTTGGTCGATACGCCATTTTCTCAGACCCCAGGACACTTAGAATGACTCCCAAGAATTCCTTCCCCAAATGGTTCCATGGTTCGTAGACATTGTTGTGTTTTGTAATGGAGGTGGCATATGTCAGGTTTGAGCCAGCAGACCGTGGGAACACAGAAAAGCAGCATCTGCCAGTAGGGTGAGTCCAGGGCGGGTTCTTGGAAGAGATGAGGGGATTTTGTGAGCTGAGCCTGGAAGAATGGGTACTGGCAAGGCATGCTTTCTAACACTTACAGAACATTTCCAAAACAGTGACTTGGGTGAGTCCCCATTCCTGTATATTTTATGAAGAGGCTAGACATTGAGAAATAATCGTGGAGTGAGGTGAGACGTTGTGGGTGATGACGGCATATAAATATTTGCACGTATGCATGTCTGCCTAGCTGCCACATTTGGAACATATGAGTCTTTAGAAATGTAAGTGTACGAAGAGCTGGGCATGGTGGCCCACAGCTATAATCCCAGTGCTTTGGGAGGCTAATGAGAGAGGATTGATTTAAGACAGGAGTTCAACACCAGCCTCACAACACAGTGAGAACCCCATCTCTAAAATAAACAAAATAAAATAAAATAGTCAGCGTGCTGCAACACACCCATAATCCCAGCTACTCAGGAGGCTGAGGTGGGAGGATCACTTGAGCCCAGGGAGGTCAAGGCTGAAGTGAGCTATCATGGTGCCACTGCACCCCTGCCTGGGCAACAGAGCAAAACCCCGTCTCCTAAAATAAAAACTAAAAAATTTAAGTACAAGAGCAAAGTGATTTTTGGTTGATGATAGCTGGGGGAGGTGACTTCAGGGAAAGCAAAATAAGAACGTGGTAGATCCTAAAATGTTTAAAAGCATTTCTATAGATGGGCGCATGCACAACTTGCTCTTTTCCTTGTCCTCTGAAACTCAGGGGATACTATAATCTTAAAAGTACATGGAAAAGGAAGCTTAAATGCATACACACTATCACCAATCGATCCAGCAATCTCACTCCTTAGTATGTGGTACCAAAGGAGTTGAAAATGTATGTCCACACAAACCTGTGCACACAAATGTTTATATGGCAGCTTTAGTCGCAATTATCAAAACTATTTCAACAAAATTGTATTTCCCTTTATTTAAGAAAATAGTGTTTATATTTTAGAGGAGTTTTGGGTTTACAGAAAAATTGAGAAAAAGGTACAGAGATTTCTCATATAGTCCCTGCTCCCTTACCCCAACTTCCCCCATTATCAATATCCCCACCGGAGAGGTACGTTTGTTCTAAGGAACCTACATAGACACATCATTATTGATATGGTTTGTCTCTGTGTCTCTGCCCAAACCTCATGTTGAATTGTAATCCCCAATGTTGGGGAGGGACCTGGTGGGGGGTGATTAGATTATGGGGGTGGATAAAACTTGGAGGTTACAAAGATGTGCTTCAGGCAGTGAATGGATAAATAAAGGATGATACAACCTGATCATAGAATATTATTCAGCATGTGAACCTCGAAAATTTGAGAGAGGTCTCAGTTAATTTAGAAAGTTTATTTTGCTAAGGTTGAGGACAGATCCCCGTGACACAGGCTCAGGAGGTCCTGACAACATGTGCACAAAGTGGTCGTGACATAGCTTGGTTTTCTACATTTTAGGGAGATATGAGACATCAATCAATATGCGTAAGACGCACATTGGTTCAGTCCAGAAACATGGGACAACTCGAAGCAAAGGTGGGAAGACTCCAAGCGGGTGAGGAGGCTTCCAAGTCATAGGTAGTTAAGAGACAAATGGTTGTATTCTTGTGAGTTTCTGATAGCTTCTCCAAAGGAGGCAATCAGATATGCATTTATCTCAGTAAGCGGAGGGGGCACTTTGGATAGAATAGGAGGCAGGTTGGCCCTAAGCAGTTCCCAGCTTGAATTTTACCGTTAGCTTAGTGATTTGGGGGCCCCAAGATTTCTTTCTCTTTCACAAACACTAAAATGAAATGAGCTATCAAGTCATGAAAAGTCATGGAGAAATTTTAGATGCATGGTACTAAGTGAAGGGTACCATGCATCTGAAAGGGTATCTGAAAGGCTGCATGCCGTATGATTCCAACTCTATGACATTCTGGAGAAGACAAAACTATGGAGACGGTGAAAAAGAAAATCAGTGATTGGCAGGTCTTGAGAGTGGGAGAGAGAATGCAGAGGATTTTTAGGGGAGTGAAACTACTCTGTGTGGTACTAGGATGCTGGATCCATGCCATTATACGTTTGTCCAAACCCTTAGAATGTACAACACCAAGGGTGAGCCCTATGTGAACTATGAACTCTGGTGATAATTGTATCAGTTTGTTCTCATGCTGCTATAAAGACATACCAGAGATGGCTAATTTACAGAGGAAAGAGGTTTAATTGACTCACAGTTCTGCAGGCTGTTTAGGAAGCATGGCTGGGGAGGCCTCAGGAAACTTACAATCATGGCAGAGCAGAAGGCGAATGGGGACGCAGGCACATCTTCATATAAAGGAGCAGGAGAGAGAGACTGTAGTGAGGAGGAGGTATACATTTTTCAAACAACCAGATCTCATGAGAACTCACTCACTACTACGAGAACAGCAAGGGGAAAATCCACCCCCATGATCCAATCACCTCCCATCAGGTCCCTCCCCCAACACTGGGGATTATAATTCAACATGAGATTTGGGTGTGGACACAGAGACAAACCATATCAATAATGATGTGTCCATGTTGGTTCATTACAACAAATGCACCACTCTGGTGGGGATATTGATAATGGGGGAGGTTGAGGTAGGGGAGCAGGGACTATATGCGAAATCTCTGTACCATACTCTCAATTTTGCTGTAAACCTAAAACTCCTCTAAAATATAAATTCTATTTTTAAAAAATAAAAGGTAATAAAATTTTGTTGAAAAAAATTATTCTTGGCTTGACACGGTAGCTTATGCCTGTAATCCCAGCACTTTGGGAGGCTGAGGCGGGTGGATCACCTGAGGTCAGGAGCTCGAGACCAGCCTGGTCAACATGGCGAAACCCCATCTCTACTAAAAATACAAAAATTAGCTAGGCGTGGCAGTGCATACCTGTAATCCCAGCTACTAGAGAGGCTGAGGCAAGAGAATCACTTGAACCCAGAAGACAGAGGCTGCAGTGAGCTGAGATCGTGCCACTGCACTCCAGTCTGGGTGATAGAGTGAGACTCTGTCTCAAAAAAAAGAAAAGGAAAAATCATTCTCCTGAGTTCAGAAAAGAATAGGATGAGGGGTGAGTAGGGAGGTTGTTTATATTTCCCAAATTGAAAACCACTCGATCAATATGGATGGATGAGAAACAGCATTTTCCAGACATCATTATCTACTTAGGCATCTTTGAAAATTCCGAGTGGAGCAAGGAAACAGCATGAGGATCCAGCAGAAGGAAGTGCTGGGAACAAGCTGGGCCTCTCCCATGGTTCTGGGTGGCATAGAGCTGCCGGGAGACTGGAATTTCATGGAGACTTTGCATGAAGTCTGCCTCGTTGGGTCAGGTTTGTCATCAGGGTGCAACACCTTGGGAACAGACAGCCGGGTAGAAAGTAGCAGGGCAAATCCATGAGGATGTCAGGGGCCGCAAGACAACCACGCCTAAGGAAAAACATCGCAGGAAGGTCACACTTGCTTTCATTTCTGAATCATAAATGTGCGAGATGGAGGCATATGGATGGATGAAGCAAATTAATGAAGTGTGCAGCTGTCCTGTCGGATTGCTAGGCAATAGCAACAAAACCCAGGCGGCTGTCGTGAAGAATGCAGACAGCCTGCACCACCGCCCACAGAGCTTGCTGCATGACCAAACCAATGAGACTCCCAGAACAAGCGGGAAAACATGTCCAGGGTTCTCAGAAATGCCTCGGCAGAGCTGTGCCTCCGGGGAGTTGCATTCGCCACAGAGATCCTCACCTGGCGAAAAGCGACTGCTTCCCTGCTCATTTCCAAAATGAGCACCTGTTGAGTTGTTTGAGCTGTGACGAATGCAAAAAAAAAATCTCAGGGGGAAAAAATAAAACGTTAAGGAATTTTTTTTAGTTGCATGGATTATCAGCCTCCGCCAGTCTCATGATGCTGCTGTCAGTCCGAGACCTGATGTCATAGCCTGAAAAACTCAGCTCAGCGTCTGAGGTTTCGACTCCCTTCTTAACAAAAGTCATTTGTCTTGACCTCCTAGTTAAGAAACCACAGGTATTTAGAATATTGTACAAAAAGGGACTGCCAGAAAAATCTCATACACGTGTGCAGTGGGCTTTGCTCAGATGCGGGAAATCAAAGACATGTTCAGACATGGCGCCCTCCAGTTTTGCAGTGGGCTAAATATTACAGAAATGGTTCAACTCTGTCACCGAGATCATGTGAATTAACTTTGTCCTCACCCTTTTCAACAAAGGGTGCTGGGATAATTGGCTAGCCACATGCAGGAGAATGAAACTGGATCCTCATCTCTCATCTTATACAAAAATCAGCTCAAGATGGATCAAGGGATTAAATCTAAGACCTAAAACTATAAAAATTCTAGAAGATAACATTGGAAAAACCCTTCTTGACATTGGCTTAGGCAAGGATGTCATGATCAAGAACCCAAAAGCAAATGCAATAAAGACAAAGATAAATATGTGGGACTTAATTAAACTAAAGCGCTTTTGCCTGGCAAAAGGAACAGTCAGCAAGGTAAACAGACAACCCACAGGGTGGGAGAAAACCTTCCCAATCTATACATCTAACAAAGGACTAATATCCAGAATCTACAACGAACTCAAACAAATCAGAAAGAACAAAACAAACAATCCCATCAAAAAGTGGGCTAAGGACATGAATAGACAATTCTCAAAAGAAGATATACATATGGCCAACAAACATATGAAAAAATGCTCAATATCACTAATGACCAGGGAAATGCAAATCAAAACCACAATGCAATACCACCTTACTCCTGCAAGAATGGCCATAATCAAAAACTCAAAAAACAGTAGATGTGGTGAACAGGAACACTTCTAAACTGCTGGTGGGATGTAAACTAGTACCGCCACTATGGAAAACAGTGTGGAGATTCCTTAAAGAGCTAAAAGTAGAACTACGATTTGATCCAGCAATCCCACTACTGGGTATCTACCCAGAGGAAAAGAAAATCATTATTTGAAAAAGATGCTTGCACACGCATGTTTATAGCAGCACAACTCACAATTGCAAAATCGTGGAACCAACCCAAATGCCCATCAATCAACGAGTGGATGAAGAAACCCTGGCATATATATACAGTGAAATACTACTCAGCCATAAAAAGGAATGAATTAACGGCATTTGCAGCGGCCTGGATGAGATTGGAGACTATTATTCTAAATGAAGTAACTCAGGAATGGAAAACCAAACATCGTATGTGTTTAACCAAACGTCGTATTATTCTAAGTGAAGTAATTCGGGAATGGAAAACCAATCGTCGTATTCTCACACATAAGCGGGAGCTAAGCTATGAGGATTCGAAGGCATAAGAGTGACACAATGGACTTTGGGGACTTGGGAGGAAGGCTGGAAGGGGAGCGAGGGATAAAAGACTACAAATAGGGTGCAGTGGACACTGCTTGGGTGATGGGTGCATCAAAATCTCACAAATCACCACTAAAGAACTTGCTCATGTAACCAAACACCACCTGTTCCCCAAAAATCTATGGAAATATAAAAAATAAAAAATAAAAACTCTGTCCTGGAACCAGGTTGGTTCTGGGCATTGTGTTGTGTTGTGCCGTGGCATGTTTTGCCTTGTTTGAGTGGTATCTACACAGAACCACCCAATGAGGTGTCTGGGATGGTTTGCTCTCTTGGTGATCTCGAGGTGCGGTTTCAAGTGTTTTGTTGTACTATGTGGTGTCATTGCTTGTTTTGCCTTGTGTGGGCTATGTATTAGTCAGGGTTCTCTGGAGAAACAGAACCAACAGGAGATATGTATATAAAGAGAGAAAGATTAAAATAAAGTATATTAGTTCGTTTTCATGCTGCTGATAAAGACATACCCAAGACTGGGCAATTTACAAAAGAAAGAGGTTTAAGGGACTTATAGTTCCACATGGCTGGGGAGGCCTCAGAATCATGGCAGAAGGCAAGGAGAAGCAAGAGTTCACTGCACTCCAGCCTGGGTGATAGACGGAGACCCAGTCTCATTTTCAAAAAGAAGAATCCAGTATATTATTATTACAACTCTTATTAATAGTTGCTTTGATTTTCTGCTCCTTTATCCAATGGTACCTAATTGAACAACATGCAGACCAAACACCACCAGCAGTCCACTTTCTATAAAACTTCTAACAGGGCCAGTTGCAGTGGCTCACACCTGTAATCCCAACACGTTGGGAGGCCGAGGCAGGCGGATCACAGGGTCAGGAGTTCAAGACCAGCCAGTTCAAAACCAGCCTGGCCAACACGTTGAAACCCAGTCTCTACTAAAAGTACAAAAATTAGTTGGGCATTGTGTGGGTGCCTGTAATCCCAGCTACTCAGGAGGCTGAGGCAGGAGAATTGCTTGAACCCGGGAGGTGGAGGTTGCAGTGAGCCGAGATCACACCACAGCACTCCAGCCTGAGCCAAAGAGCAAGACTCCATCTTGGGCCAGGGAGCAGGGGGTAGGCGGGGGGTACTTCTAACAGGATGTAGTATTTTCTCTTGTAGGTTGGTGCATGGTGAGAATTTATGTTGCAAAATGGGCTGTCATGTTGCTTATACAGATCAAGGGGGCCAACACCGGTAATTGTCAATTTTTGAGTGAATCACATCATGATTTTTTGTGTGTTTTTACTTTGTCCCTGGTAGATTCTGCGTGAAGAGTTTCCCGTATGTTCAGAACTACAAATGAGGTCAGAATTTTGGAATTTCAAGTTTGGCCCCATAGAGTAGATTGGGTAAGATTGGGTTTTTCACATAACACTGATTTATTTTACTGTTGATGGGGAAAGACACACATTGGACAAAACTCATTTATTCTGTATCCTTCCTTTGCCATTTGTAAGTATCCTTGAATTTTTTTTTTTTAAATTTCCTTGCCTTATCTTCCTAGGGAAAAAAAAAGGTCAGAAGATAGGTCTAATCTGCCTGGAGCCTGAAAAAACACAGATCTTTTCAGATCATTGATTTTTGTTTGTTTGTTTTTAGGTCAAGTCTCGCTCCATAGCTTAGGTTGGAATGCAGTGGTGTGATCATGGCTTACTGCAGCCTCGACTTCCCGGGCTCAAGCAATCCTCTCACCTCAGCCTCCTGAGTAGCTGGGACTGCAGATGTGCACCACCACACCCAGCTCATTTTTGTATTTTTTGGTAGAGATGAGGTCTCGCTGTGTTGCCTTATTTATTTATTTAGCCAACTATCTTCGTATTGTGTATGGTGTTTTCCTATATCTGATTCAAGAATGAATACAAAGATAGATTTTATCTGGAGATATTCTACAAAGTTTAAAACCATACAGTGAATATATTGATAATTCTTTGGTCAAAAGTGGTTCTGGGGTGTATTTCTCTATTAAATACACCTGGAGTACATTTCCTTATTAAATAAGTCTATATGAGAGGAAGGATAAGTTCAGGGGTTCTATTATACCACATGATGACTAAAATAAACAACAATGGATCACATACTTAAAAATTGCTAAAAGAGTAGATTTTAAACGTTCTCTCCACCAAAAAATGAGAAGTTGGTGAGGTGATGTTTATGTTAACTAGTGTCATTTGGCCATTTTTCAGTGGAAACACATATCAAAGCATCATGACGTTACTGAGTTCATGCGGTGGCTCACACCTCTAATCTCAGCATTTAGGAGTCCCAGGCTGGAGGATTACTTGAGGCCAGAAGTTCAGACCAGCCTGGGCAATATAGTGAGACCCCCATCTTTACAATAAATTTAAAAAATTAACCAGGCATGGTGGCGCAGGACTGTAGTCCCAGCTACTGGGAAGGCTGGGGCAGGAGGATTGCTTGAGCCCAGAAGGTCAAGGCTGCAGTGAGCTATGACGACACCACTGCACTCCAGCCTGGGTGACAGAGAGAGACCCTGTCTCAAATAAAAGCAAAAAAAAAAAAAAAAAAAAAAAAGTTGTGCCTCATAAATATACACCATTTTTATTTATCAATTAAAAAATTAATTTTTGAAAATCCCCTCCTTTTGAAAAATGAGTCTATATGAAACATCTACTATATCACAGGTACCATGATTATATCCTGTATATTAGGGACATAATATCTACTATATAATGGATGCTAAAATTATATCCCTATATACTAGGGATATGATATCTACTATATGACAGGTACCGGGATTATATTCCTGTATACTAGGGATCTAAAATCGACTCTGTGATGGGTACTGGAATAATATCCCTATACATTGGGGATATCAAATCGACTCTGGGATGGGTACTGAGATTATATCCCTATATGCTAGGAATAGAAAATCTACTATATGACAGGTACTAGGATTCTATCCCTACATGCCAAGGATATAGTATCTACTATGTGATGGATACTGTGATTATATCCCCATCTACTAGGGATAGAAAATCGACTATGCAATGGGTACTGGGATTCTATCCCTAAATACTAGGGATATAATATCTACTATGTTACAGGTACTGTGATTATATCCCTATGTGCGAGAGATGTAAAATCGACTGTGTGACGGGTACTGGGATTCTATCCTTATATGGTGGGGATAGAAAATCGACTCTATGACAGGGATTGGGATAATATGCCTATATACTGGGGACATAAAATTGACTATGTGATGGGTACTGGCATTATCTCCCTATATACTGGGGATAGAAAATCGACTGTGTCACGGGTACTAGAATTATATCCCTATATGGTAGGGATGGAAAATCCACTGTATGACAGGTACTGGGATTATATCCCTATATGCCAGGCATATAAAATCTACTACGTGATGGGCACTAGGATTATAGCCCTACATACTAGGCATATAAAATCTACTATATGACAGGTACTAGGATTATATCCCCATATACAAGGGATAGAAAATGTACTATATGATATGTACTGTGATTATTACTAGGGATACACATCCTGAAGATGTAGTTCCTGGGCTCGAGAGAAACAGCCTCAGAAACCAACAATTCACCCATGGGTGTCACAGGAGGTGTCATGAAGTACAGAGTAAGGGCTGGGTAACTCTTAGGAAAGGTGCCCCCAGAGAGTGAGCCTTTAACCAAGATCTCAAACAATGGGTCATTGTTTGCCAGAAGTAGGGGCAGGGGTGTAGGAGGGAGAGAGGGAGAGAAAAAGAGAGAGAGAGGCAAGGTCTCCCACGCAAAGGAAAAGAGCCTGTGCAAAACTATCACAGCTCATGAATGACCAGGATGAATGTGGACAGATGATATTCTCTTGTGTGTCAGGACTAAAGAAAATGTTATATTTGGCAAAGATCCATGGAGGTAGGGAGTGCAGGCAGAGAATTTCTGCGAAAGGAGCTTTAGGAGTTTCCTGTGCCACCATAACACATTACGGCAAAGCAGGTGGCTTGCAACAACAAATTTATTCCCTTTCAGTTTGAGGGGATGCAAGTCAGAAAGCGAGGTGAAAGTGGAACCATGCTGTCTCTCAAAGCTCAAGGGAAAAATCCTTTGCCTCCTTCTCAGTTTGCATGTTTGTTGGCAATCCCTGGTGTTTGTTTGCTTGGGGTGGCATCCTCCAGTGTCTGCCTCTGCAGTTCCAAGAACTTCCCCTCTCTGTGTGTCTGTCTTTTCTACTCTTCTTATAAGGACACCTATCATTGGATTTATGGTCCACCCTAGTCCAGTAAGACGTCAACTTACTGCAAATTCGTTATATCTGGCAAGTCCTTATTTCCTTTTTTTTTTCCTTGCTTAATTTTAAGTTCAGGGGTGCATGTGCAGGTTTGTTATTTGGGTAAACTTGTGTCACAGGGGTTTGTTGTACAGATTATTTTGTCACCCTGCTATTAAGCCTAGTACCCATTAGTTATTTGTCCTGATCCTCCCCCTCGTCCTCATCCTCTACCTTCCAGGCCCCAGTGTCTGTTTGTATTAGTCCGTTTTCACACTGCTGATAAAGACATACCCGAGACTGGGTAATTTATAAAGAAAAAGAGGTTTCATGGACTCACAGTTCCACATGGCTGGGGAGGCCTCACAATCATGGCAGAAGGTGAAAGCCACATCTTACATGGCGGCAGACAAGAGAGAATGAGAGCCAAGTGAGAGGGGAAACCATTTATAAAACCATCAGATCTCATGAGACTTATTCACTACCAGGAGAACAGTATGGGGGAAATTGCCCCCATGATTCAATTACCTCCCACCAGGTTCCTCCCACAACACATGGGAATTATGGGAGCTACAATTCAAGATGAGATTTGGGTGGGGACACAGCCAAACCATATCACTGTTGGTCCCCTCTATGTGTCCATGTGTTCTCATCATTTAGCTCCCACTTATCAGGACGAATATGCAGTATTTGTTTTTCCATTCCTGTGTTAGTTGGCTAAGGATAATGGCCTCCAGTTCCATCCATGTTCCTTCAAAAACATGATCTCATCCTTTTTTATGGCTGCATAGTATTCTATGGTGTGTATGTACCACATTTTCTTTATCCAGTATGTTACTGATGGGAATTTAGGTAGATTCCATGTCTTTGTGATTGTGAATAATGTGGCAGTGAATATTCGTGTGCACGTGCAAGACCTTATTTCCAAATAGGTCACATTCTGAGGTTACAGATGGATGGAAATTATTAATAATAATAAACCCAGTACAGCCAGTTTGGGTCCAGAGTGGGAAGGCTCTTGTATAAACTACTAAGTGATACAAAACCTTTTTGACTTTTCCACCACTGAGTTTAAAAGCAGAGGTGATAACAGAAGATTTGCAATCCCCAACTTTATTTCCACGTTATTTATGCTGAGGAGTATTTAACTAAGGGTACCATCCTTTTCAGAGACTCCACCCACCCTTTTGATACTGATATGGACAGGGGACAGGGAAATACTGGGTGGAGAAGGGCACAGTCCCTGGTGAGGTCTCCACCCTCAGGCCTGTGCCCATGGACCTAAATGAGAATAGGCACCCCTGTTTTCGTGCCCAAATGCTGCATTTCCCAAGATCACTCTGGCCCGCCATGCCCCCCATTCTGTGCCCCATATAAACTTGAGACCTTAGTGGGCACACACACAAGCGGCTGAACATCGAGAGGAGCAGACCAGCAGACAAGCGATGGCGGAACTATGCGGCAGAGAAAGAGAGAAGGCAGGGGCACATCCGGACACCGACGGGAGTTCGGCCCGGGAGGTCAGAGAAGAGTCTGGCTGCGGGGTGGCCGAACTCCAGGGGAAGATTATTGCCCCTACCTGTCTCTATAAAAAATTAAAAAATTAGTTGGGCATGGTGGCTCATGACTGTGGTCCCATCTACCTGGGAGGCTGAGGCAGGAGGATCACTTGAGCCCAGGAGGTTGAGGCTACAGTAAGCTGTGATTGCACCACTGCACTCCAGCCCGGCTGACAGAGTGAGACTGTCTCAAAAAATAAATAAATAAATAAATATTTTTAAGGAACAATTCATGAAGACTTTCCAATTTGTTCCATTTCATGTGTTAGCTTATTTCGATTTTAAACGAGAAGACAGGAGTGATAAAGTTTGTACTTGGATCCCCTGATGAATGTTCATGTTTTAATATACTTAGATAGGCATTTTTTTCCATCACAAATGAGATTATGTCAATGTGTCCTGGGAAATACTAGGAAATTTGCATTTGATTGCAAATCAAAAAATAATGAAATTTCACTCAAAATGTATTTTCTGCATAATGCATTTTTATGATACTCTGGAGATTGTTTAAAGAGGCATCGTTATGAATAAGTACATATTCATGCAGACAGAAACGCAGTGCAGGATCTACCATAACTAAGACCTAATTTCCACCAGGAAATCCAAGCTCGTGTCTGCCTAATCACATGCTTGTTTAGTAATTGCAAATTATCTGAACTCCAGGCTTCTTCTGGAGACTCCAGGGGCTTCTTTTAATCAGTACCGGAAGCTGAGAATCAAGGAAATCACTGAATTTCATATTATTCAAATATATTTTTCATTGCAAATAGTACTTCATTAAGAACTACAAGTAACCATTTTATTTTATTTTTCGTTTTACCATTTTTATTGAATTAGTATTTCAGTATTTTCTGCAGACATTTGGTATTTTTTAAAACATTTTTGTTTTCCAATTGTATCGGGACACAGACATACACAGAAGTTTGATTACGTGAGGACACAGGGAGAAGACAGCATCTACAAGCCAAGGAGAGAGGCCTCAGGAGGAACCAGCCCTGCCCACACCTTGATCTCAGACTTCAGCTTCCAGGACTGTGGGAGAATCATTGTCTGTTGTTTATAAGCCTCCCAGTCTGTGGTATTCTGTGATAGCAGCCTGAAATGAACTAAGACATCTCATAAGAAGAGGGGATAAGGACACAGACACACACAGAGGGACGACCCTGTGAGGACACAGGGAGAAGACGGCACCTCCAAGCCGAAGAGAGAAGCCTCAGGAGGAACCATCCCTGCCCACACCTTGATCCCAGACTTCCAGCCTCCAGGACCATGGGAGAATCAATGTCTGTTGTTTAAGCCAAGCATTCTGGGGGACCTGGTTATGCAGCCCTAGCAAACTAACATAGCAAGCATTATTTTCTCTCCCATATCTCAGGGTAAATCACCTTCCTTTAAAATGGTAGGACCCTATTTCATAAAAATGCATTCCATCTCTCGTGTGTATTTTTCTCAGGGTAATAACTATGAGTAGAGTCTCACAAATAAAGTTCTTTACCTAAAGTATAAAACTAGCCTTAACCACTAAACCCTGAAAGTTCATTTTAGATTTTCAATGTAATAATAGTTTTTACAACAGGAAAATCAAATTCCGTTATAATAATCTGAAAAGCACCCTCAAGTACATCATGTTCTTATTTTAATTCTTCTTTTACTCATACAATTCTCTTAGATGAAAAAAAAAAAGAAGAAGAAGAAGAACCTCCAACTGTAATCCAAGAAATTGTGGCTGGGCACAGTGGCTCACGGCTGTAATCCCAGCACTTTGGGAAGCTGAGGCAGGTGGATCACTGGAGGTCAGGGGTTCAAGACCAGCCTGGCCAACATGGCGAAACCCCGTCTCTACTAAAAATACAACAAATGTCCAGGTGTAGTCATACGCGCCTGTAATCCCAGCAACTCGGGAGGCTGAGGCATGAGAATCACTTGAACCCATGAGGCAGAAGTTGCAGTGAGCCAAGGTCGTGCCACTACACTCCAGCCTGGGTGACAGAACGAGAATCTGTCTCAAAAAAAAAAAAAAAAGGAAATTGCAATAGGAAGCTGCCACATCCAAGTGGCTACATTTGTGAATTAGGAGGATAAAGGAAATTGAAGAGGAGGATGACAAGAATGAGGCCTCAAATGTGCTGTTTGTTTTCTCTTCTAATGGGTGTTTGCAAAAGAGTGGCCCGTATAAGAGAAACTTAAGCTGTTAAAATAATTTCAGTATGCAATCTTTGGCTTGTCTTTCTTCTTGGTATTATGAGAGTGTCATTCCAGAGTTAGAATGGTGCTTCTAGGAAACCCAAGAAAAATATGTTCATTTTCATCAAAAACATAATTGGTGCATTTATTGAGAGCTTTCTCCATGGTCACGTTAATATCACAGAAAACTCCATGATAGTTTGCTGAGCAAAGCAAACAGTGTTCAAACGCAGCAGTCCCCAACCTTTTTGGCACCAGGGACAGGTTTCGTGGAAGACAACTTTTCCATGGCTGGGGTTGGGAGCAGGATGGTTTCAGGATGATTCAAGCACATTGCATTTATTGTGCACTGTATTTCTATTATTATTACATTGTAAGATACAATGAAATAATTTTACAACTCACCATCATGTGGAATCAGTGGGAGCCCTGAGCTTGTTTTCCTGCAACTAGACAATCCCATCTAGTGGGGGATGGGAGACAGCGACAGATCATCAGGCATTCCACTCTCATAAGGAGCGCCAACCTAGATCCCGCGCATGTGCAGTTCACAAAAGGGTTCACGCTCCTATGAGGATCTAATACCACCGCTGATCTGCCAGGAGGTGGAGCTCAGGAGGTAAAGTGAGTGATGGGGAGCAGCTGTCAATACAGATGAAGCTTTGCTCGCCCACCTGCTACTCACCTCCTGCTGTGCGGCCCAGTTCCTAACGGGCCACGTGGGGACCCCTGTTTTAACATATATCATTTCTAATCTGTCTCCCCAAATCTCTGTAATATAAAGATTATTGTTCCCAATGTACATCAAAAGACCCTGTAGGGCAGAGATGTAAAAGCATCAGCCTGATATTCTGTTGCTGGCATATATCATAGATGGTCATCAAACCCTAATTTTATACAGTTGCATAAAAGACATAGTTCTAATATTTGATAGCAGGGTAAGGTGCCTATAGTTAGCAATAATGTATTGTGTATTTTAAAATAGCTAGAAGAGAAGACTTGAAATGTTCCCAACACATGGAAATGATTAATTCTCAAGGTGACAGATATTCCAAATAATGTGGCCTGATCACTACACATTCTATGCAAGCAACAAACTGTCACATGTTCCCCATAGATATGTAAAATAGTATGTATCAATAATAGAAAAAAGGTAAATGCAAGCAAGTTTCTCAAAAAATTCTCAGTTTCTTCAAGTATCTGGTATGGTCCTTAAACCCGTAACTCCCTGTGCAAGAAGTCAAGCTCGATTTTGGCTAGGGTTTGTGGGGCGCCTGATGTTTAGTTTGCACACCATCCAATTTCACGGGGGTTTTTTGACGTATTTCATGCTTCACTCTTCTGCAAAGCATTTGGTCCTAAGCTCACCATGAGCTCCAAAGGGTGGGAGCGTCCATGGGAAGGAAGGGCTTCTCTGGGGTCATAAGCATTGCTTTGCTCAGAAGCACCCTGGGCGGATGGAATTCTGGGCAAAGGATGCCAGGACATGAAGGGTTTTCTTCCAGCCCCAAACTTAACTCTCCTGGTATGTTATACTGCAAAGAAGGCTGAAATACGAGCAAATGGCCGATGAGGGGATGCACTGAGAATGAGGCAAAGGAGTCTGGCTTTCCCTTTTCCTGGGATAGCTGGAAGGATTTGAAGGATTTTGAGCATGAGAGAGGCGTGAGTAGAGATGAGCTGCTCAGACAGAAGTTGGCCTGTGGTTTGGGGTCCTCTAGACAGGAAAAGATTAGAAGCAGGGACACCACTGGGAATCAACAAATGAGCGCCAAAAATTCACCCAATCAAAATGGCAGGAAATGGCCTCAGAATACCTTGAATGCTGAAGATGCCTTGTAAGTGTTAGTCAAATTGAATATACTTTGGATCTGGAGGTATAAATTATATATTATGTATAATAGGTGTGTTATATATAATATATATTATAATAATGTAATATCTTAAATATTATTATAATATATAATACTTAAATACTATATGTAATATATAGTATTTCAAATATGATATTATTATAATAAAACACAAATTGCATATTGTTTATTTCATATTATATATTAAATTGCCATTACTCTTAATGGCAGAAACCCCAATTACTTTTGCACCAACCTAATATGTACTATATAACTATATGATACATAACATACCATTGTATGTCTATGTATATTATATGTAATATACTATGTAATATATATTATATTCTATGTAATATATTATATACCATGTAATATATATTATAATTAAATATGTTATACGTAATATATATCATATACATAATATAATGTATATGTCATATATTATACAGTATAAGGTGTTATATATCATATAACATATGGTGTTATGTCTATGTATGTTATATACATTATATACTATGCAATTTATATTATATACTATGTAGTATATTATATTATAATTATGTTATATGTAATATATATCATATACATTATATAATATATGATATGTCATATATTATATAGTGTTAGGTGTCATATATTACATAAGGTATAGTATTATAAATTATGTAATAGATAATATAGTTATATATTATATAAAATGATGTAAATTATATATAATATATAGTTATATTTTATAAATATATCTTATATCATATATAACATTTTATATCATTTTATGATTATATTATTTATTTTATTATTATTTATACTATTTTATAGTATTTATATTATATATTACTCTTTATACATTTAAAATATTACATATTATTTATAGATAACATTAAATTTCAACAGCAATTTATTATATATAACGTACATATACAAATAATTGTATATAATACACAATATAATAAATAATGAAATTTTTATCAATAATGATGACTTCAAAACACAAAATCAAAATTGTTATCGGATGTGATGTCAAAAGGCTGTTGTTATTAAGCTCCGGATGGAATTGACCTATCTTATTGGGCACAGGTGGAAAGACAGAATGCATTTTCCTATTAATATTTAACCAAGATCTATTGTGCTTATATTTGAAGCAGCAATAGCACCAAGAGGACATGATCCCTGTCCTCGGAGTCACACATCATCCAAAAACTCACATAAAATAAGATACTGGGGATGAACTTAGAAAGTGCTATGAAATAATAGCTGGGCATGGTGGTGGGTGCCTGTAATCCCAGCTACTTGGGAGGCTGAGGCAGGCGAATCGCTTGAACCCGGGAGGCAGAGGTTGCAGTGAGCCAAGATCGTGCCACCGCACTCCAGCCTGGGCGACAAGGGAAGACTCCATCTCAAAAAAATAAATAATTAATTAATTAAAATTAAAAAATAAAATTAGTAATAATCACAAATCACATAGCGATGAGCTTCCTGGAATCCAAAGGAAAAAATGAGACATCTTCTGTGTTATGATTAATACAATTCTTTGGTAAGAAATTAAGCAAAGCTTTTCCAGTCATATCTGAGTCATTCATACCAAAAGCGTCTTCAACAGTACCCCCACAGAAAAGACAGGATCACAACTTAAAAGTGCAATCTGTTACAAATATTCTCATTTTAGAGCTCAGTGCACAATAAGAAAGTACTGCTCAGCAGTAGCAATTCTGTGGAGAACTACAGCAGAAGTGGTCTAAGAACTCAGCTTTTGGATGGTCCAGATTTTACTTTACTGTAAATAAAATCTATGCTATCCAGGACCATGAGTCCTTCAAAACATGCTCCTCCAATAGCGTGTCTCTCAAGTAATTGCATTTTAGGATCATATCGTCTGGCAGAAGCATGGACAACCTGCATTTTTCTGCGGTTGTTTAAGGGCATGTGCATCAACCCTAATGATCGAGGATGAGAAGAGCGTGGTTACAACCCTGCAAAGGAAGGTTCATGGCAGAATGGCTGCTGGGCTTCCCTCAGTGCAGCTAATATGTTTCTTAAAAATGAAAGTCCTCTACACTCCTATCTATCTATCATCTATCTATCTATCTATCTATCTATCTATCTATCTATCTATCTATCATCTATCTACCTAATCTGTATTTCTATCTATATCTATCTCTGTATTTCTAGCTATATCTATCTATCTGTATTTCTATCTATCTATATCTGTATTTCTATCTATCTATCTGTGTTTCTATCCATCATCTATCATCTATCATGTTTTTATCTATCTTTCTATCATGTATCATCTATCTATTTGTCTACCTATCACCTATTATCTCTCTATCTTCTTTCTTTCTATTATGTATGTATCATCTATCTATTTTTTTCTGTCTCTGTTCTCTACGTCTATCTTTGTATTTCCATCTCCTATACACACACACGCGCACACACACACACATACACACACACACATCAAATCTCCAATCTTCTGCTCCCTTGGGCAATATAGTTAGATAATTTTATTATAGGAAGTGTGTCCAAGGAAAACATAGAAGTCACTGGTCCCAACCACAGAAATATTTCTATCACAAAGAACATGGATTGAGCAATGCAGTCTCTTTGTGAAGAATGAGGATCCATTTTATGCAAAAGATAACTTAAAATAGCCAGAACCACTGTATGGATTTCCTGTGCGTACACTCATTTCATCTTGGTGACCATCTGCTAAAAATAATTATATGTATTCTCAAAATTTTATCAGAAGCCACTGTTAGGACAATGGCTTCATTGTAGGAAACACTGTCCATTGATTCATCACTTAATTATAGTACGGTTGACCTTTGAACAACACGGGTTTGAACTATGTGGTCCACTTAGAAGGGGATTGGATCCTCTTCCACCTCTGGCACCAGCGAGTCAGCAATACCAACCATTCTCTTCCTCCTCAACCTCCTCAACGTGAAGACAATGAGGATGCACATTTTTATGATGCTCCACTTCCACTCAATGAATAGTAAATGTATTTTCTGTTCCTTATTGTTTTCTTAATGACATTTTATTTTCTTTAGCTTGCTTTATTGTAAGAATACAGTATTTAATATGCATGACATATAAAATATGTGCTAATCGACTGTTTATGTTATCAGGAAGGCTTCCACTCAAAAGTAGGTTCTTATTAGTTATGTTTTGGGAGAGTCAAAAGTTACAAGTGGATTTTTTTTTTTTTTTTTTTTTTTGGAGACGGAGTTTCACTCTTGTTGCCCAGGCTGGAGTGCAGTGACTCGATCTCTGCTCACTGCAAACTCCGCCTCCCGGGTCCAAGTGATTCTTCTGCCTCAGCCTCCCGAGTAGCTGGGATTACAGGCACACGCCACCACGCTTGGCTAATTTTTGTATTTTTAGTAGAGACAGGGTTTCACTATGTTGGCCAGGCTGGTCTTGAACTTCTGACCTCAGGTGATCCACCCACCTCAGCCTCCCAAAGTGCTGGGATTACAGGCGTGAGCCACCATGCTCAGCCTACAGGTGGATTTTTGACTGCATGGTGGGTTGGAACCCCTAACTCCCACATTGTTCAAGAGTCTACTATACATTAATATACTCTTGGGGTGTGTTTGTTGTTGTAATACTCTGAGTGTTGGAGAAGGTACAGAATTATTCACCTCCTCTCTCTTACCTGCTGTGGAAACAGGGATTCTGACCCCTGGGCTATTTCCCATGGTGACATCAATTAATTTCGGCCTCAACTCCTAAAAGGAGCCGGAACAGTTTAGTACGTGTCAGATCGTATTGGATGACCACATCACCAGCTCAATAAAGAGCCAAATTTAGCCATGACAAAAAACTGGTGAATCTCACAGAGGCAAGTATGAAAAGACTCATTGCAATGGGTTTAACAAGAAGGTGACTCTACTGTAAATTCCCACTCACTCAAAATTCCTGTGATTGGGAAGCTCATGCAGGTGAAATTTGTCTTCTGTCCTTCATCTGAAAGAACAATTAAACAAATCCCAAGAATCTGCTTAAAAGGTGTGTTGCAGGCATTCTACACAACCATTATAAGGTTGAGTAGAATTAAGTATCCAATGCAATGGACACCTATAATGATCATTCTGAGTTACTGTGAGATAGTGTATAGAACAATAACAAATTTGAACACAATTAAATATAAAAGTAAATATGTGCAATAGTGACTCGAGCTGGGTATAATGTAACCATGATTTGGAAATAGCACATCTGTAATGAAAGAAACAGAAGATGCTATGTCTCTGCTCCATCTCTTATAGCTATAGCTTCTTCCTGAAGAAACTCTCATGTGGTTTTCATATGAAAAATGATAAGAGCAGAATATTTGAACTTTCTTAGCTAATATGCTCAATGGATGAATGAATAGATAGAGAGATAGATGATGGATAGATAGATTAGATAGATAATTGATAGCCGATAGATAGATAGATAATAGATGGATAGGTAGGTAGATGATAGAGATGAGATTTTGATAGGTAGGAAAGTAGGTAGATGATGGATGAGTAGATAGATAAGCGATGGATTGATAAAGGTAGAAGACATAGATGATGATAGATGATAGATGGATGTAGATGAATAGAGAGATGATAGATGAGACAGATGATAGACACATAAGATAACAGATAAATGGATAAGATGAGATAAATGGATAGATAATAAATAGATACATAGATGGATACAGAGAGACATGAGAGTTGAATAGGTAGGGAAGTAGTTACATAGAAAGCTTGATAGATGGATGAGTAGATAGATGGATAAAAATGGAAGAGATAGAGATAGATACGAGATAGACAATGATAGCTAAACTAATAAATCTAATAGCTATTACATATGATATGAATTCATACTTACATCCACACAGTTGAGGTTTGCGTGTAGAGGAATAGTTAGATGTTAGCAATTTGTACTGAATTACAATTGTACTTTGTGTATTTAAGTGTCATAAGCCAAATTCTAAATAACCTAATCCTTTTAAAATTCTCAATTCACCAGAATCCTGAGTTAAAAAGAACTCACAACCCTCCAATTCCAAATAATTTCTCGAGAGTAATGATGCAGTTGAGAGAAACCCCCAGCCTCTGTGAGAGAGGAAACTTCTCCACTGCGTTCCCTGGAAATAGGCACTCTTTGGGGCTCTCATTTGCCTCGAACTAATGATTTTGTTCTCTTTGTTTGCTTATGGGGGAAACAACTATGTTATAAATCAATGAGTTTTAGCTTTGTGCGCTGAATCTGGAGATCCGACACTTTTGGAAAATTATTTTTGAAGCTGACCTCACTCATCTGTGCCGGCCTTGGCAGAGGCTGTGGTTAGATGCTGGTTCTGCTCACATAGATATGCCACATGGAAAAAAATAAAAGTACTTTCAACAAACCGAGAAGCGGTGACCCAGACATAAAGAATGAGCATTTGTTTCCAGTGTCCGCTGGTGACTCACTTCACTCTGTCATTGGTCAGAGCCTTCCCGTTCTGAGGCACAGCCCTGGCAAAGGCGGGGTTCTGGAAGGACAGGGCTTGCCTGGGAGATAATGATTCAGGAATCAGACAGGGGGGCGGGTGTTCGGTAATTGTATCACTCCACCCTCAGCGTGAGTTAGAAGAGGATTGCACTCCAACTTCTGCTGCAGGTCTTCATTCTCTGCTGTGTGTGTGTGTGTGTGTGAGAGAGAGAGAGAGAGAGAGTGTTACTCTGTCGCTCAGGAGTGCAGTGGCACGATCTCAGCTCACTGCAGCTTTGACCTCCTAGGGTCAAGCCATCCTCCCGCCTCAGCCTCCGGACCAGCTGAGACTACAGGCGCAAACCATCATATGCCTGGCTAATTGATTTGCATTTTTTGTAGAGACAGGGTTTTGTTACGTTGCCCAGGCTGATCTCGAACCCCTAAGCTCAAGCAATCTACATGCATCGGCCTCCCAAAATGCTGTGATTACAGGCATGAGTCACCACACCCGGCCACCATTCTCTGCTTTTCACTTGAGTAAATGCATTTACAAGCAAGGGTGAGCTCTGACAAAGAAAGCTCTTGCCCAATTCCACAAACAGAAAAAGGATGAGGGATGAGTATTCAGGATACTGAGTATCTTGAATATAGTGGAACATCTGGGTTTTGGTTTTTTGTTTTTGAGACAGAGTCTCGCTCTGTTGTCCAGGCTAGAATGCAGTGATATAATCCCAGCTCATTGTAGCCTCGACCTCGTGGACTCAAGTGATCCTCCCACCTCAGCCTCCCGAGTAGATGGAACTGCAGGTGTGCAGCAGCACACCCGGCTATTTTATTTTTTAAATTTTTGTAGAGACGGGGTCTTACTATGTTGCCTAGGCTGGTCTCAAACTCCTGGGCTCAAGCTATCCTCCTGCCTTGGCTTCCCAAAGTGCTGGGTTTACAGGCATGAGCCACCACTCCCAGACCTGGTTTTTTCTAATATCCTTTCCTTTGACACTCATTTGTTAGGGGAATGCATTTATTCCTTAGGGCTGCGGTAACAAATTGCCACCAATGTAGGGGCTTCCAACAACACACATATTGAACCTGCCATTACTTTCGCACCAACCTAGTACATACTCTCACGGTTCTGGAAGTTGGAAGTCCTGAATCAATACTACCAAGCTGAAGTCAAGGTTATCTCCATGGTTGTGCTCCCTTGGAAAGCCTGTGGGGAGGATCCTTCCTTACCTCCTCCAGCTTCTGGCGGCTCCATCGTCATCACTCCGATCCTCAAGGCCAGCCTCTCTGAATTCTCTCTGTGCTCCATCTCGCACCATCTTCTCCTCTGTGGGTGTGTCAGGTCTCCTTGTGTCTTCTTCACATTAGGATCCATGTCTGGCAATTTAGGAGTCACCACTGCTCGGTTTGTTGAAAGTACTTTTACTTTTTTTCCATCTGGCATATCTAGTTGAGTGGAACCAGCATCTCCCCCACAGCCTCTGCCAAGGCCGGCCCAGATGAGTGAGGTCAGTCCCCCAAAAATAATTTTGCAAATGTGTCAGATCTCTAGATTCAGTGCACAAAGCCACAACTCATTTATTAATCATCTAGTTGTTTCCCCCTACAGGCAGGATTATCTGCCCATCTCAAGATTTGTACCTTACACACATCTGCAAAAATTCTTTTTTCCAAATAAGGTTCCATTCACAGGGTGTAGAGAGGAACAGCTGATCTGTTTGGGGAACATTATTCAGACTATGGCTGGGAATGGGATGTCGCCATTTTGGAAGGATGCATTTTTCAAAAACAATTTCAACTTTTATTTCAGATTCAGGGGATATTTGTGCAGGTTTTTTTCCTGGGTACATTGAGTGATGCTGAGGTCTGGGGTATAACTGATGCTGTCACCCACGTAGTGAGCATTAGCACCCACTAAGTACTTTTTCAACCCTTGCTGCTATCCCTCCCTCCCTGCTCTAGTAATCCCTGGTGTCTCTTGTTGCCAGGAACGATGAATTTTTAAATTGATGTCTGTCCCAAGTATCCCTGGGAAAGACTGGGAGTGTGGTTACATTGTGGTCAGCAGTGTAATGCTGTTTCTCTGCTGGAAAATAAAGAAGTGGTGTTAAAACTGAAAGAGATCTTGGGAATCTTCCCCTTAGAGCTTACAAATATCTCAGCCAGGTCCTTGGGAGGTCAGAAGGACCGAATGGGGCCAACCCCCACCCCACCAGCATCTCCTCCACCCATGCTGCCTGACCAAGAGAAAATTAAATTATCTTTTACTGTAGCCAAATTCTCGTCAATTATCCTCTCTTCCATGTTTGTTCTGTTCTTCCCCCTCCTGGAAGACAGAATGAGCCTTTACTGCATGTGAATTGTTGGCTTTCTTGCCAGCCCAGGTCCTGACCCATGGGCTGTGCTTGAGGAGCCTTTGGAGTCTTTTGCAGGAGGACAGCCATACCAGCTTGAAGTAGACCCCACTCAAGAGGCAAAAGACTCCTGAACAAGCTCATATTCAAGTGGTTCCAAAGTACTAATGTATAAGGGGAAAAAAAAGCAAATCTCAGCTCTCCAAGTAGAGAAAGAATGTTTTACAGCTATTTAAACATCGGTAACAAGAAACCCTTGACATAACTAGCTTCTCCCAAACGAGCAAATAAGTACTCTTACTAATGTAAGAAACATGAATAAACACGAGAGAATTCCAACAAAACTCAAGGGGATCAACTTTTTTCTTTAACTTTTCACATCTGGAGCTTTCAAATTCTGTCAATTTAGCATCTAAAAAAAATAATTGACACATGTTCAGCATATCCGTATGCAATCAAGGTGCTGCCATTAAACATCATATGATTCTTTTCATAGCTTGATAAAAATAAATTATATCATAGCGTGGGGGCATTTGAGATAGACTGTATGAATTCCCTTTGTATTAATGTTTTCTATATTTTTCATATTTCCAGATAGTTTCCCCCAATGACATTGGTAATTCTGTTTTGTTTTGTTTTTTAAATGATAAAGAGAGTTTAGCTTACACCCTTAGGTCTCAGCAAACTCCCTTGGTGATGGTGAGAGAAACTTTCCATCATTAACAAAAAACATATGCTGAGGTTTAGATGACATCAATCCGATTCCTGTGGAATGATGGGATTTGGGAGTTCAGTGCAGTTAGACAAAAAAAAAAGAGAGAGAGAGAGAGAGCCTTACAGTTTACTCAGAACCATAATTTACATCAAGGGGAACAGAGAGAAGAGAATAAAAGACCATTAATAAGAATCTCTTTTCATTATGTCAGGGGACATGAGGCAATAACTAATAAGAACTGAGACAGCTTATATGTATGGTGTTATTGTGATGGAATGTGTAGCATCACCCATGGCAAGCCACATTCATCTTAGATACAAGGCTATTTTCATATCCTCAGGGGAATCGTTATCTCCAGGGTGTTGGGTTCATTCCTCCCTCCCAAAACCCTGCTCCGCTCACCCATTCTAATCTCCCTGTTGGCCTCTTCGTTGGTCATGTCTTGACCACAGACACCACCTGACTAGGCTAACACTCATGTTCTCCTCCTCCTGCTCACTCTCTCTTCTCCTTTTCTTTCAACAACTTTACATGAATCAAAGATGCCAGATGGTGCTAGACATTTTTAGAAGGAAAAAAAAACACATGGAAGATGTTCTCAAACTTTCCTGCCTTCACTAAGAAGTTTTCTCTTAACTTGCTCTTTCCCAAAAGCTATCGTCTACTCTCTCTTCTTCCCGTCACTACCAAATATCTTCACCCATAGTCTACGCTCATTTTCTCCCATGGGTTATGGCTCCCGCCGTCTTCATTACTCTGTGATGCTGCCCTTGGAAACATGGTTGAGATCTCATTTCCAACCCAGGAACTCATTCTCAAGAGTTTATCTTCTTTGGGCTTCTGCCTTGTCTCTCTCTTCTGAAATTTATTCTGAAACCTCCCCTGGTTTCCACAGTGTCCTCCTTTCCTCTTCCTGGTAGCGCTCATACTTCCCATATCTATCATTATATTTTATTGTTTTCTCTCCTCCACATACCCATATTTGTAAGAGTTTACACTTGGTCCCTTTCTTTTTCTCTGAGACCTCATCTACTTCTGCTCCATTAAATATCTCCCATACACACATGGCTCCCCGGGTCTTTAGCCTTTCCCTGGTGAGACTCAAATTGTCATTGATCTACTGAATTTGTTTACTTGGATGCCTCTATTTAACTCAAACTCATATTTCTTAGCCCCTCACCTCATCTTAGTCAATTTTATGCTGCATCACAAATTACCACAGACTGGTTAACTTATGAAGCAAAGAAATTTATTCTCTCACAGTTCTGGAGTCTGGGAAGTCCAAAAACAAGGTACCATGGGTCAGGACTTATTCTCCTAGAGTCTACAGAATGCTGCCTTGAATGCTGGGCCTTCCAGAGGGGAGAAAGGTTGTGTCTTCGTGTAGCAAAGGAACATGGGGGCTTGTTGTGGGGAGAGACAGAGGAAGAGAGAGAGAGGAGAACCCACTCCCACCCAAGCTCTTCTTCTGGCTGCTTTAATGCACTCATGAGGTGGAGCCCTCATGACCTAAACACCTCCCATTAGTCTCCGCCTCCCAAAACTGTTGCATTGGAAGTTATGTATCCAACACATGCATTTTGGAGGGGACAAAAACCTTCAAACCATAGCATTCCCTTCATCCCCACTGCACCACCATTACATGTCATATCTCAAGGAGTCACTATCTGTTTATCCAAATGAGAAATCATGGCCACATTTTTTAGCTTCCATGTCCAATCGTTATCCTCACATCAGACCTGGCAAAATGTTCCACCAAGTCTGTGGATAACTTCCCTCTCCAATCTTTCCCTTTCTCCTTAGTCCCTCTGCTGTTTTCCTGGTTCAAATCATCATCTCTCTGAAGGCTAAGACAGACACTGGTAACTCCCATTCTCTCCTTTGTATTTTTTGTCATGGAGTGTCCCCCCACCGGCCAAAGTTTTTGCTGGGCACGTCTGCCTCTGTAGGGATACCTTTCCGCAGCCTCCCTTGCAGGTAGTGGCAGAATGTGACCAAGTGTATCAGTGAGCTATGAGAAGAATGGGCTGGCCCTCTGCTGCCCTTTTTTTTTTTTTTTTTTACTTTCCTGAGGGCTAGTTCCTGTAGATATTGTTTGCTGAGCATGTATAACACTCTTTGGTATAGCAAAGACAGCAATGAGAGCTAGGTTCCCTGAAAAGACTTTCCTGTGTACCTACTAAGCCACATCGGACCTATACTTAGAAACAAATTTATCTCTCATTGGAAGCTTATATCACCATCATCATCATCACCTTCACCATCATCATCACCATCACCATCACCATCATCATGACTATCATCACCAACACCATCATCACCATCACCATCACCACCATCACCATCACCATCACCACCATCACCATCACCACCACCATCACCATCACCATCACCACCATCACCACCATCACCATCACCACCATCACCACCACCATCACCATCACTATCACCACTACCACCATCACCACCACCACCATCACCATCACCACCACCACCATCACCACCACCACCATCACCACCACCACCATCACCATCACCATCATCACCACCACCATCACCACCATCACCATCACCATCACCACCATCACCATCACCACCACCACCACCATCACCATCACCACCACCACCATCATCATCACCATCACCACCATCACCATCACCATCACCACCATCACCATCACCACCACCATCACCATCACCACCATCACCATCACCATCACCACCATCACCGTCACCATCATGGTCATCACCATCATCATGACTATCATCACCAACACCATCATCACCATCACCATCACCATCACCATCGCCATCATCATCATCTAAATTTTCTACTTTATTTAGGTCTCTTTGGTTTTCCCCAATATCCTCTTTCTGTTCCAGCATCTTCCAAGATCTTACGTTACATTTAGTTATGACATCTCTTTATGCTCCTCTTGGATGAGACATTTTCTTAGACATTCCTTGTTTTTGATGACCTTGACAGTATTGAAGACACTTGGCAAGTATTTTCTAGGATATCCCTCAGTTAGGATCTGTCAGTTTTTTTTTTTTTTTTTCATGATCAGACTGGGCTTACAGGTTTTGGTGAGGAAAACCACGGAAGTAAAATGCCACGTTCATTGTATCATATCAAGAGTGCCTTCAAGAACCTACCAGCGGGGATTATGGCAATGGACCATAAAAGTTGTCATTGGCAGTTTCCAAATTAAGGTTCTCTCCTTTTCTTTTCTTTTTGGCTTGTTCTGCCCGTCATTAGCCAACGCATTAAGATTGCGGTATATGTCACCACCTAGATTTAACTGCATTTGGAGAATTAAGGTAGAGGCTTATGTCATATTTTGGATGCTGTGTATTGATATCATAAGTACTAGTGAAGGCACCCACAAGGAATAAACTTTTCCCCAGTGTCTAAGTTAGACTCAAATCATATTGTTTGGGCATTAACACAAAGGGTAAGCCCTGAAGAATAAGGAGGAGGAGAAAAGGGAGAAGGAAAAGAGGAAAAGCAGGAGATGAAGGTAGAGGAGGAAAGAGAAGGAAGAAGAGGAGAAAGAGTAAGGAAAAAGGGAGAAAGATAAAAATGTTAAGGTCACTCTCCCCATAATGGATTAGACACAAAACCTTGTTCCACAGAAGGGTAAGTCTGGAAAGAATTGAAGAACCACAGCTCAGTTTTGCAAAGGGAAAGGGTATGAACCCAAGTAGAGACAGGACAAGTTTGCTCTGTGTTTGACTTGTTTTCAACACCATTCCACCCATGAATGCCACCATGCGCTTGCTTCAATGTCAGGTTGAGGAATCAGTCTAAGCAAACTTCCTTCATACTTTCTACTATCAGCCCAACCATAGGCAGATTATCTACAGTTATTCATTCAACATTTATCTTATTGGCAAGTCTCCTTCCTGCCTTCCTCCTACCTTGCACAATATTGAATCTCTGCATTTCTATTTCCCAGTTACATTTTGATTTTTCAGCAAGATCCATACATCCAGGCATCGATGTGAGTTGTCAGCAGGTAGTGGGGGCAGAGTGGATGCTGAAAGGCCCCAGAGCTCCTTAAAGCTGAGTCCCTTTGCTTGCCAAAATGCTCTCATATCCTGTTTTGCATGCCACGTGTTAGACAGTACATTCCATCCAGTGGAGATACAGCTGCTTGTATCATTGCAAACCAGCTAAAGACACGCAGCCCCGGCTTCTGCAGAAATTGGCTAGGATGCGAGTTAAATTGTCCCAATTTGCTAATGAACATACAGAAGGAAAAAATCTTTTCAGCTTGGCTGGTTAGTTGCAAAATATGTCATTTTCTCATTCACATAATTGTTGGGCATGATCAAGTGGAAAATGCAACTATTTTTAAGGTACTCTTTTGCCATATAATGGTGACTCTTTAAGGGTACACATCAGGAAGATCCATCTGGGAATTTTTTTTACTAGGTAGTTAAGATTTTCTCCCCTCCCCCAGACCTACTGAAAAAGGATAGGGTGCATGAATTTTGATAATGTTCTCCCTGGGATTTTGATTTCTAATCCTGGATAAGAGCTCTGCTTGAAAGAAGTGGGGTGATTGGGTTTAGGGCTGCTTCCAACACTGAAGTTTAGGATTCTATGAAGCTTTAAATTTGGATGGAGTGAAGAAAAACCCAGACATCCATTAATGTTAATAAACAGCTGCACATTAGGAAAGTAGATACACTCATAAACTAAAATATCTCTTTATTTTTGTTTCCTGGCATGAGTGCATTCACCTCAGAAACAGTCTCTATGGAAGCGGCCAACATGTAGTCCCTACTGTGTTTATCCAGCCCACTTCCTCCTCCTACTCTCCAAATATCTTTTGCATTACTCTCCTCAACCCACTAAGTGATTTCTGCTCATCTCTCTTTCTGCTCAACTTCAAAAAAGAACATTTTATATTGGATTATGGTGATCAGAGAACCCGTAAAGACCTTATGGTCTTATAGCACATGTTTGGCATCATTACTATCATTACATAGGCCTGATGTTTCTGTAGATGAGTATCTATAGCTATAGATAGAGCTATAGATGACCAAACAATCAATGAGCTCGCTGCTCAATGCACATAGAGACTAATACCATGACACTGGCTTTTGACAAAAGAAAAGCTTTATCGTGAGTCAGCTGGCAAAGAGACAGGAGGTAATGCTCAAATCTGTCTCTGTGAGCTGGGCTTTGGGTCAGGTTTTATAAGCACAAGGTAATTAGACAAGATCTAATTGGACCTTGCAATGAAGTGATGCCATGAGGCATGATCTGATTGGATCTTGCCATAGGGTGACAACAGGGTTCAATCTGATTGGATCCTGAATCTTGACACGTGGTGTCTGCTTCTTAGTTCAGTCCCTGCTCCTCAGTTAGCTTTCTCTCAAGTTGCATGCTTGGTTCATCTGGGCACATTCAGGTTACATGATCCTCAATGTGGGGGTTCATGGCAACTGAAGAACAAATCACAATTTTGCTACATGAAAGTTGAGCCAGATTTGTCTGATGTCGTTTATATATATAATAATATGTACAGACACACACACACAGTTTCATGTTACTTAATTGGTCACTTCTTAGGTGTCATTTTTTTCAGTTCACAAACCGTAAAAAATTATAAACTTAATAAGGATGTCCATTGAATAAAGACAGCACTTTTAGCTCTCAGACATTAGGAATAGCATGCATTTTATATAAGTTTAACAAAGAAACAGAATAACTTGGACTGTCTACCATTACTAGAAAACCAGAGAGATCAAGGAAGTAGAGTGCAAGAATGTTATCTGGACATCCACCGAGGGTGGCCAACCATCTAGTTGACTCAGAACTTAGGGGTTCAGTGCTGAACACACCCTGGGATGTGGACATTCAAGCTAAAACCAAGAAAACCACAGGCAAACCAGTGTAAGCCGGCCACCATACTTATGCTTCCGGTCAAGATGGAGTAACAAAAACAGAGTTTTCCCTCCAGCCTCAAATGACCAAAAAGTAAAGAGTCAACCATTTAAGGGAGAACTATTTTCAAGACTGGATACCAGGCAGTTAAGGATAGTGATTCTCAAAAGAAGATTAATTTTTAAAATAAAGGGAAAATAAATAAATTTTCAAAAGAGAAAAAAAAAAAAGGACGGTGATTCTCTAGAAGCAGAAAAACAAAGTGAGACCTATGGTGGCCCCAGCTCACTGCCTTGAGAGCATTTCCAGGCTATGACTGGAAGGCAGAAACTAAGAGAAGCCTGGAAAACTCCCCGAGTTGAGGAGATGGAGCTGAGAGAACAGCCCAATCATAAATCAACCTACTAGAAAGCATCTCGCCATCAGAATTGTCAAAACATCAAAGCGGCATACCTTTGCGATAAGAGATTCTGGAAATTTTCAAACACAGTTGGGTCAACTCTTGCTTCTATCCCTTGAAACCCTAATGTAAGATGTTTGGAGTGTGTGTCGGGCTGTTTTCTATTTAATGCAAAACTTTGAGCCAGCTCAAACACTGTCAGATTTACACTATTGAGTTTTAAATGACTTCTTTTAAAAAGTTAGATATATTATGCAATATTCCATCTAATATTTTGAGGGGAACAAAAGAATGCAAATACAGTTTGATGGACTTTAAAAAAATCATTGTAGGCCGGGCATGGTGGCTCACACCAGTAATCCCAGCACTTTGGGATGCCAAGGTGGGAGGATTGCTTGAGCCCAGGAGTTCAAGACCAGCCTGGGCGACATAGCAAGACCTCATCTCAAAAAATAAAATAGAATAAAAATAAAAATTTAAAAAAACATTATAATTCTATCCTGAAAAGATAAAAAATCAAACCCAGCATATCATGAGTAATTCACCTATTAGACAACTTAGTACAGTGCCAGTAAAATGGGAAACTAGGTCTATACTGAGATAATCTAATTATAGTTCATGCTTTGCTTTCTGATGTTGGGTTGTTTCAAAAGAAAGACATTTTGGCATAAAACATCCAGATAATTACAGTTAATCTGAATTTATCATCTTTGATTTTATTTGTAGATAACAACAATGTTTACATTTGTTTAGTTTCTGTAAACCTCAGTCTATAAACAAAGAAGATACCTTCGAGACTATCCACCTGTGAATTAAAATTATTTGCTTTAGCAAGACTAAGCAGAAGAAGAACATAGCATATGCTGTAGAGGACGTGTCTTGTTCCTTTAGTGGCATTTCTTACTACTGGAGTTTTTTGCACTCAATTTATCTGGGATTTAGAAAACGTAGCCTTAGCTGTACATGCTTGGGAAGAAAGAAAGCCTTCACATTCTCCATATGTGTAACAAAGATGTGTATTTCAAGCATATAGATGCTTTTCTGCAACAAAAAATATATAGTCTCAATGGGTTATCCAGACTGCCTTTATGTTCACCAAAGTGTTAGGCTGTCCAAGATTAAAATTCCCCAAGCCCGTTAACCTCACCCGTTTTTTTCTGACTACAGCATAAGCAACTCTTTCATGACATCACTAAATAACATACACATGTGGTCACAGTTACAGATATATATTTCCTGGCTGTATGCAAGATGAGGCACTGTTTGCACAGTATCCTTTAAGCAAAATGTCACCTTCCACCTGCAGACATCTGCCTACCCAAATGCGGGTGTGCAAGCAGTATATGCTAAGAAAAAATCTGTTATAAACTGTCAGAAGAAGACCAGACAAACTGCAGACCTCAACAGCCTACCGCCCTTAGGCAGCCGTTTCTACAAGAAATTATGTGCAGATTTTCCTAAGCCCAAGAGCTGTTGTAGACAGGCATGGTTCTCACACATTGCATCATTGTTCCCCAGTTGGGAATTAACTCTGTCTCAATCCCATTTTAATGTCCCCAGCAGGTATATCAATGCTCTGATTCCTCTCTGATTATCATCGAATCACCAAATTACAGTAAACAAAAGTCAGACCATGCAGTGAAGAGACTTCTCCATCCATAGCATGTTATTCTTTGAAAGTAGATGGTTTTATTTAAAAAATAAGAATGTACAAAATTGTGCATGCTAGTTTTTTTCAGAGAACTTAAAACACACGGTTACCCTGGAGGAAATGGTCACATTCTTTATTTCTGTCAGTGCCTGTCAAGATTAAACTTCCTGATTGGAGACTAGAAGATAAGATCAGAGCAGGAATACAAAGAAAGAGAACACAGGCTACCAGACGTTTCCAATCACAGTAAGAAATGGCCTCTGGAATGGAACTCAAATTAGACTAAATTCCAAGAAAAAACCTCCACCGGTCCTATCTCTAATTTTTTTTTCACGCACAAAACCATGGGATTTCTCAGATCTCAGTCTGTAACTGTCTTGGTCAGCTTGGGCTTCCATAACAAAATACAGTATACTGAGTGGCTTATAAACAGCAGATATTTGTCGCTCACAGTTCTGGACTCTGGAAGTCCAAGATCAAGACATGGCAGATTTAGTGTCTGGTGTGGACTTCCTTCCTGGTACGTAGATGGCACCTTCTTGCTATGTCCTCACATAGTGGAAGGGGTGAGGGAGCTCTCTGGGGTCCCTTTTATAAGGGCACTGATTTCATTTATGGGGCTCCACCCCTATGACCTTATCACCTCCCCAAAGCCCCAATTTCTAATACTATAACCTTGGGAGTTAGGATAAATTTGGAGAATACATGAACATTCAGACCATAGTAGTGGCAAAGGCTATAGTCATGTGTCACTTCACAACAGAGATACATTCTGATAACTATGTCCTTAGGTGATTTCCTCATCGTGTGAACATCACAGAATGCACTTTCACAAGCCTAGATGGTCTAGCCTACTACACACCTAGGCTATATGGTCTAGCCTGTGGCTCCTGGGCCACAAACCTGTATAGCAGGTTACTGTACTGAATACTGTAGACAATTGTAACACAATGGTAAATATTTCTGTATCTAAACTCATCCAAACATTAAAATATACAGTAAAAATATGGTATATAAAATAAAAAATGGTACATTAGTATAGGGCAGATTCATTATATCTTTAAGGAATGACTGTCATATATGTAATATATATATCCAGGAGTTGGAGGCTGCAGTGAGCTATGAATGTGTCACTGCACTCCAGCCTCGGTTACAGAGGAAAATCCTGTCGAAAGGAAAGGAAAAGAGGAGAGGAGAGGAGGGGAGGGGAGGACAGGGGAGGGGAGGAAAGGGTGTTAATATCAGATAATTTGACAGAGAGTGGGAAACCAGGAGAGAATAATTTGGAGTGGGAAAAAAAGGGAGAGAGTAGATACAAATGCTGTTTGCAAAAGAGCAAATCAGACAGTTTCTCCTCACAGCCAACTCGTAGATAAAATAGCATCCCCTTGCTCTTCTGGGTGTAATGAAAATTCCCACTCAGTAGGTGTTCTACTATTATGACATTAGGTCTGGTAAAATGCCAGTGCTGTTTGCCTGTTGCCATAATTAAGTAGCCATTGACACTTGAGTAAGAATTAATAAATAGTGCACTGTCAGCAAATGGATTGTCAGGTTCGAAAACCCAGCTGATTTACTTCCAAGAAAGACAAACCCCCTACTGCAGCAGAGAGCCTGGAATTAACAAGACTTAATCTGCTAAAGGAGAAGGCAGACTCCCAAAAAGGGTTAACGGGAAACTGAACACAAGTCCCACTCACATCAGGATTTTCCAGAGCACAGACTGACCTTTCACAACTCCACAATAAAAACCAGTGACTTCTGAAGAGGGATTCTGAATCATATTTTTCCCCAAGGATTTGGAAAAGTCACTTTTTCATGTGTCATCCTCACTTGTGGGGGACATGTGTGTGTGTGTGTGGCTTCATGATTGATTGTCTTATGCAAACTCTAATTTTTTACCCAGGTCTACCTTGGTTATTCTACATAGGTGGTCCAATTCTCCATTTATTTACCCCTTTTTCTGCCATGCTGTTATCCCTTAAAATTAGCTTTACATTTTTTAAAAAAAAAATGTGTCCAAGGCATGAACCAGGCATAGGCACAGATGAAAAGCCAAGCTGGGAGGAACAAGGGGTTGCTTTGTCCCTGGCTGATATGAGATGGGCACCACCAACTGGATGCCACTCTACCCAGGTCAGGGAAATAAAATGAGCTTCTTAGGACAAATCAGAAAGGCACTCAAAGACAGTCAGCGATAGGGTTTGGATCTGTGTTCCCACCAAATCTCATGTCAAATTGTATTCCCCAGTTTTGGAGGTGGGGTCTGGAGAGAGGTGATTGGATCATAGGGGTGGGTCCTTCAAGAATGGTTTAACACCTTCTGCTCAGTGCTGTTCTCATCATAGTGAGTGAGTGATCACGAAATCTTTTGCTTGTTCAGAAGTGTGTAGCACCTCCCCACGCCTTTCTCTCTCTTCTTCCTACTCCAGTCACTAAGATGCCTGCTCCCCCTTCACCTTCCACCATGATTGTCAGTTCCTGAGGCCTCCCCAGAAGCAGAAGCTGCCATGTTTCCTGTACAGCCTGCAGAACTGTGAGCCAATTCAACCTCTTTTCTTCATAATTATCTAGTCTCAGGTATTTCTTTTCAGCATTGCTGAGGCAGGATAGGTAGTCAAGAAAATGACTGTGTTCTTTGTGTGCAGCAACCATGGTTACCATGACCATACAGTCAACACAGTAAGCTTCAGCATTTGCACTGTCATTGAACTCATTCAAGCAAAACAATTCTTCAGTAGGAACTTTCCCTTACAGAGAGCATGCGCATTTTGATGTTACCAGTCCTCAAACTGACCCTTTGCTCATTTTAATAGTAAAAAGCACACCTGCGGGTAGAGATATAAGATGTTAATGAGACCTGCAATGCATGAAAAAGCACGTACAGCTACTGCTCATGTGCACCCAGAGGACCACCCAGAACATGCTTAACAGCAACACCTCTTTCCACCTCCTTATAAATCATCATGTAAGACTCCCATAAAGGGAGTTTCTCCAGCAATAATCAATACTCTGTCACCCTAACTAGCTGCCTGCCCTGAATCTACTTTCTCAGGTTGTACTCTCTAGTCTCCCGCTGACTTTCAAAATACTCTTTTTGTTTTGCAATAATTTACTCTATGCTGCATCTCCTTGGCTGTGTGTCTGTGTTTAAATTCTTTTAAACTAGGAAGACAAGAATCAAGGTATCACGACAGCCGTCAACAATGTGAGAACGGACTAATATGAACAGAAAATGAGGAAAACAGCTATCAGGTAGCAGGACGAGAAAGTCTCTGATTTCATCCTGCAAACAACCTGTACCACACCAGGCTCACAGGCCCTCCTATATCCTTCAAGCTCACAGGGACCCCCACCATCCTTCCATGCCGACAATATCCCACGTGTTCTCCCAAGCTCAAAGTGGCTTCCACATCTTTCTAAGCTCTCACTCACTCGCAGTCCATGTCCTCCAAATCATATTTCTCACAAGATTCCACAACTTTCTTTTCCTGCCTCTTCCCTACAGGCAGAGGTTAGAATCAGCCTCTCTGGTCAGCCTCATCTGAACTCCTTTTTCTGTCTTTTCTTTCCATTCGTTCATAATCAGTGCTTTGATTAACATCTCCACACTTGGACACCCTGGGTGAAATGTGCTCCCTGTGGGGCTCTGACGGATACCCCATCTTCATTCATTCATTTCTATAAAGCAACTTGAGGCTTGCAACCCTGTTCACTGTTCAATTTGCCTTTTTAAACCCAGCCTCATATTCCACCATCCTACAGAAACCCCCATGGCTCCACAGTCTCCCAAAAGTAAATTTAGGGGGAAAATAGCCTATGATATACAACTTGTAAAATTTTGTCTGTTGATTTCACCTTTCTGATTTGGCTGAAGTTTCACAATGCAGGGATATCATCATCACTCTTCCAACAGGAAGAAATCTTTTTCTTCAATTCCCAGCAAACTGAGGAACTAGAAGATGAGTAGCACTGGCACTCAAAATATTTAGACACATATGAGGGCATTTCTTGCCCAAAATGACAGCTTAACTTTACTGCTACTGTTTACTGTAATCTTAGGAGGCTTGTGAATTTTTCTGACCCTCCAGCAAAGGTGAAGATCAGTCATCCATAACTGATGTCGTAAAGCAGATGGCATGAAGCAGACATCTGCAGTGGTAATGGAACAGGAAGCTTACACTCTTCCTAGCTTGGAAACAATGCTCAAAAAGGGTACCTGGTAAAGACAAAGAGTTAACACTGGGAAGTGTGCTGGGGAAATGCTAATTTTCTCACACTTTCCATGCTCATGCTCAGTCCCTGGGGCAGCGTGACCAAGAGCTCTAGGAAGAGAAGGAGAATCTCTTTTCATTTACCCCTGACTCCAAACATGCATGCAAACAGATGGGTGCATCAGTAGAATAAGTTCACATTCATCTACCAAAGGGTTCAATAAACTAAGAATTACATGATCCTATTTGGGGTTAAAACATAGAAATTTTGGTTTCTTCCAATAATAACAACTTTGCACTAGTAGTTCACTATCTAGAGCAAATAAACTAGAGAAGCATGGTGACTATGAAATAAAAATCACAACTGAGTAAGACTTTTAGAAAGGAGACAGTATGTATTCACTGACAGCCACATATTTCAGCAAGATGCACCAGGTAGTTGTTCTTGAGAGAATTAATAACAGATGAATCTCAGGTTCAGAAAAGGCAAAAGTAAAAACAACAAAACTGAAAGCTACAGACAACTTGGAACAAGAATGTTCCAAAAAAAATCTGGCTTCAAGATGCTCAGGAACTAGATTCCTTCCTTTTATCTCTTCTACCACCCTAATACATGACTTTCATCTTCAAGTTTGCCTCATGTCTCAGTGTGAATGCTGAAGCTCCAGCCATTGTATCTACATCCCAGAAAGCAGATGAGGGAGCAGTGAGGAACAAAATGGCCTCTGCGCCAAGTGAATTAGCTCTTTCTCTGCAGTCTTCCTAAATGTCCCACGACATTTCTACTGCAATCCTATTGAACTTAGTTACTTGGCCCCAACTAGTTGAATGAGAGGCTAGCAACTATAGTTTGCTCGTTAAGTTTGGAACATTACCACCTCAAAACAAATTTGAATTCACTTGAGAAAGGACTTCAGGGCAGGCTTGTAATCCCAACACTTTGGGAGGCTGAAGCGGGAGGATCACTTGAGGCCAGGAGTTCAAGATCAGCCTGGGCAACATGGCAAAACCCTGTCTCTACAAAAACTACAAAAAAATTAGCTGGGTGTGGTGGCAGGTACCTGTAGACCCAGCTACTTGGGAGGCTGAGGCAGGAGAATCACTTGAGCCCAGGAGACGGAGCTTGCAGTGAGCCAAGATTGCGCCACTGCACTTCAGCCTGGGCGATGAGAGTGAAACTGTGTCTAAAAAAAAAAAGAGAGAGCGAGCGAGCGAGCGAGCGAGAGAATGGACTTCAGTTATCAAATGCCAGTTTCTGCTCCAAATGCCATGGAATAACCGACTTGATGAGAGCTTAGAGATGACAGCTTAGAGATTGGTCAAGGAAGATTTGTGAGCCACGAACACCAGCTTCTAGAAAAGCAGTGCACACTCCTCTGCAGGCTCACTCCCAAGCAAGCCAATTGTTCACTGTGGAGTTTGGGTCTCCTGTCCCTTGCTCCCTTCTCCTCACACATCCCCAGTCACCCTGGAGGTCAGAATCTAAAATGGGTCAGCAGGGCTGCTGTCTTTGGGAGGCTCCAGGGAAATCGTTTCTTGCTTTTTTCTGACTTCTAGAGGCTGCCTGCATTCCTTGGCTCATGGCTCCTTCCTCTGTCTTCAAAACCAGGAGTGTTGCTTCACTTCCCCCTTCTCTGTCTGTCTCTGCCTCTCTCTTCTCTATCTCTCCTTGTGCCTCTGTCTGTCTCAGCCTCTCTCTGTCTCTCTTTCTGCCTCTGCCTCTGTCTCCCTCTCTCTGCCTTTCTGTCTCCCATTCTCTGTCTCTCTTTCTCTCTGTCTCTCTTTCCCTGTGTCTCTTTGTCTCTTCCTGTCTCTCTGTCTCTGTCTCTCTCTGTCTTTGTGTTTTTCCAACTCTCGTTGTCTCTCTCTGTCTCTGTGTCTCTGTCTCTCTCTCTTTGTGTGTGTGTGTGTGTGTGTGTGTGTGTGTGTGTGTCTCTGTGTGTCCCTCTCTGTCTCTGTCTGTCTTTCCTTCTCTTTCTCTGTCTCTCTGTCTCTGTCTGTCTCTCTCTGCTTTCTTCATCGCATGTCTTCGACTCCTTGCTGCTGCCCTCTTCCAAGGAGCTTGGTGTTACACTGAGCTCATCTGAATAATCCAGAATAATCTCCCCTCTCAAGAGCCTTAATCTGGAAAGTCCTGTTTGCCATGTAATGTAAAAGATTCACAGGTTTCTGAGATCAGGACATGAACATCTAGGGACAGGGGAGACCCACGTTGCAGCCCATGGCAACCACTTTAGGATTCTCAATAAAATAATAGAGTCAGCCAGGCCCAGTGGCTCACACCTGTAGTCCCAGCTATTCAGGAGGTTGAAGTGGGAGGATTGCTTAAGCCCGGGAGTGAGCTACGACTGCACCACTGCACTTCAGCCAGGGCGACAGAGCAAGACCCTGTCTCAAAATAAACACATTAATTAATTATATAGAACAGAATTTGTTTTTCTAAAAGGTATTTACTGTTTTGATGACTGTTATCTGAATGTTTCAGGTAATGGATTTTATTTATTTATTTATTTATTTATTTATTTATTTGTTTGTTTATAGAGCTGGGTTCTTGCTTTGTTGTCCAGGCTGGAGTGCAGTGGTGCAGTCATAGTTCATTGCAGCAGTGACTTCCTAGGCTCAAGTGATCCTCCCACCTCAGCATCCGGAAGAGCTGGGACAACCGGTGTGCACTACCACACCCTGCTTATTTTTCAAAACATTTTAGTAGAGATGAGGTCTGATTATGTTGCTCAGGCTGGTCTAGAACTCCTGTGCTCATGTGGTCCTTCCACCTCAACCTCCCAACGTGCTGGGATTACAAGTGTGAGCCACTGCACCTGGCCATGCTGATTTTAAAGCCTATTTAAATCTTAAAGCATTACATTGTCCTCCATTTGATGGCATAATAATATTTGTGACCATGTTCATATGACAGTGCTTAAACATGTTGAGTGTTCAGAGAAAGAACCACTGTTGCAGACTGACTGATGTTTAGAATGCCTTGTGGACAAAAATATTACAAAGAAGAAAGAAGTAGTTTTCTTTAGCCCTCAGAAGACTACTTGGTGAATAAACCAGTGACATTTCACTTTAAAGAAAAAATTAAGCAGGTAGGGTTTGCTTCAAAGTAAATGTGTGCTGAGCATAGGAGAATAAGAAGTGGAGAAACCTTGTATACATGGAAAGGGTAAAGTTAACTCTTGGAATGTGGCTAAAATTCAAGGTAAGGAACACAGCAAGTTGTCAGAGTCATAACATGAATAATTAAGGTAACACAGATAGAATTTTACAAATTCAGTTTGCAAAATAAATATCCAAAGAATGACTGAATAATTAGTAAGATCTATAGTTTAGCATTTAACAAAAAGGATTCACTTCGGATGCTGATCTGTGAGCCAATCTGTGTCTATTTCCATTCCTCTTTACAGCACAGCTGTCATATATTCGCTATAATATGATAGATATGCCAGGCATGGTGGCTCACACCTGGAATCCCAGCACTTTGGGAGGCTGAGGCGGGCGGATCACCAGAGATCAGGAGTTCAAGACCAGCCTGGCCAACATGGCGAAACCCCGTCTCTCCTAAAAATACAAAAAATAATATAAGCAGCCGCTTTTCCCTGGCACATGGGGTCTCCTCTCTTGGCTTTGGAGCCCCCTCCCTCTGTCTCTGCACAGGGGAGCTTCTTCCATCTTTCTTCTCCCTTCTTTCTTTCTATTAAACTCTCCGCTCCTTAAAGCCAAAAAAAAAAAAGATTTAAAAAATACACATACAACTACAAAAAATAGCCAGGTGTGGTGACGCACGCCTGTAATCCCAGCTAATCGGGAGGCTGAGGCAGGATAATTGCTTGAACTTGAGAGGTGGAGGTTGCAGTAAACTGAGATCGTGCCACTGCACTCCAGCCTCGGTGACAGAGTGAGACTCCATCTAAAAAAAAAAAAAGAAAGAAAAAAGAAAAAAAAGAATAATATGATAGAAAGATAGATAATAAAATAGTAGATTAACAGACGATACATGATAGGTAAGGTAAGTAGATAGATGATAGATAAAATGATAGGTTAATAGGTAATAGAATAATACAATAACAGATGATAGAGATGATATGTAGACAATACATAAAATGATTGATAGGTGACAGACATGATAGCTAGATAGATGACTGACAGAAAGATAATAGATGACTGCCTGACAGATAGATGATAAACAAATAGATGACAGGTAGATAGATATGATAGGAAGATGATAAATGATAGTCAATAGATAGATATGATAGATGATAACGATAGCTAGATGATAGATAGATGATAGATAAATGCATATGATAGATATGATAGAAAGATGATAGATAATATAGAGAGATGATAGATAGATAGATAGATAGATAGATAGATAGATAGATCAATAGATAGTACATACATACTTTCATTTCTATGGCTACTTTTTAAATAAATGCCTAATGTTTTATATGTTGACATATAAAAGCGTGTGTTCAGCCCAACTTCCATTGTGAAAAACAGCATGTGAAATCTAACACCACTCAAAGAATTTGGTGCATTTTCTTGGCTGTAGTGCTGGTCAAGTTTGGCCTCAACTGCCTAGAGTGAGCAGCAGAATCAGGGTAGGCGGCCGGAGCAGTGTAGAGCCCCATCACCCCACTCAACAATGACACAAACATGAAGTGAGGGCTGGACTCGGGAGATAAGAGGTTGGATACAGTGGACAGGTCACCAAGATTCAGAGTCTACCATGAAAATCAGACAGTGGGGCTTATAGTGGAATGGAGAGAGCAGGACCTAGGACCAGGGTGGTGACTCAGTGGGTCCACATGAATACTCATTGATGGTAGTTAGTAAAGAGGGGACATTTTTGTGGAGTCAAGATCCAAGCCGTGGGAACTCTGTCATCTGGTCCCAGAAACTGAGACCTAAAAAGGCTTTTATCTATGAAGAATTTTGACAAAGGCATACTTACTTACCTGAACAAGACAACAGTGTCAAAATATAGAAGATGAGGGGCAAAAAGAGAGAACAAGGCACTGGGTTTCCCCAATATCTTCAAGGGACATTACTAAGCTCTTAAGATGAAACACATCCCATAACCCGCACCATCACCAGGAGATGGGCACTATTCTCATCTTCATCTTAACAAATAAGACAATGGAAGTTCAGAGAGATTAGAGAATTTGGCCAGGTTTCCACAAGCAATAAGCAGAAACACCATTGCTTGTAAGAACCTGATCTATAATAGTGCAAAGGCAGTCTAACACTTATTTACAGTTCAAAGGATTGTAACAAGTAGATTTTTTTTTCTGTGTTACCCCCACCCCCCTTAATATTTTCATTAGCCAGCATTTAAATTATAAGCAGAGGTCGGGTGCAGTGGCTCACGCTTGTAATCTCAGCACTCTGGGAGGCCGTGGTGGGTGGATCACTTGAGGTCAGGAGTTCGAGACCAGCCTGGCCAACATGATGAAACCCCATCTCTACTAAAAATACAAACATTAGCCAGGTGTGGTGACGCATCCCTGTAGTCCCAGCTACTCGGGAGGCTGAGACAGGAGAATTGCTTGAACCTGGGAAGTGGAGGTTGCAGTGAACTGAGATCGTACCACTGCACTGTAGCCTGGGCAACAGAGCCAGACTCCATCTCAAAAAAATAAAAATAATAAAAAATAAATTATAAGCAGAATTTCCATTGCATTTTGCTTATCTGATGTTCACATCTTGGGTATAAGAACACTCATATTCAAGAGCTAAATAAAGTTAGACTCATATTCAAGAGCTAACTAAAGTTAGACACAATTACAGACATTAACACTATGAAGTTCTAGGAAGGGAAACACTAGAAATAAGAGGGGTGTAACTAAAAGCAAATCAAGCCATCTGTTTTCATCTAAGTACGTTCTATTCTTCATTGTTTGGTTTTTGCAATCACATGACAATATTCCAGTGCACACACTGAATGTCTCTCTCCTCTCTCGTAGGCAACAAGAATGGACAAGGCTTCTTAAGCTACTCAACTTCAAACTATGCACAAGTGAATTTTAAAGACACACAGAGCTATTTTACCGGCACAGACTTGGAGTTGTGTCCTGGTAACGTCTACACATCTCGGCCAATGCAAACACATCTCAGGTGTGGCAAAAACCAGGTGCAGCCAAGTGTCTCTACCCTTCGGAGAATTGGCTCACGAAAAATGTCCACACACCAATTCCATGAAAAGTTCATAAAGTATCATTTAAAGTAACAATGTTCAGCACATGTTTTAAAAGTTGCGAAGGAAATAGAGATAAAATAGAAATGGACAGAACTTGATGAAAACATAAAGTCAGTTTGGACTGCTCTCAGAAAAGGAGAACACACTATATTTTTATTTAATAGCTGGAGTTTGGGAACCATCTGAAACTCTGGAACCACTGCCTCCATTTTCCACTCCCCTCAGCCAGGCTAGAAACAGCATTGATTATAAAAGGTAGTGAACACGATTGCACCAAGAAAAATACGTCCATTGTAGCAGCTACTGGGTTAAGGCAGAATGGAAAAATCAGAGCCATCCCATTCTCCTAAGCCAGATTCCCAAGTGCGGAGGAAAGGAGGGGTGGGGGCAGGGACTGAGATTTCCAAGCAGAGTTAACTTCTGGTCCTCATTTGAGCTGGAATGGAGGGACTTAATACTTCGAATCTCTGAGACATTGTCTTTTTCCAACCCAACAGCACTGGATTCCACAAGTTATTCTAAGGATGGCTCTATGGCCAAATAAGCAAAGAAAGCAGAAAGCAGCACAATGTCTGGGGTATGGACAAGATGCCTGCATTATGCTTGGGCCACCATAACAAAGGTCCACAGACCGGGTGGCTTAAATAACAGACATTTACCCTCCCACAATCCTGGAGGCTGGAAGTCCGAAATCAAAGTGTGGGCAGCGCTGGTTCCTCCTGAGGCCTCTCTCTTTGGCTTCTAGACATCGTCTTTTCCCTTTTCCTCATGTTATTGTTCCTCTGTGTGTGTCTGTGCCATCTCCTGTTCTTATAAGGATTCCAGTCCTGTTGGATCAAGGACCACCCTACTGACCTTATTTTACCTTCGTCACCTCTTTAAAGACCCCATCTCCAAATATAGTCACATTCTGAGGTCCTGGAGGTTAGGATTTCAACATGTGGATTTGAGGAGGATACAGTTCAGCCCACCACAGTGCCTCTTCCTGACAAAGCATGTTTCATGCTGAAATGGTATGCACAAGCCACTAGCAGCTGCTTGGCATATGTTGATGGAGAGAGAAGAAATTCAGGCAATAGCAGTAAACATCAGAGCACATAGCAAGAGAGAGCATCGCCCTTGGACCATGTTTTAAAATTTGTTTTTTATCCTCTAAATCAGAGATTGACAAACTAGGGTCCACTGGCCAAACTTGGCCCATCATCTGTTTTTGTAAATAAAGTTTTATCGGCACACAGCCACATCCATTCATTTACATATTTTCTGTGGCTGTATTTTCAACCCAATGGCAGAGTTGAGTAGATGCTATGGAGACCAGATGATCCACTAGGCCAAAGATACTTAGCCAGTTTAAAAACAAACAAACAAACAAAAAACCGGTATGCCAATTCCTGCTCTAAATGATGGGACGTGATTAGAAAGAATTTTATTTAAGAGCATGGCACACTCACATTTATAATTTTGTAATTACCCAAGCAATCCTGTAGGGATTGAACTAGAAGGAAGTGCCAGATGGAAGAAGACCTCAAGGGAGACGGGGCACAGGGATGTAAGATAGGAATTCGTGTGTGAGATAATCGTGGAAGGCTGAAATTTCCTTTAAGACCTAGATAGTAAGTTCTTCAGGGAAAGAAAATTGCGGGGCAGAGAGGAGGCAAAAATGACTTGCAAAGGTTTGCAGCCCCTGATCGGACATGTGGGCAAGAACTTTTCATGGGTGCAGAGACTATTTCTAGGCAGCTTACAGACCTGGCAGGGTGAGGCACCACCATTGATCAGTGTATTAGTCTGTTCTCATGATGCTAATAAAGATATGCCCAAGACTGGGTAATTTATAAAGGAAAGAGGCTTAATTGACTCACAGTTCCACATGGCTGGGGAGGTCTCACAATCATGGCAGAAGGTGAATGAGGAGCAAAGTCACATCTTACATGGTGGCAGACAAGAGAGCATGTGCAGGGGAATTCCCCTTTATAAAACCATCAGATCTCATGAGACTTATTCACTATCACCAAAACAGTAAGGGAAAGACCCACCCCCCATGATTCAATTACTTCCCACCGGGTCCCTCCCACAATACATTGGAATTATGGGAGCTACAATTCAAGATTTGGGAGGGGACACAGCCAAACCGTATCAATCAGTAAGTGATTGATCAGAGCCCAGGGGTAGTCTCAAGAGGATGTGGTTTGCAGAGTTGATCCAGGCTGGCAGCCTGAGGGCTGGTACTGGCCTGAGGCATCAAAGAAAAGAAGAAAGTCAGGTGGAGCTAGTAGACTAAGATCAAAGAGATGGGGAAGGATTATGAGGGTCTTGGGGAGAGAGGGCTAAAGCTAAAGTATTATGGTCAGATGCTGACTGCTATGAAATGTAAGATTTCAGAGATAATACAGATGTTGTGGTGATAAGAAGGACCAGGGTGAAGACATGACAGCTGTCTGTTTTTTAAGCTATTTGAGTGAGGTTACAAGATCACTGCCGGGGAGGAATTCAGCATTGGGACATTCATGTCCAGCTGGGAAGTGACTTTTGTGTTCATTATATCTGGACACAGATGTAGCAATGGAGTCTTCCCAGTCTGTGAAATGGTAGAATCCTAGGTCTTGGGTCCATGATGTAACCTACAAATTGCATCTCCATGTGGTTGGGCATGAATGAGAACCTGTTTCTGATTTGTGACTTCTATTTTTATGGTATTCAAAGTTCCAAGTTTCTTCTCAACCTTATAATTATTCATAGCTCAGGGATTATCTATGGCACTGGAGCAGATCTCATCTCCAAGTCCAAGATTATGGGGATTGGCTCACCCCAGGGGGATGGAATTAGAAGTGACTTCCCCGCCTCCTCACCTAAGATTAAAAAAAAAAAATGAGTCCTATTGGCTCACTCCTGTAGTCCCAGCACTTCTGGAGGCCGAGATGGGAGGATTCCTTAAGCCCAGGAGTTTGAGACTAGCCTGGGCAACACAGTGAGATCTCATTTCTACAGTAAAAATATAAAAATTGGCTGGATGCAGTGGCTCACGCCTGTAATCCCAGCACTTTGGGAGGCCAAGGTGGGTGGCTCATGAGGTCAGGAGATTCAGACCATCCTGGCTAACACGGTGAAATCCCGTCTCTACTAAAAATACAAAAAATTAGCTGGGCGTGGTGACAGGTGCCTGTAGTCCCAGCTACTCGGGAGGCTGAGGCAGGAGAATGGCATGAATCCGGGAGACAGAGCTTGCAGTGAGCCAAGATCGCGCCACTGCACTCCAGCCCGGGCTACAGAACGACACTCCGTCTCTCTCTCTCTCTCTCTCTCTCTCTATATATATATATATATATATATATTAATTACCCGAGCATGTGGTGGCACATGTCTGTGGTCCCAGCTACTCAGGAGGCTGAGATGGGAGGATCCTTTGAGCCCAGGAGGTCAAGTTTGCAGTGAATTGTGATTACACCACTGCATTCTAGCCTGGGCAACAGAGTGAGACCCTGTCTCAAAAAACAATGAACTAGAAATTCTACATAGTAATAATTTTTTTGTGCATACCAAGACATAGACAGGCATCTTCACTCGATTTCCCCATCATTCTAGCCATCTCCAAACACTCACCCCAAAAATCCAGTACCTAGTGGCCAGCAGCAGGATTCATGTCCAGTGCAGGGATTTAGGATTCTGTGTGGTAGGTCATGTAGACCCCACTGTACCCAATGAAGTGGCCAACGCTGCCTTGGGGTGGCGAAGCTTTAAATCATCCCCTGTGGGGTTACACTGTTCTCATCAGTAGGGACGTTTGTCCACCATGTTGACCTCTGCCTCCTCGGTTGGTCCTGACAGATGCTGTGATGGTCTTACTATTGACCAGGGATGTAAATGAGATACAGGAAGTCTGCGGTCAACTGAAGCTTCAGTTTTGGTCACTGTCCCAGGAGGATCCCATGGAAACAGACAAAGGAGAGAATGAGCACAGGTTGGCCATAGGACTGTCCGCGCAGCAGGGTGAGGATGGCAGGAGAAGGTCCCACAGGGAGCAGAAGACCCTTTCCCATGTTATTTGGGACCACAGAAGTCTGTGATTCTGCAGACACTTTGTTGGTGGCACTTTCTTATGGCAACCCTAGTGTTGTGGTTTGAATGTCTGTGTCCTCCCGAAATTCATGTGTTAAGCCCTAACCTTCAAGGTGATGATGGTGGAAGGTGGGGCCTTTGGGAGGTGATGAGGTCATGAGGGTGGAGACTCACAAATGGGATTAGCACCCTTATAAAAGAGACACATGGCCAGGCACGGTGGCTCAGGCCTGTAATCCCAGCACTTTGGGAGGCCGAGGCAGGTGGATCACTTGAGGTCACGAGTTCGAGACCAGCCTGGGCAATATGGCGAAACCCCATCTCTACCAAAACTACAAAAAATTAGCCAGGCATGGTGGCACATACCTGTGGTCCTAGATACTTGGAAAGCTGAAGTGGGAGGATCGCTTGGGTCCGGAAGGCAGAGGTTGCAGTGAGCTGAGATCGAGCCACTGCACTCCAGCCTGGGTGACAGAGCAAGACCCTGTCTAAAAATAAAAAAGAAAAAAAAAATTAAAAAAGATAGGAGACACCATGGTTCATGCCTATAATCCCAGCATTTTGAGAGGTCAAGGTGAGAGGATTGTTGGAGGCCAAAAGCTCAAGATCAGCCTGGGCAACACAGCAAGACCATGTATCTACAAAGACATTTAAAAATTAGCTGGGCATGGTGACATACACCTGTAGTCCCAGCTACTTAGGAGGGGCTGAGGTGGGAGGATTGCTTGAGCCCCAGAGTTCGAGGCTGCAGTGAGCTATCATCATGCCACTGCACTCCAGCCTGGGTGACAGAGTGAGACTCCGTCTGAAAAAATTAAAAATAAAAAAATTAAAATAACCATTTTCATGTTTTTATAGCAAACTTAAATATACATATAAATATATGTACTCAATATGCACTTTTAAATTTTAGTGAAATAAGCTTTTGTGTACCTTATCTGAAAAAAACCAACATTTCTTCCTAAACTCTTCTCTCCTGAAAAACAACAGTAGTAAAGATAATAAGTAGCATGTTTGCTAATTGAAAAAACTAGCACAGCAGCCAGAAGGAAGAACAGCAATGTTGATGTTTAAAGGAGGACTACAATTTTAAGCACGAGCTTGTGGTCAGTTTATTTGCATTGTTTGGCTTTTCCACTCAACATGTTCCAGAAGGTTCTAGATTTATATTGAAGAAGAGTTTTATAAGTTGGACAGTGATGTTATTTGTTTTCGAAAAGCAGTGACACTGATGGCCTTAGAGGCTAGGTACCTTAGAAAGGATATATTTTCATGTGCATAGAAAGATTCCTCCCTCCCTCCCTTCCTTCCTTCACTAAAAGCCATCCTTAGCTCAAGGAGAGGGAGTGCTTCCTTGCTAACAGCCTTGCAAGACACGGGATTCTCCAGGCAGGACGAGGAGCTGAACATTTCCAGAAACCTGGTCAGATGGTTCTGCATTCTTCTAAAAGATTTGCTGAGACACATCCACTTGCTGCCCTCATGGCAAAAGATCGCATAGATCTTGTTGCCATCTTCTGTGTCTCAGCGAAATAGCCCTGAGCAAAATCGCACATTAAATCTTCTGGTTGCAGAGTTAACTCATCTGTTCTCAAACAACCTGGCTTACAGAAGTGGATGCCAATCCAAAGCATGCCCAGAGGGCACATGGGTATTCTTTAATGAGCCAACTTTCATTACATAAGACACTCAATTGTGATCATTGGTGAATTTATCAAGTTGGCAGGGCATGTTTCCACACAGTCATCCTTTTTATTCTTCAGACATCTTTACTCTTTCATCAGCCCAGAGAAACAAATGTTTAGAGACGATGATATTTTCTCAATGTGTACTGCAGTTTACTATGCAGAACCCCTAACATAGACACCAGCTCTCATGGCCTGAATGCTTTGATTACTGTAGATGATCAATTCAGAGGTATTATTAGATCTCAGAGTGAATTGATTTTTGGTTTTTTTTGGAAGATGGGAAAGGTGGAGTTCACCAAGAGTCACTCTGCTCATTCCAAGACCCTCAACTCTCCATGAAGTTCTTCATTTTTGTCTCAAGTAATTCTTTTAAGTATATGTGCTCACCCAATAAAAATCTCTGTCTTGGTGAAATTGTGGAGGTGTAAAGTCAGACAGAGAGAGAAACTCTTGTTGCCTTCTTTAAAGGATAAACATGCCTTTTTCTGATCAAACTTGAGACCCTCCAAAATTAAACTAGCTGTTAAGTGTGTGACCCCAAAAGGAAAGGAAAAGGTAAAAGGAAGGAAGGAAGGAAGGAAAAGAGGGAGGGAGGGAGGGAAGGAAGGAAGGAAGGAAGGAAGGAAGGAAGGAAGGAAGGAAAAGAGGGAGGCAGGGAGGGAGGGAAGGAAGGAAGGAAGGAAGGTAGGAAGGAAAAGAGGGATGCAGGGAGGGAGGGAAGGAAGGAAGGAAGGAAGGGATCTTTCTATGCACATGAAGATGTATCATTTCTAAGGTACCCAGCCTCTAAGGCCATCATTGTCACTGAAATGTTGTTGTTGCTGTTGTTTGTTTTTGAGAGAGTTTCACTCTGTTGCACAATCACAGCTTCACTGCAGCCTCAAACTCCTGGGCTCAAGCAATCCTTCTACCTCAGCCTCCCAAGTAGCTGGGACCACAGGCGCATGCCACCATGCCCAGCTAATTTAAAAAAAAAAAATTTAGAGATGGGTCTCACTACGTTGCTCAGGCTGGAGATTATTTTTTAAACCAAAAAATATGAGAAATCCTTAGCCCCCTACTTCCATTTGTATTTTGCTTCTATCTAAAAAGTACCCAAGTTGTTTAATTTCACAACCTGAAAGCACTGGAAAGCTTTAGATTGGAAATGCAGGATTTCACTTTATGCGATGGGACTAGACCATCACAAGATCTAGTGGTGACTTGAATTTTGATGCCACAGATAATCCTCTTTGTTCAAAGTGCCCTGTTTAGAAATTCATACATCAGGCAATGCAGCCCTTACAATATGTTTTCATTGTGATATTGAGGAAGAAAAGATACAGGAAGGGAGAAAGGAAAAGATGCAAAAAATGAGGAAAACATTACATACTTTATAAAATATAAGAACCATAGGCTGGGTGTGGTGGCTCACACCTGTACTCTTAGCACTTTGGGAGGCCAAGGCAGGAGGATTGCTTGAGCCCAACAGTTCGAGACCATCCTGGGCAACATAGCAAGACTCTATCTCTAATTTTTTTCATAAAAAATAAAATAAAAAATAAAAAAGAACTATGAAAAGAAGGGTTTTTTTTGCCCTCAGGAAACTTGCAATCTAAATTTTCTTCTAAACCCGGATTTGCTTTAAATGACTTGTCTAAATAAACTTATCTTTCCATGTCATTTTTTATCTTGTTTTTTTAGTTGTTGTTTGCTTACTAAACCTAAGCCTGGGGGCCAGGAGTGGTGGCTCACACCTGTAATCCCAGCACGTTGGGAGGCCAAGGCAGGCGGATCACTTGAGGTCAGGAGTTTGAGACCAGCCTGGGCAACATGGTGAAACCCTGTCTCTACTAAAAATACAAAAATTAGCTGGGTGTGGTGGTGAGTGCCTATAATCCCAGCTACTGGGGAGATTGGGCAGGAGAATCACTTGAACCTGGGAGGCGGAGGTTGCAGTGAGCCGAGCTCGCGCCACTGCACTCCAGCCTGGCAACAAAGTGAGACCCTGTCTCAAAAATAAATAAATGAAGAACCTAAGCCTTGAAGAAATAAATCTTTTAAAATTTCATTATGATTTTACTTTTGCTACCAACAACACCAGCCTTCTCTAAAAATCTAACTTTTGCTTGTCAACACTCAAAAACAACATTGGTGGAAGCCAAATGTACCTCAAAAGATGAATTTCATGCTTTTTTAGAGGAAAAAGCCTCATGAACTGTGCTAGGTATTTTGATGATCAGCTCTTCGCATGGACATCTTGTCATGAATATTTATTCATAGGACATTTTCTTTTCTTTTTTAAAGGCTAATTGATATTTTCATCTGAGCCAAACAGTAAATGTGGCATAGGGAAAGTTGTGTCTCACTATTGGATTCCTGAGTTAGTGAAAGAAAAGAGCTTGTATCTTCTAAAAGTGGAGGTGAATTATGTTTATTCTATAAAATACATAATAAATATCAATAATAATAGATACATAAGAGTCATAATTCTCTATGGGAAGTTATTTCTATAGCGGAGTAAGAAAAATCTACTGAACCTCCCTCTCTGCCACCACAAATAAACTTCCACGTCCCCAGGGAAAACCTTGTTAAGTGGTATACACTGCCCTCTTGTGCAGACTGTTTAAACAGAAAAGATCTCACGCACCTATTACATAAAACATTTTTTAAAGCTCTGCATAAAGGAGGAAGACAACTAAATCTGCCAAGGTTTCTTGTTGATTTATTATAGCTGTTTCATAATCCACAAAGCCATAGTCAGCAATACCCGCAAACATTCTGTATACAAACGACTAGCTAGGTTTACAGTTCAAATGAGTATAAACTAAATTGTTTCTGTTTCCAAGAATTAAGCAACCATGGATTTTTTTTAAATGTTCCAATTCGCAATGTTCAAATCTATGTGGTACACTTATCTTTTAAGCGTTTTGCAAGATGCACCAGCACCACGTATAATATGATTCGCCAGCCACAAAAGAACCAGTCATGCCTGAGATTTCTAGAAAATTTTACAATGGTTAAAAATGTCTCCACTGGGGCGTTTGTGTTGGTTTTCCTGAAAGGCATGGGATGGTCGTGCAGCCGATTCTCATAACGTCGGGATTGCTTTCTCTCTCTCTCTCTCTCTCTCTCTCTCGTCTCCGTCTGCAAAACAATGGAGCAGGGTTTTCCTGGCTTCTTCTGCTTAGCGCCACTTTTCTTTTCTTTTTAATTCCCAGGTCCACAAACAATTTTTAGAGCTAAAAGAAAAGGTATGTGGCAATACTTAATTGCTGGACCCATGAAGCCAGGAGGATCTGAGACTCACTCCGAGAGCCAGGGACTTTCCAATGCGTTGGGAAGCAGCCTCTGCAGGAAGCTCGGCATGGGAAAAAGCTGTACCGGCTGCAAATCGTCCCTTCTGGTTCCGGCGAGTGACAGCAGAGGGTGACACAGATGCTCACATTGTCAGTGGTCCTTGCTGTGTTCATCTGACCCTGCGGTGCTCCACACAGGCAACTATGTCCCCAGGGACACTCGACAATGTCTGGAGATAGCTTTGGGTGTCGCAACCGGGGTGGTTGGTGCTCCGGGCATCTGGTGGGTGGAACCCAGGGACACTGCTCAACACCCTGCAGTGCACAGGACACCCCACCCCAGAGGATCATCCACCCAGCCTTAAATGTCCACACTTTGAGAAGGACTGTACTAGAGGATTGATCTGTAGCATTCTAATCCTTATCAGAATCCCAACCTCCATGGTGTCAAGGGAGAAAAACGTGTGTCTCTATTCACGAGAGAAAGAAAAGCTGAGTATCAGGCAGGACTGGGGTGTGCGGAAGCAGGTGAAGTGGAGCTTCAGAAGAGTGGCCCCATGGGCTTTTGAGGGGACTTCTCTGTTGGGTCGTCTAAATCTTCATCCCAAACTCCCCAGTCAATATGTGGTGGATTCGTGTGAAACAAAAAGAGACCAATCGATTTATCTTCATCACCTAAGAGGCCATTCATTATGAAGTAGGAGACCCAACTTGACTCCGGAGGCAGGGACTTAGACTTTGGACCACACTGAAGACTAGCTAAAATAGGGAAGTGGCAATAGCAATAGCTCCTCTCCATAAGACACGCCCACCAGTGCCATGTCAGTTTACTGTTACCATAGCAACACCTGGAAGTTACCGCCCCTTTCTGTGGCAATGATCCAAGAACATGGAAGTTACTACTCTTTTTCTTGAAATCTCTGCATAATCTGCCCCTTAATTTGCATGCCATTAGAAGTGGGTATACATATGACTCCAGCACTGCCTCTGAGCTGCTGTTCTGGACGCACTGCCTATTGGGTAGCCCTGCTCTGCCAGGAGCAGGACCTCTGCTGCTGCTGCTGTGCACTGCCACTTCAGTGAAAGTGGGGGTGGCTCACGCCTGTAATCCCAGGACTTTGGGAGGCTGAGGTGGGTGGATCACTTGAGGTCAGGAGTTCGAGACCAGCTTGGTCAACATGGTGAAATCCCATCTCTACTAAAAATACAAAAATTAGCCAGGTGTGGTCATGTGCACCTGTAGTCCCAGCTACCAGGAGGCTGAGGCAGGAGAATCACTTGAACCCTGGAGGTGGAGGTTGCAGTGAGCCGAGATCACGCCACTGCTCTGCAAGTTGCTGTCTAACACCACGGGCTCACCCTGAAATGTTTTCCTGGGTGAAGCCAAGAACCCTCCCAAGCTAAGCCCCCAGTTTGGGGGCTCACCTGCCCTGCAACAATTAGACAACCACAGTCTGAATCAAGGACTCTCTGAATGGGATAACACATAGGTTCCTACGACAGCGAGGAAACTTCTAGAATTGCCTGGGGCTAAGGGTTTCCCCAGGATGTGGGACCTTCAGCTTTAAAACCACAAAAGTCCTGGGCAAACTGTAACAGACAGCCAATAAGCACAGTTATTCTCCAGCCTGGCTCCAGAGGTCTTCGCTAGGCAGCAATTTAATTTTTAATATGGAAAATATGGCTAAAACTTATTTTTATAGTATTTTAGGAAACAGGGCATCATTATCTCACATTGCAAATTTAAATCCCAATAGATATTAGACCTTCAAAAAATAAGAATAAGGAGAATTTGCTTAAAATTGCAAATAGAGGAATGCTGTCATGAACTTCCTACTTTGTATCTGTCATAATTCTGAATCTAAATCACAATTAGCCTGCAACTGACACTGTAATAGTCACCAAAATTTGCAATACCTGCACAGAGTATAGTCAAAGAATTTCAACCAAATCCTTTCTGTTGATCCAACAAAATAAAATGTATACAGATATGAAGGGCATTGGAGAATGGTGAACAAGTATACTTGGCGTGGCTGGAGCAGTGGCTCACATCTTTAATCCCAGCCCTTTGGGAAGTTGAGGTAGGAGGATTACTTGAACCTAGGAGTTCGAGACAAGCCTGGGCGACAGAGCAAGACCCTATCTCTAAAAATATTTTAAAAATTAGCCAAGCCTGGTGGTATCTACCTGCAGTCCCAGCTACGCAGGGGGCTTAGGTAAGAGGATCGCTTGAACTCAGGAGGTGGGGGCTGCAGTGAGCTATGACTGCACCAATGCACTCCAGCTTGGGTGACAGAGTGAGAACCCCGTCTCTAAAAAAAATAAACTTAGGAAAATAAAATAAATAATAAAAAATGCACTCCAGCTTGGGTGACAGAATGAGACCCTGTCTCTAAAAAAATAAAATTAGGAAGATAAAATTAAATTTAAAAATAAAAAAGATACTTGGTGAATTTCTCCTCCACAGGGGAGCTGGCTCCCAGAAGGAAAGAAAGGCCATCCACATTCTACAGATGAACAAGTTCACTCCTCACTGAATCCTGTGCATTAGCTTCTCAGATCATCGCAGGATCTCCTTGACTGGAAAGTCAGAAACAACCGTGGCCATAACTACCACCATCAAAACCAGGAATACACTCCTTGCATTTAGGATTAGATGCAGGTTTTGTGGGAGCTGAAGCTTACAAAATTTCAGAAGTCATCTTTCAGAAAATGAATTTGAATGTATCTTACTTTGGGGGATTTTACAAAACTGTACAACCATGTGCAATGAACTGAATGCTTGTGTCTCCCACAATTCCTATGCTGAAATCCTCACCCCCAAGATGATGGTGTCAGGGGGTGAGGCCCTTGGGAGGTGATGAGGTCATGAGGATGGAGCCTCCTGAATGGGATAGATGAGAGATCAATATATACATAGACACAGTTAGGAGGAGATGTCACTTAATAACATGCAAAAGTATCAAAATACAATTGCAAATATATAATATTCATAAAATAAAACATATATACTTACTTTTAAAAAAATACACTATGATTAAACTAGTCATAAAATCAACAACATTCTAAATGTCTAACTAGTCATAAAGTTACCTGTTATAACTTTTGTCATTATTGCATATCAGAGTTTCCCAATCTTGGCACTATTGATATTTGAACCAAGTAATTCTTTATTATGGGAAGCAGCCTGTGCATTGTAGGGTGTTAAGCAGCATCCCTGGCCTCTACTCACCACATGCCAGTAGTACTCTCCCCAGGTGTATTAACCAAAAGTACAAGCAGACATTGCTGAATGCCCCCTGGGGTTTGGGTATGGAGTTCAGAATCACCCCAACTGACAACCACTGACATAGACCTGTGACTTCATTTCCTTACCATCTGTGATTCAGTTTCTCATAGTGTGTGATGGTGAATTTCATATGTCCACTTGGCTAGTGTGATGGTGAATTTTATGCGTCCACTTGACTGGCGTGATGATGAATTTTATGTATCCACCGGGCTGGTGTGATGGTGAATTTTATCCACAGTGCCCAGACGTGTGGTCAAAGGTTACCCTGGATGTTACTGTGTGGGTGTTTTTGGATGAGATGAACATTTCTTTCATGCGCGTCCATGTGAAGAGACCACCAAACAGGCTTTGTGTGAGCAACAGGGCTGTTTATTTCACCTGGGTGCAGGCGGGCTGAGTCTGAAAAGAGAGTCAGCGAAGGGAGATGGGGGTGGGGCCGTTTTATAGGATTTGGGAAGGTAATGGAAAATTACAGTCAAAGGGGGCTGTTCTCTGGTGGGCAGGGGCGGGGGTCACAAGGTGCTCAGTGGGGGAGCTTCTGAGCCAGGAGAAGGAAATTCACAGGGTTAATCACTCAGTTAAGCTGGGGCAGGAACAAATCACCATGGTGGAATGTCATCAGTTAAGGCGGGGCAGGGCCTTTTCACTTCTTTTGTGGATCTTCAGTTACTTCAGGCCATCTGGGTGTATATGTGCAAGTCACAGGGGATGCGATGGCCTGGCCTGGGCTCAGAGGCCTGACATTCCTGCCTTCTTATATTAATAAGAAAAATAAAATAGTGTTGAAGTGTTGGGGCAGTGAAAATTTTTGGGGGGTGGTATGGAGAGAGAATGGACGATGTTTCTCAGGGCTGCTTCGAGCGGGATTAGGGGCGGCGTGGGAACCTAGAGTGGGAGAGATTAAGCTGAAGGGAGGTCTTGTGGTAAGGGGTGATATCGTGGGGATGTTAGAAGAAACATTTGTCGTATAGAATGATTGGTGATGGCCTGGATACGGTTTTGTATGAATTGAAAAACTAAATGGAATAAAAGAAGGAGAAAAACAGGTATAAAAGGTCTAAGAATTGGGAGGACCTAGGACATCTGATTAGAGAGTGCCTAAGGAGATTCAGCATAGTCCTGCCAGCAAAGATTATTTATTTACTTCAAGAGTTAAGAGTGGCAGTTTGGGGATAGCACGAGGAGATATCAGCTGTGATGGCTTGGAGAAACAGTGTAAACCGGCAGTGTAAACAAGAGCAGGGCATGTATGAGTAGTTGAGAACGGTGAATAGGAGTATGACTAGACAGAAGATAGTAGGGATGACAAGTTTTTTGGGGGGCACAGTCTAAGTTGGTCCGGTGTCTGGAATGAGACTGGGGCCTAATAAAAGGAGTGTCTATACAGGAGCTTAAATGGGCTGTACCCTGTAGCATTCTGAGGACAGGCCTGATTTCTGAGAAGGGAAAGTGATAAAAGTATTGTCCAGTCCTTTTTGGTGGCTGAGCTTGGTGAGGTGTGTTTTTAAAAGACCTTTAGTCTGCTCTACTTTTCTTGAAGATAGAGGACTATAAGGGATATAAAGGTTTCACTGAATACTAAGAGCCTGAAAAACTGCTTGGTGATTTGACTAATAAAGGCTGGTCTGTTATCAGACGGTATAGAGGTGGGAAGGCTAAACTGAGGAATTATGTCTGACAGAAGGGAAGAAATGACTGCGGTGGCCTTCTCAGACCCTGTAGGAAAGGCCTCTACCTATCCAGTGAAAGTGTCTATCTAGATTAAGAGGTATTTTAGTTTTTGTGACTCAGGGCATGTTGAGTAAAGCTAATTTGCCAGTCCTGGGTGGGGGCAAATCCTGGAGCTTGATGTGTAGGGAAGGGAGGGGGCCTGAATAATCCCTGAGGAGTAGTAGAATAGCAGATGGAACACTGAGAAGTTATTTCCTTGAGGATAGATTTCCACGATGGAAAGGAAATGAGAGGTTCTAAGAGGCGGGCTAGTGGCTTGTACTATAGCATAGCCTGCCTTTGCTGGTGTGTGGCGATTAGGCCTGGTGGAACCGCCATCAATAAATCAAGCGTGATCAGGGTGAGGAACAGGAAAGAAGGAAATTTGGGGAAATGGGGTGAATGTCAGGTGGATCAGAGAGATACAGTCATGGGGGTCAGGTGTGGTATCAGGAATAATGTGGGAGGCCGGATTGAAGTCCGGGCCAGGAACAATGGTAATTGTGGGAGACTCAACAAAGAGTGAGTACAGCTGAAGGAGCCGGGAAGCAGAAAGTATATGCATCAGGTATGAGGAAGAAAATAGATTTTGGAAGTTATGAGAAGTGTAGAGAGTGAGTTGAGCATAGTTTGTGATTTTGAGGGCCTCTAACAGTATTAAAGCAGCGGCAGCTGCTGCAGGCAGACATGATGGCTAGGCTAAAACAGGAAGGTCAAGTTGTTTGGACAGAAAGGCTACAGGGTGCAGTCCTGGCTCTTGTGTAAGAATTCTGACCACGCTAACCATGCCTAGGAAGGAAAGGAGTTGTTGTTTTGTAAGGGATTGAGGTTTGGGAGATTAATCGGACACGATCAGCAGGGAGAGCACGTGTGTTTTTATGAGAATTATGCCTAGATAGGTAACAGATGAGGATGAAATTTGGGCTTGACTGAAGTAATGGGGGCCGTCTGTGAAGCCTTGCGGCAGTACAGCCCAGGTAATTTGCTGAGCCTAATGGGTGTCAGGGTCAGTCTAAGTGAAGGCAAAGAGAGGTTGGGATGAAGGGTGCAAAGGAATAGTAAAGAAAGCATGTTTGAGATCCAGAACAGAATAATGGGTTGTAGAGGGAGGTATTGAGGATAGGAGAGTATATGGGTTTGGCACCACGGGGTGGATAGGCAAAACATTTGGTTGATAAGGCGCAGATTCTGAACTAACTTGTAAGGCTTGTCTGGTTTTAGGACAGGTAAAATGGGGGAATGGTAAGGAGAGTTTATAGGTTTTAGAAGCCCATGCTGTAGCAGGCGAGTGATAACAGGCTTTAATCCTTTTAAAGCATGGTGTGGGATGAGATATTGGCGTTGAGCGGGGTAAGGGTGACTAGGTTTTAATGAGATGGTAAGGCGTGCTTGATCGGTCGCCAAGGAGGGAGTAGAGGTATCTTATACTTGTGGGTTAAGGTGGGGGATACAAGAGGAGGACGCAAAGGAGGCTCTGGATTGGGAAGAAGGGCGGCAATGAGATGCAGGTGTAATCCAGGAATAGTCAGGGAAGCAGATAATTTGGTTAAAATATCTCGGCCTAATAAGGGAACTGGGCAGGTGGGGATAACTAAAAAGGAGTGCGTAAAAGAGTATTGTCTAAGTTGGCACCAGAGTGGGGGAGTTTTAAGAGGTTTAAAAGCCTGGCCGTCAATACCCACAACAGTTATGGAGGCGAGGGAAACAGGCCCTTGAAAAGTAGGTAATGTGGAGTGGGTAGCCTCCATATTGATTAAGAAGGGGACGGACTTACCTTCCACTGTGAGAGTTACCTGAAGCTCGGCGTCCATGATGGTCTACGGGGCTTCTGAGGCGATCAGGCAGCGTCAGTCTTCAGCCGCTAAGCCGAGAAGGAGTCAGTCAGAGAGCCTTGGGCCAGAGTTCCAGGGGCTCTGGGAGTCGCTGCCAGGTGAGTTGAACAGTCCGATTTCCAGTGGGGTCCCGCACAGATGGGACACGGCTTAGGAGGAATCCTGGGCTGCAGGCATTCCTTGGCCTGGTGGCCAGATTTCTGGCACTTGTAGCAAGCTCCTGGGGGAGGAGGTTCTGGAGGAATGCCTGGCCGCTGCGGTTCAGGCGTTTGGAAGTTCTTGTGTGCTGGAGATGTGGCTGGGGTTTGTTTCACAGTGGAGGCAAGGAATTGCAACTTTTTTTTTTATTATTGTACACCTTGAAGGTGAGGTTAATTAAGTCCTGTTGTGGGGTTTGAGGGCCAGATTCTAATTTTGGGAGTTTTATTTAATGTCGGGAGCAGATTGGGTAATAAAATGTATATATTGAGAATAAGATGGCCTTTTGACCTTTTAGGGTCTAGGGCTGTAAAGCATCTCAGGGTTGCTGCCGAACGAGCCATGAACTGGGCTGGGTTTTTATATTTGATGAAAAAGAACCTAAACGCTTCTGATTTGGGATAAAGAAAAAGGAGCATTAACCTTGACTATGCCTTTGGCTCCAGCCACCTTTTTAAGAGTAAATTGCTGGGCAGGTGGGGGAGGGCTAGTCACGGAACGAAACTGTAAGCTGGACCAGGTGTGAGGAGGGGAGGCGATAAAAAGATTATAGGGTGGAGGAGTGGAGGCTGAGGAAGAATCGGGACCTAGCTTGGCGTGGTGAGGAGGGGAGAGGTCAGATGGGTCTGTAGAAAAGGAAGATTACAAAGACTCGGCGACGCTTGGGGTTGGGAATGAGGGGACAGGTGGGAGGGGAAAGAAGGAAGATTTGGGATGAGTTGCACTGGGCACAGAGACTAGGAAGGGACTGATGTGTAAAAGAATGCCTGGACATCAGGCACCTCAGACCATTTGCCCATTTTACGACAAGAATTATTTAGCTCTTGTAGGATGGAAAAATTGAAAGTGCCGTTTTCCGGCTATTTGGAGCTACTGTCGAGTTTGTATTGGGGTCAAGCGGCATTGCAGAAGAAAATAAGATGCTTAGATTTTAGGTCAGGTGAGAGTTGAAGAGGTTTTAAGTTCTTAAGAACACAGGCCCACCAACAGTGTAAAAGTGTTCCTATTTCTCCACATCCTCTCCAGCACCTGTTGTTTCCTGACTTTTTAATGATTGCCATTCTAACTGGTGTGAGATGGTATCTCATTGTGGTTTTGATTTGCATTTCTCTGACGGCCAGTGATGATGAGCATTTTTTCATGTGTTTTTTGGCTGCATAAATGTCTTCTTTTGAGAAGTGTCTGTTCATGTCCTTCGCCCACTTTTTGATGGGGTTGTTTGTTTTTTTCTTGTAAATTTGTTTGAGTTCATTGTAGATTCTGGATATTAGCCCTTTGTCAGATGAGTAGGTTGCGAAAATTTTCTCCCATTTTGTAGGTTGCCTGTTCACTCTGATGGTAGTTTTGCTGTGCAGAAGCTCTTTAGTTTAATTAGATCCCATTTGTCAATTTTGTCTTTTGTTGCCATTGCTTTTGGTGTTTTAGACATGAAGTCCTTGCCCATGCCTATGTCCTGAATGGTAATGCCTAGGTTTTCTTCTAGGGTTTTTATGGTTTTAGGTCTAACGTTTAAGTCTTTAATCCATCTTGAATTGAGTTCAACCATTGTGGAAGTCAGTGTGGCGATTCCTCAGGGATCTAGAACTGGAAATACCATTTGACCCAGCCATCCCATTACTGGGTATATACCCAAAGGACTATAAATAATGCTGCTATAAAGACACATGCACACGTATGTTTATTGCGGCATTATTCACAATAGCAAAGACTTGGAACCAAACCAAATGTCCAACAATGATAGACTGGATTAAGAAAATGTGGCACATATACACCATGGAATACTATGCAGCCATAAAAAATGATGAGTTCATGTCCTTTGTAGGGACATGGATGAAACTGGAAATCATCATTCTCAGTAAACTATCGCAAGAACAAAAAACCAAACACCGCATATTCTCATTCATAGGTGGGAATTGAACAATGAGATCACATGGACACAGGAAGGGGAATATCACACTCTGGGGACTGTTGTGGGGTGGGGGGAGGGGGGAGGGATAGCATTGGGGATATACCTAATGCTAGATGACGAGTTAGTGGGTGCAGTGCACCAGCATGGCACATGTATACATATGTAACTAACCTGCACAATGTGCACATGTACCCTAAAACTTAAAGTATAATAAAAAAAATAATAAATAAAAGGTTTAAAAAAAAAAAGAACACAGGCTAAGGGAGAAGGAGGAATGGAAGGTGGAAGCTTGCCCATAGTGAAGGAGGCAAGCCCAGAGAAAAGAGTAGAGACACGGAGAAGGGGTGGGGGTTTCTTGCCCTCCAGAAAAGCAGAGAAGGGGTCAGGGCGCAGAGATATGAGGTCGGGGCATGGAAATAAGGGATCGGGGCACAGAGATATGAGGTTGGGGTACTTGCCCCTCCTCCAGAAAAACAGAGAAGGGGTAGAGACACGGAGAGAAGGGGTTGGGGTACTTGCCCCTCCCCTAGAAAAGCAGGACTTGCTGCTGAGGGGAAGGAGAAGGGGTTGAGGGGTTCTTGCCCTTGCCCCAGAAAATCAGAGAAGGGGTAGAGACACGGAGAGAAGGGGTTGGGGTACTTGCCCCTTCCCCAGAAAAGTGGGACTTGCCACTAAGGGTGAAGGAGAAGGGGTTGAGGCATACTTGCCCCTCCCTCAGAAAAGCAGAGAAGGGGTAGAGACACGGAGAGAAGGGGTTGGGGTACTTGCCCCTTCCCCAGAAAAGCGGGACTTGTCGCTAAGGGTGAAGGACCAAGGCAGGCATCCCTGCGTGGTCTGACACCTCTGAAACATGGGTGAATAATCAGAGAGGCGTCCCTGCAATGATTAAACACCAAGGGGAGGCTGCCTTCCCAGTCCGTGACCGGCGCTGGAGTTTTGGGTCCACGGATAAAACGTGTCTCCTTTGTCTCTACCAGAAAATGAAAGGAACTGAAATTAAGAGAAGGGAGAGATTGAAGTGTAGTGCCAAGATTGAAAGGAGAAAGAGGTTGAGGGATAGTGAGGGAAGTTGGAGAACAGAGTAAAAAGAGGCCGCTTACTGGATTTGAAATTGGTGAGATGTTTCTTGGGCTGGTCAGTCTGAGGACCTGAGGTCATAGGTGGATCTTTCTCACGGAGCAAAGAGCAGGAGGACGGGAGATTGATCTCCCAAGGGAAGTCCCCCAATCCGAGTCACGGCACCAAATTTCATGCACGTCCATGTGAAGAGACCACCAAACAGGCTTTGTTTGAGCAACATGGCTGTTTATTTCACCTGGGTGCAGGCGGGCTGAGTCCGAAAAGAGAGTCAGCGAAGGGAGATAGGGGTGGGGCTGTTTTATAGGATTTGGGAAGGTAATGGAGAATTACAGTCAAAGGGGGTTGTTCTCTGGTGGGCAGGGGCGGGGGTCACAAGGTGCTCAGTGGGGGAGCTTCTGAGCCAGGAGAAGGAAATTCACAGGGTTAATCACTCAGTTAAGGTGGGGCAGGAACAAATCACAATGGTGGAATGTCATCAGTTAAGGCGGGGCAGGGCCTTTTCACTTCTTTTGTGATTCTTCAGTTACTTCAGGCCATCTGGGCGTATACGTGCAAGTCACAGGGGATGCGATGGCTTGGCTTGGGCTCAGAGGCCTGACAATTTCTATCTGTGGAGTAACGCAGTTCCCCCTCCATGATGTGGGTGGGCCTAGTCTAATCCGTTGAAGACCTGACCAGAACAAAGATTGACTTCCCCCAAGCCAAAAGGCATTTTGCCACCCAACAGCCTTTGGACTCAAACTGTAACCCTTCCCTGAGTCCCCTGCTTGCTGGCCCACTCCATCAGCTTTTGGACTCTCCAATCCCCCCAATCACGTGAGCCAATTCCTTAAAATAAATGTCTGTGTATCTACTGATATCAATATCTACAGATTGATATTTGTGCAAAGAATAATTTGGCCCAAGTGTCAATGGTGCCAAGATTGAGAAACCCTCGTGTAGAATGACAAAACTTCGACGAGTTGGATAAATATCTTAGAATGTTGTTGGTTTTATCACTGGTTTTAAACAGTGCAATTCTTTAAATTAAGTGTAATTTTTTAAATTAATATTTTTATTTTATTATTGATATATAGATGTAGACATATAGGTATAAATATAGATATAGATGATATAGGTATAGATACACACTCACCCTATTGGTTTCTCTTTGTTTTTGCTATTATTTTCAATGACACAAGCCGCAATTACATTTACACCAACCTACTAATACACAGTGATTCTGAGTCACCTAGAGGTTCTTTTTTCCTTGGCTTTTTCCAAGAATCCAGGCTTTTATGGCATGTTCCTCTTATTCCTTCTTCTGAATCCCATTTCCCATCATGTCCCCCTCCCTGAACATCTAAACTCCTTCTGGGCCTGAATTCTGTGCTTTTTTTTGGAGGGGGGGCGGGGTGTGGGTGGGACAGGGTCTCACTGTCGCCTAGGCTGGAGTGCAGTGGTGCGATCTCCGCTCACTGCAACCTTCCCCTCCCGTGTTCAAGAGATTCTCTTGCTTCAGCATCCCATGTAGCTGAGATTACAGGCAACCGCCACCATGCCTGGTTAATATTTTTGTATTTTTAGTAGACACAGGGTTTCACGCTGTGTCACAGCCTGACACGCTGGCCAGGCTGGTCTCAAGCTCCTTACCTCAAGTGATGCACCCACCCTGGCCTCCCAGCGTGCTGGAATTACAGACATGAGCCACCGCAGCCCACCAATTCTTTGCATTTTAAGGCATTGTGTGAAGCTGGATATTTCCTGGGACTCTGGCCTCAGTTTCCCTTTTCTGTATGAGTAGCCCTGACTTGGAGATTGAGTATCTTCTTTGCACATTTAACTCTTTCTAAGCTGCTATCGGTTCACTGGGGAAGTTCGCCAGGTTCCAAATGCTGTCTCATTTACTGTCTTGCAAAATCTGGGTTGAAGAAGAACTGGGCTGGCATATTTGTTTTTGGTTTTATTTTATTTATTTATTTATTTATTTATTTATTTATTTATTTATTTATTTTTGAGACAGAATCTCTGTCTGTCGCCCAGACTGGAGTGCAGTGGTACCATCTTGTCTCACTGCAACCACCACTCCAGGGTTCAGGTGATTCTCTTGCCTCAGCCTCCTGAGTAGCTGGGACTGCAGGTGCCCGCCACCACGCCCAGGTAATTTTTGTATTTTTAGTAGAGATGGGGTCTCACCATGTTGGCCACGCTGGTCTCGAACTCCTGACCTCAAGTGGTCCACCCACCTCAGCCTCCCAAAGTGCTGGGATTACAGGCGTGAGCCATTGCGCTCAGCCAGATTTGTTTGTTTTTCAATCAAATTGAAATGCCCCTAACTTAAAAATGATGATTTTAAAGTGAACTCCCGGTGGCATTTAATGCCTTCACAAGGTTGTGCAACCACCACCGCTATCTGGTTCCAAGACACTTTTATCACCCTAAAAGAAACCTTGGACCCACCAAGCAGCCACTAGTCCTTCTCCCCTCCCCAGCCCCTGGAAGACACCAATCTGCCTACTGGCTCTATGGGCTTGCCTCCTCTGAAAAGTTCCTGTAAGTGGAATCCTACACTGTGTGGCCTCTTGTGTCTGGCTTCTTTCACTGAGCATAGCATCTTCAAGGCTCATCCACATAGAAGCATATAACAGAGCTTCATTTCTTTTAAAAAAATAGTTTCATTGGAAAGGAAGCTCTAGTTGTGTTTTCTTAGCACTAATAAAAATATTTATTCTAAGACTAAATTCCAAGCATGCCAGCATATACCATCCATGACAGTGGTCAAATACGAATACAGAAACAAAGTCCAGGGTATAATTCATGTGTGTTTGGTACTTAGCCCTGAAACTTTCTTGTCATTATCCATAAAGTTTCTTTGCCATTCATCTACTGAAAATGTCCCACATTGTTTTTTAATTTTTATTTTCAGTTCTGGGATATATGTGCAGGATGTGCAGGTTTGTTTCATAGGTAAACGTGTGCCATGATGGTTTGCTGCACCTGTCAGCCCAGCATGCATTAGCTATTTTTCCTGATGCTCCCCCTCCCCACATCCACCCCCAAAGGCCCCAGTGTATGTTGTTCCCCTCCCTAAGGTCAAGAAACAACAGATGCTGGCGAGGCTGTGGGGAAATAGGAACACTTTTACACTGTTGGTGAGAACGTAAATTAGTTCAACCATTGTGGAAGACAGAGGTGATTCCTCAAGGATCGAGAACTAGAAATACCATTTGACCCAGCAATCCCAATAATTACTGGGATAATACATAATCCCAGTAATATCTACCCAAAGGAGGCCTGGCGCAGTGACTCACGCCTGTAATCCCAACACTTTGGGAGTCCGAGGCGGGCCGATCACCTGAGGTCAGGAGTTCGAGACCAGCCCCCGTCTCTACTAAAAATACAAAAATTAGCTGGGCATAGTGGCGGGTGCCTGTAATCCCAGCTACTCGGGAGGCTGAGGCAAGAGAATCACTAGAACCTGAGAGGTGGAGGTTGCAGTGAGCCGAGATTGTGCCATTGCACTCCAGATATATAGCCAAAGGAATATAAATCATTCTATTATAAAGATATATGCAGATGTATGTTCATTGCAGTACTATTCACAATAACAAAGACATGGAATCAACCCAAATGCCCATCAATAATAGACTGGATAAAGAATATGTGGTCCATGGACACCATGGAATACTATGCAGCCATAAAAAGGAATGAGATCACGTCCTTTGCAGGGACATGAATGGAGCTGGAAGCCATTATCTTCTAGTTGTATTTTATCGGGAAAACATATCAGCCTCCTGGTTGGGTGCCCGCTGACCTCAGACGATCTGTTGTCACCACATGCTTTGATTTAATGAGGATGGCAAAAACAGCACTGCTTTCAATCTGGGCTCTTTTTCGTGTTTTTGTCCTTTCTTTCCTTTTCTGATGTATTCACCCACTCAATGCAATTAAAAGAAACTGGGAGGCTCTCATCTTAAAAAATTCCCGATAATAGGACATTCCGCCTACTTCCCCAAAGCATCTCTGTAGGTTTGAGTCGTTGTCAAGACAGCCCTAAATGTTTAGGTTACACACACCCATCTAGTCTATGCATAGTTTTCTTCCACCAGCCACATAATAAATTATAGGACTCTTGAAATCTTATGAAACAGGGGGAAACAGATCTAAGAAAACCCTATGAAACCTGATTTTGTATTACATAATGCCGGGAAATGGAATGTTGGAACTTAGGCTTGCCAAACAGTCATCATTTTCAGGCAGCATTTGAAGTTAGGGAAACAGAAAAATACATATATCTCCCTGCCTGTGATTATCTGATGGACAAATGGTTTATTAGGATATATAGAGAGAAGCAAAAACAAAAACAAAAACAAAAACAAAACGAGAAATTTCTATAACGATTTCAAGGCAGGTGTCTGGAATTGCGATCATATTATAATTCAATATGTTTTTGTAAAACAGCAATGCAGAAACAAGCATCTTTTAAACTCTCTTATCTCATTGATTTCATTGTTTTACTTTGAATAAAATTAACCAAGTTTCTATGAAAATGAACCTTTCCAAAACAGGGGCCAGAAATGCATATTTACTTCTTCAAGTGCTGCATTTTAAATTGGTGGCCAGCCAAGAGTGAAAGAAAAAGAGACGGGGTTTCTCCATGTTGGTCAGGCTGATCTCGAACTCCTGACCTCAAATGATCCTCCTGCTTTGGCCTCCCAAAGTGCTGGGATTACAGGCACGAGCCACCGTGACTGGCCTAGTGAAGGGTGTCTTAATCTGTGCACCTTGGGTAACTCGGGGCTGAACGACTCTCTGTGGTCGAGTGTCCTGTGCACTGTAGGGTGTTGAGCAGCGTCCCTGGGCTCCACCCACCAAATGCCAATAGCACCCATTCCCAGCTGTGACAACCAAAATATCTCCAGACATGTTACCTGGGGGACAAACTTGACCCACGTTAAAAGCTCCTGATGTAAAAAAAAAAAAGCAATAATGTATTGTGCCACAACTTGGATGAAACTGGAAGCCATATTCTAAGTGAAGTCACTAAGGAATAGAAAACCAAATACCACACATTCTCACTTACAAAAGTGGGAGCTGGTAGGGCACGGTGGCTCATGCCTGTAATGCCAGCACTTTGGGAGGCCGAGGCAGGAGGATCACTTGAAACCAGGAGTTCAAGAACAGCCTGGGCAGTGTAGTAAGACCCTGTCTCTACAGGAAATAGAAAATATTAGCTGGGAGTGGTGGTGCGCACCTGTAGTCCCAGCTACTCAGAAGGCTGAGTGGGGGCGACTTGCTTGAACCTAGGAGGTTGAAGGTGCAGTGAGCCATGATCATGCCACTGCAATCCATCCTGGGTGACAGAGTGAGACTCTGCTTCAAAAAAGAAGTGGGAGCTAAGTTGTGGGTATGCAAAGGCGTACACAGTAGTGTAATGGACATTGGAGACTCCGAAGTGGGAGGGTGTGAGTGCAGCGAGGGATGAAGGACTACCTATTAGGTACCATGTACAACACCTGGGTGATGGGCGCACTAATGTCCTAGACTTCACTCATCCAAGTAACCAAAAACCACGTGTACCCTAAAGCTATTCAAATTAAAAAAAAAAATCAAAGAACTCCTGATGTAAAATTTCACATGTTCTCACTCAAACATGGGAGGTAAAAATGTTAAAAACCTCCACTCATGGAGATAAAGTAGAATGGTGGTTACCAGAGGCTGGGAAGAGTATCGAGGAAGAGGTGATAGAGTGGGGATAGTTAATGAATGCAAAAATACAGTTGGATAGAAGCAAGAAGGTATAGTATTTGGTACTACAACAGGGAGACTATAGTTAACAATAATTCATTGTATATTTTAAAATAACTAAGAGAGTGGAATTGCAATGTTCCTAACACAAAGAAATGATAAAGGCTTCACAGGATAGATACCCCAATTACCCTAATTTGATTATTACACATTGTAAGCTTGTATCAAAATATCACATATACCCTGTAAAGAAGTACAACTATTATGCACCCATAATGATTAAGAATAAAAAAATTTAGGCCAGGCATGGTGGCTTATGCTTATAAACCCAGCATTTTGGGAGGCAGAGGTGGGAGGACTGCTTGAAGCCAGGAGTTGGGGACCAGCCTGGGCAACATAGCGAGACCCCATCTTTACAAAAAATTTTTAAAAATTAGCCGGGCATGGTGGCACGCACCTGTAGTCCCAGCTACTCAGGAGGCTGAGGCAGGAGGATCGCTTGATCCTGGGATTTGAAGGCTGCAGTGGGCTATGATCACACCACTGCACTCTAGTGTGGGCAACAGAGCAAGACTTCATCTCTAAAAATAATAAATAATAAAATAATGTTTAACAAGAACCACTGTTCTAGTCTAAAACTGCAATGCATGTCTATTTTTTCTCAAATGTCTGCTCACCAAGCGAAGTTTTGTTCTTTGTAGTAGCATCCCATGATTTTTCTTTACATTACTAAGATAACATCCATTTTCCCAGTTCCAGCCTCTGTCCTGAGATATTCACTTCCCTCTACACTTGATATAATTTCAGACTACAATGTGGAAATAAGGGAGGGATTAAGGCAGCCTGACATAAGGTCAATCTTTCCAGGCCAGGAGTGGCCCTAGGAAAAATTGTTTTTTCTTTTTGGGTTCAGATAAATCACAGCGAATAACCATAGCCCAGCACCGCATGGCTTTCCGGCAAAGACAGGACCTCCTCCCTCCAGGGATGGCAGGAATGTAAAGTGAAAGCATTACCAGAAAGGGGTCCCAGTCCAGACCCCAAGAGAGGGCTCTTGGATCTCATGCAAGAGAATTCAGGCGAGTCCACAGAGTAAAATGAAAGGAAGTTTATTAAGAAAGTAAAGGAATAAAGAATGGCTACTTCATAGGCAGAGCAGCAGCATGGGCTGCAGGCTGCCTATGTTTATGGTTATTTATTGATTATATGCTAAACAAGGGGTGAATTAGTCATGAGGTTTTTCAGGAAAGGGGTGGGTAATTCTGAGGGTTCCTCCCCTTTTTAGACCATATAGGGTAACTTCCTGAGGTTGTCATGACATCTGTAAACTGTCGTGGCTCTGGTGGCAGTGACTTTTAGCAGCTAATGCATTATAATGAGTGTATAATGAGCAGTTACAATGACCAGAGGTCACTCTTGTCACTGTCTTGGTTTTGGTGGGATTTCACTGACTTCTTTACTGCAACCTGTTTTATCAGAGAGGTCTTTATGACCTGTATCTTTACTGACCTCCTATTTCATCCTGTGACTAAGAATGCCTAACCTCCTGGGAATGCAGCCCAGTGGGTCTCAGCCTTATTTTACCCAGCTCCTATTCAAGATGGAGTCACTCTGGTTTCAACGCCTCTGACAAAAGCGTGCTTATTGTGCTGACTGAGGAGGGCTGAATGAAATCCAGCTGGATTGGACAGGGAACTAAAGGAAGATGTCCATCCATAGAATGTAGACAAGGCACTGATAAATGTGATAAACACAGCAAGGTCTGTGCATGGACGGACATACTTTTTTTTTTTTTAAAGACATGGTCTCACTCAGGCTGGAGTGCGGTGGTGTAATCACGGCTCACTGCAGCCTTGACCTCCCAGCCTCAAGCAATCCTCCTACCTCAACCTCCTGAGTAGCTGGTACTATAGGCACGCACCACCATTCCTGGCTAATTATTTTTATTTTTTGTAGACATAGGGTCTCACTGAGTTGCCCAGGCTGGTCTCAAACTCCTGGGCTCAAGCAATCCTCCTGCCTCAGCCTTCCAAGTAGCTGGGACTACAGGCACATGCCACTATGCCAGACTCATTTTGTATTTTTTGGAGAGAGGAGGTTTTGTGATGTTGCCCAGGCTGGTCTAGAACTCCTGAACTCAAGTGATCCACCAACCTCAGCCTCCCAACATGCTGGAATTACAAGAGTGAGCCACTGAGGCCAGCTGAGATACATCTTTCTCTCTCACCAAGGGCTCCTAAGTGGACATCTGGTCCCTATAGATGCTGCATTTTTTTCTGACTTTCTTTCAAAGTCATTTTGAAACGTACGTTAAGGCTTGGGTACTGGACCCTCTTTGACTTTCAAACCATCAGGAGCCATTTGCAATGTCTGGAGACATTCTGAGTTATTATCATTGGAGAGTGGATGTGGCCAGCATCTGGTGGGTGGAGCCCAGGAATGCTGCTCGACACCCTATGAGTGCAGAGGATGGCCACACCACAGAGAATCCTCCAGCCTCAAGTGTCAACAGCACCCACATTGAGAATCTTGAACTAAAGAATACAAAGATTCCACATATGAGATCATGCAGTATGTGTCATTCTGTGCCTGGCTTATTCCACTTAACATAATGTCCTCCACGTTCATCCATGTTGTTGCAAATGCCAACACTTCCTTCCTTAAGACTTGATAGCATTCCATTGTGCATACAAATCACATTTTCTTTACCCATTCATCCACTGATGGACACTTTGGTTGACTCCATATTTTGGCTATTGTGAATAGTGCTGTAATGACTACGGGAAAACAGATAAATTAGACATTCCTCAGAAAGTTACTAGAAAAATAAAATTATAAGTCAACAAATATTTGTTTGAAGTCTTCAAAAGCTGTTTAAACCATCCAGAAAAATATGAATTCTCATATAAACCTTATGAAAAATAAAAATGGTAAGCTAAATGCTGAAATTTTTGAAAGCGTCAAAATAATCTATCTACCTGTCTATCTATTCATCTATCCATCATCTTTCTATAACTATCCATCCATCCATTCATCCATTTATCCATCCATTCATTCATCTATTGAATGTACATATCTAGCTAGCTAGCTAGCTATTTATCATCTATCCATCCATCTACTGAATCTATCATCTATCCTTATCTATCTATCACATACCTATCTACCCACCCACCCATCTATTGACTCTAATCATCTACCATTACCTATGTATCTATCATATATCTATCCATCCATCCATCTATCTATTGAATCTATCATCCATCCATTCATCTACTGAATCTATTATCTGTCATTATCTATATATTTATCTATGTATCTACCCATCCATCTACCTATTGAATATATGTATCATCTATCATTATCTATCTGACAGTCTAATCTACTTAAGCTCTCTGTCATCTATTATAACATATTTTTATCTATCTCTTCTATTTATTCTCATCTCTATTGTCATATATGCATGTTGATACACACAGAGAAAGATTGATAGAGATTTGTAAAATGTACAAATATTTAAAATGAAACTTTTTTTTAAACGGGTGACATGGTAAACAAGGACATTCACTGACTGGCCTCATTCACTTCCTACCCATCCTTCCAATCTAATCACTCCTAGGGGGTGTTTCTGGGAACAGCTTTCTTCGCCACCTCTGTCTCTTCATCCAAGCACCACTTTCTGCCTGCCCCCTGGCCAGCCCAGCTTCCCTGAGGCTCCTCCCTGTCCCCTGCACCCATCACACACCAAGTCCATGATGATTGTTGTTTACGTGTCCACTCCCCCACCACACACATCAAAAGCACCTGGAGGCTCAGGGGTCTTCCTCTCTGGTTTTCCTCCATACCTGGCGCAATGGTGGTAAATGGTAGCACCCAATAAATGTTTGAGTAAATGAATAGACTACTTAGTTCCCTTTACAACTGCCAATGAAGGAATGATAAAGGAAGGTGGTGATTTTTAACTCCTAAGGTCCAGTAAGTCAGGGGTAGGGGTTTTTCTTTATTTCCAGCTCCAGAAAACTGCTGAAAGGAGATGGGAAAAAGCAACTCATTTCTAAAAATCCCTTTAGCATAACTTACAAGTCCCTCAGCCAGCCTGCCTCAACCCCCTCCCAAGGCATCTGGTTCTAGTTCAGGGCAAAGGAAGTTAAGTGTTTCATTATAATGCTTCTTGCACACACACATATGCATTTACTGGGGGTGGGGAGCTTTGGGGGAATTTTACTAATATTTGCTAATTTTTTATTGACTTACGTATAAAGAACTGTAAACTTAATTTTACATTTACTTATGTAGAAAGAACTGTAAACTTAATTTTCCTTTCCCTATGTTTCCCTCAATTTGCTCAATTCTTTCCTTCTGATTGCGATGAAATTTTTCTAGAAAATCATCACCCAATGTAAACCATATTTTTTAAGTATTTCCCTGTGCCGGGGGAAATAAAGTTTAAAATGATCTTTTAGATTATTTGTATATTTTTGAAATGTTTCAACAAGGTTAAATATAATTGGAAGGAAAAGCAAAGCATCATATAAGATTAAATCTCAGGTGAATTGAAGAAAAAAATAAGCATTTGTGCAAGGCCAGGGAGTCAAAATCTGATTTTCCTCTAAAGGAAAGAAGGTTCAGAGAGTTCTTTTTTCCAAGTTTAGAAACCATTCAAAACTCGTGAGTTTGCTGTTTTGATCATCACTGAAATCTCTTCCAGATTCCTACCCTTAGGAAAAAAATATATATATATATGTATATATATATATGTATATATATGTATATATATGTATATATGTATATATATATGTATATATGTATATATGTATATATATGTATATATGTATATATGTATATAATGTATATATGTATATATATGTATATATGTATATATATGTATATATGTATATATATGTATATATGTATATATGTATATGTATATATATGTGTATATATATGTGTATATATATGTGTATATATGTATATATATGTGTATATATGTATATATATGTATATATGTATATATGTATATATATGTGTATATGTGTATATATGTATATATATGTGTATATATGTATATATGTGTATATATGTATATATATGTAGCTTCATGCTTTAAAAGAAGAAAGATCAAAATAGTATATTAAGTAGTCTCAGAATACTTCTTGTACATATAAAAAATACTCAGTGAGTTATTATAAAATAAATCAAAAACAGACAGACTGAATCTTCCTTAGATTATATATGCTTTTAACTTCTAGGAGAATGAAGGATGCAAGCTAGAAGATTAATGAAAGAAAATCAATTACCCCCAAACAAAAATGTTTAAAAATCTCAATTATAGTTCAGATTGGCCCTTTCTAGCAAAAGTCAAAATGTGGTATGCAAACACATAATGTAATGCCTTCATTCTTCACACAAGCCTTGACTATGTACATGGTTAGTGCTCATTGTTTGAAAATCCAATGAGACTGTAATATCTGAGAAACCACCATAGATTATGCAGCAAAGGCATTTTACTGTATCAAATTCAAGTGGTCAGAGACATTTGAACCACAGCAACTCCATCTTGAATAGGGGCTGGGTAAAATGAGGCTGAGACCTACTGGGCTGCATTCCCAGGAAGTTAGGCATTCTAAGACACAGGATAAGATAGGAGGTCAGCGCAAGATACAGGTCATAAAGACCTTGCTGATAAAACAGCATGCGGTAAAGAAGGCAGCCAAAACCCACCAAAACCAAGATGGTTACAAGAGTGACCTCTGGTTGTCCTCACTGCTCACTATATGCTAATTATAATACATTAAAATGCTGAAAGGCACTCTCGTGAGCGCTCTAACTGTTTACAGAGGCCATGACAATGTCAAGATATTACCCTATATGGTCTAAAAGGGGAGGAATCCTGAGTTCCCGGAATTGCCCACCCCTTTCCCAGAAAACTCATGAATAATCCACCCCTTGTTCAGCATAAAATCAAGAAATAACGGTAAAAATGGACAACCAGTAGCCTTTGGGGCTGCTCTGCCTGTGGAGTAGCCATTCTTTTATTTCTTTACTTTTGTAATAAACTTGTTTTCACTTTATGGACTCACCTCCAATTCTTTCTTGCACGAGATCCAAGAACCCTCTCTTGGGGTCTGAATCGGGACCCCCTTCCTGGTAACAAAGTTACAAACAAAGGAAATCCTATCTAAAACAGATACAGTCGTGCACTGCCACAGAACGTATGGCCAATGATGGACAGCATATAAAACGATGGTCCCACAGGATTATAATGGAGCTGAAAAATTCCTGTTGCCTACTGATTTGTGTTACAATTGCCTACTGTATTCAGTATAGGAACATGCTGTACAGGTTTGTAGCATAGGATCAACAGGCTACACCATATAGCCTAGGTGTGTAGTAGGCTAGACCATCTAGGTTTGTGTAAGTGCACTCTAGGATGTTTGCACAACAACACTGCCCAGGGATGCATTTCTCAGAATGTATCCCCATCATTCAGCAACAAGTGAGTGTAAGTCTATTTCACTGTGTGTAACTTCCCCTACTGTAAGGGAACTCCCCTCAGAAACCCAAGCTCGCCTTGGTTCAGACCCACAATGCAGCAATTTAGGAAGAGTATGCTTCCCTGAGGAGGCACTTTAGCTCAAACCAGCCACCACTTGCTCACTGGCTTTCTACTACCTCCTCATCAGTTTTAGCCCCACAGAATCAATAGTGAGCTTCTTTTCCATGTTGGAATTAATTATAAATACAGGAGTAGGAGTTTCCACATTTGCATGAGGTAATCTATTTGTTAGTTAAGGACCCATATCCATTATCTATTGCTGGGTAACAAACACTCCCAACACTTAGTAGCTAAAGACAAGCACCATTTTATTTGTGCATCACTCTTGGGTCACAAATTTCAGGCTGAGCTCAGCTGGATGGTTCTTCTGTGGGTCTCCCTTAAGGTCCCTTATGTGGTCCCAGTCCTCTGACAGTTTGACTGAAAATGGATGGTGTAAGCTGGGAGCCTATTCACATGGCTGGCCATTGGTGCTGACTGTCAGCTGAATCTTTCTCATGGTGACTCATCTCAAAAAGGCTACCCTGACTTCTTCATATGGGGTGGTCTCAGTACTCTAGGCTGACAGACAAGACCGCCCAACAGACGTGTTCATGAATGTACCTTAGACCATCCAGTCTCATCAAGCTGCCAGATAATGGAAGCTGCAAGAAAGACCCCAGGCAAGACCAACAGAAGAACTGCCCATCTGAACCCAGTCCAAGTTATTGATTCACAAACATATGAGCAAATACAACGTTTGTGATATTGAGGCACTAAACTTGTAGTTGATTTTATACCAAAAAAATAGGTAACAGATCCTGAAATTCATACCTGAAGTGGGTGGAGGGTTGCGCTCATACAAAAGCTTAAAACATGCTTCATTGGCTTTGAAACTGAGTGGTGAATGAAGGTTGGGAAAATAGTAAGGTAACTGCTACCAAAGGCTAGAAAAAAAATGGTAACCAGTGGTATGTTGTGTTGGAAGAGCAAAACTGTAGCCTGCAGTGACTTGGAAGATAAAAATGTACCTAATGTGCTTGCTTTGGCAGCGCATATACTAAAATTGGAATGATACAGATAAGATTAGCAAGGCCCATACAAGGATGACAGGTAAATTCGTGAAGCATCTCATTATTTAAAACACACACACACACGTAAAATAAAGTCAAAAAAGAAAAGAAAAGAAATGTACCTAAGAAACTCAGACTTAGAGGAAGTAGGTTTTTGTTGTTGAACATTCGCACTATTGACATTTGGGGCCAGAAAATTATTTGTCATGGAAGCTGCCAATTGCATTGCAGCATTCTCAGCATCATTCTGGGCCTCTGCTTGGTAGATCTCAGAAGCACCCATTGAGTACAGCCTGAATTTTTGTCCCATATAACAGTGAGTATATAACATAGATTTTTTTAACCCACTGCATTTTGGGATTCTTTGTTATGTGCCAATAGCTGAATGACACAGCGTCTTATAACAGAAACAGAGAATTTGCTCATGCAGGTTTCTTTTCTTGCTTCAATGGTTCATTCTGTAAATATTTGCAGTGCATTCCTTGAGCCAAATAATATCTGAAATTTGGGGATAAATATGTATGAAGTGATAGACCTTGACCTGCTGAGGCTCCTTTGGAAGCACTGAGGTTAGAACAGCATCTTAGCCAGTAAGAAGTTTTCTTCTGGGGAAGGGAGAGGAGGCAGGGACTTCTAGGCAGAGAATGCAATATTCCTTCATTTGCCATTTATGCAACAACTAATTGTAGAGCTGCTAGTATGTGCCAAGTTCTGGAGATGGGGAAGAGGATAAGACAGACAAGAGTCATGCTTTCATGGTGGTTACAAGAAGTCAACAAGAAGATGAATGACATAATTTTATATCCCTATAAGAGGAAATACACAGCTGGGTGTGCACGCACATGACTGTAGTCCCAGCTACTCAGGGAGACTGAGACTGGAGGATTACTTGAGCCTGGGAAGTCGAGGCTGCAATGAGCTGTGATTGTGCCACCGCACTGCAGCCTGGGCAATCATGGAGGCTGAAAACTGATCTGCTATCTACAAGTGGAGACCCAGGAGAGCCGGTGGTGTAGATTCCAGCATAAATTTCAGTTGGAGTCTGAAATATATTAATATTTTGTATTTTGTTAATATAACGGAGATTTTATTTTTAATACAAGACTAGTCAGACCATGTCAAAGGAAGAGAGTCCACATGGCAGAGGGGAAGTCATCAGGGAGCAATTTAACAGCTGCCTGCACACTATTTTCCTTTCTGTGCTCATGCGTTTGGAGAATACATCTATGGTTAAGGAATTAGATCATCTCTAATCTTAACCTATGGTATTGACTATAAACAGGCTCCCTGTAAGCTTTGGTTATTTGAACGTCAATTTCTGCAGTGGAAGCAAATTTTAAAAGTGGAAGCTCAAATTGGGGCTCCCATCTGGGCACCACGTGTCTGGAACGACCGTTCTGAAAATGGGTTACGTCATGTGTGGCTTAGGCTGGCATTTCAGCAGCTTTGAGGGTTGGCCCATTAGCCAGGTGCATGCAGGGCCACGGTATGTGGGAGAAATAAGGCAGGAAGGAGCATTGCAAGGTGGCATGCCTTGTACCTGGCTAGAGGGTATATGAATCACACACAGAGAGAGCTGGGGGGAGAGTTTTCTCTACGAAATCCTTCTTTCAAGAAGGCAACGTTTGGGGTAGACAGTCTGGAAGTCCGTGTTAATTGGTCTTTTACTCATCTCCTCTATAGAATATGTCTCTGGGTCTGTGAATTGATCAATCAATGCAATCAGTATCAGCAGTATGTAAGATTTTCTTCACGAAATCTCATGGAGGAAGACCCATGCATGCCCAGCATTAGAGAATGGATTTTATTTGCACACAAACGCATAGAGAACAAATAGTGTGAGGACATCCACGTGGTAAAGGAAGCAAGGTATGGGGCCGGCGCATAGAAAGACAAGCCACTTAGTGTGGGTGTTGTGAAGGGTCGGGTACAGAAATCATGAGTCATGAACGTAGGCAGGGGCGCATGTTTGAGGACTTTACCACAAAAGCAGGAAGCATGCACTTGATTTGCTGAAAACCAGAAGCCATTGATCGAAGAGTATTGATCGAAACTTTAACAGGACCACGTGAACTCCCGAAAGATGAAAGTGTTTCCCCTGCTATATTTAAATATATCTAAACGTATACATATATTATGTATAAATATTATATTTATAATTACATCTATAAATAGACAATTATAAATATATACTTATAATTATATATTTATATACATTTATAATTAGACATATATGTCTATATATTTCTATATAATTTATAAATTTTATATAATATATGATTTATTACATATAATATATATATTTTATTTGTATAAATAAAATACCTATAAAGCTGTATAAACCTTATAAAAATTGTATAAACTTTATACAACTTTATAAAACCGTATATTTATACTATATTGTTATATATTATATGTAATTTATATATAATATATAATTTTATATTTATAAAATTTATAAATTTATATATATTTTTTGAGACAGGGTCTCACTCGCCTAGGCTGCCGTGCAATGGCACAGTCACAGCTTACTGCAGCCTCAACCTCTGGGGGCTCAATTGATTCTCCAACCTCAGCCTCCCCAGCAGCTGGGACCACAGACACTCACCATCATGCCCAGCTAATTTTTATATTTTTTGCAGAGACAGGGTTTCACCATGTTGCCCAGTCAGGTCTCCAACTGCTAAATATATTTTAAAGTATTAATTCTACACTGGATCTTAAGATATGGTAGACAGGTTTTTGCTTCCTTTAAGTTTGTTTTGTGTTTTGACCTCTATTGGATCAGCCATGATACTTGAGACATCTTTTGAAGGTGGTTAGAAGTCCAAGCTCCTAATAAGAAATTGTGACACTGCAAAGTCTCAAAAGTATTTTAGGATTTATGCATTTATTCCTAGACAGAATTTGGAAAAACATGGCTTGGCCTGAGGTTTTTTCCTAGTCCTACTGTTCTATAAACCTATGCAAACGTATTCAGTTTTATAACTTGGGAGGCCAACCAAATTTCAAAAGAGGTACCTATAACTCAAGTCATGCTGATCTTAGCAAACACTGCTCACAGGCCTTGTGGGAGGCTTCACCGTGTATTTGTTACATTGCCTTACAGTTCTGTGGGTTTATGAGTTGGTGCAACCTCAGCTAAGAATGCAGGCTGCTCGCGTTGTGTCAATGTCGTACGTTTTGAACGGTAAAGTGTATGTTCTTTGTGAACTGAGGACACATACCAACGTGCTGCAGTTCTTATTTCCATTTGCTTTAAGGAAATTATCCTCATATGTTAATATGTCGAACATGGAAGTTGAGGTATTTAGCATATCCTATATCAAAACTGTTATAAAACTGAGAGAAAATGCTAAAGGGAAAAATTGTATTCCAAACAACTCCCCTTCTTGTATCTCTATAAACCTTTTGATTTACTTATTTTTTTTTTAATTTTTCTGGAGACAGGGTCTCACTCTCGTCACCCAGGCTAGAGTACAGTGGCATGATCATAGCTCATTGCAGCCTTGACCTCCTGGGCTCAAGCAATTCTCCTGCCTCAGTCTCCCAAGTAGCTGGGACCACTGACACGTCTCACCATGCCTAGCTAATTTAAAAAATTTTTATTTTTAGTAGAGATGGGGCCTCACTATATTGCCCAGGCTCGTCTAGAACCCCTGGGCTCAAGCCATCTTCCCACCTTGGCTCCCCAAAATGTTGGCATTACAGGCACGAGCCATGGTGCTGAGCCATATCTCCATAAACCTTATTCTACATAATTGTATTTTTGAAACCTGCACCTTACATATTTGCTTGTGTTCATTGCATTTATTAATCATTTCACAGGCCCCAAAGGAACTTCCTATAGGTTAGTCGAGCAAAAGCCCAATTAACTTGGGCTTCAAGACAGTCTCTCCTAAATGATCCCTTCTTGAAAGAAAGAAGCATGTGCTGTGCTTGAGAATGCACGAACGTTTTCCATCCCTAAAACCAGCATTATTGGTCATAGATGACTCCAGTACAAATAGCCTTTTGAAATGTTTTTGTGGATTTCATTTTTTGTATTGATAATATCTAGCAATGCACGCTTCTTTCTGCAAATGAGAATCCACATTTTCAGATTTTCCGGGGTAGGGAATTCATTCAAGTTTTTTGTGCAATTGGGAGCCTTCTGCAACATCGATGAAAGACATGTGCAGGCTTCAAGCCCTGGCGTTGCAACTGATAGGGAAACAGATGGTGCTGCGAAAGGCATTCTTAGGAAAAAATAGCTGGAAACAACACAAAAGCCAAGGCGGGGAAATATTTGAAAGCGGCCTCTCGGATATTGGGGCTTTCTGTTTCAATATGGCCTTTGCCCTTCCTAAGATTAGTTTATAATAAAGTCAGATGGATGTCCTTGTCTGAACAAACCACACCTAGGATTTGCAAGCTGCTGACCATCACCCATTGGTTGGAGAGGGACAGATGTAGGAGACAGCTGTTTGCGGTTAAAGGCATTAACCACATTTATATGTTGTGTAATCATTTTCTCAGGGATCCAGCCCTGGAGCTCTTTTTCCCAAGGTCTTCATCTCGGTGTCCTGGCCCACAGAGGTCACTGCATTGGACACGCCAAATTACATCTATATGGCATCAATTTGGAGAAAAGAACACTCTTGCAAAAATTTTTTTTGTTTTATTTTTCTCTTTAGCAAATTGCATTTGTTGAAGTAATATCCCCTTTTGTTTTCATTATCATTAGCAACTTTTTAGCCAGAAGGATCTCATCAAAACTTGTCATATTTTCTCTTGAGCATAAGGGTGTAATGGGATATTTTCCCATTCATCTTGTCTGTTATTTACTGTTCAAGAAAATTACCTTTTCTCTGGGAACAAAAGAGGAGTGGCACAGCGTGAGCCAGAGGGTTGGACAAGGACAGGATTATTTAGGGCTTTGTGAGACTTGGAAAAGTGTTGGTACTTTGTTATTATTATTATTTTTCTCTTATTCTAAGTGTAAAAAGAAGAGATTATAGAGAGTAATTTATGATTTCAAAGGCTTTGATGGGTTATAAATGGAGAATAGTTTGGAGGAAGTTTATAATGAGAGGAACAGGGGGTTCTTCCCGTAGAGCCAGGAAGCTGAGGATGGAGGCTTAAATGGCCACAGTGGAAAGAAACAAAAATGAATTCATGCAATTTTTAAGGCAGAAAAGCGAGAACAAGATGTTTCATCAGTCTGCTGTTTATTTGCACCACGGAATTTTTAAAATTCTGTTACTTATTTCTTTTAGGGTTGAACATTTTATAAAAACTATAAGATATTTAATAAGAAATATTGGAAAAGGCTAGGCGCAGTGGTTCATGCCTGTAATCCCAGCACTTTCGGAGGCTGAGGCGGGTGGATCACTTGAGCTCAGGAGTTCAAGACCAGCCTGGCCAACATGGTGAAGCCCCGTCTCTACTAAAAATACAAAAATTAGCTGGGCACAGTGGCATGTGCCTGTAATCCCAGCTACTCGGGAGGCTGAGGCAGGAGAATCGCTTGAACCCGGGAAGCGGAGGTTGTGGTGAGCCGAAACTGAGCCACTGCACTCTAGCCTGGGCGACAGAGCGAGACTCTGTCTCAAAAAATAAGAAATATTGGATAAGCAGATAGCACTAAGAAAGATTGGTGCTACTTCTAGAGCAAATAAAATTTGTCTCATTCTGGAAATAAAATGTCTTTTCCAAATTAAATTAAGAGACAAATGTTTAGGGAGTTCTACTGTATTTTGGGCACAGAATAAAAATAAGAATACAATTTCCATATATATAATATAAATAAACAAATTTAAAAATATAAACAAACTTCTAGATAGGATGGTAGCAGGAGACTGGGCATATAAACCCACAGATCTCCAAGGAAAACCCATATCATTAGGCAGAATACCACAGTATTACCCAAACTTCACAGAATTTATCCCATTCAGAATTTGGCAGAAGGAAAATGAAGGGCTATGGAGAAGTAATCTGCAAACCACTTTCCCCCAACCCTAAAGAGCAGTAAACCAGTGCTATGGTCTGAAAGTTTGTGTTACCCCTAAATTCAGATGTTGAAATCCTAATTCCCAAGGAGATGGTGTTATGAGGTGGGGCCTTTGGGAGGTGATGAGATTCTGAGGGTGGAGCCTCATGAATGGGATGACTATCCTTAGAAAAGGGACCCCAGAAAGCTCCCTCGTCCTTTCCACCATGGAAGGACACAACAGAAAGGCACCATCTCCGAAGCAGAGAACCTTGATCAGATACCAAATCTTCTGGCACCTTAATCTTGAACTTTCAGCCGCCAGAAGTGTGAGGCTTCACAATCGAAACAAATTTCAATTGTTTATACATTTTCCAGTCTAAGGAAATTTATAATTGCAGCCCAAATGGACCAAGAAAGCCAGGGGGGAAAAAAAGAGAGTAGAAAAGAGACATAAAATGGATCCTCATTAATGCCCAAGGAGTTGCAATGAAGGATTGACCATGGGGTGAACACTCACACAACCAGAAAACTAGAAAAAGAACAATAGGCCAGGTGTGCTGGCTCACGCCTGTAATCCCAACACTTTGGTAGGGTAAGGAGGGCAGGTCACTTGAGGTCAGGAGTTTGAGACCAGCCTGGCCAACATGGTGAAACCCCACCTCTACTAAAATTACAAAAATTAGCCGGGCACAGTAGCACGTGCCTATAATCCCAGCTACTCTGGAGGATGAGACAAGAGAATTGCTTGAATCAGGGAGGCAGAGGCTGCAGTAAGCCGAGACTGCACCACTGCACTCCAGCCTGGGTGATAGAGTGAGACTCCACCTCAAAAAAAAGAAAGAAGGAAGGAAAGAAAGAAGAAAAGAAAGAAAGAAAGAAAGAAAAAGAAAGAAAGAAAGAAAGAGGAAGAAAAAGAACAATGGTTTCTGAGTGACGTCCACTCCACTAAACCTCCTTTTTAACAAATCCTGTCAACAGAGAAAAACTATTGCTCATCCAAAGAGGGATAAGGACTCCTGGAGGAGAGATAATTGCTATTTCTGAAACAGACTTAATGCAAAAGCATGCAAAATATAGTAAAATTATGGTGAATTGCATAGACATGAAAACCTGCCTTGATGTAGGTAAAGTTTCTTAGGAAGTGGCAAATGTCAGATTACATCCTGCGGAATATCAAGACTGAGAAATGGAAGAAAACTCAGGAAGTTCAAAACTCAAGAGACCAGTTTAATGTAATGAAAATGATAATACATTTGTTGTTGTTTCGTTATGTCTTAATATGGAGAAGAGATTCAGCAAGACTATATAAAAGAAATCATTCAAGAAGACAAGCATATTCAACCAAAAGAAATAGTAGAAGAAAATTTTTTTTGAATCGATGGAAGACCTAAGTCAACAGATGAAAGCAGCCCAATGAATTTGAAGACATGACAAACAATGCATTAATTTTGAACCTTAATGCCCATGATAAAAGTAATCATGATAGAAATGCAATATTTTAAATTCTAAAATAGTGGGCTAATATGTAAGGTCATGTTGATAAGCTCTGGATGGTGAATGGGAGTGGCTGAGGATTTGCACACTCAAATGTCTAGCCAGTGAGTTAATGGCTGAGGCAGTGTGGGCTAAGGAGATGCAGGTGTAAATGCTAGGACCCAGAATTGCATGCTGAATCACACTGAATCAACTCTAAATGAAAGTTCTTACTCCAGGATGTCATCCAGAGATGGTGAGATTTTTTTGTAAGGGAAATCACCCAATACAACAGTTTTATAATTCACAAATTCTTATTACATTTTGAAGAATTCAGCAGCTCAAAGACCACATATATAGGCTGGCAAGCCCTGTTTTGCCCACAACTACTGGGTAATGACCTCAGCTCTGCACATCTGCTTTCTCCAAGCCACACACATGTAAAAAATGCTCAGCTTCCTTCCCCAGCGATACCCACTCCCCTGAACCTTACCTCTTTTCTCCTGTTTTTGAGGGTTGTACCATATCTTTATGTATGTACCAGGATTTCACTCTTCTGCTGGTTTGCTGGCTTTCTCCATTCTCTGTCTGCCACCTAAATTTGTAAGATTAAGACCAGCAGAGACAGAGGAGGGAAGGTGATATGGTTAGGCTTTCTGTCCCCACCCAAATCTCATCTTGAATTGTAATCCCCGTAATTCCCACATGTCAAGGGAGAGACCAGGTGGAGGTAACTGGATTGTGGGGATGGTTTCTGCCGTGCTGTTCTTATGATAACGAGTGAGTTCTCATGAGATCTGATGGTTTTATAAGGGGCTCTTCCCCCTTTGCTCAGCACTTCTTCCTGCTGCCTTGTAAAGAAGGTGCCTGCTTCCCCTTCCTCCATGATTTTAAGTTTCCTGAGTCCTCCTCAGCCATGTGGAACTGTGAGTCAATTAAACCTCTTTCTTTATAAATTACCCAGTCTTGGGCAGTTCTTTATAGCAGTATGAAAACAGACTAATACAAAAGGGAAGAAAGATAAACCTAAGATGTGTATCCTAGTGTGTATGTCAGGAAAATGCATTGGAAGGGAGCAGAATTGCTTTGCCTGACAGAGCAAATGAATTTGGGGGTTGTTGCCTAGCAGCAGTCCTTGAAAGGGGAGAAGGTAAATGGGAAAGAACCTCAAATAGACCAGGACAGCAACAGCAACCCCAGGTCTTAAAGATAAAGAAGCATGGAGCGATTCTCCTTGATAGGGATGGTGAAGGGAGTTTTACAATCAGCAAGGTCTGGGGTTCAGTGTTGTGATGTCTATGGTGCTCTCACTGTGTCACTAACAAGAATGTAATGTCTATGGGTTTAACAAAGAAGGGACAAAGAGAAAGAAGGGGAATGATGAAGGCAGGGCTCTGAACACAGATAATATGAAGCAGGAAGGAAGGACGTAGTGGTTGCACCAAGAGCCAGAATTTGGAGAGAACGTGTCTTGGAGAATATAAGTGCCACTGCTGCCAATATCCACTTCCAGATAGCCTTGGAAATATTGGGAAGGTCACAAAAAAGTTCCTGTTGCAATGGGATGACTTCAGCTCTTTTATTTGGGTAGAAAAGGGAAATGTGACCTCAAGTGACTGAAGAGCTCTAAGCACTCAGGCAACACTTCCCAATGCCAGTCTGATGAAATCCCCTCTTGGAATTCTGCAGATGGTTCAAAATAAAATCCCAAGTTTTCTGTAAGACACCCAAGACTCTACTCTTCAGTCTCCTCTCTTTATATCATCTTGATTTCCCTTGACTGGTCATCCTCAAAAGGAGAGATTCCCTCTCCATCACCCACAGAGGATAGGGAGCAATGTCTGGAGAGAGTTTTGGCTGCCACATTGGGGGTGCTAGTGGCATCTGGTGGGTAGAGCCCAGGGATGCTGCTCAACATCCTACAATGCACAGGACAAAGGATTATCCAGCTGTAATGGTGGTAGCACCAAACTGGATAAGCCTTGAAGTAGATCCGGTATGTTGTTTCTAACCTCCAACCAATGATAGACTCTTCCTTTCTTCCCCATCCCTTTCTGTTCACCTGGCTAAATCCTAACTATTCATACTATTTTTGGTGGTCATTCTAATTTGAATGTCAGTACCAAGAATTGAGATGACTGTGCTTCTTATTCACAATCACCACCACTTATGGTGAGATCCTTCCCTTGTTAATCTGTTTCTTCCCCATTCACCCCCAGATCTCCACTCCTGGCAACTCACAGTCCCTCCATGAAATCTGTTTGACACATGGCCCTTAACTATGCCTGTGGTTTATAAAATGCATGGTGTTGCCTTGTGAGTGTATGTTTTTCATTTATAGAAATGGTATTGTGCTATAAATAGCATTCTGGTTATTAGTATCACTCACTCAACAAAAATGTTTGCAAGATTCAATGATGTTGCTGAATATGCAACAATTTTGCTGCTTATCAATTCATGGTAAGCATCTGACACATTTTATGAGCTTGTGGAGTGATGCCTGCCTGAGTTGACCTTCATATTCTAACGCCACGTGGAATATCCGGAAAGTGTCCTTTCACACACCTCTGTTATAATTTCTCCAGGATGTGCTCCCCAGAAGCAAAGGGGAAGAATAAGATGGAACACAGGGAAGGAGGAGGGTCCAATGTAAGAATGCAAAGGCTGGTGGGTGCAGTGGCTCACGCCCGTAATCCCAGAACTTTGGGAGGCCGAGATGGGTGGATCACTTGAGGCCAGGAGTTGAAGGCCATCCCAGGCAACATGGTGAAACCCCGTCTCTACTAAAAATACAAAAGTTAGCCGGGCACAGTGGCATGTGTCTGTAGTCCCAGCTACTCTGGAGGCTGAGGCAGGAGAATTGCTTGAGCCAGGAAGGAAGTTGCAGTGAGCCAAGATCTTGCCACTGCACTCCAGCCTGGGCAACAGAGCAAGACCCTGTCTCAAAAAAATAAAATAAATAAAAAAGTAAGGGCCAAGTCATGTGCAGGTAGGACCTCCTGGGAAGCTTATTGATTATTGATTGCTGCCATCAATTATATTTCTTCCAAGTTTGGCACCTGTCTTTTTTTTTAAAGCCTTCCTTGCACCTCAGCCCTGTCCCATCTGCTCTATTAGGTGATGCTTGTTAGTTGTAGCACCTACCCTTCCAACCCAGGAAGAGGGAGTCAAGTGACTTTAGCTTCTCCATCGTTTCTTCCTACAAGTTCCCCTCAATCCTCAAATACTGTCCATAAAAATCGTGTGCTCTCATGAAAGTCCAGAGATCCCCACTTTTCTTCAATGTGACATGTTCTATCTCCTGCAGTCAAACACTCAACAATTTATACCGAAGTTATTTCACTCTCCACCACCCAAGTGCACACAAGAGCTGGCCCAGATTCACTTCTTTTCATTCCCAGGTGGCTCTGTTAGTGTTGAGTTTCTTGAACTCAAGTTTTGCTAGACCACAGCGGATATACTCTCACACAGACAACAGCCTTTCATACTATTTTTGTATTGTAGAACTATGCAAAAAGAAAGAGAGAGAGGGAGATGGGGGAGAGAGTAGGAGAGATTGCAGGGAGGGAGGGAGTGAAGAAAGGAAGGGAGGGAGGGAGGGAGGCAGGAAGGCAGGAAGGAGAAAAGAAAGAAAGAAAAAGAAGAGAAACAGGAAGGAAAGGAGAGAGAAAGAAAAAAACAGGAAGAAAGAAAAAACAAAAAAAGAGAAAGGAAAAGAAAGAGATAGAGAAAAGAGAGAAAGGAACAAATGAAGAAAGGAAAGAATGGTGAGAGAAGGACAGGAGTGAGAGAGGAAGGAAGAAAGGAAAAATGGAGGAAGGAAAAATATTTAAAAAATAAATAATATAGGCATTATATATCTACCTACGACCTGGAAGCCCCCACTTTCAGTTGTTCCACCTTTCCCAACCAAACCAATGAACACCTTACATGCACTGATGGATTTAACTCTTAAAATAGGAGTGAAATATGACTGCTTAGTTTTTCAAATTCATTCAATTCATTATGGCATGCTTTCTCTCTCTTACACTAAATATTTTTTTAAAGTTAGAGATACAGTTATTATCTTCCTCCAGCAATAGAGGCTTTGGCAGTATATAGTTTAGGCACAGTCTCAGCCATAACGACATCATCTAAGATCAGAAAGAGAACAGAAAGAAAAAGAGCCACTGCAGAAGGCAGAGTGTACTAAGTTAGGGCAGGGTCAACCCTGCCACACCTGCAAACCACAGCCTTTCCTCTGTGGGACTCACTGCTTCCTCCCCTCCGTCTCTCTAGTGCGTGAATCGCGTCTCTAACACACGACTCTGTCTCTACTGCCCCACATCAGGGTCCCCAAGCCCTAGGCTACACATGGATACCAGTCCCTGGCCTGTTAGAAACTGGGCTGCATAATAGAAGGTGACTGCAGGTGAGCAAGCAAAGCTTCACCTGTATTTACAGCCGCTCCCCACCGCTCACATTACCACCTGAGCACCAGCTCCTGACATGGGATTTCAGTGTGTAAATTCCTACAAAAAAAACAAACCCAGGTGATTACTGGCTGGAAAGTGTTGATGTGAGTACGAAGCCTACCCCTAAGTCCAAAGTGTTGATGTCCCAAACCCAGAAAGGGAAATCCTCTCAGTGGTTCATTCCCCATTAGTAAACGGAAGAGCAACTGCTGCCTTCTGTGCATCCTGATTCTGGCAGTTCTTTTTTCTTTCCCTTTTTTCTCAGCATCTGAATTCAGGGGAAGATTTTAATGGTTCTCAGTTCCATCATCAGCATTGTCATGGGACCCTGGAATCGTCTCACAGACATGTGTCTCCTTTCCTTCTTTTTATTCTCCAAGGTGGGAAGAAATATATTATCTCTTGCTTTCTCCACTATCTCTTGGTTTCTCCCTTTTCTTGAATCTCAATAAAAATGTGGTTGTCCTGAAAAGTCTCATGGATGTGCACATTTTTATTGGTTGTGATTGTTAATCTACACATACATGCTGCACGCATTTTCTGTGTAACGCAGGAATCAGTACTGATTGCACGCCCACTGTGTTTGCAGACACTAAGCTAAGTGATCGTTTCAAGGGGAAAAAAAAACAATTTAAAACTAACATGTTTTCTTCTGTTGGCCATACTTAACTTAAATTCAGACTTTTGCTTTCTAGGCAATTGTTTTCCCATAACAAAATGTCCTGAAAATTAAAAGCCATTGACTTTTTTTTTTTTTAATCCAAAACGCTTTCCTTTGCCCAGATAAATAAACTCCACCTGTATAAATATTAGTTGGGCAGGAAAGAACTGTTTACTTATTATTATAAAGCCTGAAAGATACCGAGAAGGGAATCTTCCGTTTATTTTTTAAGGCAAAATAATATTTAAATCCGCTGCAACAGCAGGATGAGATGTGAGAAGCTAAATTAATAGGAAGAGAAAAACTTTAGTAAAATTTCACATTCCTATCTTCCAGTAGTTACTCTACAGTCATGAAATCACTGAGGATGTCTCATGCAGCATTGTATGTCTGCGGAGAATGGGCTCAGCAAATGTCCAGTCCTGAAACAAATGCAGGCTGAATATAATTTTCCTCTCCAATATGAGGAGCTATGCCAAGTCAGGATAAAGCCCTAGCGGGGAAGAATGTAACTGTTAGCCAACGACCATGGAGGCATCCTGGACACAGCTACTTTTCTTGTTACTCTTTAGGCTATTTTAAAATACAATTTCTCTCTTTGCCAATCCTTCCACTCAATAAATGGGAAGCATGTTCTCTTATTTGCTAACATTTGTCATTTGTTTTCTTTAAGTCAATTGTATTTAGTCTTCTTTTTTAGTAAAAGAATATGGGGAACGCTAGCTGCTTATTCATCTGTCACAAACAATTTGCAACACTGCCCTTTAGGTAGGGCTTTCAGTGTAGCAAATAAAAATACAGCCTACCCACCACCGTAAGTATGACCCGAATGTTGTATGGGATATACTTACACTAAAACAAGATTTACTGTTTACCCCGAATTCAAATTTAACTGGGTGTCCTGTATTTTATCTGGGAACCCAACTTTTATGAGCTGAAACTATCGCTGTTTTGTTTTGTTGTTAAAGTACCATAGGGTATGATAAAGATACCATTTTGGTCTGGGAGAGATGTTTCATCGTTGGCCTTCTGAGGAAACTATTGGAAGCCAGTCATTACGATGACAATGATTCCACTGTGGTCTGGGAGAAATATTTCACCACTGGCCTTCTGAAGAAACTAGAAGCCAGACACTGTTGCATTGCAGTCTGCTTAGGGTTCTATCTTCCCTCTCCAACAATGACAATTTGCTCTGAGGGTATCTGTAACTTTAAAAGTTCATACCCATCATTTGTAGCTAAACATACAACGCTAGGCGCAGTGGCTCACGTCTGTAATCCCAGCACTTAGAGAGGCCAAGGTAAGAAGATTGCTTGAGGCCAGGAGTTTGAGACCAGCCTGGGCAGCACAGTGAGAACCCATCATGTCTACAAAAATAATTTTAAAAATTAGCCAGGCGTGGTGTTGTGTGCCTATAGTCCCAGCTACTGGGGAGGCTAAGGCAAGAGGATCACTTAAGACCAGGAGGTCAAGGCTGCAGTGAGCCACGATCGCACCACTGCACTCCAGCCTGGACAACAGAACAAGACCCTGTCTCAAAAAATAAAATTAAAATAAACATAAGACTTTCTCATTGTGAAATATGATGTTCAGCTATTTAAATTATCTGAAAATAAGAACACGTCTTTTAAACATGCAAGGAAAGACCTGCCATGGAATTGAAATGAATTAGAAATAAAGGTTGACTTCTACTTCTGGATTTTCTGAAACAAAATGAAAACATGAGAGTTTATCAGGAGCCCCAGGCACCACCTCATAACCCTGAAGTAGATTCTAAAATGATCCAGCCCGAGGCATTTGCAAAATAAATAAAGAGGCCTTACATTTAATCAGTCCTATTAAAAAAAAACCCATGAAAACATATAATAATAATTATTCTGCCTTGAGAGAACCAAAACTAAAGCCTAATCACTCCCACCAACCCACAACTAGCTGGTTATAAAGCAGAAAGTTCCCATTTTGTTCTCTTTCTTGGAATCCATAACTATTGGGACTGGATTCTTTGAAGAATACTAATTTTCCAATTATTCTGTTCTAAAAGTAGTCCTCTTCTTATTTCTAAGAATTCTAATTCACCCTTTTCTCAACTCTTTCCTTTAGCATAGAGGATAGTAATACCTGACACAGGTTTGCATCTGTGCACGGGACCGTAACAGGGATGGAAACAGTAGGTATCCAATCTAACTCTGCTATCATCAAATAAATGAATAGTAGACATGCATTCATGAAATAGTAAGGCTAGATGTGGTTTCAAGGAAAGGGGAGGCCACCACAGGAAATGCTAAAACCGCCTTTGCAAAAATTATAACTGAGACAGTGTAAGAGATCTGATCTAACCAACTCCATCTTGCTTCTAACCTCTACGCTGTCCTTGTTCATTCCTGGGCATAGGCCAAACTAACTTTGGGAGGAACTTAGTTTATAGTTTATAGTTTAAAACAAAGACAATAACAGCCCTTTCCTAAAACAAAATCCCCTTCTTTACTGGGGACTAGACTGCCCTCGCAGGACTAACCAATTAGCCACAAGACTAGAAATTACGGTTTAGGAGTCATGCAGCTGGAGGCCACGAGATTCCAAACCTCCCCAAATTGCTCCTGAGGATCACATTACTGCTGCAAAACCCAAGATCACTAAAAGTTTTATGGTTATTTCTCAGACTATTTTTCCTTGTTTTGGTTATTAGTGTCTTCTTTAGTACTTTTAATACAGAAGAGCATATATTTTTAAATAAGCAATGTATGTACAACGTAAGAAAACTCAAATAATATGGGCCTTATCTCTTATCATGTTCTGCAAATAGTAATCATTAAGATGGCCAATTATTACTTTTCAGTGATCGTCAAATGAATACATATTTTACAATATCACCCAGAAAAGAAGTAACCAATGAAGGCCAGGTGCGGTGGCTCATGCCTGTAATCCCAGCACTTTGGGAGGCTGAGGCGGGCAGATCACGAGGTCAGGAGATCAAGACCATCCTGGCTGACACAGTGAAAACTCGTCTCTACTAAAAATACAAAAAATTAGGTAGGCGTGGTGGCGGGCACCTGTAATCCCAGCTACTCGGGAGGCTGAGGCAGGAGAATGGCATGAACTCAGGAGGCGGAGCTTGTAGTGAGCTGAGATTGCACCACTGCACTCCAGCCTGGGCGACAGAGCAAGAGTCCGTCAAAAAAAAAAAAAAAAAAAGTAAGCAACCAATGAAATGGATAAATTATATAAAAGGTTATCTCATATATTAAAAAGCAACTTGTGGTCAGGGGTGGTGGCTCACGCCTATAAACCTAGCACTTTGGGAGGCCGAGGCGGGTGGATCACCTGAGGTCAGGAGTTGGAGACCAGCCTGGCCAACATGGCAAAATCCCGTCTCTACTAAAAATACAAAAATTAGCCAGACATGGTGTTACGCACCTGTAATCCCAGCCACTTGGGAGACTGTGGCACGAGAATCACTTGACCCTGGGAGGCAGAGGTTACAGTGAGCCGAGATCGCCCCATTGCACTCCAGCCTGGGGCCCAACTGCATCTCAAAAAACATAAAAAAGTAACTTGCGGCCACGGATGGTGGTTCATGTCTGTAATCCCAGCCCTTTGGGAGGCTGAGGCAGGAGGATTACTTGAGGCCAGCCTGGGCAACAGAGCAAGACCCCAGATCTACAAAAAAAATTTAAAAATTAACTGAGTGTGGTGGTACATGCCTGTGGTCCCAGCTACTCAGGAGGCTGAAGTGGGAGGATTGCTTGAGCCCAGGAGATCGGGTCTGCAGTGAGCTATGATAGCACCACTGCACTCCAGCCTGGGACACAGAGCAAGAAACCCTATCTCAAAAATAAATAAATATACTCAATGGTCTTGAAGTGTTAAAAAAAAATACTGAAGAAATTTTAAAATTAATTAAAGCAACCTGCAGAAAAATCTATACTAGATTATTAACCTCAATTATTTAAAAATGCAAATCAAAATGTAAGACTTTTTACCTATGCAATTGGCAAAGAAAATTCAAAAGTATAATAACACTTATGATAGCAAATGTCTGAGGAAAAGTGTGTTAAGAGAACAACAACTTAAGCCGCATTAAATTTAAAAGAGTTGAATTGAGCAAAGAACAATTTGCGAATTGGGCTGACTCCCAAGCCAGAGTCGGCTCTGAGATTCCAGTGCAGCCACGTGGTGGGAGATTTGTGGACAGAAAAAGGGAAGTGACATACGGCAAGTAGAAGTGAGGTTCAGAAACAGCTAGTTTGGTGACAGCTCAGCGTTTGCCCTATTTGGGCGCAATTTGAACAGTTGGCTACATTTGATTGGCTGAAACTCAGTGATGGGCATAAGAGTAGGCTATGGTCCTTCTACATCTCCACTTGTTAGAGTTCACAATGTACCGAGAAAGCTTTGGGCTGAACTTAAAATATGTAAGGAGGCAGCTTTAGGCTAAACTTGATTTCACAAGTATTTTTTGGTTGTTTTCTATTTAAACTATTGATTGAGTATACACAAGAGGAGTATTATATTTTCTGGAGGCCAGTTTGCCAATGTTAAAATGTAAAATGACTGTAAGTAACAAGTTTAAGGGTGAGAGGTGTGGCAGGAGGTATTCATCTATCTTCTTTTCATGTGCCAATGTGTCCATTTAAAATACTGGAGGGGGAACAAGAAAGAATGATGGAGAAGCCACATTTCTGCCACATTCCTGATGTAGGTGGGTGGTGTTTACTGGCTTGGCTAATTCCTCCTGACCCTCCTAGCAGGCAGGACAGTCTAAGGAAAAGACTAGAAGACCTTAAATAAAGCCCCTTAGCTCCCAAGCCCACCATAAAAAGGGGAGAAAGAGGAACGGCCTTGCAAATGGTTCTTGGTTCCTCTGGGGACCCTAAGTCAATTAATGATGCCTCCTGGCTTGTTCCAGCTCTTTTGAGGTGACTATTAAAATATTCAAGACTAGAGGCCGGGCGCGGTGGCTCACATCTATAATCCAAGCACTTTGAGAGGCTGAAGCGGGTGGATCATCTGAAGTTGGGAGTTCGAGACCAGCCTGGCCAACTGGTGAAACCCTACCTCTACTAAAAATACAAAAAAAAAAAAAAAAAAAAAATTAGCAGGGCATGGTGGCAGGTGTCTGTAATCCTAGCTACTTGGGAGGCTGAGGCAGGAGATTCGCTTGAACCTGGGAGGCGGAGGTTGCAGTGGGCCGAGATCGTGCTGCTGCACTCCAGCCTGGGCAACAAGAGCGAAACTCCATCGCAAAAAAAAAAAAAAAAAAAAAAAAAATCAAGAATTTTGTGAGCTAGTTGTTAAACTGCTGGCAGCTTGAAATCAATTATGGGAAGAGTTAGCATTTACACCACAGCACTGGCAAACGCTACAAATCGGGGCTTTACTTTACCCAGAGGAAGTGGCTCACCAGCACACCACTCTTCTCCGTCTCCATTTTTGTTTTTTGTTTTTTTTGAGGCAGGGTCTTGCTCTGTCACCCACACAGATACATCCAGATGGCCTGAAGCAACTGAAGAATCACAAAAGAAGTGAAAATGGGCCGGGCGCAGTGGCTCTCGCCTGTAATCCCAGCACTTTGGGAGGCGGAGGCAGGCGGATCACGAGGTCAGGAGATCAAGACCATCCTGGCTAACGCGGTGAAACCCCGTCTCTACTAAAAATACAAAAAAAATTAGCTGGGCGTGGTGGCGGGCCCCTGTAGTCCCAGCTACTCGGGAGGCTGAGGCAGGAGAATGGCATGAACCCGGGAGGCCGAGCTTGCAGTGAGCCGAGATTGTGCCACTGCACTCCAGCCTGGGCAACAGAGTGAGACTCCGTCTCGACAAAAAAAAAAAAAAGAAAAAAGAAAAAAGAAGTGAAAATGTCTGGTTCCTGCCTTAACTGATGACATTACCTTGAGAAATTCCTTCTCCTGGATCAGAAGCTCCCCCACTGAGCACCTTGTGACCCCCGCCTCTGCCCGCCAGAGAACAACCCCCTTTGACTGTAATTTTCCACTACCTACCCAAATCCTATAAAACGGCCCCATCCCATCTCCCTTCGCTGACTCTCTTTTTGGACTCAGCCCGCCTGCACCCAGGTGATTAAAAAGCTTTATTGCTCACACAAAGCCTGTTTGGTGGTCTCTTCACACAGACGCGTGTGACAGAGTGCAGTGGTGCAATCATAGCTCACTGCAGCCTTGACCTCCTGGGCTCAAGCAGTCCTCCTACCTCAGCCTCCAAAGTAGCTGGGGCCACAGGTGCACACCACCACCACACTCAACTAATTTTATTTTATTTTTTGTAGAGACGGGGTCTTGCTATGTTGCCCAGGCTGGTCTTGAACTCCTAGGCTGAAGTGATCCCCCTGCCTTGGCCTGCTGAAGTGCTGGGATTACAGGCGTGAGCCACTGTGTCCGCCACAACAGAGTTTTCCATTCTCTTAATGTTTTGTTGTTTGTTTGTTTGTTTGTTTTTGTTTTAACCATACAGGAGACTTAATCTCTTAGAGTCTCGAGAGGACAGTGGCAGCCTGATATTTAAGGAGTTCTTTTCGTCTGGCCAGCCACTGGCTGGTTTTTAAGGCGTGATGATGATAGGGCTCCAATGAGTGGAGGAACACCAGGGTTCTTGGTCCTCGCGCTGGTTTTGATAAAACGACATGGACACATGTGGAGTGGTTTAAAGGAGTGGAGAGTTTAATAGGCAAGAAAGAAGGGAGAAGAAAGAAGCTCCCCTGTACAGAGACAGAGGCAGGGGGCTCCAAAGGCGAGAGGGGAGGCCCCTCCTGCAGGGGATACTGGCCAGTTACATGAGGAGGCTGGAGTAGGCGATCTGATTTGCATAGGGCTTAGGGAATTGGTTTGACCAGGCATGTCGTTTAGGTAGCTGCGAAAAAAAACTGGCCTTCCCACCCTAGCCTTTTAATATGCAAATGTGGGGCGCCATGATGTTCTACACACGTGGGGATATGTGTGGGCAGCCGAGCTGCCAGGCACATATTGGGCAAGGGCAAGAAGAAGAGGGAGGGAATCGCCATGTTTGGATGGACCCAGTTTCTAATCGCCTGTATTTGCATATCAAAGGTTGCCCGCCGAGTCTAAGAGCCGGGGCTTTCCTGATAGACAAGAAAGGTTTCTGGAGCTGCTTTAAAAGAAACGAAAACTTTCCAAGGACCCCTTTTCCTCTCTATCTGCCTAAAATAATTTCTTAATAACTCCTACCACAATGAGAATGCCAGTGGTAGTGGAAATAGATCAAAAAGCAAACGTGGGGCAAAAGTCCGGGATGCCTGTAGGAAAACTCTGAGGTACTAGAGAGTTCTGGAAAAAAGCAGATTTCCAGCAGCCTAAATGTACATTTTAGTAGAAAAAATGCCTTTCACTAGCAACTTTCACTTAATACAAAGCAGAAGGGTAAACTTAGGAACAAAAATAATTCTCAACATAGAAATAAAATGCACTGGGCCAGGCACGGTGGCTCATGCCTGTTATCCCAGCACTTTGGGAGGCCGAGGCGGGTGGATCACCTGAGGTAGGGAGTTCGAGACCAGCCTGGCCAACATGGGGAAACCCCGTCTCTACTAAAAATACAAATATCAGCCGGGTGCGGTCGCGGGCACCTGTAATCCCAGCTACTTGGGAGGCTGAGTAACGAGAATCGCTTGAACCCGGGAGGCGGACGTTGTAGTGAGTCAAGATCCCGCCACTGCACTCCTGCCTGGGCGACAAGAGCGAGACTCCATTTCAAAAAAAAAAAAGAAATAAAATGCACTGTAATCTGTTATTCAATATAATTGGCAAAAGAGACAATAAACTACTTCAGAACATCTACTAATTTACTTCCAAATGTTACAGAAATATGGCAGGTCCACATCTACTAGCGAATATTCACGTTACAGACTATAAAACAAAACACAAAATGGGCACTCATAACAAATAAAAGTTTTATTTGGCATTAATAACCTAACATGACGTGGGAACACTTTACTATGTGATTAGTTGCAAAGTTCAGAAGTTGGAGGAATGGGGAAAGATGGTTTATAACAATTTTTTTTTTTTTTTTGAGACGGAGTCTCGCTCTTATCACCCAGGCTGGAGTGCAGTGGCGTGATCTGGGCTCACTGCAACCTCCGCCTCCCAGGTTCAAGTGATTCTCCTGCTTCAGCCTCCCGAGTAGCTGGGATTACAGGTACCCGCCACCACACCTGGCTAATTTTTGTATTTTTAGTAGAGATGGAGTTTCACCATGTTGGCCAGGCTGGTCTCGAACTGCTGACCTTAGGTGATCCGCCTGCCTCGGCCTCCCAAAGTGCTAGGATTACAGGTGAGAGCCACCGCGCCCGGCCTGTAACAATTTACTTAGAACTTTTCCTTTGAAGTTGACTACTTGACTACTTGAATGCAAGTATTTCAAACAAAAAGGAGTTAAATATCACATTTGCTACGCATGCAATTTAGAGATAGCTTCACAGATGGTGGGAACGTACCTTAGTATCGCCATTATGGAAAACAATGTGGAAGTTCCTCAAAAAACTACAAACAGAACTAGCATATGGCCCAGCAATCCCACGACTAGGTATTTAGAGATATCTGCACCCCCTGCCCCATGTTCACTGCAGCCCTATTCACAGTAGCCAAGACATGGAGTCCACCTAAGTGTCCATCGATGGATGACTGGGTAAAGAAAATATGGTATCTATATATGACAGACTACTATTCAGCCTTAACAAGGGGAAATTTTCTGTCATTTTGACAACTTGGAGGAAGCTAGAGGGCATTATGCTAAGTGAAATAAGCCAGACAGAGGAAGATAAATAGTGCATGATCTCACTTATAGGTGGAATCTACAAATGTCAAATTTGGCTAGGTCAGGTGGCTCATACCTGTAATCCCAGCAGTTTGGGAGGCCAAGGCAAGCAGATCTCTTGAGCCCAGGAGTTGGAGACCAGCCTGGACAACATGGTGAAACCCCATCTCTACAAAAAATACAAAAATTAGCCAGGTGTGGTGGCATATGCCTGTAGTCCCAGCTACTCAGGAGGCTGAGGCAGGAGAATCGCTTGGGCCTGAGAGGCCAAGGCTGCAGGGAGCCGTGATTGCACCACTGCACTCCAGCCTGGGTGACAAAGCAAGACCCTGTCTCAAAGGAAAAAAAAATGGAAATTGGTAATATCTGATCATAATTGAATTGTGTAAATCCTTTAATCCAGCAATTCCTTTTGTAGAAACTGTTCCTACAAACATACCCACCGACACAAATATGCAAACATACACATACGTGTGCACCGATTATTTTATTATTTATTTTTTGAGGTGGAGTCTCCCTCTTTTACCCAGGCTGGAGTGCAGTTGCATGATCTCGGCTCACTGCAACCTCTGCTTCCCAGGTTCAAGCGATTCTCCTCCCTCAGCCTCCTGAGTAGCTGGAGTTACAGGTGCCTGCCACCATGCCAGGCTAATTTTTGTATTTTTAGTAGGGATGGGGTTTCACCATGTTGGCCAGCTGGTCTCAAACTTCTGACCTCAGGTGATCCGCCCACCTTGGCCTCCCAAAGTGCTGGGATTACAGGCGTGAGCCATGGTGCCCGGCCCCCGATTATTTTATGTAGTATTGTTTGTAATGTAAAAATGGCAAACCACTTAATTCTCTCTTCCTCAGGCAACTGGACAAATTACGGTGCACCTTATCCATAAGTAGAATATCACACCATGACTGCAAGTGAAAATACAGCAGCTATGCATGATGATAAGGAGAATCATCACTAATATAGTTATATTATATGATTATGACTAATATGATATTATGACTACTATGATTATGACAATAAACCCAACCAAAGACCAAATTCCTTGCCTGCCTGCAGTTTGCATTCTAGTGGGAAGAATAATAAACAAAATAAATAAGAAAAGGGTACAAACCAGTAGAAAGTGCTCAGTGGTAGAGAGGAAAAAAAAGAAAGTTGGGATAGTGGTAGAGAGTGTTGGAATCAAGTTGAAATTTTAAATAAAGTGCTGGATGAATTGAGAAGATATTTGAGCAAAGAGTTGAAGATGGCGAAGGCGAAAGCTATGCTGGTATCTAGAACAGAGAAAAGGGCCAGTGGAAAGGCCCCGTGGCAGGAGCTTATGGGATGTGTTCTAAATCAGCAAAGAGTCCAGGCATCGGGAGCTGATGCCCTGGAGAGAGACTCAGGGACATTACTGACAGCAGATCATGTAGACCTTTCTATACTGTTGTTATGATGTTATTTTGCCTTCTGAGTGCAACAGAGAGCTACTGGAGGTTTCTGATCAGAAAGGGAGCCCACAGGAATAATTACTGCCCCTATTTGAAGAATGGATCCATTAATACGGAGAACAGCTAAGAAACATGTCCACCACAATGGCCCCAGTAAGAAGCAGAACCTGACCCAGGTCTCTGACTCATAGCTCGAGACACATTCAAGCTCCCCAGACTCTTACTTACAATTCACTACACTGCTCATAGAAATATTTTCCATTTGGTAAAAGACCAAATGTTGACTTGGCGACATTGAGTAGAAATTCTGAGATGAATTCAGAGAAAGGAAAGGTGACCCATCAAAAAAAGTATCCTTCAAATGCCCACTGCAAGAATGAAGATTCCAGAGAGATCTTTACACCTCTTTTCTATTTCTCAGTGCAGTGGCACCTCTGCAGTGCCAGTTGATCTTGGCAGCCATCTGGTTGGATAAACTTGTCTGCAGTTTTTCTACCCGGTGGCTCTAATCCCATCCAAGTAAAACACTGCAAGAGCTCACATTCTTGGCTTGGCATGTGGGCATGATATGTCATAAATTTCAAAATTCGAGGATGACCCTGTTGATCCAGGATCTTCTTTGGCATGAAGATTAATCTTGCTGTGAAAGCTTAAAGGAAGATCACCATTCGAGTCTTGGTTCTTTCTGTTTTGCTCTGTGTTCATGGCTCCCAAATGGTCCCCAATCTTATTTTTCTAAGTAGTGGCTTTTAACCAGGGGAGATTTTTACCTCCCAGGGGCTTTTGGCAATGTCTGGAGACATTTTTAATTGTCACCACAGGAGTGGGGGCCAAGGGGGATACTGGTATCTAGGGAGTAGAGGCCAAAGATGTCTATCAACATCCTATAATGTATAGAATAGCACCAACCACAGAGAATCATCCAGCCTCAGATGTCAGTAGTGCTCAGTTAGAGAAACCCTGGGCTTTTGCATGAGAAACTCTATCTAACAATGTATCATCTATCCTTATCAACCTATTATCTATCATCTGTCTATTCATCTGTATCTATCTATCTATCCATCCATCCATCCATCCACATCCACATCCAAATCCACATCCACATATAACTCCTGGGCTCAAGCAATCTTCCTACCTCAGCCTCCTGAGTAGTTAGGACTACAGGCATGCACCACAACGTCCAGCTAATTTTTTCATTTTCTGTAGAGACAGGGTCTTACTAGGTTGCCTAGCTCAAGTTTTATAAATTGTAATGGAATTGTGAAGCCCATATAACAATGACCAAAGTAGATACTGATAAAGAGAACTCTACACATGATTAAGTGGTTTTATTTCTGGGATATGTTTAAGACTTATTTTCATTGTCACAAATGCTGTAACATTTACAATATGAAACATGACAATATTAACATATTATAATATTAAATTTTTTTTAAATAAACCATTTAAAATATTGACTAATTCAAATTTGAAAGGCTAACCAAACCCCTCAAAAAGATATAAATTTTTAAAAACTGAGCCATCAAAGGCCGGGTGCGGTGGCTCACGCCTGTAATCCCAGCACTTTGGGAGGCCGAGGCAGGCGGATCACGAGGTTAGGAGATTGAGACCATCCTGGCTAACACGGTGAAACCCCGTCTCTCCTAAAAATACAAAAAAATTAGCCGGGCGTGGTGGCGGGCGCCTGTAGTCCCAGCTACTCGGGAGGCTGAGGCAGGAAAATGGCGTGAACCTGGGAGGCGGAGCTTGCAGTGAGCCAAGATCGCGCCACTGCACTCCAGCCTGGGCAACAAAGCGAGACTCTGTCTCAAAAAAAAAAAAAAAAAAAAAAAACAAAAAAAACACTGAGCCATCAAAATTCATTCCGCCTGTCTAGAAAGAGTACATCTTATTACTATCTTTGGAGCCTAGAATGAGGATGATCTGTCATCACTTAAAGAACACATTTAAAGAGCAGAAAACTAAGCTAAACTTCAGTGAAGATAAAAGGATGGAAAACGTTAGGCCAAATCAGGTCAAGAGTAAGAAAATAAAGATATGGGATCAAGATACAGGCAAATGGTTAAAATGGCAGGTTCTCCTACATTTTCTGTGAACCCTGAAGGAGTCAGTGCTTCAAGGTGGATCCCAAGTCACTCAATGGGACTAAATTCAAAACAGGGTCAAGCGGCCATTTGCTGACAAGAGCTCACACATGTGCTCTAAGTTCCTGGAAAACCCAAACATTCTTACAACTTTGAGACTTTCACAACTGTCAATTCCTATCCATGCAGCCTGAATCAATCAATAGACTGTGATCTGTGTCAACCCATCAGAATTCAACAAGCATCAACTAGTCAGAACTCGGTAAGTGTCAACCAGTTAGAACCCAACAAGTGTCAAACAGTCAGAGCTCATCGGGGGTCGACCCATCAGAACTCAACAAGTGTTGACTCATCAGAACCCAAGTGCCAAACTCATCAGAACTCAACAAGTGCCCACCAGTCAGAACCCAATAAGTGTCAACCCATCAGAACTCAACAAGTGTCCGCCTATCAGAACTCAATGAGCATCAGCCCATGAGAGTCCAACAAGTGTCAAACAGTCAGAACTCAATGAGCATCAACCAGTTAGATAGAACCCAGTGAATACCAACCCATCAGAACTCAACAAGCACCAACTAATCAGAACTCAACAAGTGTCAACCAGTCAGAACTAAACAAGCATCAACCAGTCAGAATTCAACAAGCATAAACCCATCAGGACCCAACAAGTGTCAACCAGTCTGAACTCAACAAGCATCAACCCCTCAGAATCCAATGAGTGTCAACCAGTCAGAACTCAACAAGCAGCAACCAATCAGAACTAAACAAGTTTGCATTCCTCAGTTGCCTAGCAGACCAGTGGGAACCTTGGGCAGGAACTCTACTAAAAAAAAAAAAAAAAAGAAAGAAAGAAAGAAAAAACCCTCTCTTTGCTCTCCAGAACTGTATCTCTCTAGTTTGCAAACTATTCCCTGGAATAGTTTCTCTTGCCATTTTTAAAAGAAAACCCTTTTCAGTACATTTTGTTGACACTTTGTTACTGAGACAAGATGAATTCATAAGCCCACAAAAACTAAAACTCTGATAAGAAATAGTTAAGAGTTAGACACATGCAATTCCACCAACATTTCTTTCCCCTTGGAAAAGAGAACACACAAACCTATCCAGAACTCCAACGTCCACCCAGATCTTCCATGAGAGTTGGAAGTCTCTCAAATGGACTGGCTACAGAGTCATCGGCCGCCAGAAGCTTACACAGATATTCCACTGCCGTTAGGAAAAGAGAATCCATCCAACTGGCATCGCAAACTAGCTCATAAAAAGTAATGGCAACCTGTAATATCAACGGCACTTTGGGCCCAGCAGTTGTTTTTAAAAAAAAAAAAAAAAAAAAGACCTAAGAAGTTGGACCAACTAGTTGTCAATGTACAAATTTACAAAGTCTAGAAACAGGGGCCGGAGAAAAGAAAATCATACTCACATAATGCCAGAATACTATTATTCTAATAAATGTACTGCAAAATGCATATCTTAGCCAGAAAGCTGCTGTGTGCCATATTAAACAATGGAAATGAAATGGTTTTGAGTTTTTAATTCACAGATGTCATGAGAAAGCAAGCAACAAGTTTCCTCTCAAGACTAGCTGGCATTTGCTCCCTTGTGAAATCACCAATATTGAGTCCCGTTTTAATGTGGAAAAGCAGAGAGATACGGAGTGCAGAGCTGTCACTTTTTTTTAATAGAAAAGTGCTTTTCAAACACTAAGCAAGACCCAAGAAAGGACCATGGATTCAGTTTTGCAGGTCTCTACTCGTATTCAAAATAATTTGAAATGAAACAGTGCTCTGTGTAACCATGATTAATAAATTCATATCTGATAACCCTGTTTCTACACTATTAATATTGTTAAGTTTGGATTGTCTTGTTCAGCTGTAGTTTTAGGGGCGTGTGTGCGTTTGCATGTATGTGAGTCCGGATGGTTCTGTAAAATATGCACAATATATTTCTCATTGTGGCCACAGTAAAGTTATGAAAAATAGGAGCTTGGAGAATGTCTTGTTAAGCACCCATTATTTTAAAGGTTATATTCTTGAAAGAAGCAGAAGTTTCCCATGTTGGATTGTTACCAGATACTTTTCTTAGAAAAAAGGTAGAGTGGGGTTGGGTGGGAAAAAGAAAAATCCCAAGAAAAAAGAAAAGGCATCTAAACATCTGTCCACAGTGAAATGGATACTTCTACTGTATCCTGTACTGACTACCGCAGCTGACTTTCACAAATAACGAATGATGTACCTTCTCCAGGGCCAGCTTTTTCCAGCTCTAGATGTTCAGGCATTCTGGTCATTATTCATCAGTTCAATTAAAAACAAGCCCAGTGTAAAATAACAAGAACTCTGAACTCTGTAGACCAAATTACCTTTCTTCATTCCTCACTTACTGGAATGACATCATTTTTTAAACTTTGCCTTTTGTAGATTTTTTTTTTTCCTTTTTTCAAGGCACTCATTTTAAAACGGCCTCCGCACAATTCCTGATTCATTATGAATTGTTTTTCAGCCAGTGGGTTTCCGAGACATTGCCCCCAAGGGGATTTTAAAAGCTGAGTATGCAGCCGGCTCAAAGCCAGACATTTATAACTAGACATGAAAGCATGAATCTATTCTCCGTGATGTCCTTGAGAACTAAAAATGTTTCAGATGAAAGTTAAGACCCAGGTGTGCAGACCTGTGTCTTCTCTGATTTGTGGAGTAGGGGGTGGTTGACGGTGGTTCCCAGGGACTGAGAAGAAGGGGGGACAATAGGGACTTGCTGTTTGATGGGTGTAAAATAAAAGACAGAGCTCATGGGGAACAATGTGGATTAAACACGTAAAAATTTAACAGGGTAGATGTCATGTTTTGGTTTTTATCAGAATTTTAACAATTGAATTGTAGCTTTACATGTGTAGAAAATGGTCTCTTTCATGGACTTCTCAAAGGTAGCTTGCCTAGTAAAATAAATTTGCAAGTCCAGACATGGTGGCTCGTGAGAGCCTGTAATCCCAACACTTTGGGAGGCTGAGGCAGAAGGATTACTCAAGCCCAGGAGTTTGAGACCAACCTGGGCAACATAGCAAGATCCTGCCTCTACAAAAAAATGTAAACATTAGTTGGGCATGGCGGGGGTGCATCTGTAGTCCCAGCTACTTTGGAGGCTGAGGTGGGAGGATGGCTTGAGCCTGGGAGGTCGAGGCTGCAGTGAGCTGTGATCGTGCCATTGCACTCCAGCCTTGACAACAGAATGAGACCCTGTCTCAACAAAAATAATATAATAAAATAAATTTGCAACAGATGAATGGATAAAGAAAATATGGCAGCATATATATGCCATGGAATACTATTCAGCCATTAATAAAGGATGAAATCCTGTCATTCTCATCAACAAGGATGAAACTGGAGGACATTATGTTACGTGAAATAAGCAGAACTGGAAAGGCAAATGTCACAGGTTCTCTCACATGGGAACTAAAAGTAGCTCTTACAAAAATAAAAAGTAGAACAGAGGATACTAGAGGCTGGGAAGGGTGGGGGGAGGAGGGGACAGAGCTTTTTTTTTTTTTTTTTGAGACGGAGTCTCGTTCTGTCGTCCAGGTTGGAGTGCAATGGCACGATCTCGGCTCACTGCAAGCTCCGCCTCCTGGGTTCAAGAAATCCTCCTGCCTCAGCCTCCTGAGTAGCTGGGATTACAGGCGCATGCCACCATTCCCAGCTAATTTTCGTATTTTTAGTAGAGACAGGGTTTCACCATGTTGGTCAAGCTGGTCTCAAACTCTTGATCTTATGATCCATCCACCTCAGCCTCCCAAAGTGCTGGGATTACAGGCACGAGCCACCGTGTCCGGCCGAGTTTTCTTAAAGGATACAAAATTACAGCTAGACAGGAGGAATACCTTCTGGTGTTCTATAGCCCTGTAGGACGACTGTAGTTAACAATAATATACAGTTCCAAATCTAGGATATTGAATGTTCCCAACACAAAGAAATGATGCCTGATTGAGATGCCTGACGGATTTGCTAATTACCATGATCTGATCACTGTACATTACATTTACTCAAACATTGGTATGTACCCCAAAAATATGTACAAGTATTATTTGTCAATAAAAATGTAAATTAAAATTTTTTTTAAAAAAATTTGATCCACAGAAGGGTTGATGGACTAGTTTTAGTACATCATGGTTTTCTGCCTTATAACAAAACATCGAATTTCCAGTTCCCTCATCAATATACTCATGGGAGGTCTTCAGCATTTGATGGTTTTAACTGGCATCCAATATTTTTGTCAGAAAATACAGAATGCTGTTCTTTAATAAATGTCTAAGTATTTATATAAAATAAATATATAAAAATTCTATACATTATACTAAACATATAAATATATATTATATAAATCATATTATATATACATTATATATATATTATACACCTATACTATATATTATAGTATACTTATTATGTATAATATGTAGATATATTAAAGTCCTGTATATGAATATAGTACATGCATATATTCATATACAGCACTTTAATATATAGTACTTTAATATATATTGTGTATATATTGTATGTTAATGTAACATATTCATATATTGTATATATTAAATTTAATATACATGTATTGCATAAATACATTAAAAATATATATTAACATAAATTATATTAATGTATTTATTACATTAATATGTAATAAATATACATTAATCTATTTACATATTATAGTCATATATTTATTCTGTTATGCTTATGTAACACATATTTATTATTGAAGTGTTGTTTAGCGCCTTGGTGTGAGCAGGAGCAGATGGAATGGAAACCTTAGCTCTGTGATTTTGTTTTCTGCTGAGTTCTCGTGTCAACAGCTTTGTCTTTTAGCAGTGGTTAGAGTGGGCAGGTGTCCCACGCGTTGCAGTATTTGAAGGATTGAAGGATAACTTTGTTGCACACACATGTAACAGTGTGCATGTCACTGCCCACAGAAAACGGGTGCTCCCCATACTGCAGTTCCTCACACCTGCAGTCCCAGCGCTTTGCAGGGCCAAGGTGGGAGGATTGCTTGAGGCCAGGAGTTTGAGATCAGCCCGGGCAACATACGGAGACCTCATCTCTACAAAATAAAAATAAAAAATAAATTAATTGGGTGTGGTGGCGCACACCTGTAGTCCCAGCTACTCAGGAGGCTGAGGTGGGAGGATCGCTTGAGAGAAGGACTTCGAGGCTGCAGTGAGCTGCGATTGCACCAGGGTACTCCAGCCTGGGCAACAGAGGGAGACTCTGCCGCAAAACAAAGCAAAACAAAACAGAACAAAAAACTCCAGCAATTCCTGTCCATCTCTGCAAAGCGATACCCGAGACAGCCTCTTGTTAAGATGAGGGGGTCCACCTAACTATGATTTTCCTTCATACCCTCGGAAGAAGGTTATCTGATCCTTTCAATAAGTATACAAGATGAGCCTGACTCCTAGGAAAGTCAGAGAGCTCCAACAGGGTGTGGCTAAATATTAATACATATCTATGACACATAACTGACACAACCCTGGACAATCTCTAGCGATCTTACCCCAAAGTACAAAGCATGTTTGTTCTGCTGAAGGGGTTCAAGACCCCTCCCCTAGCCTTCCAACACACACACACTCCGTATCCTTTCCCAAATCAGACTGTCACTCACCAAGAACCTACGCTACAGAAACTCCCGAGTGGTCCCTGAACCAGACCCTGAACAGCCATACCAGCCCACGGGAAGACTCCCTTCCCCAGGGAATTCCAAGATGGGACCAGGGACAGCTTGGTCATAAGTAAACAGGCCTGTGTTTGACCCTTAGCTGGGTGTAATATTTCAGCCTCTGCTAATAGCAAGTGCTATGTGAGTGTCAAAAATTACAAATCAATTGATTTTACAATGTACGAAGTCAGGATGTTTTTAGCAAGCTGCGAATGTCACTCAGAAACCTGGGTGTCAAATATGTGAGTAATAAGAGTAAGCAATAAAATATTTTATTCATTCATGATGATGAGGGCAGCACATTTTTAACAACCTGTGAAGCCAATCTGCAAAGTCAACATCACACTACAACAGGAATCAGCAAATGCTGGCCCTTGGACTAAATCCGGCCCTCTGATTATTTTTGTCAATAAAACCTCACTGGAGCACAGCCATGCCCACTTGTTTACGTATTGTCTATGGGGCTTTTTGATTTTTGTTTTTTTAAGAGTCAGGTTCTTGTTCTGTCACCCAGGCTGGAGGGCATTGGCACAATTACAGCTCAAAGCAGGCTCAAACTCCTGGGCTCAAGTGACCCTCCCACCTCAGCCTCCTGAGCAATCCCAGGCTCGTGCTACCACTACTGACAGATTTTTCTAATTTTTGTAGAGATCGGGTCTTGCTACGTTGCAGGCTGGTCTGAAACTCCTGGGCTCAAGCGATCCTCCTGCCTTGGTCTCCCAAAGCACTGGAATTACAAGCGTGCACCTCCGTGCCTAATTATAGCAGCTTTTTTGCACTCTGTGCAACAGAGACTGTGTGTCCCACAATGCAGAAAATATCTGCCATGTGGCCCCTACAGATAATTGCCCATCCCTCGATTAGACCAAAGGAGAAAAGCCACAGCTTGTTTGGAGACAGAAGCAGATGAAACTCAGACTTCTGAAAAGATACAAAGTTTTATTAAACAAACCTGGAATCAACAGTATTATTACATAAATTAGACAGCAGTAAAATTTTCCTAGGGCATATGTACAAATCACAGTGATTTCCATTGTGCAACAAACAGACAGGATTAAAAATAGGCACTCCCCTCCCCGACCCCCCATGAGAAGGGGTCACCCCGCGGGGTTCCCAGTTCTGGCTCGCCAAGGGGTGCACAAACCTGCCAAGGCACTCTGCCTGTGTGCGCGGCATCCGGCGGCAGTGACAGGGGCCCCAGAAGCACGTTGGCAACATGGTGAGGCTGCCCAGTGTTCAGCGCAAAGAAAGAATTCAGCTACGACAGTTGAGCAGAGCTCAACAGCCATCTCAGAGCACAAGGACTGTGGAAAGGCTTCAAGTCTCATCTGCTAAAACACAATTGTAATGCCTTTTACATACAGAACAGACGTGTCCACCATGGAAGATCAAACTAAGCCTCAACAGAACTTCCCAACACACGATAATTTACAGAAAACCATGACAGAGCATCCCTGCTATTAGGAAGGGACTGTTCTGCGGGGTGCAAGGCCATAAGGTTTGCAAAGCAAACTTGATTATGAAAAGGCTTGGTGAAAATACAGCCCCTCACCTTCACCAAGACACACACACACACACACACACACACACACACACACACACACACACACCCCGCAAAGAAACTATCCAAATGCATTAAGACACCTGTTCGTGTGCTTTTCTTCTTGCTTTTGTTAAGTGAATCCCATCCGTTTAAGTTAGACTAATTAGAAGGCCTGCTTGCCTCCATCAGCAACAGAAAAACAGTGCATACGACTCCTCCAATGTGTGTAAAATGCATGCTAGGTAGATTGAAGGAAAAACGAGAGGAACCCGGGCACCCCATTTCAAATCTCTACAACTGGAGAAATCAAAGGCTGCAAGGACTGTGTAGACCTGATGCAAAGTTAACTGGCTGCAAAAATACAACCCAAGCCAGTGCTGTCTTGCACCCTGTTCACTCAGTAGCTGGAGCAATGAATGATTGTGACATTCTGGTGGGGTATTTGTGCAGCCTGAGGTGCACCTGGCTACAGAGTGGAGCCTTGGGGTCTTTAACAGTATTAAGCCATAGTTTCACAGTTACAATGGTCCAAAGAATTAGAGGCCATGTAGGTCAAACACAGAAATGGCGAACACATCCCAAACCACTCAACTGTTTAGTTCCACTGGTGATTTTTTTTAATGGACAGTGATTTCAAATGATTTGGTGTTTTTGTTCTTGTTTTTGCTTTTTCTTCAAAGCAAACAAATGATTTGGTCTTTAAGTATGGACAGAAAGAAACAAAACGCTGAATGGGAAATTCAGTAACAAGTGATTGTGCAGTTGTTTGATGGGCATGGAGAGGGAGTGGGGCTGAACTGCATTTTGAGGGGATGAAGCGCGCAATCTTACCCCACTGCTGGGGGGTTTCTGCTTCTTATTCTATCATGCTGACAGCAAATATAATTTGCCCATCGCTGGCTATAGATATGTTTAGGCTAAGCAGGATTTAGACTTCTGTTGCGAAGGAATTAGAAGAATTCAGTAGAGACAGTGTATACTATTTGGTTGTGACTTTATTTCCTTCCTGGCTTTATCAATGCCTATGAAAGCAGGCCGGTGGCATTTCCCTTCAGAAAAACAAGACTTGCCCCAATACACTTCTTCTTGTAACATATCCATGTCCTATTCTCTTAGAGTATTCCAATTTAAGAAAATATTGCCAACTCGTAAAATTACATGAAGCAAAGTAAATTTGTAATGTTTTTCTGATACAAATGTTGTGATTATGGTAATGAATTTTCCTCCACATTTTGCGCAGTGATTGTTTGTCATGATCATCCATACGGACATTCTGCACCGTGATTGTTTCGTGATCATCCATGCGGACATTTCGCACCGTGATTGTTTCGTGATCGTCCATGCGGACATTTTGGAATGCCCACCCGGGTCAGCTATTTGTATTTTTTTTATTTTTATGTTTTGAGACGGAGTCTTGCTCTGTGGCCCAGGCTGGAGTGCAGTGGCACGATCTCGGCTTACTGCAGCCTCTGCCTCCCGGGTTCAAGCGATTCTCCTGCCTCAGCCTCCCGAGTAGCCAGGATTACAGGTGCCCGCCACCACACCTAATTTTTGTATTTTAGTAGAGATGGGGGTTTTGCCATGTTGGCCAGGCTGGTCTCGAACTCCTGACCTCAGGTGATCCACCTGCCTCGGCCTCCCAAAGTGCTGGGATTACAGGCGTGAGCCACCATGCCTGGCCAGGTAAACTATTTTAAAATTATACAGTGATTGCTCCATGTTTATAGCTCATTTTGATTAAATTAACCTCTACATGACATTGGGCCATTTAAACTATGACCCCGCCATGGGCAGTTACCAGGTAGCTTGTGTCACTTCAAATGCTGAAATGTGTGTGATGGTCCAAAGTGGGTTTCACACCATCACACGTTCTTGGAATCGCTTCTAATTTCTCATTTGTTCTGTATGGCTGGAGGCTGATCACGACGTCTGTAAAGAACAAGGTCACCAATGTGCTTGCATATTTCATTTTCCTGCATATCAGTTCACAATTAAGGCATTTCAGGCTTTCCTGATGCTAATTCTCATCTGAGTATGAAATCCTGGATAATAAAACAGACAACCTAAAAATAGGCATATGGACTCATGGATTTATGTACTTTTTAAAGTGTGCTCAAGTGTTTCATTTATGGTTTTATTAATAATTTTTAAAGTAGAATGTTCAATATTATTACTATGATTTATTTTTATAGTCAGCAAACATGAGACTTAAAAGCTTTTCCTTCTAGCTCCACATGTCGGTGCACAGTGTAACCTTTTCTTAAAAAAATATGGAATGCTGCATGAATCTGCAGATCTTCCTCGCGCAGGGGGCCATGCTAATCTCCTCTGTGTCATTCCAATTTTAGTATACCTGCTGCCGAAGTCAGCACCAGTTTCACCTTTTCACATTCACGGTAAAACTGATGGGAAACCGCACGCTAAATGTTTAGGCAGCGATGGCCCTCAACTGTTAATCCCAACAGGATGGTGAGTGAGAAGCACAGGCTGAAAATAGAGTTGTCTAAAACATTTCCACATTTCACCATCTGAACATCATTTTCCACTGAGTTATTAATTGTAAAGAGTTTATTCTGCTGAACCTACTAATTATTCTCACCTACTGAGTTGACCTCCACGTGAAGAAAAGGTCACTGATGAAAAAGGGTGGCTATGTTCTGTTTCTGTAATTTCACTGTTTTAACATCTTTTTTTTTATATAGAGATGGGGTCTCGCTATGCTGCCCAGGTCGGTCTCGAACTCCTAGGCTCAATCTTCCTGCCTCAGCTTCCCAAAGTCCCAGGGTTACAGGAGTGCACCACCGCACCCAGCTTCACTGTCTTTTAAAGCCTTAAGGTGGACGTTCTCTTCAATCCATCTTCAAAAGCACAAAGCCATTGCCTTCTTTTTTTTTTTTTTTTTTTTTGGACAGGGTCTCACTCTGTCACCCAGGCTGGAATGCAGTGGTGTGATCTCGGATCACTGCGGCCTGGACCTCCCCAGGCTCAAGTGATCCTCTCATCTCAGCCTCCTGAGTAGCTGAGACTACACTCACGTGCCACCATGCCCGGCTAATTTTTTTGTATTTTGTAGAGATGAGGTCTCACCACGTTTCCCAGACTGGTCTCCAACTCCTGGGCTCAAGCAATCCACCCACCTCAGCCTCCCAAAGTGCTGGGACTATAGGAACAAGCCACTGCATCCAGCTCAGATGAAATTTTTGAATGTGTCACAGAAGGTTTTTTTAAATACAGTACATTCCTCCAACAACTTCAATGTCATTGTAGATTCTTGGAATAAATTCGCTCCCATATCTTCCCCTCTTTGTTTCTTCTTTTAAAGTCTCAAGTTACCAGGTAAGAAGCACTAAAGATACTGAAGGTAGACCTCCCCATGATATTTTCTTCCCCAAAACTATAAAATGCATGTGAGATGATTTTTTTTAATGCATGCAACATACCCTTCAGATGTTGTCCCCGAGAAGAGATTTTTGAAAAAACAAATTGAAAAATAAAAATTATAGGCTCTGTAAAGTATGAACATTTACATCACTGCACAATTTCTGTGCATCTGCCATAATGACTTCTATATATACACACAGGCATACACACACACACACACACACACACACACACACACACACACACACAATTTGTGGTTATAATCGAACAAGTCCAGTTCAAACTTATAAACTTAAGTCTATGACAAAAACCAAGACATCACAGTAGGAACACAACACTAAAGGATAAGATAAAATCTACAACCAAACAATTTTCAAAACCTTCCTACAGTGTGGAATTCCAGTTGCTTAAATAATGCCAGTTCCATGAATTTCAACTGTGCTCTAATCTATTTCTATACACACAGGTACAGAGAAAAGTGGAGATGTCCTTATGCCGTGAAGAAGACATTTTGCTTCTGGTCTGCTTAGGTGCAGTTCTTTGTTCCAGGCAGATTCCAATCTTCCTGTTTCTAGCATGAAATAGGACAAAAGATTCTGTGAGTTGCTCAGTAACTGGATGAATTTTGTAATCATCATCTCAATGATAATACAAAGGTTTCCTTTCCCTAAGTGATAACAAAGAAAACCTCTCTTTGTAATTCTTTTTGCAAGGATCCATAAGCCTGAATTCTAAAAGGAGAGGCCAATAAAAAGGAAATGAAGAATGTTTTAAAGGTAAGGGGTTTTTTTGGTTTGTTTGTTTGAGACGGAGTCTTGCTCTTGTTGCCCAGGCTGGAGTACAGTGGTGTGATCTCAGCTCACTGCAACCTCCGCCTCCATGTTCAAGTGATTCTCCTACCTCAGCCTCCTGAGTAGCTGGGGTTACAGGTGCCCGCCACCACGCCTGGGTAATTTTTGTATTTTTGGTAGAGATGGGATTTCACCATGTTTGCCAGGCTGGTCTCGAACTCCTGACCTCAGATGATCCATGCGCCTCGGCCTCCCAAGGTGCTGGGATTACAGGCATGAGCCACCTCGCCCAGCCCTGTTTTCATTTTTGAGATGAGGTCTAACTCTGCCATCCAGGCCGGAGTACAGGCACAATCACGGCTCACTGCAGCCTCAACTTTCCAGGCCCAAGCGAGCCTCTCACCTCAGCCTCTAGAATAGCTGTGACAATAGGTATGTATCACTACGCCTGGCTAACTTTTTTATTTTTTGTAGAGATGGGGTCTCACTATGTTGCCCAGGCTTGATCTCAAACTCCTGACCTCAAGTGAGCCTCCCAACTCGGCCTCCCAAAGTGCCGGGATTACAGGTAGGAGCCACCACATCCAGCCTGAAGAATGTTCTATCATACGCTTATCCATAAATAGATAAATGTATCCACCAATAGATGATGAACTGCACAAGAAAAATGGGATCCCCAATTCAACATGCTTCCTCAGAGAACCTTACAGCAAGACAGAAAATATTTTATTACAAAGTAAAATAAAAGACATAGTGAGTCAGTTCTCTTAAATTCCTCCTCCACATTCAGAAAGGCATACAGGGTGATTCAAACAAAGATGAACGGCTACAGCATAGTTTCTAAGCTGCCCTCAAGTGCAGTGATTCATCTGAACTGGTGTCTTATTTACAGGAGAAGATTTGGCTTCATGAAGAAATATCTTCCTGCATAAAATTCCTGCAACTAATCGCTCGTTGCTGAAAATGCCAGGGATGTGTTTGGTGTGCAAATTACTTGATAAAATTACTAAGACGGATTAAAATATTGCATCTGGGCCAGGCACAGTGGCTCATGCCTGTAATCCCAGCACTTTGGGAGGCCGAGGTGGGCAGATTGCCTGAGTTCAGGAGTTCAAGACCAGCCTGGCCAACATGGCAAAACCCATCTCTACTAAAAATACAAAACAATTAGCCTGGTGTGGTGGCAGGCACCTGTAATCCCAGCTACTCGGGAGGCTGAGGCAGGAGAATCACTTGAACCCAGGAGGCGGAGGTTGCAGTGAGCTGAGATCGCACCACTGCAATCCAGCCTGGGCAACCGAGCGAGACTCTGTCTCAAAAAGAAAAAAAAATTCATTAAACAGAGCCCCAACCACTAGCCAAACTATATTAAAAATGATTCCACTTAGCAAAAATAATACTTACTTACACATACTTTCTCAACAATGCATACCAGATGGAGAAAGGTTATTCCTACGTGTGGAATCTTTTTCAGGGAAAGTAGGGGCAGCTGGGGACAGGATGTAATGAAATTGTTCACTGATTATATGACAAAAATCCATCAAATGGAAGCTTTTTTGTTCTTTAAGTAAATTTTACAATTGAGGGGTCTCTATTAGAGAAAGGTTCTATTTTTGTGGCTTATCAACTAGGGGTCCTTCATACTAAAGCAAACCAAGTCTTTACATCATTTTAAAGATTTCCTGGAGAGACACAATTTGTAAGATGTTATGGGCGAGTCAGCTAAAATGTAAGCCCCAGAGTAGAGCAGAGAAACAAAAAGAAGTAAACACATTCAGGAACATCTTATGATTTTTAAAACCCGCAACTGGATTTCATGAGCGTTTATGAAGTTGGTAAAGTTACACGCTCTCATGTTAATACAAACCAGTCACCACTGTGAAAGCGTTCATCACACACTGAGAGGTGAAGCCATGCCATGGAGACAGGTTATCTTCTCGAGGTCATAGCCACCTATTCCTCTATCATTTTGTTGTCTATTATTTCAATTTGTATCCAGCTTTCCTCTTGGTACATCCATGTAAACACCTGCCCAGGATGGAGGGCTCTCATTCACCACGTCTTTCAGCAGGTTGGTTCCTCTCCCCAGTCAGCAATTGTGACATTTGGTGTCTGTTTCGAATGGTGTTGGTTAGCCAATTGGCTTTCCACTTCACATAACTGGGAAGACTACAGGAAAATTACGGGAATGGAAATCAAAATGGGAAAAACAAGCTATGTCAATGAATAGACACATCACTGACAATATTTTGCTTCACTGGTATGTTTCTTGCTCGTGTGTTACAGGAAGAAAGATCTAATTGAAGCCATATAACCGAGCAATTTAGAATTGAGGAGTAACTGAAAGCTCTTTTTAATCCATACTTAAAAACTAATAATAGATTTTCAAAGGCTCAAGGAAATAACACAGTCAAAACCCTTTTTCAGTCATCTTAAATTAAAGCTTAGCAAATTTCATGAGGGATTCTAAAAAATATTATTATTATTTAAAAACTAATAATAGACCTTCAAAGGCTCAAAGAAGTAATAGACTCAAAATCCTTTTCCAGTCATCTTCAATTAAGCTTAGCAAATTTCCTATGAGGGCATATTTCTTCTTCTTATTTTTTAACCAAAGGAGACCTAAAGAGACTTTTGAAAATACTTGTTAATTATTCTAAGGAAGCTCGCCTGTCACTCAGGGTTTCTGGAACAGGGACCAGAGGAGCTGGGCTTCTCAAATATTCAGGCACACACAAACCACCTAGCGGTCTTATTTAGACATGCAGGTTCTGATGCAGAACATGGATTCTGGACTGTCATGCTGATGCCTCTGACGGTCACATGCTGACCTGGAGTCACAGGCATGGCTGTGTTTATTTCGCTGACCCTTGCAATCAATCCCCTTTGCTCTGCTTCACTGCTGACCTCTGTGTGCATGAGGTTAAGCCCCACTCAGTAAACGCAGCCTCACCTGGATGTGGGGTCGAGTCAGTCTCATTTTTTGGGAATTACTAAATATAAAGATATACCTTCCAGATGTGAGCTCCTGTCCTCAGAAATTCTTGAAGATTTCTAAATCCTTCTGCGGCACGGGCGCGGCTGTGTCCCAGTCATTCTCAGGGTAAGTTTCGAAGTTGGAAGTGTCGCCGTCACCAGCTATCTTGGGCACGATGGGAGGCTGTGAGACATGGCCGAAGCACAAAGGCATGGTTAGAAAGGGACGGGACACTTGGATGCTGCACACACCGCTTTATTTCTGTCACTGTACCTAAAAATGAAAATGATTTGCAAAACACTAAAGCTGTCTTCCCTTCATTTATGAAAGCGGCAATCTTTGAATTAAAATATTGTGAATGAGGCTGCGTGTGGGGACTCACACCTGTAATCCCAACACTTTAAGAAGGTGAGGCGGGAGGGTTGCTTGAGCCTCAGAAGTTTGAGACCAGCCTGGGGAACACAGGGAGTCCCCTGTCTCTACAAAAAATACAACTAGCCGGGTGTGGTGCTGTGTGCCTGCAGTCTCAGCTACTCAGTAGGCTGAGGTGGGAGAACTGCTTGAGCCCAGGAGGTCGATACTCCAAGTGAGCCATGATTGCACCACTGCATTCCAGCCTGAATGACTGAGTGAGATCCTGTCTCAAAATATATATATATAGTATTAAGTAAGCTATGGTACAGTCATGTGATGGAATACAATGCAGTATTTTTTAAAATGAGGAAGCTGGCTAGGCGCAGTGGCTCATGCCTGTAATCCCAGCACTTTGGGAGGCCAAGGTGGGAGGATCATCTGAGGTCAGGAGTTCGAGAACAGCCTGGCCCATGGAGAAACCCTGTCTCTACCGAAAAGACAAAAATTAGCCGGGCATAGTGGTGGGTGCCTGTAATCCCAGCTACTTGGGAGGCTGAGGCAGGAGAATCGCTTGAACCTGGGAGGCGGAGGTTGCAGTGAGCCGAGATCGCACCACTGAACTCCAGCCTGGGCAACGGAGCAAGACTTCGTCTCAAAAAAAAAAAAAAAAAAAAAAAAAAAAAAAAAAAAATGAGGAAGCTAGCCAGGTATGTAGACAGGTCTCCAGATTATATAGTCAAGTGCAAAAAGCAAGACTATAATAATGTACATACTACGCTACTCTAGATTTGTATAAATGAGTGGCAAAAATAAGAATGCATGTATCCATGTGGGTTTTTATTAGCACAAAGAAACTCTAGAAGGATACACAGAAAAACAATAAAAGGTGATTACCTACAGGTGGCTTGGAGGGGGTAAGAGGGAGACTTGGCAATATATCTGTTTTAATATTGACTTGGTTTTTGACCAATGTGGATAGATAAAACGTATTCAAATTGTTTTTTTAATGCAATTTAATACAATAAAGTATTTGAAAAGGTAAAACTTTGAACAAAATGATGCATCAGCCCAGGCCCAGTGGCTGACACCTGTAATCCCAGCACTTTGGGAGGCCGAGGAGAGTGGATCATTTGAGGTCATGAGTTCGAAACCAGCCTGGCCAACATAGTGAAACCCCATCTCTTCTAAAAACACACAAAAAAATTAGCTGGATGTGGTGGCGCACACCTGTAATCCCAGCTACTTGGGAGGCTGAGGCAGAAGAATCACTTGAATCCAAGAGGTGGAGGTTGCAGTGAGTTGAGATCACTCCACTGCACTACACCCCGAGCCTGAGCGACAAAGTGAGACTCCATCTCAAAAAAAAAAAAAAAAAAAAAAAAAAGAAGCGTATCATCCCAGGCTCCAGCCCCAGAAACTCTGGTCTGAGCTGAGGACTAGGAATAAGCATTTCTAAGCATTCTCCATTCTTTTAACTCTGAAGTGCAAAGGTGAAAACACTACCATTGACCACTCCCATCAGTAACATATGCAGTTCAGAGTGTTCACAAAAGCCAAGATATGGAATCAACCTAAGTGTCCACCAATGGATGAAAGGATAAAGAAAGTGTGGTCCATACACACAATGAAAAACTATCCGGCCATAAAATGGAATGAAATCCTGTCATTTATAGCACCACGAATGGAATGGGAGACCATCATGTTAAGTAAACTAAGCCAGGCCGGGTGCAGCGGCTCATGCCTGTAATCCCAGCACTTCTTTGGGAGACTGAGGCTGGTGGATCACTTGAGGTTAGGAGATTGAGACCAGCCTGGCCAACATGGTGAAACCCCGTCTCTAGTAAAAATACAAAAATTAGCTGGGCGTCTGTAATCCCAGCTACTCAGGGGGCTGAGGCATGAGAACTGCTTGAAGCCAGGAGGTGGAGGCTGCAGTGAGCAAGATCGTGCCACTGCACTCCAGCCTGGGCAACAGAGCAAGACGCTGTCTCAAAAAATAAATAATAAATAATAAACTAAGCCAGACGCAGAATGAGAAACACAGCGTGTTCCCACTCATATGTGGGAGCTAAAAAAATGGATGTCATGAAGGTTGAGAGTAGAATGATAGTTACCAGAGGGTGGGAAGTGTGTATAGCTAGGGGATGAAGGGGAGATGAAGAAATATTGCATAAACATAATGTTAGATAAAAGGAATAAGTTCCAGTGTTTGACAGCATAGTTGGGTGGGCAGAGTTAACAATATATTGTATATTTCAGAATAGCTAGATTTGCAATATTCCCAACCCATAAAAATGATAAATGTTTGAGCTGATGGATACCCTGGTTACCCTCAGTTGATCATTACACATTCTATGCGTGTGTCAAAATATAACATGTACCCCCATAAATATGTACCTGTGATAGTTACACTGCTTAGCAGCTGTGTAACCTTCCACACATTGCTTAACTTCTCTGAGCACAGTCTCCTCATTTATAAAATGGACAAGTATTATACATTGAAAAAAATGCCAGATTTTTTTTTTTTTTTTTTTTTTTTTGAGACAGGGTCTGGCTCTGTCGCCCAGGCTGGAGTGCAGTGGCATAATCTTGGCTCACTGCAACCTCCGCCTCCTGGTATCAAGCAATTCTTGTGCCTCAGCCTCCCAAGTAGCTGGTACCACAAGCATATGCCACCACGCCTGGCTAATTTTGGTATTTTCTGTAGAGGCGGGATTTCACCATATTGCCCAGGCTAGTCTCAAACTCGTGGGTTCCAGTGATCTGCCTGAGTTGGCCTCTCAAAGTACTGGAATTATAGGCGTGAGCCACAGCACCCAGCCAAAAAGCCAGATGTTTAAAAATAGGCAGTTTGGCCAGAAACGTTCCAAAGAATATTCTCCATGTAATACACCACCATCACTGAACGATGACCATGGTGCTAGACGCTTGCTTATCTCTGTAATCCTGTTGACCGCTTTCCACTAAAGAGGAGGGAGTAGGGTTTAGCAGTCACAGAGCTAGTCAGGAATCAGGCCAGGTCTCCTAAAATCTGCTTCAAAATCTGGGATAAGTGTCCATCCAGGGATGAATGGACAAAGAACATGTGGTATATGACTGGGTGTGGTGGCTCCTGCCTTTGTGGGAGCTAGGTAGATGGTTAGCACTAAGACACTCAAAGAGTGGGGAACTTGGCTTATGAACAGTTTTAGACAAATAGTTGTATTATATAAATTAATCACATGTCAGCCATCAATAAAGAAGTCCCAGGATTCAGAGGCAGTCCCTGCTAATGGAAGAGCTCGGGCATACTGAGTCACCCACTGATATGTGTTGTACCTTCAGTTTTCTCTGCGGAACAGCTTCCCAGTCCACGGAGCGGAACCACCGATGATGCTTCACATCATTCGCCCCGTTCTTCAAAAGAAACAACACATGTCGTCAGTGTACAGAATTTTGACAGGGCAGGAAAGAAAAATACCCCAAAGAATCTCTACATTATTTTAGTATTGAAACAAACAGACCAAGTTTGCTGCATTTTGGAGAACTGTGCCTGGAGGGTGAGCTGCCAGGAAAACCTGCAAGCAAAGCTGTTAGTGTTTTGTTTGCCCTTTTTTGCCGCAGAAACAAATCCAGTCATTCTGCTCCTGTGCAATGCATTTGCATTCCGGACCAAAGACGAAAAAGGTAAATACGATTCCATCTCTCGACATAAAATTGGACAGCCAGTAGTTTCTCAGTTTGTCTCCTGTTTTCATCTTGGCAAACTTACTCAGTATTTTACAGACATAGAAACTAGGGTTCAAGGAATGATGTTAATTTGCTCCGTAGGACCCAGCAAGTAAATAACAAGACTGGGAACTCAAACCAAGGATGTCCAGTTTAAGAGACCTTAGGAACGACATTGCACGGCCTGGCAATTAACAAGGTGCGTTCAAGTCGGCCTGCTTCATGCTCAAGGGTAGCACCAGGCATCGCTGGCTCACACTGTGGCCATCACGACCTCTGAAATCCCTCCCAAGTGCTCATCCGTAAACCTCACTCTGCTTCCTTTTCTTATACTTGTAGTGATGTCGTTATCAATTAAATGTGGGACAGCAGAAGAAATAAACGTAGGTTCCATGAAACAGAAGCCAGTACATCTGAATTTAACGCGTCTATCAGTTAGCATTACTGTAGTTTCAAATTTCTTATCCTTAAAGAGGAATACGTCCACAACCATATCTTCAAAAGGAAACAGTAATGTGAATTTTTTCTATTGTTTTCCCATCCAGTTGTTTTGACAACTTTTTCTTTTCTTATTGCAAAACAGGTATTTTTGATCTATAGCTAAGTCAGGCAACAAACAATAGCTGTTGAGTTTTCCCTTCAGCAATGTTGTGAATAAGAATAAATAAGAGTGCTGTGAATAAGAGAATAAAATAAATTTTATCCATCAGATAAAATTCTAATTTGGATACTAAAGGATGTGTGTGTCTGTATATACTCACATGCATACATAGTAATATATACACACACACATACATATATACACACATAGATTGATATATACATACTTATACACATACACACATTAATATATACACATACTTATAGACATACACACGTTAATATATACATACTTATACACATATACACGTTAATATATACACACATATATTTATATATACACATACTTATATACATACACGTTAATATATACACATTAAATATACACATACTTATATACATACACGTTAATATATACACATGTATTATATATATATATACACATATACATATGTACTTTACACACTTTATATGTAGAGTACAAAGTATATGTATATACCGAGATTCACATTAGTATCCAAACTAGTGTGTGTGTGTTATATAAAGTGTGTGTGAGGGGGGTGGGAGCAGTGGCTCACGTTTATATTCCAGCACTTTGGGAGGCCGAGGCAGGAGGACTGCTTGAACCCAGGAGTTTGAGACTAACCTGGGCAACAAAGTAAGACCTGGTCTCTACAAAAAAACATAAAAAATTAGCCAGCCTTGGTGGTGCATGCACTGAGTCCCAGCTACTCGGGAGGCGGAGGTGGGAGGATCACTTGACGCCAGGAGGTCAAGGCTGCAGTGAGCTGTGATCGCACCACTGCACTCCAGCCTGGATGACAGAGCAAGATCCTGTCTTGAAAAAATAAAAATAAAAAAAGTGTGTGTGTGGGTGTGTATCTACAGTCATGAGCCTCAAAATGATGCTTCAGTCAACAATGGATGACATATACAGTGTTGCTCCTGTAAGATTATAATGATCTTAAAAACTCCTATCCCCTAGTGACGCCATGGCCATTGTAACCACAGGACAATGCATCCCTCCTGTTACGCTGCCAGGCGTGTAACAGTCTAACACATACGTTACCTACGGCACCTAATACTTGGTAATGATAATAAATGACTATGTCCCTGGTTTATCTATTTACTATACTCTATGTTCTTTTTGGGGGGGCGGGGCAATGGACAGAGTTTCACTCCATCATCCAGGCTGGAGGGCATGGCGCCATCTTGGCTCACTGCAACCTCCGCCTTGCTGTGTCTCAAAAAAAAAAAAAAAAAAGAGAGAGAGAGAGAGAGAAATAAGCCAGGCACAGATAGACAAATACAGTCTGACCTCACTTACATGGGAAATCTAAAAAAGTTGAACTCATAGAAGCAGAGAGTAGAATGGTGGATACCAGGGGCTGGGAAGGGGCTGAGATGGGAAGTCATTGGTCAAAAGAGACAAAGTGAGAGAGACAGGAGGAACAAGTTCAGTCAGTGGCTTGCACAGCTCGGTGACTATAACTAATGATGTATTCTCAAGAATCTCTGGAAGAGTAGATCTTGCTGGGTGCAGTGGCTCTTGCCTGTAATCCTAGCACTTTGTGAGGCCAAGGTGGGCGGATCACTTGAGCTCAGGAGCTCGAGACCAGCCTGGGCAACACATCAAGACCCCAACTCTTAAAAACAATTTTTTTCTTAGATCTTAAGTGTTCTCACCACAAATAAATGGTAATTATGTGAGGTAAGGCATATGTTAATGAACTCAATGGACCCATTCCACAATGGGTACATATTTCAAAACTTCATGTTGTACATGCTAAATAATACCATTTTCATGTGTTAATTTAAAAAAAAAATAAAATAAAGTCAGTGTTTTCTTGAGTCTCTTTCAGTTTATCTCCATATCAGGAAGCTTTAACTAGACTTTAAGACCTAGCTTGGGAGTTTGTGAGCTTTTCCCCAATTCCTTTGATTGGGAAACTTGTTCTTCCCCCTTGGAAGGTACCTATGATGGTCACTACGCCATTCCCAGCAGATTCTAGATATGGGTCGTCTGTGATTCCCTGCAGTCCCAGCAAGAGACCCAGCTCTTTTCTAAATGGCTGTGGCATTAAAACAGGACTCGTCCAATCTTATGAAGAGCCGTGGCACAGATGAGTCCACACCGTGCAACCTGGCTGGATAGGCTCCTCGGAGACCTGAAGGTATCCGTTGCTGTCCGCAAATAATGTAAAGGACAGAAGCTTGACTACTGTTATAGGGTAAACAATGTCCCTCAAAAAGATATGTGCACATCCTATCCCCCAGTGCCTGTGAATATCACTTTATTTGGAAATAGGGTCTTTGCAGATGTAACTAAATTAAGGTTCTTGAGATGACATCATCCTGGAGAAGGGTGGGCCCTAAATCCAGTGACAGGTGTCCTCATAAGAGACAGAGGAGGAGACACAAACATAGAGAAGGCCATGTGAAAATGGAGGTGGAGACTGCAGTGGTGTGGCCACAAGCCTAGGGATGCCTGGAGCCCCCAGGAGCTGGGAGAGGCAGGAAGGATCCCCCACTAGAGCCTCTAGCAGGAAGCAGACACAATTATCACACATTGGGCAGTGGCCCTCAAAATATATGCCCATGTCCTGACTCCCAGTACCTGGGAATGGAACCCTACATGCAAATAGGGTCTTTGTAAATGTAATTAAGGGAAGGCTCTTGAGAAGAGATAATCCTGCATTAGGATGACCCTAAACCCAATGACAGGCATCCTTCTGAGAGACAGAAGAGGAGACACAGACACAGAGAAGGCCACGTGAAGAAAGACAGAGACTGGAGTGATGCGGCCATAAGCCCAGGGATGCCCGGAGCCCCCAGGGGCTGGGAGAGGCAGGAATGATCCTCCCCTAGAGCCTCTGGAGGCCTGAGACACCTTGATCTCAGACTCCTCGTCTCCAGGATGGGGAAAGCAGAAATTCCTGTTGTTTAAGCCCCTAGTTTGTGGTCAGTTCTTATGGCAGCTACTGGAGACTCGTAAACCACACAGAGGGCCCCAAGAGAGCCAAGTGGTTCAAGCCTCACACCCCGGTGTACTGTGTCTCTCCAGACTGTAATTTACAGGGTCAAGACGTATATGGAAGTTCCTCCATGTATAAGTCCCTCTGAGGTTGTCCAGAGCTAGAAATGGCCAACAAAAAGTCCATGAATTCTGTCAAATTCAGGGATGTCAAAACACGCATATCAGGTATGATACTACTTAAGGAATAGTCTGTTTGTCAATTATATACTTGCCTCCACACAAAAAGTTTGTGGAAATCATACCTGATGCACAACTTTTAAAATCATCACCTGCGCACACAAAACACCTACTCTCATGTCCATGGCAGAACCATTCACAAAAGCCAAAAGGTGGAAACAGCCCAGATGTCCATCCATAGATGAATGGATAAACAAAACGAGGTCTGCCCACACAATCGAATACTATGCAGTCAGGAAAAGGAAGGAAGCTCTGACACGGGCTACAGCCTGGATGAACCTTGAAGACATCGTGCTCAGAGAAAGAAGCCAGAGGCAAAAGCTTACATTTTGTACAATTCCATTTTTAGCAGAGCCCAGAACACCGAACCCTACAGAGAAAGTCAGTAGATTAGTGGCTGCTTAGGGTAGGGGTCCCCAGCCCCTGGGCCACAAACTGGTAGTGGTCCACGGCCTATGAGGAACCAAAATGGGCCGCACACCAGGAGGTGAGCAGCAGGCAGGTGAGCGAAGCTTCACCTGTACTGACAGCTGCTCCCCATGGCTGGCATTAGCACCTGAGCTCCGCCTCCTGTCAGATCAGCAGTGGCATTAGATTCTCATAGGAGCACACACCCTATTGTGAACTGCGCAACTAAGGGATTTAGGTTGTGCGGTCTGTGGAAAAACTGTCTTCCACAAAACTGGCCCCTGGTGCCAAAAAGGTCGGGGACCGCTGGCTTAGGGCAAGAGAGGATGAAAGAATAGCACAGTGATAACTGAAGGGTGCAGGGTTTCTTTTTTTGAACTGATGAAGATGTTCTAAGATTAACCACAGGGGTGGCTGTACATAATCGTGTGTATACTAAAAGCCACCGAATTGCACATTTTAGATGGGTAAATGGCATGGCGTGTGAATTCACTCTCCGTAAAACTGTTTAAAAAATAAAATAAATAAGTAAACAAAATAATGAGTAATAACTTATGCATTGTTATTGCTCTATTAACCTTGCTTGAGGGGAGGGGAGATACGGTGTAGACCCAGTTTGACGTTGTGGGCCCAGAAACCGAGATTTGATAGATCTTTCCTGGCAGTTTCAAGTAAAATTTAAAAAAATAAATAAAACACCAGATTTGAAATTTGGGCAGTGATTAAATACGACCGCTAAGCCTTGGTTTATACCTGCACATGCCAATGTGGGTGTTAGACGGCAGACACGCACATCGGGTACCACTGAATACCCACGGGATCAAATACTGACCTTCATGTTTCCTAATCGCCTTGTTCTGTCAACCACGAGCAGTTTCTTAATGAGGTCTCTATGTTGGGGAAGGAGACAAAAAAAAAAAAAGTACACAGATTATATATCAACATCAGCAAACGCAGCATGGCAACAGAGATAAGATCTATCTGACATGAGGACCGCAGTTCAATTTCCACTTTGGCAAAACACTTTCTAGTGCTTATTTCCTACCATCACCGGCTCTTAAATCACCTATGCAAGGCTGGGTTGCCCCGTGCAAGGCTGAAGCTAAGGGAAGGGGGTTGATTACATCTTTGTAAAGAAAATACACCTCTGAGTAGAAAAGGGTGAAATTTATATGTGCCTGCAGGGAGGATCCAGACACTTAACGTAAACATGCCTGTCAGGCTGTCCCTGCAAAATAGAAGACATCTGCTTTCACCAACATCAACACTCACGCGCTGTCCTGGGGGTCTGCTTATTGATGGGATTCCTGTTTTAAAAGGCTGGCTTTCCCATAAGCACACACATTAGGATGAGTCTCCTAAGTCTGCTTCTTCACTTATAATCTTCCTTTTAAATAACAGACCATGTCAGAAGTACAGCAGGTGGGGAGGTTGGGCATACTGGCTCACACCAGTAATCCCAGCACTGTGGGGAGGCCGAGGCGGGTGGATCACTTGACGTGAGGAGTTTGAGACCAGCCTGGCCAACATGGTGAAACCCCATCTCTACAAAAAAAAAGAAAAAGAAATTCGCTGGGCATGCTGGCACACAACTGTGGTCCCAGCTACTTGGGAGGCTGAGGCACAAGAACCGCTTGAACCCAGGAGGCGAAGGTTGCAGTGAGCTGAGACTGAGCCACTGCACTCCAGTCTGGGTGACAGAGGTAGAGTCAGTCTCAAAAAAAAACAAAAACAAACAACAACAACGACAACAAAAAACAGCAAGCTGCTTCAATTAGGATGGGTAGTTGGAGATGATGTTGAAGACTTCCAGGAGATTAGGTGAGTTCTAAAAGATGCATATTTATGGAAGTAGAAATGATCATGTGTGTCTGTGTGTACACATAAAATACACAGAGTACATTATGTATAATAACATACATAATATGATATAATAATATAATATATTGAAGTCCCCCAAAACAATCCAATACCCATGACCCCGGTGTAAGCGTCTAGGCTTTCCCAGCATAAACTATGCCCCAAGGTAAGTAGCACGAACTTGGACTGAGCCACTCCCAGGTTCTGTGACAGACTGTGGAGTCTCCGACAAGCCAGGTGACGTCCTAGGGTCAGACTCCACCATCTAGATTGTGAATCTCGCCAGTGCTGTCTGATCGGAAATTTTACAGTTTCCTGCCACCATGCTTTCTGAATTAGGATGGGATGCTTGTCAGACTTCACCGCTTCTCTGCCACAAAGTAAAACTCAGAGACCATCTGTCCGCCCACCTAAGGCTAGGATTTTGTATCCATCCTGTAAGGCTGAAAAGCTTTGAGCAGGATGGGGAATATAAAAATCACCTAAAAGTTAGAAACCTTTCCACTACTTAGTGAGTTTCTCCTTCATTATTTTGACATGCTCCCCCCTGCCAAAAAAAAATCAAGGTTATCAAACACTATACCCCCAAAACATTCCCAAATAAATGTGGGGCTTCGTCCCCCACGTGATTTACACCACTGCCTGCCCCCTTACCACACACACTTAAAGCTCACTGGAGTGCAATTATAAGACAGGTTTATTTATGCTTTTATATTTTAGATAAACCTTTGTTTTCTTATAATCCCAGTCCAATCAGCTTTAAGTGTATACGCTAATGGGGCAGGCAGTGGTGTAAATTATAGGGGGGAAAAAAAGCCCTATGTTTATTTCAGAATGTTTTGGTGATCACCTGATAAATTTCAACGTGTGTGTGTGTGTGTGTGTGTGTGTGTGTGTGTGTCATGTAAGAAAACAAAATGTTTGATGACCTTGAATTTTTTTTTAAATTTTTTTGGTGTTTGGCATGTAAGAAAATGAAGATTTATTTAAAATACAGGGGACAGTGGCTTGTAATCCCAGCTATGCAGTGGGCTGAAGTGGGAAGACCACGTGAGACCAAGAGTTCGAAACCAGCATGGGCAACATAGTAAGACCCTCGTTTCTACAAAATATCAAAACATTGGCCAGGCATGGTGGTGCATGCCTGTAGCACCAGTTACTCGGGAGGCTGAGGTGGGAGTGTCATTTGAGCCCAGGACGTCGAGGCTGCAGTGAGCTATGATTGTGCCACTGCACTCCAGCCGGGGTGACAGAGCAAGACACCCGTCTCTTTAAAAGAAAAAGTAAAATACCAAAGCAAACTCTTATAAAGCAGTCTAGAAAGTAAAGAGTATGGATGAGAAGAGGCCCCTGAAGATGCAAAGCCCTATAAAGGAACGACAGAAGTGTCCACAGCTGTAGATGGGTCCCTTGACCCCGGGATAAGCGACACATCTGCCGGCACTCTTTTGATGCACTGTAGCCAAAATTCTACATTTTATTTACGATCCTGGCACCAGCTGGCTCCTCTCAGATGCAGGTACTTTCAGGTGTTGTAAAAAACACCGGCAGATAATACCTCTACTGAATTGGCAACAAGTCCCAAAGCTTTGTTTTGGTGTTTTGTTTTAAATGATATTTATTTCTATAAGGAATGTCAATCCTGATGTGCCATTTGCCCAGGCGACATGTTTACCTGGTCAAATGATAAAAGTTGCAGGAACCAACATATGACTTTAAAAAGCAGAGAATCAAAATTCTAGCATCATGGACAACCAGGGACAGTGATTTGGATAAGAAAAATGCCTCATTAAGGCCAGGTGCAGTGGTTCACGCCTGTAATCCCAACACTTGGGGAGGACAAGGCAGGAGGATCAGTTGAGCCCAGGAGTTCAAAAGCAGCCTAGGCAATGCAGCAAGATCCCCATACCCATCTCTACCAAAAAAAGGAAAGATATGAGTCATTGAGGTCTTGCTTCTCAGCCAATTTGATAAGATTTAACAAATAATGGGAAGAAGTGAACTGTCAGTTCACTTCTATCTATCACTGTTTCTGCTCTTGGGGAACCCACACTGGGTATGTAAAGAAACAGGGGCACTGTGGGGAACACTGGAAGGGGCTGGGAGCTGCATAAAGAGAGGCATGTTAGATCAGACAGTACCAAGATGGTCGCTGCTGGTTCCCTACTCTCAAAGAAGATAAACTAGGAGAGAAAGAAGGACAAGTGGCAAGAGACCAGACTTTGATTACGCTTCTGGTTTATTCTATTTCTGCAATTCCTTTTTTTGTTGTTGTTTCCACAGAACATTGGAAACCCCCCCCATATATATATATAATTATATCTTTTAATTTTATTATTTTTTCTTTTCTTGACACAGAGTTTCACTCTTTCATCCAGTCTGGAGTGCAGTGGTGCAATCATAGGTCACTGCAGCCTCGACTTCCTGGGCTCAAGCAGTCCTCCCATCTCAGCCTCCCTAGTAGCTGGGACTACAGGCACTTGCTACCATGCCCAGCTAATTTTTAAATTTTTTGTAGACATGGGGTCTTGCTACATTGTCCAGGCTGGCCTCAAACTATTGGATTGGCCCCAAGCAATCCTCCCACTTCGGATTGCTCCTGAAGTGCTGGGATTACAGGCATGAGCACCTCACCTGGCCAAACTCGATCATAAAAGTGCTTTGCCATCCACTTAATATAATGTCACTCAACTCAGATGGGATTTGGGGCCTGAGAGAGAGGTTCTATATAATCCTTTCTATTTCCTTCCAGAGCAGTCGGCTTCTGAGGTGCTGTTTCCCCTGACACCTCCCTGTCTTACCATTCACTGGACAGGGTGTCCCTTCTAGGCGACTCATTGTTAAGCGGAGCCTCGTTTTCTTGCTAAAGTCTTTTAAAGCCTGCCTCTTAGTGTGTCAAACACAACACATGCTCAAGCCAATAAAACACGACCTTATCTTCTGTTCAGACTAAGAACCTCTGGTTAGGATGGGGTGCGTTCACCACCAAGAAACTCAACTGAACGTAGCCAGTGGCCCCATAAGGGGCATATTCAAAACAACCTGCTCCATCGCCCTGAAATAAGTCTTCTCTGAACTGAACTTCCACCGGCTCATAAGAAAATAGACCATGGAAAAGAAAAGTTTAATTCTCAACTAGATGCATTTAGCTCTAGTTTGTGCCCAGGGGGCTGGTGCACCCATCAACTCATCTGAAAAATACAGTGAAACAAACAGAAATCAGTGCTTATTACAGTAAAAATGGCTACCAGTTGACCAGATTGGGTAAGGTAGCCAGAAAACCAAAAGCATTCTTTTTTTTTTGAGACAGAATCTTGCTCTGTCGCCCAGGCTGGAATGTAGTGGTGCGATCTCAGCTCACTGCAACCTCCGCCTCCTGGGTTCAAGCGATTCCGCTGTCTCAGCCTCCCAAGTAGCTGAGACTACAGGCGCCCACCACCACACCCAGCTAATTTTTTATATTTTCAGTAGAGCCGAGGTTTCACCGTGTTTCCCAGGATGGTCTCGATCTCCTGACCTCGTGTTCCACCCACCTCAACCTCCCAAAGTGCTGGGATTACAGGCATGAGCCACCACGCCCAGCCGCGTTCTTATATTTAAGAAAATAATATATTTTTTCCCTACTGCCACGACCTTTATAAAATGTGCATCCAAAGTTGCCAATATCCAGCAACTGTAAATATCCTTGAAGCAACATGCTCAGAACTGAAAATGTTGACGTTAAAAAGGACTTAGAGGTTGAGCATAATTTAAGCAGGAGAGAAAGGATAAAACTCTGCTAAACCCATCAACAGTTCTGTTAGCCACAGAACTAGGAGGATCCTTCTTGTCAAATTCCAAAACTGCTCTCTTATAAAATACGATGACAAACTCGTTCATTGGCTCATTTTAAATATAACATACCACCAAAAGAACACAATACGGCCAAGACTCATTAAAATGTGAAGCTATCATTAAAGTAGAATACTGAAAATCTTTTTCTTTTCTTGTGGAAAAGACAACTGTCCAAAATAGTTTATGCGCAGCACATTTAATAACACAATATGGTATCCTGCTGAGTGCGTGCTTTCACGGTGATTTTAGACACTTTAAAAATAAACACACCTCATGATGAGGCAAACGGTTTACTTACTTTACATGGAAATCCAAATGTCTGGGGAAATCTATTTTGCCTGCAAGAATTTTCTGATAAATGCCAAACGGGTTGTCATCAAAAAACGGAGGAAACCTGTTAGAAAAACAAACATGTATTTTTAGTGGGGAGTAAGCATGGAAAAAAATCCCTGCTTTGTAACGATAGCTATTTCTGCTTCACACAGGCAGAAGGTAATTTATTTCACATGCTCTTCCCCGCACACTGAAGTTGTCACGATCTGAAAGCACGTGACAGTCAGATGGTTCTAAGAGGCAAGGCATCGTGTGCCACAGTCCGATGCAGGGGAAGCTCCCTTGGAGAGAATATAAAGACCATTTGAGAGGCGTCTGCTGAGCAGAAGGCAACTCCTTTTTGGGCATCTTATTGAGGGGCCACCAGCCCATTCCTTAACTGTGCACTAAACACTGGACAGCAATGCTCTCTCATGTTTACCGGGGTGAATCCACCACCATGACCAAGCATGGAACTCAAATGTCTCAAGAGCGAAAAGATAAGCACTCCAATTAAAAAATGGACAGGTGGTCTTCACAGACATTTCTCAAAAGAAGACATGGAAAAGGCCAACATGTATATGAAAAAAAATGCTCAACGTCACTAATCATCAGGGAAATGCAAATCAAAACCTCAATGAGGTGTCAATCATCTCAACCCAATTAAGACGGCCATTATCAAAAAGACACTGTAATCCCAGCACTTTGGGAGGCCGAGGCGGGTGGATAACCTGACGTCAGGAGTTTGAGACCAGTCTGGCCGACATGGTGAAACCCCATCTCTACTAAAAATACAAAAATTAGCCAGGCGTGGTGGCACGCGTCCGTAATCCCAGCTACTTGGGAGGCTGAGGCAGGAGAATCACTTGAACCCGGAAGGTGGAGGTTGCAGTGAGCCGAGATCGTGCCATTGCACTTCAGCCTGGGAAACAAGAGTGAAACTCTGTCTCAAAAAAAATTAAAAAAAAAAAAAAAAAAAGACACATACACACAAAAATAAGAAATGCTGGTGAGGATGTGGAGAAAAGGGAACTCTTTTTTTTTTTTGAGACAGGATCTCGCTCTGTCTCCCAGGCTGGAGTGCAGCGGTGCAATCTCAGCTCACTGCAACCTCTGCCTCCCAGGCTCAAGCGATCTACCTGCCTCAGCCTTCCAAGTAGCTGGGATCACAGGTATCTGCCACCATGCCAGCTAATTTTTGTATTTTTTTTTGTAGAGCGGGGGTTTCACCATGTTGCCTAGGCTGGTCTTGAAGTCCTGGGCTCAAGTGATCCACCCAGCTTGGTCTCTCAAAGTGCTAGGATTACCAGCGTGAGCCACTGTGCCTGGCCAAAAAGGGAACTCTTACGCAATGTTGGTGGGAACGTAAACTAGTAGAGCCACCATAGAGAAGAGTATGGAGGTTCCTCAGAAAAGCTAGAAATAGAACTCCCATATGACCCAGCCATCACATTACTAGGTATCTGTTCAAAGGAAAGGAAGTCATGATACTGGAGAGACATCGGCACGCCCATGTTTACCACAGCACCATTCACAACAGCCAAGATAGGGAATCAGCGTAGATGTCCATCAACAGATGAGCAGATAGGTAAAGAAAAGGTGGTATCTACACACAGTAGAATACTATTCAGCCATGAAAAGGAATACAATCCTCTGACTGGCAGCAACATGGATGAAACTGGAGGACATTATGTTAGGTGAAATAAGCCAGGAAAAGAACATTAAACAGCACTTGTGCTTACTCATACATGAAAGCTAAAAAAAAGCTGATCTCCTGAAAGGATAAAGAAGAACAGAGGATACTAGACGCTGGGAAGGGAAGAAGTGAGAGATAGGGAGAGGTTTGTTAAAGGATACAAAATTACAAGCAGATAGGAGGAATATGTTCCAGTGTTCTATAGTCTTGTAGGGTGACTATAATTAGCAATAACATGTCGTATTGTTTCAAATACATAGAGGATATTGAATGTTCCTAACACAAAGAAATGGTAAATAATTGAAATGGATATGCTAATTACCCTGATCTGATTACTCCATTCTTTGTATCAAAGCATCACTGTCTACCCCATGAATATGTACAATTATTATGTGTCAATTTAAAAAATAAAATAAGCCTGGGAAATATGGCAAAACCCAGTCTTAAAAAAATATATATTAGCTGAGTGTGGTGGTGCATATGTGTGGTCCCAGCTACTTGGGAGGCTGAGGGGGGAGGATCGCTTGAGCACAGGAGGTCAAGGCTGCAGTGAGCTGTGATCACACCACCACACTCCAGCCTGGGTGACAGAGTGAGACCTTGTCTCAAAATAAAATAAAATATAAAATAGGCTGGATGCTGTGGGTCATGCCTGCAATCCCAACACTTTGAGAGGCTGAGGCAGGCAGGTCACTTTAGGTCAGGAGTTCCAGACCAGCCTGGCCAACATGGTGAAACCCGTCTCTACTAAAAATACAAAAATTAGCTGGGCATGGTCCCCGGTGCTTGTAATCTCAGCTACTCAGGAGGCTGGGCCAGGAGAATTGCTTGAACCTGAGAGGCAGAGGTTGCAGTGAGCTGAGATCGTGCCACTGCACTCCAGCCTGGGTGACAGAGAGAGATGGAGTACATAAATGAAATGAAATATAAAATAATTGTTAAAATAAAGTTTACAGTGGTGAATACGCCACTATGGCCAAGAACAGGACACCTTTCTCGAGGCTTCCTTCACTCTACAGCACGAGCAATACCTGATTATGTCCAGCCCGGTACTGAGCCTGCTTGCACGGCACTATAAGGCATCCTCAATAAACTGCAAGTGAATGTCAGTGAACTACTTTTTTTTTTTGAGACAGGGTCTTGCTCTGTTGCCCCCAGGCTGGAGTACTGCAGCGTGATCCTGGCTCAGTGCACTCAGCCTTCACCTCCAGGGCTCAAGCTATGCTCCTACTTCAGCCTCCTGAGCAGCTGGGGCTACAGGTCTGCACCACCACGCCAGGGTTTTGTTTTTTTTTTTTTTTTAATTTTTGGTAGAGACAAGGTCTCACTATGTTGCCCAGGCTGGTCTCAAACGCTTGGGCTCAAGTGATCCTCCCACTTCAGCCTTCCAAAGTAATGGGACTACAGATGTGAGCCACCACACCCATTACTGAATTTCTTTATATTCCTCATTCATGGAACAGTATGTGGCACACAACAGGTGCTCAATAAATGTGTACAGGCCAAATGAAAGAGCCTGAGATATCATATTTTTCTTTTGTTTTGAGACAGGGTTTGACTCTGTCACCCAGGCTGGAGTGCAGTGGTGCAATCATAGCTCACTGTAGCCTTGACCTCCCCCAGGAGGCCATCCTCCCACCTCAGGCTCCCATGTAGCGGGGACCACAGGTGTGTGCCACCATGTCTGGCTAATTTTTTGACTTTCTATAGGGATGCGGTCTCACTATGTGACTACTTTTTAAGGTGCAGGAGCAGAGTCTGTACTTGTAACTGAGACTGGGTAGTCTGCAAAGCTGACCGAAGCTCTTTGCCCCAAGAAAACCATTTCTTGACCCCTGGAGACCAGGAAAAAGACAGAAATACATGCAAATACAGCCTTGAAAATGGTGCATGTGTAAAAACAAGATTGTCATACTATGCTTTGTTGACTGTAGTAAAAAGATTACAGTCCTGCTGCAGAAACCAGCAGACTTTACTAATACCTAGAAATGTTCAAAATATGTGAAACAAACTAAAAAAATATATATACTTAAAACTGCAAAGACCAAGATAAATCCAAGAACATCTAGAAGTCAACTGTATTAGTCCATTTTCAGTCTGCTATAAAGAACTACCTGAGACTGGGTAATTTATAAAGAAAAAAGATTTAGGCCAGGCGCGGTGGCTCATGCCTGTAATCCCAACACTTTGGGAGGCCAAGGTGGGCGGATCACGAGGTCAAGGAGATCGAGACCATCCTGGCTAACACAGTGAAACCCTGTCTCTACCAAAAATACAAAAAATTAGCCAGGCGTGGTGGCGGGCGCCTGTAATCCCAGCCACTCAGGAGGCTGAGGCAGCGGAATGGCGTGAACCCGGGAGGCGGAGCTTGCAGTGAGCCGAGATCACGCCACTGCACTCCAGCCTGGGCGACAGAGCAAGACTCTGTCTCAAAAAACAAAAAAGAAAAGAAAAGAGATTGAGTTGACTCACAGTTCCGCATGGCTGGGGAGGCCTCAGGAAACTTACAATCATGGTGGAAGGCGAAGGGGAAGCAAGGCACATTTACATGGTGGCAGATGAGTGAAAGCGAGCAAAGGGGGAAGTACTACACTTTAAAACCATCAGATCTCCTGAGAACTCTATCATGAGACTGTACTAGGGCAATGTTGCTAAACTGTCAGAAACCACTCCCATGATCCAACCACCTCTCACCAGGTCCCACCTCCAACACTGGGGATTACATTTAAACATGAGATTTGGGTGGGGACACAAAGCCAAACCATTTCATCAACCAGTAAGTGTATACTAGACACTTACATGTCCGTGGCACAAGTTGTACTTCTGAGATTTTCTCATATTGATCAGGACAGATACTCATATTGGCTCAAAGTCATGTTTTCCATTTAGCTTCTTTTGACTTAAGATATTCTAATTCAGGTATGCTAGCAACGGAAATACCTTATAAAACGGAGCTTTCAAATGACACCCTCATTGATTATCAGAAATGTCCATGAGCAAAAATAATTCTCCTGTAGATTCCAAATCACTTCCTGACCTTAACAAAATTCAGTGGAGTGGACGGAATGAGAGGTCCCCAAAAAGATACATCCATGATCTTACCCCAACAACCTGTGAATGGGACCTTATTGGGAAACAGGGTTTTCACAGATAGAATTAAGGAGCTTCAGATGAGATCATCCTGGAACAGGGTAGGCCCAAATCCAATGACAGGTATCCTCATAAGAGACTCAAGAGGAGGCACACACACAGAGGAGAAGGCCACATGGGGACAGAGGCAGAGACAGCAGTGATGCGGCCACAAGCCCAGGGATGCCTGGAGCCCCCAGGAGCTGGGAGAGGCAGGGAGTATCCTCCCCTAGAGCCTCCAGAGGGAACTGGATACACGTGTAGTGGATTGAACTGTGGCCCTCAGAAAGATCTGTCCACGTCCTAATGCCCAGACCTGGAATGAGACCTTATTCAGCAATAGGGTCTTTGCAGATGTGATTAATTGAAGGATCTTGAGATGAGATCGTCCTGGATTAGGATGGCCCTAAATCCAATGACAGGTGGCCTTCCTTCTAAGAGACTGAAGAGGAGACAGAGACATAGAGGAGAAGGCCACATGAAGGTGGAGGCAGAGACTGCAGTGATGTGGCCACAAGCCCAGGGATGCTGGAGCCCCCAGGAACTGGGAGAGGCAGAAAGGATCCTTCCCTGGAGTACAGTCCTGAGACACTTTGATCTCAAACTTCTGGTCTCCCGGACTAAGAGAGGATAAAGTTCTCTTGTTTAAACCTTTCAGTCTGTGGTAGTTTCTAACAGCAGCGTCAGGACATTCATACGTAGAACTACACACATGAACTGTCCAATACACTGCAGTGGAGAAAAATTCAAAGAAAAACAAAGAGGAGAAATATGAAGTACAAAAATGGAAATCAATGGGAGAGGTGACAGAGAAGTGGGGGTGGGTTACATGAGGAAATGAAAGTTACCAGAGAAAGGTAAATGATTAGGTGCGTGCGACGTGGCCCTAACACAGCATTTCTTCCTTCTTAAATAACATTTCAGTTGCTTGTTTTGCACTTTAGCATGAAGGTGAGTTTCCCAATAGGGTATCTCTTTGGGCCGCTGGTCCTGGAGTTACGAGCCACCACAACGTACTGAAAAACCACCCAGGCCAGGCTGGGAAGCAGAGCTCTGAGTACAGACACTCATGCGATCTGCGCCAACCCTGCCGCCTCAGACGTTAACAACCTCCCGAGCCCGTCCTCCCTCACCTGCCCGCAGCGTTCTCTGTAACAGTAGTTGGGGGAGTTGTATTCCTGTTTCTCTCTGGGTTTGGGTGGCGACTCAGCTGTGTGAATAATGCACAAATACAGGAATGGAGCATTAAACTCCAGGAGGAAATGTGCCATACATACCTAAAAACATTTATGGAGAATATTAAACGAAGTGCTCTTGGACAGTAGACATTACATAAGATCATGGGAAAGGTATTAATAAGCGGAAAAAGATAAATAATAAGTGAGCACTAACTGATGATCTTGCCTGAAAGAAAAAGCAGAGACAGTGTGTGTGTGTGTCTGAGAAACAGCACTCCCCCGGACGCCTGGGCAGTGCCCTCTGAAACCCTCAAATTTCTGTCTCTAAACATACAGACTGCTTCCAATTCTTACCAAGTGGAGAATAAATTCTCATTATATGGCATTTGGCATTATTAAGCAAGTTAAATTGATCTGTGGTGACAGCTACACTTGCAAGGACAATCTGCTAATCAGCATGAATGCAAGCTCCAGATTTTCGCCTGAAAAATTCATGCCCAGGCTAGGCACAGTGGCTCATGCCTGTCATCCCAGCATTTGGGGAGGCCAACGCGGGAGGACTGCTTGAGCCCAGGAGTTCAAGACCAGCCTGGACAACACAGTGAGACCTCGTCTCTACAAAAAATTTAAAAATTATCTGGACGTGCTGGTGTGTGCCTGTGTTCCCAGCTACAGCCTCTGCGGTCCCCAGCTACAGCCTCTGTAGTCCCAGGAGGCTGAGGCAGGAGGATCGCTTGAGCCCAGGAGGTCGAGGCTTCAGTAAGCTATGACTGCACCACTGCATTCCAATCTGGACACAGAACAAGACCCTGTCTCAAAAGAAAAAAAAAAAAAACAAAAAAAACGCTCATGCAGTGGCTCACGGCTGTCATCCCAGCACTTTGGGAGGCCGAGGCAGGTGGATCACTTGAGCCTAGGAATTTGAAATCAGCCTGGGTAACATAGCAAGACCCTATCTCTACAAAAAAATTTTAAAAAATTAGCCAGGTACAGTGACGTGTACCTGTCATCCCAGCTACTCAAGAGGCGGAGGTGGGGGTTTGCTTGAGCCCAGGAGGTCCAGGCTGCAGTGAGCTGTGACTGCACCACTGCACTCCTGACTGGGCAACAGAGCAAAACTGTCTGCAAAAACAAAAAAAGAAAAATGAAAAAAATTTACACCAATTGTGCCACTAGCTCTATCATTTGCCAGTAAAATTTGAATGTAACCATTCCGCCTATTTACATCTTCCAGTAAAGTGGATGGTGCAGGCAGAGATACCCTGGGCGCTGTGAGCTGATGTTCTCCCTCCTACTCAGCTGGAAAAACACCCTCCTAAACTATCAGCTGACACACTACCTGCTCCAGTTCTGAGGACCGGGGCTGGCCTTGGAAGACAGGTGCTTTGGAAATGCATTCAAGAAAAGGAAGGCAGAGGTTTTTAGAGAAAAGAAGAAAGCCGTCACTAGAATTTCACTAGAATTTCATCCCACCTTGACTTCTTCCTCAAAAATCCTTGTCCCGATACCTTCAGATTAAAAACTAAAATTTAGGCCAGGCGTGGTGGCTCACACCTGTAATCTCAGCACTTTGTGAGGCTGAGGCAGGTTAATCACTCGAGGTCAGGAGTTTGAGAGCAGGCTGGCCAACATGGCGAAACCCCATCTCTACTAAAAATACAAAAATTAGCCAGGCACGGTGGCACGCACCTGTAACCCCAGCTACTCGGCAGGCTGAGGCAGGAGAATTGCTTGAACCCAGGAGACAGAGGTTGCAGTGAGCCGAGATCGCGCCACTACACTCCAGCCTGGGTGACAGAGCAGGGGTCCCTCTAAAGAAAAAAAATAATAATAATTAATAAATAAATATAAAATCTGTGCTCCTCAGATGAATCAGGGAGGCTGAGGTGGGAGATGAGAAAGGGGAACTTGAGGGCCAGTTAAAGCGGAAGGAGCAGGCACTGGGGTGTGTGAGGGTTGGGGCAGAGTAGAGGGTGAAAATATAGCCCCGGGCACGTTGACTTGGGCATCACAGCAGTGGCCCTCAAAGTGGAGTCCCAGGGTGGCTTCCCGACCTCAGTTTAGGGATGGCTGAGATCGTTTTTCTGACTCCAGTTCAGAATAGTGATGAATTTTCTCCTATGCCTCAACTAAACAACGTGCCACGCAGCACAGCAGACAGGCTGCAGACAGAGGGAGGAGAGGCCAGCAGCCCTTGTGAAAGCTGGACACTAAAGAGATTCACAAAACCCAGAAAATACAGCCAACCTCCTCACAAATGTTTTCTCTCTTTTTAGAGACAGGGTCTCTCTGTCACCCAGGCTGGAGTGTAGTGACGAGACCACAGCTCACCGCAGCGTTGACCTCCCAGCCTCAGTGATCCTCCCACCTCAGCCTCCCAAAGTACTGGGACCCTGGGCGTGTACCATCATGCTCAGCTAATTGGTTTATTTATTTCATTTTATTTTTTGTAGAAATGGGGTCTCACTATGTTGCCCAGGCTGGCCTCCAACTCCTGGGCTCAAGTGATCCTCCCACCTCAGCCTCCTGAAGTGCTAGGATTACAGGCGTGAGCCACCATGTCCAGCCTGAATGGTTTTAATTCTAGAAAGTGTGGTTACACATTTTTTTCATTTAAAAATGCTATTTATGTTCTCCTCTGATTATTTAACTTCTCATATATATTATTTATGTATTCTGTTGGTTTATATTTCAGTCTCTACTTTAATTTCAAATGTAGTCAGCGCGGACAGCTGTAACACACAGAAATGAAAGTTCTGTGGGTTGTTAATAACTTTGAGCTGTGTGTTGAAGGGTTCCCGAGGCCAACATGTTTGAGAACCACTGCGCAATGCCTAATGCTCCCCGTGGAAGAGGCTCCACTGCAGCCAAATTCCACCTTCTCTAGGATCTTCTGCACCCTGTCTGCTATGCTGTATTGTCTTAGTTGACACCTATGAAGAAAATTCATCACTATTCAGATCTGTCATTGGAAAAATGATCTCACTCATCTGCTGAAACACACTTCGGGAACCCCATAGTCCTCTGGGATGCCACTTTGAGAATCACTGCTGTCACAACTAAGACAAGATGGCCCAGGGGCTTTCTCTTACCCTGCACTCTGCTGTATGTCTTGTGTGTCCCTGTGTTTTGTTCTTGATGCTTTAGCTGATTTTTTTTTTTCTTTTTCTGAGACAGTGTCTTGCTCTGTTACCCAAGCTGATGTGCACTGGTGCAATCTCAGCTCACTGCAGCCTCGACTTCCTGGGCTGAAGCAATCCTCCCACCTCAGCCTCCTGAGTAGCTGGGACTACAGGAACATACAACCACACCCAGCTAGTTTTATTTTTATTTTTTGTAGAGATGGGGTCCCACTATGTTGCCCAGGCTGGTCTTGAACTCTTGGGCTTAAGCAGTTCTTCTGTCTCAGCCTCCCAAAGTGCTGGGATGACAGGCATGAACCACCACGTCCAGCCTTTACCTGACTCTTGAGTTAAACTCTCTGGGAGAATAAAACCACAGAAATGGATGAGGAAAGAGAATAGGATGGAAGAAATCGGAGCTGAGCTTGGGTCCTTGGAAAGTGCATGAGTGATTTTGTTCCAGAATGTGCCACACAATTTTCATCTGACCTAAACATGTCTCATTCCATGAAAATAAAATCTGCATCATGATATGATCTCCTTCCTAATCACATGGCAGATTTTACCAAATAGATGGTTTTCCCTGTGCTTAGTGGAAGATTGAGATAATCACTTAAAGCAATAACACAGACAAGGCACAGTCTCACTTGATCCTGCTAAGAGTGGGAATCCAGCAAATGGAGCTGCGATAGGAAAGGTGCAGACACAGGCTGCGAAGGGAGCAGGAAGACTCTGACTGCAGGCCGGCTCCACTTGTATGTGCAGCAGTGCCCTCCCTCCAGCCACCAGAAGTTTCTGGGTTCAAGGAGGTGAGGAGAGCAGCTTGGGAGCATTGCTCTCAGAGGCAGTCAACACATACAAAATTTAGATGGTTTCAGAGCTGCTAATCAGTATAAAGAAAACAGATGGGCTGGTCGGACAGGGCATGGCCCAGGAGAACAGGGGAGGCCCCAGAGGGCTGTGGGAGCAGGTGACAGGTGAGCCTGCAGCATGTGCAGTGGAAGAGAAAGGGCCAGCCCTGGCTGGGTGTGGTGGCTCACGCCTGTAACCCCAGCACTTTGGGAGGCCGAAGCAGGTGGATCACTTGAGGTCAGGAGTTTGAGGCCAGCCTGGCCAATATGGTGAAACCCCCTCTCTACTAAAAATACAAAAATTAGCTGGGCGTGGTGGCGCACACCTGTAATCCCAGCTACTCAGGAGGCTGAGGAAGGAGAATTGCTTGAACCTGGGAAGCAGAGGTTGCAGTGAACCAAGATTTGCGCCACTGCAGTCCAGCCTGGGTGACAGAGCGAGACAAGAAAGCAGAGGTTACAGTGAGCCAAGATTGTGCCACTGCACTCCAGCCTGGGTGACAGAGCGAGGCGGAACAGAAAGGAAAGGAAGAAGGAAAGGAAATGAAAGGAAAGGAAAGGAAAAAGGGGAAAGGGGAAAAGGGAAAGGGGAAAGGAAGAGGGAGAGGGGAAAGGAAAAGGAAAGGAAGAAGGGAAGGGAAAGGGAAGGGAGGAAGGAGAGAGAGAGAGAGAGGGAGGGAGAGAGGAAGGAAGGAGAGAGGGAGGGAGGGAGGAAAGGAAAGGGAAGGAAAGGAAAGGGAAAAAGAAAAGAAGGAGGAAGGAAGCCAGCCTTTGGGCAGGGGGACAGGTCAGGCTTCCTGGCACGTTTAAAAAGCAGTGGGAAGACAAGGAGGGGCCAGGCTGTTGTCTAAGAGGGGTGGACAACCCACAGGCAGACCGTCTCAGAACCTCATATGATAACGAGCCTCCGATTCTGCTCCAGTCATCCGGGAAGCAACAAGCGGGCTCCCAGGGAATAGGGACACAGCTGATGGGTACGTGGACAGGATGCCTGCAGCTGCTTCCAGGAAAATGTACTGCAGGCAGGAGGGGATGCAGGAGACTGAGAAGGCTTGGGGTGGTCCAGGCGAGCTCAGGCCGGCTGGAGCTGGGGAAGAGCACAGGAATGCCTGGGAGAGTTGGGGTCGGCGAAGCTGGTAACTCTCAAAACACCCACCCATGTGAAGAGACACAGGGCTGCTGAGAAATTGAAAAAACAATATTCACCCAGAAATAGACTCTAATTAGAAAAAAGGAAAATAAAAATAGGCTTACTGTGAATCAATAGCTCCCTGCCTCATGAAATGCACAGGTCAGCAGACTGGGCTTTGATTGGGAGACGGTTATTCATTTAATTTAATTATTCATTTTCTTTCTTTTTTTTTTTTTTCTTTTTGAGATGGAGTCTCACCTCTGTTGCCCAGGCTGGAGTGCAGTGGTGCGATCTCGGCTCACCGCAACCTACCCGCCTCCTAGGTTCAAGCGATTCTCGTGCCTCAGACTCCCGAGTAGCTAGGATTACAGGCACCATGCCTGGCTTTTTTTTGTATGTGTAGTAGAGACGGGGTTTTACCATTTTGGCCAGGCTGGTCTCGAACTCCTGACCTCAGGTGATCCAACCACCTCGGCCTCCCAAAGTGTTGGGATTACAGGTGTGAGCCATGGTGCCTGGCCTAATTATTCATTTTCAATTAGCCTAATGATTTATTACATTACAATTAGGTTATTTTCTATTCTATTGTATTCTAATATATTTAAATATTCCAATGTTATAGCCTATTAACAATTCTGGTAACTTTATATAATTCGAATACAGTCATTCTAAGAGTGTAATATTCTATTCTTTTTAAATTTATTTTTATGTATTTTTAACTTCAGCGTACCCTGAGACTAATATTGTTTTAACTATAGTCTAATAGTTCTATGTTGTATTCTAACAATATTATGTCCTAATAGTATATTGTATTCTAATAATAGTCTACTCTATCCTAGAATCAATAAAATTTGGGGCACACGAACCTCACTCTATTTAAAACCATTAGACTACAGGATACAACGATCCTCAGGCAATGCTGCCCTCGTGTGGTCAGTGTTATCACCGAAGGAAAATGTGGTGCTTTTCCTTGGGTGGACGCTGATCAATATGCCTAAGTTATTTTTAACCTTTTGGGTTTGCCTAGGACATAATGGGCTAGGGTGCATATTGAGAAGTTTGGTTCTATATGACTTGTAGGCATGTCTCAGCAAAGAGTAATGGAAAATTCAAAAGACCAACAGGCCGGTAGGTAGGTAGATTATTGATAGCTAGATAGACAGAAAGGTAGAGATAGAGGGATAGGTAGGTAAGTAGATGATTGATAAATACATAGATATATAGAAAAGCAGATAGATGAATAGGTAGATAGATGATTGATAGATGGATAGGTAGGGAGGTAAACAGTTACATAGAAAGACAGATGATAAATAGATGGATAGGCACATAGATAAATAGGAAGTAGATGGATAGATTGGTACATGAATGACAGATAGATGATAGGTAAATACATAGATAACAGGTAGGTAGGCAGATAAAAAGATCGTAGAGATAAAGAGATGGAGAGAGATGGATATATAAATATATAAATGACAACTTAGATGATAGATAAGGATAAATGGATAAACAGATACATACATACTTACAAAATAGGTAGACCATAGAGATAGACAGGGATAGGTGTGTGGGTGGGTGGGTGGGTGGATGGATGGATGGATGGAAGGGTGGGTGGATGGATGGATGGATGAAGGGGTGGGTGGATGGATGAAGCGGTGGGTGGGCAGGTGGGTGGATGGATGAAGGGGTGGGTGGGTGGATGGATGAAGGGGTAGGTGGGTGGATGGATGGATGGATGGATGGATGAAGGGGTGGGGGGGTCGGGGGGTGGATGGATGAAGGGGTGGGGTGGTAGATGGATGAAGGGGTGGGGGTGGATGGATGAAGGGGTGGGGTGGTAGATGGATGAAGGGGTAGAGGGGTGGGGGGGTGGGTGCATGGATGGATGAAGGGGTGGGGGTGGATGGATGAAGGGGTGGGGGGGTGGATGGATGAAGGGGTAGGGGGTGGGGGAGTGGGTACATGGATGGATGAAGGAGTGGGTGGGTGGATGGATGACGGGGTGGGTGGGTGGATGGATGAAGGGGTTGGGGGGTAGGTGGGTGGATGGATGGAAAAGTATATAAACATAGATAAATAGACAGGTGGGTAGATGGATGGATGGATGATAAACAATACACATGGATAGCTAGACAATGAAATACAGGTTTTTACGGGTTCCACTCTCCTCCTGCGGCATCTCAGGCTCCGGTTTTGTGGTGGAATTCTTTGGTAGTGCTTGTTCAACATCGTTCTGATCCCTAAGCTAGTGTGGGAATTAACGGATTCACTTTCTTTATAAAAGAGGGCAGAGATAAGCACATGGGACGATGACCCCTGTCTGCTCCCCAAACAAAGTCAGCGACTGCCTGGATTTCCTGAGGTGGATGTTAGAATGTCACATGCTCCACACCCCCAGGAACAAGCGCTCGGTGCTCCCCACCAGCAGGACCTGGCTTAGACACGCCTTCCAGGCAGGAGAATGCCTCTCTTCCTTCCCTCCTTTGTTTCCAACTGAAAGGGAAGGTTCCCCAGTAAAACTCTGGTCTTTACCCCCTGCAGGGAATCAGAGAGATGTGAGGGAGGATCTGGCTTTTGCGACAATGGAGGCCACTCAGAGGATACGCTGGTGTCTGTCTTTGAGACTCAGGGGCAAGCAGAAGAAAGAAGGAAACAGGAAAAGAGAGAACCTAGGAGGCAGAGTGTCGGCTGTGGCAAAGCGCGGCAGAGGCTCCCCCAACCGGTGTTCTGGGCCCTCGCTGGCTGGGCTTCCTCTCGTCTTCATCCCAGAGAGAAGAGCCTTTCGTGCAGAGCCACATGGTGCAACAGTTCCTCTGACACGTAGCTCACTCCTTCCTACAGGTTCCTATCTGGAAAAGTGCCACGCTACTGTGTCATCTTAGCACTAACAACGGAACGAGGATGACGCCCACGTCCTGGGTTTCCAAGTGTTGCGTGCTTCCTTTGCGTTTCTGGTCTAGTCATAGTGGAGCTGTCTCAGGCATATGCTAGACTTGAACACTCAATCATGCTGACGTCCCAACAAATGACCGACCTCTGTTATGTGGTTGCAGGGTGGATGGCACCTCTCCTGACTTCCAAATCTCACCCAACACAGGTATCACAGGCGTTGGAACGAGAGTAACTCCATCCTGAACAGGGGCCGGGTAAAATGAGGCTGAGACCTACTGGGCTGCACTCCCAGACGGTTAAGGCATTCTAAGTCACAGGACAAGATAGGAGGTCAGCACAAGATACAGGTCACAAAGACCCTGCTGATAAAACAGACTGCAGTAAAGCCGGCCAAATGCCACCAAAACCAAGATGGCGACAAGTGACCTCTGATCGTCTTCATGGCTCATTATACATTAATTATAATGCATTAGGTACTAAAAGACACTCCCACAAGGGCCATGACAGTTTACGAATGCCATGACAAGGTCAGGATGTTACCCTGTATGCTCTAAAAAGGGGAGGAACCCTCAGCTCCAGGAATTGCCCACCACTTTCCCGGAAAACTCACGAAAAATCCACCCCTTGTTTAGCATATAGTCAAGAAATAACCATCGAAATAGCCAAACAGCAGCCCTCAGGGCTGCTCTGCCTAAGGAGTAACCATACTTTTATTCTTTTACTTTCTTAATAAACTTGCTTTCACTTTATGGACTTTCCCCAAATTCTTTATTGCGAGAGATCCAAGAACCCTGTGCTGGGGTGTGGGTCGGGACCCCTTTCCTGTACCACAGACATACGGTTTTAGGAAAGAACATATTCTCGCCTTCCTTGCCAGCTGTTCATCCAGAAACCACTGAACTGTATTTGGCTGATTTACCTTGACCCAACCTGTGCCCCCCTGAGCTCTGCAGGTTACTTCAGAAAGGGTCTGTGCAGAAGATTCATTTTTTAATTTAATTTTTAAATTCTTTTTAAGACTAAACAAGCGCAGAAGTGATAAGGGGGGAAAAGAGTAGAGCAAGGAGTTCAATCTGTAGCTGACTGTGAAAATCAACTGAGATAACTCACTACCTTCAGAGCAGCCCAGAATGTTAATTGTATATTTAAAGAAGATATGGATATTTCAATATAAAAATCTCAATGGGCATGCATGGGTGGTTCCTTCACAAGTTTGGGTTTTTTGCCTCTTATTCACACAAGCTCAATTGCTAATTCACATTGCCAACCTCAGCAGGGCAGCAGATGTGTGTGCAGCCACACTGTGTGTTTGCGACACTCACGTACTGTTTTCAAGGTTACAGAAATGCCGAGTGGACGAATGGGTGGGGGAAGGGGGTGCTGGCCTGTAAGATGAAGATTCTCTACAGAGACTCTACTTACCCCGAAAGCATCTCGAATATCAGGATGCCGAGGGCCCACCAGTCCACGGCCCTTCCGTGGCCCTTGCTCTGAATGACTTCGGGGGCTAGGTACTCGGGTGTTCCACAGAGGGTCCAAGTCCTATATGGGCGACAGAGACAGGCCCCCACAACACTCAGTGGTGCTTGGCTAATGCAGTCACCTTAGAAGCTCTGATTGTTACAATAACTTCGTTGAGTAAAACCACGCTCCGTTTACCCTCCTGTGCACATATTTTAATGTGTAAAGACAGTAACATTGTTTTCGCTGATTCCTTTCCATAGAAACATTTCTTAACGGGCTTGGAAGCTAAGAATTGGTTTTATCATCCTTGCTCCTGTTGCTGGTACTGTTACCACTGTTACTCAGAAGCAAAAAAAAACCTCATTTTTTTTGAGTTATTTATACCTTAGTATAAATCATAAAGAATAAAATTAATTAATTAAAGGAAAAAGAACGAGATCATGTCCTCTGCAGCAACATGGACGGAGGTGGAGAGGCCATTCTCCTAAGTGGACTCACATGTTCTCACTTGTATGTGGGAGCTAAACACTGGGGACACACAGACACAGAGAGGGGGAAAAGCAGACACCTGGCCGCTGGAAGGAGAAGCACAGGAGAAGGATGAGGATGGAAAATCTACCTGTCAGGTATGATGCTTATTACCCAGGTGACAAAATAATCAGTACACCAAGTGTCATACAGTTTACCCATGTAACAAACCTGCACGTGTACCCCTGAACCTAAAAGTTCTTTAAATAAATAAATAAATAAAATTAAGTAAAAAGAAAATCCTTTATCCAAAAAAAAAAGTGGCAGTGAAAAGAATAATTCAAGAACTCGCTTAGGCCGGGCATGGTGGCTCACACCTATAATCCCAGCACTTTGAGAAGCCAAGGTGGGCAGATTACTTGAGGCCAGGAGTTCAAGACCAGCCTGGCCAACATGGTGAAACCCCATCTCTACTAAAAATACAAAATTAGCCAGGCATGGTGATGCATGCCTATAGTCCAAGCTACTCCGGAGGCTGAGGCAGGAGAAATGTTTGAACCCAGGAGGCGGAGGTTGCAGTGAGCCAAGAATGCGCCACTGCACTTTACACTCCAACCTGGGCGACAGAGTGAGACTCTCTCTCAAAAAAAAAAAAAAAAAAAAAAAAAAGGTGCAAGAGCTGGGTTTGTACTTGTAACTGAGACTGGATGGTTTGCAAAGCTTACGTATGTTCTCTTTGGCTCTTTACACCCCCACCCCCCAAAAAAACATTTCTTGCCCCCTGGAAACCAGTGTAAAGACAGAAATACACTTCCTCCCCTGCATACCATTTTCCTTTAAAGGTGCCTGCTTTGTGCTCCAAAAGCAAAGGGGTGGCCTCAAGCAGGAAGCCTGTACTTCTTCCCCTAAGAAAGCTCTGGAATAAAAAATCACTTTCTTTACACTAGACCTCGCTCTTGCTAATTGCACTCTGCAAACGGCGAGCGGCTGAACCTGCATTTTGGTTACAGAAGAATCTGCTAAATAAAGTCAGGGCAAGATAACAAGGACTGCAGCAGAAGCTGGAAGACTCATGGGCTGGAAAGGAGCTGAGTATCAGTAACCCCAGAGAGGGGGCCTTGTCTGGGCCGTACTCCATTGGCGCTCTACTGCTGGGTAGAATGTCGCTTCGGGCTTTCAGCAATTCAGACCTGTAGCACAAATGCGGGCCACATCCACCCTTCCTGCCAAGTGCTGCCCTGGTGTGTGGAGCCTGTCTGTAGACAGGCAGAAAGAAGCAACACCCTCAGAGGGAAAAAATATATAGATGCTTTGCAAAAGACCCTTCCCTCCCACCACTCAGATCAATGAAAGAAGAAACCCTTATTTTGTAAGTTGAATGTAAAGAGAACAAAAAACAAGTTCCACAGAGTCTGGTAATATACATGTTTATCCACTCTCAAGTTCTTTGCACAATGTATCAAGCATGTGCAAAGCCTATTTTATACCCAGCACATCTTGCCTGAGTCCGCACTGTTTGCAGTGGTGTGGGCACGTATCTTGGCTTCAGCTCCTCAGCTTCCTGCTTGCAGGAACCCACCCAAAATGTTGTTACTGTTATCTTTCCTTCCCTTCCCCACCACACCTCCATACCCCATCTCTTTCCAGACAACAGACTTTTCCACACTAATCTGTAAGCCCTTGGGATAACAACAAACTGGCTGCCATCCAAATTTCAAATTCTGTCGGCCATCCATGAAATAAAAGTACCACAAGGTCAGGCATGGTAGTTCACACCTGTAATCCTAGTACTTTGGGAGGTTGAGGCAGGAGGATTGCTTTAGGCTAGGAGTTTCAGACCAGCTTGGACAACACAGCAAGACCACTCCTTTACAAAAAAAAAAAAAAAAAAAAAGCCAGGTGTGCTGAAGTGCACTTGTAGTCTCAGCTAGTCGGGAGGCTGAGATGGAAGGATCACTTGAGCCCAGGAGGTCAACACTGCAGGGAGCATGATAGTGTCACTGTACTCCAGCCTGAGCAACAGAGCAAGACACTGTCTCAAAAAAAAAAAAAAAAAAAAAAAATTACTGCAGGATGTAGCAGATATAAATCAGGAAACCAGGAAAGAAGACAAGGAGAGAAATTGAGTTCTCCTCCCATGGAAGCATGTGGAAGGGACTTACTCTCTATCTGCAGGTTAGAGCTAAGTATGGAACAGGGACCACCTTGTGGTCCTGTTAAGTGCTTCTCACTCATTAGAATTAAGTCTACAAATGGAAAGTACAATGCGCACTATTTTAGAAACACGCTCTCCCCTGCCCTGCCCAGCAGTTGAATCAACTCCAAGTACACCCTGGCTGCTTCAATGCACGACACTTCTGTCATTCTGCAAGACGAGCGACTTACTGGCCTGCTAGTTTTGTATTTCCACCTTTCTAGCCCATCCAAAGTGGCCTGAAAGTAGCTAAAAGCCTAGATCTTAGCTGATATGAAGCCCAGGTAGAGGCCACAGGTCATGCTACAGGCATTAGCTGCAACTTCTCCACTTACCTTTTGAAAGATGAGGCTCTTTTTGGCTCCGTGTTAGGGTAAGGACACACACCTGAGGTTGTATGAGGCTGTATAAGTATCCAGGTTCTAACTTGCCTCAGGAGGACTCCTGCCCTGTTAGAGTCACTCCTTCCTGCAAAAAGCCCCAACGCCTAGCTGAATGTACAGAGAGACATACGCTGCTATGGAGAGATGCTGACTGCGTGAATGAATATGAGATGAGACAGCCTGAGTGTTATGTCGAGACCACTGGTCTGGGCAGTGAATTATCCACTTCCCTGCTCCTGTCTCCTTTTGCTCACCTGGCTTTTGGGTAGAAGGAAGGTGACACCTGCTGTTCTCAGTTTTCTCACTGTTCTTAGTTTCACTATGGCCGGGGGGAGGGGAGGGAGGAGGCCATGTTAACGAAGGAGAAACAGAGCTAAGGATAGGATTATCTATAAAGTATAGATATCCAATGACTCCTGTGTTCTTAATGCCCACGCCTTCCGCCACACCTGCACTGGTTGAACTGTGCACCCCCCAAAGTCCTAAACCCCAGTATTTGTGAGTGGGACCTTATGTGCAAACACGATCTTTGTAGCTGCAATCAAGTTAAGATGAGATCATCCTGGCTTAGGATGGGGAATAATTGCTTAACAGATACAAGTTCTCTTTTGGGATCGTGAAAATGTTCTGGAACTAGAGAGAGGTGATGGTTGCACGACATGGTAAATGCAATAAATGCCACTCAATTGTGCACGGCAAGATGGTTCAAACAGGCTGGGTACAGTGGCTCATGCCTATAATCTCAACGCTTTGGGAGGCCAAGGTGGGAGGATCACTTGAGCCTCAGAGTTCCAGACCAGCCAAGGCAACATAGCAAGACCCTGTCTGTACAAAAATATTTCAAAGTTAGCCAGTCATGGTGGCTCACACCTCTAGTCTCAAGTACTCAGGAGGCTGAGGGAGGAGGATTGCTTCAGCCCAGGCATTGGAAGCTGCAGTGAGCCATGATCGTACCACTGCACTCCAGCCTGGCTGACAGAGGAAGACCCTATTCTGAAACATAAAAAATGTTAATAAAGATGGTTACGATGGTACATTTTAAGTGTATTTTACCACAATAAAAAGAGAAAAAGAGGCCAGGCACGGTGGTTCATGCCTATAATCCCAACACTTTGGGAGGCCGAGGCAAGTGGATCATGAACAGGAGTTCAAGACCAGCCTGGCCAAGATGGTGAAACCCTGTCTCTACTAAAAACTACAAAAATCAGCTGGGCGCGGTGGCAGGCACCTGTAATCCCAGCTACTCCGGAGGCTGAGGCAGGAGAATCACTTGAACCTGGGTGGCAGAGGTTGCAGTGAGCCGAGATCGCACCACTGCACTCCAGCCTGGGCAACAGAGTGAGACTCCGTCTCAAAAAAAAAGAGAGAGAGACAGAGAGAAACGGATGACATCTCCAAGCTGAGTTTCAGTCCAGTCCCTCTTACGTCCTAGCAGGTGGCGTCACCAGCCTCACTTTCTGTCTCTCCTCATGGCTTTATGACATGGTGAGCATGTCACTCAGCTAACAGGGGCATGGTAGGGCTCAGGAGGAAGGACAGCTGATTACAGCTTTTACACTTGATTACAGATACAAATGCATTTTTTCCCTTTTTATCAGAAAAGTATGAGCCAGTGTTTTGTCTGGGTTTGGTAATGCAGGAAATAGATGTTCGCTCAGTACTCATGGTGAAAATACTACATTGCCTTTTCTTATAGGATCTTGGGTTGCAATAAAGCAGCAGGGTGTGGGGTTTTTCATAAAAAGGGAAGATTTTGTCATCTTTTTTTTTATGGGGACACAATCACAGTTCCTAGAACTGTCTGATGGGGACAAACAGTTGAGAATTTCAGGCCCGTGAAGGGAGAAGGTGTGTGTTTGCGAGCATGGGACAGCTTCCGATGGCCAGCCCAGGCCCTGGGAGGGGTTTCCTCGGTGACAATGGCTCCTAGGCACCACTGATCAGCAGGGAGAAGGGTGCCTGTCACCAACCTCGGCACAGTAATACCCACGTCCTAGTATGAACTACAGCAAAATTAAAAGGGGCTCAAGGGAAAGTAACAACACCGACTGCAAACAGACTCGACATCTCAGGCCCTCCTTGACTTCCGTTAAATACTCAAAGTAAGAAGCTAGGGGAAAAGGTCTAAAGTAACTAGAAAGACTTTTCTGGTGTTATGAAATATATATAAAACGATTATGTATTTATAAATGTATATGTTTAAATTTGAACTTATAATCTAAACACTAAATGTGTAACACATACTAATATATAAATTTAAATTTTAAAAATAAATATATATTTATAAAATTATATATAAAACTATGGATAATAATGTATAATTATAGCTACATATAACTTTCTAAACATATTTATACCATAATTTATGAGCACATATAATTATTTGGTAGCCATGTTTATAAAATTAAATATGTAATATTAAATATAAAACTGTATCCATTTATTATATATTTAATTGTATTAAATTATTTTTTAAATATAATTATGTTTAACTAAAAATTACATATTTAATATATAATTATAATTAGAATATATTAGTATATTAATATATACATACATTGTTATATTAGTAATTAACACATTACATTAATATCTTTATGTATTAAATTTATATATGAATATACTAAAATATTTAATATATTAAAGAGATAAATATATTTAAATATATAAATTTAATGTCGGATATATTATTTATGTGTAAATATTACAATTATATAGTTATTTATAATTATATACATAATTATGATTTTATATGTATGATTTTCTAATGTGGTAAAATACACACAGCATAGAATTTTCCATTTTAAGCATTTTTAATTGTATAGTTCGGTGGTGGGAAGTCCACTGACCTTCGTGTTCAACCCTCCCTACCGTCCACTGCTGGAACTTCTTCATCATTCCAAACAGAAACTCCATCCTCATTAAACAGCATCTTCCCCTTCCCTGCACCTCCCCGGCCCCTGGCACCCACCATTCTACTTTCTGTCCTTATGATTTGGAAGAATCTAGGGCCCTCCTACAAGTAGAATCACACGACATGAGACCTTTTTGGTCTGGCTTATTTCGTCCAATATCATGTTTTCAAGGTTTATCAACGCGTAGAATGTGTCAGAATTATATTCCTTTTCAAGGCCAAATAATATTCCACTGCACAGACAGAGCTCCTGGCCAATTTTAACCAGTTCACAAAGCAAATGGCCTGGCTCAGGGGTGGGCAAATATTTTCTGTAAAGAGCCAGACGGCAAATATTTTAGGCCTTGTGAATCACATGGTCTCTGTTACAAATATCCAGCTCTGCTACGGTAGCTCAAAAGCCCCCAAGATGTGACTGTGTTCCAATAAAACTTTATTAACAGACACATAGGGGGCTGGATTTAACCTATGCAAGGCTAATTTTTTTGTTTTTGATGTTTTGTAGAGATGAGGTCTTGCTATGTTACCCAGGCTGGGTTTTTTTTTTTTAAATAGTTGTCAGATGTGATAATGGCACTGAAGTTCTTTTTTAAAGGGAGTTATCTGTTAAAGATAGGATAAAGTGCACCTGCTTTAAAATAACTCAAGAAACAAATGGGCAAAGAGAAAAAAAACAAAGTGACAAAGCTTTGATAACAATCGAAGCTGGGTGATGGGGCCATAAGGTTTCAATGTGAATTACTCTCTCTACTCCTGTGTGTGTGTGTGTGTGTGTGTGTGTGTGTGTGTGTGTGTGTGTGTGTGTGAAAGGGGTAAGTAGTAATTTTGAAAGACTAGGTTCAATGTTATCCCTATAAGGCTAGAAATAAAAATCCAGAGGACAGTAATCAATGTAACATCTGGATTTAAAATGCTACAACAGAGGAACTAGGAAAGAGCTGTTGCACCTGGCATGGTGGCTCACGGCTACCATCCTGGCACTTTGGGAGGCCGAGGTGGAAGGATTGCTTGAGGCCAGGAGTTCAAGACTATCCTGGCCAACATAGTGGGACCCTGTCTCAAAAGAAACACAAAAAAACACAAACAAACAAAAAGCTGTCGCAGAGAAATAAAAAACACCAAAAACAAACAAAAAAGAGCTGTTGCAGAGAAAGAAAACCATCTGTTATGGTTTAAAGACAGATGTATAAAGGTTGAGCATCTTTAATCCAAATCTGAAATCCCAAATGCTCCAAAAGTCAATACTTTTCCAGCACCGACATGAGGCTCACAGCGCAAAGGAAATCCTCACTGGAGCATCTTGGATTTCAGATTTTCAAATTAGGGATGCTCACAGGTAAGTGTAATTCAAATATTCCACAATCTGAAAAAAATCTAAAATCCAAAACAATTCTGGTCTGAAGTATTTCAGGTAAGGGATGCTTGTGTTATGCATTTGAATTATAAAATCAAATTAAACACATCAGTATTTTATTTTGACCATTTCATAAAACCAGAAATAATTCTAGTTTGCCACCAAATCTTTTAGGGGAGCTATCTAGATAACATAAAGTGTGTGTGCAAAATATTTACAATACAAACGTAATATTGCTGTTAGAAAACAAGAGCCTGGTGAACGCAAGTCACAAAAGAACACCATCTGAACATACTGACAACCTAGGAAAGTCAGAAATCAAGTCACCAAGAGCAGTGGTTTAAAATAAGTAGGGTACAAGTCATCCAGTTAACAGGGTTGCTAGGGGAGGGGAGGGGAGGGGAGGGGAGGGGAGGGTTAGAGGAGGCGAGGGGAGGGGAGGGGAGGATAGAGGAGGGGAGGGGAGGCGAAGGAATGGGAGGGGAGGGAAGGGGAAGGAATGGGAGGGGAGGGAAGGGGAAAGAATGGGAGGGGAGGGAAGGGGAAGGAATGGGAGGGGAGGGGAGGGGAGGAAGGAAGGGAGGGAGGGGAGGGAGAGGAAAGGAGGGAGGGAGGGAGGGAGGGAGGAAGGAAGGAAGGAAGGGAGGGAGAGGCTGAGTACCGTAGCTCCCGCCTGTAATCCCAAAACTTTGGGGGGCCAAGGTTGGAGGACTGCTTCAGTTTAGGAGTTCAAGACCAGCCCTGGCAACATAGTGAAACCCCGTCTCTACAAAAAATCCAAAAATTAGCCAGGCAGGGTGTGCAAGCCTGTAGTTGCAGCTACTTGGGAGGCTGAGAGACAGGAGGATTGCTTGAGCCTGCAAGTTCGAGGCTGTGGTGAGCCATGGTTGCACTACTGCACTCCAGCCTGGGTGACAGAGTGAGACCCTGTCTCAAAAAAGAAACAAAAAACAAAGAAAGAAATTCATGTAGTGAGTAGATTACATTACAACATGCTTAAGTATGTTTTTACCCCATGCTATAAGAGAAAAATGGCGGGGCACGGTGGCTCACGCCTGTAATCCCAGCACTCTGGGAGGCCGAGGCGGGCGGATCACGAGGTCAGGAGATCGAGACCATCCTGGCTAACACAGTGAAACCCCGTCTCTACTAAAAACACAAAAAATTAGCCGGGCGTGGTGGTGGGCGCCTGTAGTCCCAGCTACTTGGGAGGCTGAGGCAGGAGAATGGCGTGAACCCGGGAGGCAGAGCTTGCAGTGAGCCGAGATCGCACCACTGCACTCCAGCCTGGGCGACAGAGCGAGACTCCTCTCCAAAAAAAAAAAAAAAAAAAAGAGAGAAAAATGAGAAACAGACTTCTTTCTGGGATATGTTCAAAAATGTTATTCAAGGCCGGGCACGGTGGCTCACGCCTGTAATCCCAATGCTTTGGAAGGTCGCGGCAGGTGGATCACTTGAGGCCAGCTGTTCAAGACCAGCCTAGGCAACATGGTGAAACCAGGTCTCTACTAAAAATACAAAAATTAGCCAGGTGTGGTGGTACATGCCTGTAATCCCAGCTACTTGGGAGGCTGAAATGGGAGGATCGCTTGAGCCCAGGAGGCCAAGGTTGCAGTGAGCCAAGATCCCACCACTGCACTCCAGCCTGAGTGACAGAGTAAGACCCTGTCTTTAAAAAAAAAAAAAAAAAAAAAAAAAAATTATTCAAGATGAGGCCTCCCTGTTTAGTTCCATCTATTCTGTAGTGGTCCACGATACAGTGGTGAATTTCAGTTTTATTCAAAAGGCACAGGTACTGTTTGAATCCTGAATCAGAGGCAGGGCCATGTATCTGCCCCCATGAACACAACTTCCCTGGGGCCGGGCCAGCAGAGAGATGCTTCGTTACAATGATGGTCAAAAAAAAAAAGGAGAAAAAAGCCCCCACAAAAAAAAAGTTTCCAGAAGCTACACTACCCATACAGAGGAAGATGCAGTTCTTTGCAAAAGCAATCTATCAATATGGTAATGAGACATTTTCTAAGATTTTCACATGTTCATTAAGTAAAATAATTGCTGCATGTTATATACGAAACCATTTTCGTCCATTTAAATAGATATGATGAATTAACTGGACAGTAACATGGTTTGTCAAACTTATAAACAAGTGAATATATGAAATATTTTATCTGTTTTCTTTGAATTAGACTTGCAAATAAAATGACTTTAAAAGAATTTACTAATATACCGTGTGCTGCCAAGAGAGGGCAGCACAGATGCTATAAATCAATATTTTAAAAAATCCTGCATCTTTCCTACTCCATGTAAAATGCACCTAATTTCCATGTGCCTTATTTTTGGAAATGTAGTACAAGAAATACTATAGGGGAAAATCAGATTGAATGTAAACGCATCATAAAATTTTCCTAGGAGAGCCCTTTTCTAAAAGCTGCCAGAGAAGAGAGTCATTTAGTGTAAAACTGCCCCCACATCAAGTTTCTCAAAATGCAGACGGTTTTACAATGTTAGGAGTATAATTAGTGTAATTATCACCTTACCCAACCCCACCACATCAAAGAATATGGAAATATAAAATGTATTTTCTAGGCTTGTCTGACCAAGACAGAAGCCGATAGCCATGTGCAATCCTGGGTATTTGAAATGTAGCTTGTCTACCAAGGAACGGATGTCATTATCTAATTCTACTTTCATTAATTTAATCTAATTGAAAAACTGACACTCAGTGTAGTTACCAAAAATCTTTCTGAGTATTTTTCAGCAGCTTGGGCGTGTGAATTTACTTTTTATGACTGTTGATTTTATGAATGTAAATTAAAGATCCATTGGGAGCTAAGCTATGAGGACGCTGAGGCATAAGAACCATACAACGGACTTCAAGGACTTGGGGTAAAGGGTGGGAGGTGGGTGAGAGATAAAAGACTACATACTGGGGCCGGGTGCGGTGGCTCACACCTGTAATCCTAGCACTTTGGGATGCCAAGGTGGGCGCATCACAAGGTCAGGAGATTGAGACCATCCTGGCTAACACAGTGAAATCCCGTCTCTACTAAAAATACAAAAAATTAGCCGGGCGTGGTGGCGGGCGCCCGTAGTCCCAGCTACTTGGGGGGCTGAGGCAGGAGAATGGCGTGAACTCGGGAGGCAGAGCTTGCAGTGAGCTGAGATCATGCCACTATACTCCAGCCTGGGCGACAGAGCCAGACTCCATCTCAAAAAAAAAAAAAAAAGTTAGCTAGGCCTGGTGGCGGGCACCTGTAATCCCAGCTACTTGGGAGGCTGAGGCAGGAGAATCACTTGAATCTGGGAGGCGGAGGTTGCAGTGAGCCGAGATTGTGCCACTGCACTCCAGCCTGGACGACAGAGCGAGACTTCGTCCCAAAAAAAAACAAAAAAACAAACAAAAAAGGATAACTGTTTTCTCCTCAATGGAGTATGTGTGTGTACGGAAACATATCTATATATACTTGTTCCAGGCTGAAATGTATCCCTTAAACCTTATATGCTGCAGTCCTAACCCCCAGAACTTCAGAATGTGACTATATGGGAAAGAGCATCTTTAAAGAGGTCATTAAGGTAAAACGAGGTCACTAGGGTGGGTCCTGATCCAAGAGGACTGGTGTCCTCATAAGAAGAGGAGATGAGGATACAGACATGCACAGAGGACAATCCTGTGAGGACACAGGGAGGAGACAGCGTCTCCAAGCCAAGGAGAGAGGCTTCAGGAGGAACCAGCCCTGCCCACACCTGGATCTCAGACCTTAGCCTCCATGACAGTGAGAGGAAAAGGTCTATTCTTTAAAATGCCCAGTGTGTGGTCTTTTGTCAAGACAGACTGGTTAAATGAATCCAATCATGGAAAAAAAAATACATATACATGTATTATAAGCTGAATGTATGTGCCCCCCGCCAAAATTCCTATGTTGAAATCATCATCCCCAAAGTGATAGGATTAGGAGGTGGGGCCTTTGGGAGGTGATGAGGTCACGAAGGTGGAGTCTCATGAATGGGATGAGTGCCCTTACAAAAGGGGCCCCAGAGAGCCCCCTCGCCCCTTCCACCATGTGAGGACACAGCGAGAAGGCGCCGTCTACGAACCAGGAAGCTGGTTCCCTCCAGGTACAGAATCTGTCGCACCTCGATCTCGGACTTCCAGCCTCCAGAGCTGTGAGCCATGAATGTCTGCTGTTGAGGCTGCCCAGTCTATGAGTGTGTGTTAGTGCAGCCCGCACTGGCTGAGACGACATGTAATGGTTTGTTTCATGTGTTGATGGGCCGTGGGGTGCCCAGATGTTTGTTCAAACACTGTTTTGGGGTATGTCTGTGTGTTTCCAGAAAAGAAACACATATATCATACATGTCATATAGTATGATATAGGTATACTATATATATTATATACTATGTAATATATATATTATATATAATATACTATGTAATATATATATTATATATAATATACTATGTGATATATATAATATATATAATATACTATGTGATATATATAATATATATAATATACTATGTGATATATATAATATATATAATATACTATGTGATATATATAATATATATTATATACTATGTGATATATATAATATATATTATATACTATGTGATATATATATTATATATTATATACTATGTGATATATATATTATATATTATATACTATGTGATATATATATTATATATATTATATACTATGTGATATATATAATATATATTATATACTATGTGATATATATAATATATATTATATACTATGTGATATATATATTATATATATTATATACTATGTGATATATACTATATATATTATATACTATGTAATATATATATTATATATATTATATAGTATAATATACTATATAATATATATATGTAGTATGTGTAATATATAATACGTATAATATATACTATATAGAGTATAGTGATATGTATGATATAGTATGATATAGGTATGCTATATAATATATATTATATATTATAATATATAGTATACCTATATGATACTATATCATAGTCATTGTATACTATATAATATATAGTATAATATATACTATACATATATAATACTATATCATATGTACATAAAATATACTATATGTTATATACAATAATATAGTATTATATATATTTCTATTTAATATACATATATAGTGGAAATATATATATACATAATAGAAATACAGATAACAGAAAAAAATAAGTGCACGTGTGTGTGAGCAGGTGTGTATGGAATATTCAATTTGGTTTTTTTTTTTTTTTTTTTTGTTTTGTTTTTTTTTGAGATAGGATCTTGCTCTTTTACCCAGGCTGGAGTGCAGTGGTATAATCACAGCTCACTGCAGCCTCAACTTCCGGGGCTCAAATAATCCTCCAACCTCAGCCTCCTAAGTAGCTGGGACTACAGGGATCCACCACCATAATCAACTTTTTTTTAAATATATATATTTCTGTAGAGACGGGGTCTCACTAGGTTGTCCACAGTGGTCTCAAACTCCTGGGCTCAAATGATTCTCCCACCTCGGCGTCCCAAAGTGCTGGGATTACAGGTGTGAGCCACAGCACCTGGCATTTAATTTTAAGAGATATTGTATCCTATTCGATGCAGATCTATTTTATAGTCAGGGCAATTCAAACTTGGATATGACTCATTTCCTCATCATTTCGGATCAATAGCGGATATGTGGTGTTCTGATTTCCTCCACGGTGCCAGTGAAGGAGACTGACTTCCTGCCCACTGGCTCTTTGCCAGCAATCGCAGCCCACCTAAAACGAGCTGTGGGTCAACCTGGCTCTCTCATCCCTGGTTGCAAGTGTCTCCTACACATGAGAGTTAAACTCTGGTTCCCAATCTTTCCCTGCCTGACCTGCCACAACTACCACCACCTTTCTCATTGCCAAGCAGTGTAGATTCCATCGGAGTTCACGTTCCTCTTACCTGTCTACCAGCTTCTTGGCGAACCCAAAGTCCGTGAGCTTAATGTGGCCATCCCTATCCAGCAGGATGTTCTCTGGCTTCAAGTCCCTGTAGACGATCTCTTTGGAGTGCAGGTACTCGATGGCACAGATGATCTCTGCAGAGTAGAAGAGCCCCGTGGTGCTGGAGAAGCGCCCCCGGTTGCGCAGGTAGCTGAAGAGCTCGCCGCCCGGCACGTACTCCATGAGCATGTAGAGGAAGCGCTCGTCATGCCACGTCCAGAACCTGCGGGGACAGACAGCACATGCTCAGGGCCCCGCCAAGGCAGGGCAGGGGGTACGCCGTCAGCTAGGTGTTGGGGTACAGATGCAGCTAGATACCAAAATGTGTGTACAGACAGACAGTAATAGCTGGGGACAGATGTCGGGACATGGAGCACACAGATATCAGCACATGGGTAAAGACGGATGTTAATATATGGGTACAGATAGGTGTTCGAATGCACGTACATACAGATGTTACGATGTGCTTAGAGACAGATGTTAGGATATGGGTGTACATCGGGGCTGATACATGGGTGTAAACAGTGTTACCATATGGTATTAAATATGGATATAGATATATGTTAGCATATAGGTATAGAAAGATGTTAATATGTAGTTATAGATAGATGTTAGGATATGGTTGCAGACAGATATTACAATATGGATATGGATAAGTGTTGGAATACAGGTGTAGACAGATGTTAATATGTAGGTATAGAGAGATGTTAGGATATGGGTGTAGATGGATGTAGACAGGTATTAATATATGGGTGTAGATGGATGTAGACAGGTGTTAGTATATGGGTGCAGATGGATGTTAGATTATGGGTGTAGACAGGTGTTAATGTATGGGCATAGACAAATAAAATACAGATAGATAAATGTTGGAATATAGGTGTAGACAGATGTTAATATGTAGGTATAGATGTTAGGATATGGATGTAGGCAGACGTTAGAATATGGATAGAGATCAATGTTACAATATAGGTGAAGACAGATGATATCTATACGTATAGATGTTACAATATGGGTGTAGATGGATGTCAGGATACGGGTGTAGACAGAGGTTAATATATGGACATAGATGTTAGAATATGGGTGTAGAGAGATGTTAACATATAGGAAGAGACAGATGTTACAATATGGGTGTAGATGGATAGTAGGATATGGGTGTAGAGAGATGTTAATATACACGTAAAGACAGATGTTAGAATATGAACGTAGATAGATATTAACAGAGGTATAGAGAGATGTTAGGATATGGGTATAGACGTGTAGACCGGTGTTGCTCTGTGGGTGCAGACAGATATTAGGATATGGGTGGAAGTAGATGTTAATATGTAGGTGTAGATAGATGCTAATATATGTGATAGACAGATGCTAAGGTGTGCATACAGACAGATGTTAGGATATGCGTGTGTGTAGATGTGACTCTACAGGTATAGACAGGTGCTGAGGTCTGCATATAGAAAGGTGTAATTCATCAGTATAGGTAGATGCTAAGACGTGTGTAGATGTTAAGAGGTGTATAATCAGATACTGGGATAAGCATATAGATGGACATTAAAGTACAAGTTCCACAGATGTTACATAGATGTTGTCTTAGTCCATTCTGGCTGCTATCACAAAAATACCATATACTAGGGGGTCTTACAAATAAGAAAAATGTATTACCCTCAGTTCTGGAGGCTGGAAGTCCGAGGTCGGGGCGCCTGCTGATGAACTGCGTGGTAAGGGCCCATTCCTGAGGGAAGGGCCCTTCTCGCTGTCCTCCCATGGACCAAGGGGAAACGGGCTCCCTCAGGCCCCTTCACCGAGGGCACTGGTCCTGTTCAGCGGCTTCACCCTCACGATCTAATCACTTCCCCCAAAGCTCCACCTTTTAATTCCATAGCTTTGGGGGTTACTGTCTCAATATATGAATTTGGAAAGGACGTATTCAGACAACAGCAGATGTTAAGATATGTGTATCCTGGGACATGGGTAAAAGGTCTCATTGTCTTGGGATGAATGAATAGTAAATATCATGGTCTCATAATAAACCAGCCAACAGTATGCTATGGGCTGAACTGTGTCCTTCCAATATCCACTGTATTTGGAGACAGGTCATGTAAACAGGTGATTACGGTAAAATGTGGTCACTAGAATGGGCCCTATTCCAACAGGACTGGAGTCCTAAGAAGAGGAGATGAGGACACAGACACACACAGAGGGACGACCACGTGAGGACACAGGGAGAAGACAGCGTCTGCAAGCCAAGGAGAGAGGGCTCAGGAGGCACCAGCCCTGTTAAGACGTTCTTCTCAAAATTCTAGCCTCAAAAATTATAAAACAATAAATCAGTGTTGTTTAATCCACACCGTCTATGCTACTTTGTTATGGCAGCACTAACTAACTAACCTACAACACACACATCTTCAGAGATCACACCTGATTCAGTAACCTGGAACTATCATTAAGCCTGAGAATTAACAATAAACTAGCAGACTGCATCCCAAACCTGCTAGGAAAAGGTAGCCCTTTTAAAAAGCCCCAAATGAAGTATTTCGAAGCACTTGCTTGTGGGAGCTTGCCTGAGGTGCTTCTCCTTACAAAGGTGTTGATTAATGGAAGAAAACGCAGCAATGAGAGATTGAGGAAGGTGGGGGTAGGGATGAAAGAAGGAACAGAAGATACTGAGGTGCGTCTGTGCATTCAACATCTCAGCACAAGTTACAAATACAGTTTGGAGAGATACGCACTGATAATGAAAGAACGTTTTCACCTAAAGATGGGACGGGTGGGGTATGAGGCAAGATTTGGAACTAAGGGCTTTGGGATTTTTGTTTGTTTGTTTTTCAGAGAGTTTTGCTCTTGTTGCCCAGGCTGGAGTGCAACGGTGCAATCTCGGCTCACTGCAACCTCCGCCTCCTGGGTGCAAGCGATTCTCCTGCCTCAGCCTCCCAAGTAGTTGGGATTATAGGCGCCCACCACCACGCCCAGCTAATTTTTGTATTTTTAGTAGAGATGGGGCTTCACCATGTTGGCCAGGCCGGTCTCGAACTCCTGACCTCAGGCGATCCACCCGCCTCGGCCTCCAGAAATGCTGGGATTACAGGCATGAGCCACCGTGCCCGGTCTGTTTGTTTCTGAAACAGGTTCTTATTCTGTCTGCCAGGCTGGAGTGCAGTGGTGCAGGTAAGGCTCATGCAGCCTCAACTTCCCGGGCTCGAGCAATCCTCTCACCTCAGCCTCCCAAGTAGCTAGGACTACAGGTGCATGCCACCATGCCTGGCTAATTTTTATTTACTGTTATTTGTAGAGACAGGGTCTCACTGTGTTGCCCAGGCTGGTTTTGAACTCCAGGGCTCCAGCAATCCTCCCGCCTCATCCTCCCGAAGTGCTGGGATTACAAACGTGAGCCACTGTACCTGACCTGGGCTTTGTTTTTGGAGAGGACTCGGAAGACACCAGCATGCCCGTGTTCCCATGAGCACATGAGCCTTCACCAGTAGAAGACACCCAATAGAATCAGGAGCATAAAGGTCTTCAACCATGACCAGGACCCGTGCCAGTTTTGTCTCATCTGATCATGATGCTATCACAGATGCTCCCCTGCAAGCTCATTCAAATGAGCTGCACCCCGCTGGTATACAAAGAAAACAAAATGAGGCCCAGGAAACCTTCCCTGAGGACAGGGAAGGATGCTCAAGGTCGACCGGATGGTCTTGTCTGCTAGCACAGGCCATTCCACCAAAACAATGTAGAATGAAGGCAAGGACGTGGGAGACAGCTTGCAATGACACAGAGATTAATGCTAAGAAAAATCATAGGCTGGGCACGGCGGCTCAATGCCTGTCATTCCAGCACTTTGGGAAGCCAAGGCAGGAGGATCACTTGAGGCCAGGTGTTGGAAAGCAGCATGAGCAGCACAGCAAGATCCCGTCTCTACAATAAAAGAATCAGCCAGGCATGGTGGCATCCCAGCAATTCGGGAGGCTGAGGTGGGAAGATCATTTGAGCCCAGGAATTGGAGGCTGCAGTGAGCTATGATCACAACATCACTGTACTCCAACCTGGGTGACAGAGCAAGACCTCATTTCTAAAAGGAAAAAAAAAAAAAAATAGACACATGCTACTGTGAATTTTAAATGAACATTTATTTGACTAATCACAATGTTTTTATGTATTAGCAAAAATATGGGCCTCTTATAAAAAAGGCTCTTACCTAACGCACTTTTAAATTTGCAGATTCTGCAATGATGCTGGAGGTGGGGGACTAATGACCCACACATACAGGTTGCAGGAATGCCTTCTGCTCTCCACCTTGCTGCTGGATTCCTGCCCCTCAGCAGCTGGGTGGCTGAAGGGAGCTCAGGAAGCTCAGGGTTAGACATTTCTTCTGTTTTTTTTCCTTCAGTTACTGAAGGCTGTGCACCTGTGTCCCACCTCTCCATTCACTTCTTATAGCTCAGCAAGTTCAAAATGTGTGGTCTTGAGGCATAAAGGGAAGCAGGGACACTATATGAGGAAGGAGAAGTATTTTGTTGGAGTGGTGTTTTTTTTGTTTTTTTTTTTGTTTTTTTTTTTTTTGAGACAGTCTTGCTCTGTCACCCAGGCTTGGAGTGCAATGGCACGATCTTGGCTCACTGCAACCTCCGCCTCCCGAGTTCAAGTGATTCTCCCGCCTCAGCCTCCCGAGTAGCTGGGATTACAGGCGCATGCCACCATGACCGGCTACTTTTGGTATGTAGTGGCTGTTTTCCAGAGCAATCTGCTGGAGTTCTAAAAGACCCAGCACATACCCACATTCCTTCCATCTTATCACTGACATCTCGACTCATTTTCTCCCAGCTAAATGCCCTGTTTTTCTGCTTTGCACCGTTATTGGTTGGGCAAGAGTGTTCCTCTCAGTAATATTTCGTGATTAAGCACATGGCATCTCAAATGCATGACAGTCAAACTGTACTTTTGTGGATGAGCTTAGAAGACAACCATGATTTCATGATTTCACTGTTCTGGTGGGGAAATATTTTCCAAGGTCCAAATACTATCGTACTAGTGAACTTTTACAATAAACTTCTGTGTCAGCTGGTGACTTTCTAAATTTCTTCAGGGCGCAAGGTGGAAGGAAAATTTAGCTACGACTGACCAGCCAAGGTGTGATACTGAACATTTGGGGGTAACACTGAGCTCTTGAAAATACCATTAATAGTCAAAGCAATAGCAAGACCACTGTCTACAACTGTTAATTTGGTTGAAGAGAATATACATGGCTCTACTTCCCTATGGCTCAAATATGTAAGAAAAAGATGGACGCATGCTTACACACACACATACAAACACACTCTCTCTCTCTCTATCAATTAGCTTGCAACACATTTTTGGATATATCCTGTATCCTCCCCCATCTACCTCACTCTGGGATAATAATCTGCACAGATCCTCTTAAGAATAATGCATCACCTTGTCACAATGTAGCAGCAGGTCACCTTTCAGGAGCATCAGAGATAATTAACCATGGTGGGAGATTAGAAGGATTTGGGTAGGTTAGAAGCAAGGAATGAAAGAACTTTGAGGATTACACAGGCATGTAGAATACGCAAGCCCTGACAATACAAACATCTCAGGTTCGGTCACTTGGCTTGCAGGGGAAGTTGCAATTTCAACCATGGGTAGGATGATCTGTAGAGGAAGAGAGTTAGGGCTTTGTATCAAATGAGAAGAGGAGGGAAGGGACGAGGAGAGGAGGGGAAGGAAGAAGAGGTGGGGAGAGGAGGAGAGAAAGCAGGGGAGAAAAAGTTACTGCACGAGTGGGGAAAACTACTGAGATGTGTAAGGTTGTATGAAAATACATCTGTTCCACAAGTGTCTCAGTAAAATCAACATCAACAAACCACAAGGCTTAATAAAGTCACCTTATCAGTATATATGAAATGGAGACATCATTTTTACCTATACACTAATGCGGGATCACCCTTCAGCATCTTTAAGAAGTAACAGTTTACAAAGAGAGTTAGCAAGTAAAAACATACTCCTTTAAGAAAAAGAAAAATCTAGATAACTGGGATTCTCTTGCCCTTCCCCAAACCAATAAGATTAAGTAAATATTATAAGAAAAAAGAAGTTCTCTGACACATCCTTCCTTCAAATCTTTTATCAGTAAGACTTTGCAGGCGAGTGTGGTGGCTCACACCTGTAATCCCAGCACTTTGGGAAACTGAGGCAGGAGGATCACTTGAGACCAAGAGTTTGAGACTAGCCTGGGCAAAATAGGGAGACTCTGTCTCTGCAAAAAATAAAAAGATTAGCTAGGTGTGGTTGTGCAGGCCTGTAGTCCCAGGTACTTAAGAGGCTGAGGCAGCAGGACAGCCTGAGCCCAGGAGTTGAAGCTATGACTGAACCTCTGCACTCCAGCCTCAGTGACAGAGCCAGACCCTATCTGGAAAAAAAAAAAAAGACTTTGCTTACGTGGACAGAATTTGTACAGAGCTGGGTATCACTAAAGATAAGGAACAAAATGTTGAAAGAGATACTGACTTTACTATCTCCAAAAAACATTCACAAAACTTAAGTCATCATGTGCAGGGGCTGTGGGATAGGACGAGTTTAGTGACCACAGGTGATTTCAAATCTGAGCTTAGAAAATTAGAAACCAATGCATCAGTTCAATGATTCCAGTTACCTGAGGGACTCTGCCCCTGACATCAAGTCTATAAAAGTTCAAAAGCAATAGAAGATAAGAGGGTTTATCACAATGGATATGAGAAGTATGTTCAAGATCTAACACTTACTGTACATACTAGCCTCAGCAATCAATGAATTCATCAACACATTAATCAGTAACTCACCAGCCACATTCTTTATTGGTTTCCAAATGTTTTGGACAAGGGCCCCTTATGTGCCAAGTAATGTTCTCGGTACATAGTATCAGGAACGGCAGATCTTGTGACTGTCATGAGCTTTGCAGGCTTGATGTGGAACAGACATTACATAGTAAACTTGGAAGGATGGCTGGAGGGGGTCCTGTAAGACCAGGTAGAAGGTGGGGACAGGGAGGCAGGGGGCATCTCTGTCCCCACAGCTGAAGGCCAAAGGAAGATTGGGGAGAGACACAAAAGAGCTGGAGGCCAGGTGCGGTGGCTCACGTCTGTAATTCCGGCACTTTGCGGGGCCAAGGTGGCAGATCGCTTGAGCCCAGGAGCTCAAAACCAGCCTAGGCAACAAAGCAAGATCACGTCTCTACAAAAAATTAAAAATTAGGGCCAGGCGCAGTGGCTCATGCCTGTAATCCCAGCACTTTGGGAGGCCAAGGTAGGTGGATCACGAGGTCAGGAGATCGAGACCATCCTGGCTAACATGGTGAAACCCCATCTCTACTAAAAATACAAAGTATTAGCTGGATGTGGTGGCGGGCGCCTGTAGTCCCAGCTACTTGGGAGGCTGAGGCAGGAGAATGGCGTGAACCTGGGAGGCGGAGCTTGCAGTGAACCAAGATCACACCACTGCACTCCAGCCTGGGGGACAGAGTGAGACTCCATCTCAAAAAAAAAAAAAAAAAAAAATTAAAAATTAGGTGGGCATGGTGATATGCACCTGTACTCCTATCTACTTGAGAGACAGAGGTAGCAGAATCACTTGTGCCCAGGAGTTCAAGATCAGCCTGGGCAACATAGCAAGACCCCCAAAATTTAAAAATCAGCCAGGCTTGGTGGTGCAGGCCTGTAGTCCCAACTATCTGGGAGGCTGAGGTGGGAGGATAACTTGGGCCCAGGAGAATGAGGCTGCAGTGAACTATGATGGCACCACTGCACTCCATCTTGGGCAACAGAGAAAGGCCCTGTCTTTAAAAAAAAAAAAAAAAAAAAAATTAGAGATGGGGTCTCACTAAGATGCCCAGGTTGGTCTCAAACTCCTGGCCTCAAGCAATCCTCTCACCTCAGCCTCTGACAGTGCTGAGATTATAGGCATGAGCCACTACGCCCTGCCTATTTTCACATCAGAAACGTTTGGGCTGATACAGCAGGAAGGGGTGAGTTCAGCAGAGATCAGAGATCAGTGGAGAGAAGGGGAGGGAATTTAGATAAGCTATGGCAGCTTCTGTGAAGACATCATTGATGTGGATGGGCTCTGGAGATGTGTTTGAGAATTGGAAAGGGGCAAGGCATGGCGGTGTGCACCTATAATCCTAGCTACTTAGGAGGCTGAGGCAGGGGAAATGCTTGAAATTATGAGTTTGAGACCAGCCTGAGCAACACAGTGAGATCTTGTCCCTACACACACACACACACACACACACACACACACACACACACACAAAAAAATTCAATTAGCTGGACATAGTGGTGTGCACTTGTGGTCCCAGCTACTTGGGAGGCTGAGGTGGGAGGATCTCTTGAGCCCAGGAGGTCAAGGATGCAGTGAGCCATGATTGCACCACTGCACTCCAGCCTGGATGAGACGGCAAGACCACATCTCTTAAAAAAAAAAAAAAAAAAAAAAGTTAAAAGGGCAGGACTCAGGATTACAGTGAATGCAGAGTCAAAGAAAAGGAATAAAAAATGGTTCCTGGGTGAGCCCCAAGAGCTGGAAGGACCACCTATGAAATGGGGAAGTGCAAATGAGGAACTGATTAGGGCTGAGGGGCAAGGAGGAAGAGCAGGAACTCATTTTTGGTGAGAGGCATCTGAGCAGAAGGCTCAGAGAGTGGTCAAGTGGGCGCACACATGTAGCTTGGCAGGCTGAAGGGGTGGGCTGGCAGCAGCGCTTGGGAATCTTGAGACCAGCAAGACAGCGAATGCAAATACAGAGAAAGAGGAATGAGAGGGCAGAGGGGCTCCTGTTTCCCACTGTGGGGTCCAAGGAAACGTCACCAGGAAGTACATGCCCACAGGCACACAGCCTTGCTCCTAGGGTCACATGCACCCTCCCATCCTCTGCAACACTGCCTTGCACAGCTGAGCTCCTCTCGAGGAGAAGTGAGGTCACCTCCCCTGCTGCACGCACTGGAAGACCTCCTCCGCACCAGCAGCGCATCCATGGCCCCTTTCCTCCACTTCCACACCAACATCTGTTGTTTTCTTACTTTTTTGTTTTTTTCCTAGATAGGGTCTCGCTCTGTTGTTGCATAGGCTGGAGTGCAGTGGCGCAACCATAGATCACTGCAACCTTCAACTCCTGAGCTCGAGCAATTCTCCCACCTCAGCCTCCTGAAGAACTGTGACTATAGGCGTGCAACACCATCCCTCGCTATTTCTTCGAGCTTTTTGTAGAGACAGGGTCTCCCTATATTGCCCAGGCTGTTCTAAAACTCCTGGGCTCAAGCGATCCTCCTGCCTGGGTCTCTCAAAGTGCTGGGATTATAGGCGTGGGCCACCATGCCTGGATTTTTTTGAGTTTTTGTAACAGCCATTCCAATAGATGACTGGATAAAGAAAATTTAGTATATAAAAGTCACAGAAAATGTAGTATATCGACACCACCATAAAAAATAAAATCATGTCTTTTGCAACGACAGGGATGGAACTGGAAACCACTATCCTAAGTAAAATAACTGAGACACAGAAAGTCAAATACCGCATAGTCTCACTCAAAAGTAGGAGCTCAACAGTGGGTCCACATGGACACAGAAATGGAAATAACAGATACGGGGACTCCCAAAAGGGGAAGGCTGGGAAGGGGTTGAGGGCTGAGAAATAACCTATTGGGTACAATGTTCACTATTCGGGTAAGGGGTACCCTAGAAGCCCAAAGCTCACCATAACATGATACATCCATGTACCAAACGTCCACGTGTATCCCTGAATGTCTAAAGATTAACAACAACACAATAATAATACAACTTCTCCTCCTCAAAATACCCCAGAGGGATCTCCAAGAAAACAAGAGACAAAAATGATGCATACTCTAGTGGCATGAGGCCAAAACTGCACGGGGCGCGCGCGTGTGTGTGTGTGCATGCATATATGTGTGCGTGCATGTGTGTGTGCACGTGCACGTGTGTGTGCTTGTGTGTGTGCGTGCTTGTGTGTGTGCGTTTGTGTGAGGGGGCTTTTTTAACACAAAGAAAAGTACAGAAGGATCCATACCAGGCTGTGAAATAGTTACCTGGCAATGAGGAATTCCAGATCAGCCCAGTCAACAAGGTGAAAACCCATATTTACTAAAAGTACAAAATTAGCTGGGGGTGGTGGTGCATGCCTGTAATCCCAGCTACTCAGGAGGCTGAGTTGGAAGAATCGCTTGAACCCAGGAGGCACAGGTTGCAGTGACCCAAGATCACAACACTGCACTCCAGCTGGGGTGACAGAGCGAGACTCCATCTCTAAAAAATAATAATAATAAATTAAAACAATGTATTCAAGCAGCTGAAATCAGGCACTGGACAGATATTTGCCAAACCTTGTTCATAGCAGCATTATTCACTACAGCCAAGAGGTGGAAGGCACCCCAGTGTCCAAGGATGAATGAATGGGTAAACACAACATGCTGTATCCTCTATACGATGGAATAGTACTCAGGCTTAGAAAGGAGGGAAATTCCTTTCTACAGGACGGGGGAATCTGAAGGACATTACAGTAACTGAAAGAAGCCAGTCGCAAAAGGACAAATGCCGTATGATTCTGCCTATATAAGGCTCCTAGAATCACCAAATTCATAGAGCAGAGAGTACGAGGGAGGTTGCCAGGGCAGGGCTGGAGGGAGGGGCAATAAGGCGTGTTTCATGAGGACAGAGTTTCAGTTGGGGAAGATGAAAAGGAGTTCTGGAGATGGATGGGGATGGGGATGGGGATGGGGTGGCGGTTGCACAGAAACATGAATGTGCTCCATGCCACTAAACAGTGTTTTGTTTTTTTTGTTTTCTGTTTTTTTTTTTTTGAGACAGAGTCTTACTCTGTTGCCCAGGATAGAGTGCAGCGACACAATCTCAGCTCACTGCAATCTCCGCCTCCTGGGTTGAAGTGATCCTCCTGCCTCAGCCTCCCGAGTAGTGAACTGTACATTTTTTTTTTTTTTTTTTTTGAGACAGAGTCTCGCTCTGTTACTCAGGCTGGAGTGCAGTGGTGCGATCTTGGCTCACTGCAAACTCTGCCTCCCAGGTTCATGCCGTTCTCCTGCCTCAGCCTCCCAAGTAGCTGAGGACTACAGGCACCCGCCACCACGCCCAGCTAATTTTTTTGTATTTTTAGTAGAGACGGGGTCTCACTGTGTTAGCCAGGATGGTCTTGATCTCCTGACCTCGTGATCCGTCCACCTCGGCCTCCCAAAGTGCTGGGATTACAGGCGTGAGCCACCACGCCCAGCCGTGAACTGTACATTTTAAAAATGGTTAAAATGAGGCCGGGCATGGACGCTCATGCCTGTAATCTCAGCACTTTGAGAGGCCAAGGCAGGAGGATTGAGTGAGATCAGGAGTTTGAGAACAGCCTGGGCAACAAAGCAAGATCACATGTTTGCCAAAAATTAAAATATTAACTGGGCATGGTGGCATGTGCCTATAGTCCCAGCTCAACTTGAGAGCCTGAGGTAGGAGGACTGCTTGAGCCTGGTAGTTGGAGATCAGCCTGTGCAACACAGCGAGACCCTGTCTCTACCAAAAATTAAAAAATTAGCCAGGCGTGGTAGTGCGCACCTGTAGTCCCAGCTACTTGGGAGGCTGAGGCAGGAGGATCACCTGAGCCCAGGAGGTTGAGGCTGCAGTGGGCCATGATTGCACCAGTACACTGCAGCCTGGGCAACAGAGCAAGACCTCATTTCTTTTAAAAAAAAAAAAAAAAAAAAAGGAAGTTAAAATAGTAAACTGTTATGTGATATATGTTAACAAAATAAAAAAATTAAATTTTAAAGAATGTTTTCCAGCATAGAGAGCAATCTATGAATCTATGAACGGGGGGAAAGTCAACATGAAGAAAGAGTCAATGTCGTCAACAACGACTGAGACAAGGGAGGTTTCCAAGTCCCCTCCCCATCCTCTCCAGTGACCTCAGCTGAGCAGCTCTGTCCTCATCTTTAGCTGACAGCAGCACTTTTCCATCCGCGAAGCTGATCTGCAGTCTTTTATTTGCAGGGTCTGCGGGGATGGCTTGTCCTCTAAGGGATTTTTTTGCTTTTGTTTTTGTTTTTATGAACAGGCAAATCAGCCTCACTAATTTGGAGACGCCTTACCGTAGAAGTTGGTCCTCCTCTCTCCAGAGCCCGCCATAAAGCTGGGCTTTTGTGGTGAGAAGAAGAAAATGAGCCATCCTCATCCCATCTCCTCCAACATCTATGCCATGTGAGGCTCCAGAACGGCTCTACTTTCCGACCTGGCTGCACTGCAACTAGCCCTTAACCAAGGTGACCTAGCAGCCCTCGGTGGCTCCATCCACCTGTGGCTTCCTCCCTCCAAGGACCCTGCCTCAGGCTCTCTTCTGAGACAGTTGCTGCAGATGTTTTGCCCTCAAAGTTTCCCAAATTGGAATGCACTCTCTCTCCCTGGATCTCCTCACTGTCCAGCAGCCCAAATGCACAGCTGAGCCAGAGCCAGTCCTTCCTTATATGCACAGCCGAGCCAGAGCCAGTCCTTCCTCATACCCCAGTCCCCATGGCAGTCTCCTACACATCTGGGTTCACTGCATTCCTGTGTCCACCTCCTGGCTGAACTCAGATTTGAGTTTCTCCCCCATGTCCCTCCTGCCCCGTAGTGACCCATGGCTTCCGTGTCACTCCCTGTCTAGAATGAGTTTCCACCACCCACCCCTTTCAGCCAATAAACCCCTACTCCTCCTGCAAAATTCTCCTTAGGTGTCCACTGCGTCTTCACCCCCTACCTCTTGCCCTCCAGAGCTGGTAAGGCCCCTTTTCCACGTATCGCTGGGACTCTTCTCACCCTACGCAGTTCTCCTTAGACCAAGGCACTGGAAGGCTTGGCATCAAATGGAAAACTCCATTCAGAAGACACTACAGTTGCATTCTCTTGCAAGAACTTAAACCTCCCTTTTCATACATAGAAAAAGGGAATCAAGGTAAAAAATAATAAAAAAGAAAAATATAGATAATAAAATAAGCCTCCCTTTTTGAAGCGTCTGCTTTGCCCCAAATACTAAACATGCAATGTATCATTTTTTGGACAAAGAAGAGGAAGAGAAGACCCAGGAGCTGCCTGCCTTCACTCTGGTCTCTGTGCTTTGCAGGCAGTGATGACAGAGCAAGAAGCGCTATTTCTAGATTTTTGCCTTTAAAATTCAAATAGAGAGCAAAATAAATAAATAAATAAAAGGAGAGAACATGGTGTTCTTTCTTCCTGAACTCTCAGTAAAACAAAGGAATGATTTTACTCCTACCCCCAACAAGTACCAATGACAATGGGGACCACACTCAAGTCTGCAGACTTTAAAAAAAGATGTTTCCAAGAGATGCATCCACTCTCCCCGAAGAAGAGGTTCTGGCATGAACTCCTCTCCATGGAGAAACGAGCGGTCATCCAGGAACTAGAAGGATGTGGCCCGGAGTGGAGAGACCTCTTGCCTTCCAAGTTCTGTAGAAGAAAGCTGGCTAAGCCCTGCAACCACAGACCAAACCCACTGGCTTGGCTCGGCTGCTGTGCCATAGATAATATGGCACTGGAACCACTGTTTGGCCCATAAGCCAATCAATCATGACAGAAGAGTGGGGCTGCAGGCTCAGGGGCTGGGGCAGAAAAGGGAGAAAGGGACTCCACACGCACAGGTATTTATCTGTCTGTGCATCCGCTACAGTGGGTGTCAATGGAGCTGATTCTGCTCCCCACAATAAACACTGGACAATGTCTGGAGACATCTTTGGCTGTCACGCTGGAGTGGGGGTGCTAGAGGCATCTGGTGGGTGGAGCCCAGAGACATTGCTCAGCACCCTACAGTGCACAGGGCGGTTCCACCGCAGAGAATCCTCCAGCCCCAAATGTCAGCAGTGCTGAGGTTGAGAAACTCTACTAATACGTTCCATCATCAATCTATCAATCAATCACCTATCTATCTCAATATCTATCAACCATCTACCATCTATAGCTACCAGCTATCTATCAATCAGCTATCATCTATAGCTATCATCTATCAATCACTTATCTAATATCTATCAACCATCTATCATCTATAGCTATCATCTACCTCAATATCTGTCATCTATCAAATATCTGTCTCAATGTTGATCTCCATCCATCCATCCATCCATCCATCCATCCATCCATCCATCCATCCATCAACTATCTGTCACAGTGGTTCACAACTGGGGATAACTTTTTGTCCCCCCATAGGGGGAACTTAGCAGTATCTAGAGACATCTTTAGATACTCGTCATAGATGGGATGGGTGCTCTTGGCATCTGCTGGGTGGAGTCCAGGGACGCTGCTCAACACCCTACAGTGCACAGGATGCCCCACCACAGAGTCCTCCATGATCCCGCCCCATGTGTCAGCACTGCTGAGGTTGAGAAACTCTCTTTTAGCATGAGAGCTCTGCCTACATGCAATCGGTCATTAATCTATCAATCAATCACCTACCCACCTCAATATCATCTATCATCTATAGCTGTATATATTAGTATCTATTATCTATCACCTATCTTAATATCATCTATTAGCTACCCATCATCTATCTACTCACCTATCAATCACCCATCATTTACACCTATCTTAATATCTATTATCTATCACCTATCCATCTCAACATATACCTACCTATCGTATCTATCATCTCTCTCTGTCCGTCGTCTGTCTATCACAGTGGTTCACTAGTGGAGAAAACTTTGCCCTCCCTCCCTGAAGGAACACTTGGTTATGTATGGAGACATTTCTGCTTTTCATAACTGAGGTTGCTGCTCCTGGCCGCTGGTGGGTGGAGCCCAGGGACACTCCCCAACACCCTGAAGTGTGCAGGACGGCCCCACCCCAGAGACTCCTCCAGCCATAAATGGGAGGCACCTCCGCTGAAAGTCCTCGTTTTATACCTTCATCAAGAAGTCCAAGGCCTAAAACTGCCCGTATGGGAAGCAGATGTTGAGCAAGGCAACTTACATTTAGAAGAGAAGCTGCACAGCTGGGAGGATGAAATTCATTCTTCACAGAGGATCTAGGATTCTCCTCTAAGACATGCTCCTCAGCATGCAACGTTGGACACCCTCCAGCATCTTATCCATGGGGCTGGCCAGACCCGGCGTGCTCTCTCGTGTTATGTACAGGGAATGCCAAGTGTCTGAATGCACTGGATCAACTTTAATCCAGTTCTTAAAGCCACTTGGTCCCTAAAGTGTTAATGCACAGAAAAAGCAAAATGCTATAGCAGGTTATCATAATACTGCAGGGCACCGAAAGATCAATTATCAGCAAGTCACTAAGGCGGTCTCATGGGCTAAGTTACATCACCCCCTCCAAGTCTACATTGTTTTTCGGATTCTTTTTTGAGACAGGGTCTTGCTCTGTCCCCCAGGCTGGAGTGCAGTGGCACAATCTCGGCTCACTGCAATCTCCGCCTCCCAGGATCAAGCGATCCCCCTACCTCAGCCTCCTGAGTAGCAGGGACTACAGGCCCCCCCACCACACCCAGCTAATTTTTGTACTTTTTGTAGAGACAGGGTCTTGCCATGTTGCCCAGGCTGGTCTCAAACTCCTGGGTGCAAGGGACACTCCCACCTCAGCTTCCTAAAATGCTGGGATTATAAGTGTGAGTCAACATGCCCAAGTGGCAAACTCATTTTCTGTCATTTTTTGGGAAAAGTCACCTGTAAATTGCTATCACCATTAAGTCTTTAAAGGCTCATTGTTGACAATCACTTCCCTAGATCCAAAACTTTTCATGAGAGCTGTGGACTTCAGGGCCTGCCTTGTTTTCTGCACTATTTCAAAATCAAAGAACTGTATTTATTTATTTATTTTTATTTATTATTATTTTTTGAGACAAAGTCTTGCTCTGTCACCCAGGCTGCAGTGCAGTGGCACGATCTTGGCTCACTGCAAGCTCTGCCTCCCAGGCTCAAGAGATTCTAGTGCCCCAGCCTCCCAAGTAGCTGGGTTATAGACGTGCGCCACCACGCCCAGCTAATTTTTGTATTTTTAGTAGAGACAGGGTTTCCCCATATTGGCCAGGCTAGAATTTTCTTTTTAATTTTTTTTCTTAAGAGACGAGATCTCACTATGTTGCCCAGGCTGGTCTGGAACTCCTGGTCTCAAGTGATCCTTCCGCCTTGGCCTCCAAAAATGCAGGGATTACAGGTGTGAGCCACCGAGCTCGGCCCCAAATCAGAGAATTCTGAAATGAGCCCCTGCCATGTTCTCCCAAAACACTGAATAAAATCCTCCCAAGAATAATATCGAAAGTGGCCTTAAATTCCATGTAGACTTTAAATGATGAGGAAAAATTCATGCTTTTTGGCAACACCACCAGGCGGACCTGACATACAAATAACAGCTCACATTCGACTGTAACCAGCACTCGGAGGAGCCGGTGAGCTGTACGGGCAAAGGACAACCCATGAAGCATCCAAAATGTCCTCTTCAAAAGCTGTCACGGTGCAGAGAAATTTCACTCCTTAAAAGTTAGAAATAGGCCAGGCACGGTGGCTCACATCTATAATCTCAGCATGTTGGGAGGCCGAGGTGGGAAGATCATTTGAGCCCAGGAGTTTGAGACTAGCCTGGGCAGCAAAGTAAGATCCCATCTCTACAGAAAATTTTAAAATGAGGTAGGTGTGGTGGTGCACACCTGTAATCCCAGCATGTCAGGAGGCCAAGGCAAGTGGATTGCTTGCAGCCTAAAGTTCAAGACCAGCCTGGGCAACATAGCAAGACCCTGTTCATAGAGAAAAAACAAAAACATTATCTTCACCAAAGAGGTTGTGAAAAATATATACATATGTTTTTTAAAAATTAAAAATAAATAAAAACATTAGCAGGGTGTAGTGATGGGTGCCTGTAGTCCCGGCTACTCTGGAGGCTGAGGAAGGAGGATGGCTTAAGCCCGGGAGGTTGGGGCCGCAGTGAGCTGTGATTGCACCATTGCACTCCAAGATGGGCCACAGAGCAAAACCCGTCTCTAAATGTAAATCTATATATATACTTTTTTATATAAAAGATAAAAATAAACCAACATAGGTAACTTTGAATAGAATTTCTAAAGTCTCTAGGGCTTTATATAAGACTTAAGAAATATAAACGACTTTGTTCCTTAATTGAAAGCAGGGAATATCAAAATCAGAATCCACGTCCCTGCAGGAATGCACCTTATCTGCCAAGGAAAACAGTCTTGAGCTATCCTGCCTTGAAGAAAGGAGAACTACCTAACTAAAGCTCTGTTCTACAAGCTCCTCCCTATTTTTTAACTTGCGGGAGCTCAAGAATTCCATCCTGGGGAATTCTCTCACTTGTATACTCCACCCACTCCCATGTCCATGCGGTTCTTCTGTGGGATTTTAGATTTCTGAACTGTAGAGTACTCAGGAGCCCATCGTCTCGGCTGCTCTCCTGCTCCAGGAGGCGCAGGGGGTGTGTGTGAGTTCCTCAGGGCTATCATTAACAAAGTACCACAAACTGGGGGTTGGGGTGGAGGGACGCGGCAGACAACAGACATGCATTCTCAGTCCAGGTGCAGGGGCTGACACCTGCAATCCCAGCACTTTGGGAGGCTGAGGCTGGAGGACTGCTTCAGGCCAGGAGTTTGAGACCAGCCTGGGCAACACAGCAAGACTTCATCCTACAAAAACTTTTAAAAGTTGGTCAGGCATGGTGGCATATACCTGTAGTCTCAACTAGTTGGGAGGCGGCAGAGGCTGCAGTGGGCCATGATTGTGCCACTGAATTCCAGCCTGGGCAAGAAGGAGTGAGACCCTGTCAAGAAAGAAAGAGAAATGCAGAAAGGAAGAAAGGAAGGGAGGAAGGGAGCCACCGCGCCCATCCTCTGCATATGATTTTGTTCGGAGCTTAGGCAGCATTGGGTCTAGAGGAGAAGGCAGGTGCACTTGTTCCAGTACACACGAGGTGCTTCAAGAACATGATGGGAGGCACCCTGTGTCCCGGGGACAGCAGGTGAATGAGGGAAAACAGGTAGGTGTTTCTTAGATGGGGGAAGTGAAGGACAATGATGAGAGCAAAGAAGGAGGCCTGTCAAAGAAGGGTGGCCTGGGAGAAGCCCCGGAATGAGTGTGTGAACAGCACCTTCTACCTTCTCCTGTAGGGAGGTGGTGGCAGGGGGCCAGTCCACGAGGATACTGGTAGGAGGATGCTGCATTGCTGGGGCTTTATATGGGATACTTCAGGAGTACCCTGAGGATGAAAGGAGAGAGGCAGGTCATTGCAGAGGTACCTGGGAGGACCAGTGAGGCTATAAAGTGAGGAATGTCTTCAAGGGGAGCAAGGCTGGGAGAGAAAGACCAGGTAGGAGGGAAGCCAGTACAGAAAATCAGGGCAGAGAGACGGGACCCAGATAAAGCAGAAGATGGATAGGTGGACAGGAGAGGCATGGTAGCAAGATGGCGGAGGGAAGACGTGGGAATTGGATGGAAGGCACCCATGGAGGGAAAGGAGAGACACGCAGGACATCCTTGTCTAAGGCATCTGGGTGGAAATGGAATTACCCTGCTGGAATGGTCTGAATATCTTGTGTCCTCCCAAATCCCTATGTTGGATCCTCACCCCCAAGGTGATGGTGTTAGGTGTTGTGTCCTTTGGGAGGTCATGAGGGTGAAGTCTCATGAATGGGACGAGTGCCCTTATAAAAGGGACCCCAGAGAGATCCCTCACCCCTTCCACCATGTGAGGACACAGTGAAAAGGCGCCATCTATGAACCAGGAAGCGGGTCCTCGCCAGACACTGAATCCACCGTGTCTTGATCTTGGACTTTCCAGCCTCCAGAACCATGAGGCAAATGTCTGTCATTTGTAAATTACCGAGTCTAGGATCCTTTGTTATAGCAGCCTGAATGGACTATCACACCTACCCTAGGACATAAGACTGTTGTGTACCATCAGCTGGAAGTGTGTGGGCTGCATCTCAACGGGGTATCTCTCATCCACAGTCAACCAGAAACCCAACGAAACCTGAAGCCCAGCCCCGTCCACGTGACTGTGGTCCCTTAAAAACCAACTTAACCAGTTCTGCCGAGAGCTATAGATGCAGAACCCAAGGAGGTGAGGAGACAAAGATTTCTGCATCCTTTTCCGGGCAGAGATACTTGGTTCACCCAGGAGAGGAGCAAGGGGCCTTGGGCACGGACTTCTGAACACAGAGCGTTTCTTTTTGGACCTGGTCAGCCATGGAGGTCAGGAGCCCTGGAGGTATTCCAGCTCTAAGATCAGAGGCTGATAAGACCTGACAGGTGGAGACTGCTGTGGCCTAAGGCTTTGCACGCAGGCCATGGTCTCGGCCCACCCAGCTTCTTATAAGAAGAGACACACAGGGGTCTAGGGAGAGTGCGTGGGGAGAGGCTTCAGGAGGGGACTCACAGCCTGATGAGGAACGGGTGGCTGACTTCCTTCAGGACAGACTTCTCATTGTGTACGTGTTGCTCCTGCTTTAGGCGGATGACGTCGGGAATGCTCATCACCTTGAGGGCGAAGAAATGCTTGGCTGTCTTCTCCTTCACCAGGTGCACCCGCCCGAACGTCCCAGTGCCTGGAGAGAGAAGAAATCGACAGAGGTCATTAAGTCTTCCGACAAAGGAAGAAACCACCACAGCCATGCAATCAGCGGGGGGCTGCACCAGGACGGCAAACACAGACCCCAAGTGAAACTTTCAGAGACTTTGTGTCATGGTGCACGTGGGCTGATGGCATTTAGTGAGAGGCGCTCACCTGGAATTTTCCACTGAATACAGAAATTGCAGAGAGAGAAAGAGGGAGAGAGAGGGAGACAGAGAGAGCCATCTGCCTCTGAATGGTTCCTCAATTTGGGGACAAACTGGCCATAATTTCTGCAGATCAGTCTTCGCACACAGCACACCCACACGCCCCACACACCCACATGGAGAAGCATTAGAGTAATAGTAAATGTATTTATATAACATGCCTTTTTCTCTTCAGGCTCTCTGGTTTTATCAGAAATACAGACAGGGTGTAAAACACACAGCCCTCCTCAACACGGCTGTTTCCTTAACGCACATTAAGGCTTGCTCAAAGTACGGAGTCCGTATTCTACAATCTGGCGTGGGTTGGGATGAAGTGCTATATAGGTGCCCACAAACAGAAAACAAAACAACAACAACAACTGCAACCACTACAAATATAAAAGAAAACCAATAGCTCTACTGTATTCTGCTGGGACATTTTCAATCCAAACACTCTCTTCTCCTCCTTCCCCTCCTCCATCTCTTCCTTCTCTTTTTTCTCTTCCTCAATCTTCTCCTCCTTCTCTTTCATCTCTTCCTTCTCCTCTACATCCTTTTCTTTTCCACTTCTTCCTCCTCCTCCATCTCCTCCTCCTCTCCCTCCTCTTCCTCCCACTGGGGTGCATGTAAATGAAGAAATCTAATAGTCAATGAGATATAAAAGAAAATCAAAATCTCTAAACAAGCTTTGCTTGTTCCTCCTCCTCCTTTCTCCTCCTCCCTCTCCTCTTCTTCCTCTTCATCCTCCTCCTCTTCCTGTAACACACTGATCCTACAAGGTGTGCACGTGTTCACGCACATATTGAAATATTCTTCACGTAGCATAAATGTTCTTGGGTTAATGGAACGAATAGTGCAGTGGCGCCATCACAGCTCACTGTAGCCTCTACCTCCTGGGCTCAAGCAATCTTCCCGCCTCAGCCTACCCAGTTAATTTTTGTACTTTTTGTAAAGAGGGGGTCACACTGCGTTGCTCAGGCTAGCCTTGAACTCCTGGGCTCAAGTGATCCTCCTGCTTCGGCCTCCCAAAGTGCTGGGACTACAGGCATGAGCCACTGCAACTGATGCAGGATTTCTAGAGTATCCCTAAATTGCCTTTGACGTACCTTGATCCCAGCGTCAGCAGCCCCTTACTGACATGCAAGTCATTCCTCAGCAATATTTTTAAACAACGCATTCACAGCTGCAGACAGAGATGAGCAACTAAAACAAAACTGCCCTCCCGTATTATGTGATCACACCCACCCCAAACAGCAGAGAGGCTTCTCAGAAACTGACATTCAGAGAAAGGATGGTTTGGAAGTGTATCCTTCTGAGGAACCAACATCTGTTGACGAGCAAATCTCACCGATCAATATTGATCCATTTACCTATCCATTCATTGGCTGGTACTCCTGTGCCTGCTTTATGCTAGATTGCAAAACCCAAGAGAACCAGGATCTTCCAGACACCTGCACTCCCATGTTTATGACAGCACTATTCACAACAGCCAAGGCGTGGAAACAACCTCAGTGTCCGTCCAAGGGCAAATGGATAAAGAAAACATGGTACATATACACGATGGAATACCATTCAGCCCTAAAAAAGAAGGAAACTCTGGCATTTGCAGCAACATGGATGGAACTGGAGGCCATTATGTTCAGTGAAATAAGATAGGCACAGAAAAACAAATATTAAATATTGCATGATCTCACTTATACAAGGAATCTGACATGGCTTGGCTGTGTCCCCACCCAAGTCTAATCTTGAAGTGTGGCTCCCATAATCCCCACGTGTTGTGGGAGAGACCAGGTGGGAGGTAACTGAATCATGGGGGTGGGTTTTCCCATGCTGTCCTCCTGATAGTGAATAAGTCTCACGAGATCAGATGTTTTAATAAATGGGAGTTTCCCTGCTCGGGCTCTCTTCTTGCCTGCTGTCATGTAAGACGTGACTTTGCTCCTCCTTTTACCTTCTGCCATGACTGTCGGAACCTCCGCAGCCATGTGGAACTGTGAGTCCATTAAACCTCTTTCCTTTATAAATTAACCAGTCTCAGGTATGTCTTCATTAACAGCATGAGAATGGACTAATGCAGAATCTACAATAGTCAAACTCATAGAAGCAGAGAGTAGAGAGGTAGTTATCAGAGGGTAGGGCTTGAGGGGGAAGGGGAAATATATTGGTCAAAGGATACAAAGTTTTAGTTGAACAAGATAAACCATGGAGATCTACCATACACCTAGTTCATATAGTTAACAATACTGAACTGATAAATGAAATTTTATATATAAATAGCTCACATATACAATAGTAAAATTGTATATATGAAAATTTGCTTAGAGGGTAGATCACATTATATTGTTTTGTCTTTTTTTTTTTTTTTTTTTGAGACAGGGTCTCTCTCTGTTGCCCAGGCTGAAGTGCAATGGCACAATCAATAGCTCACTGCAGCCTTGACCTGCCAGGCTCAAGTGACCCTCCCACCTCAGCCCAAATAGTTGGGACTACAGGCGTGCACCACCAAGGGCGGATAATTTTTTAAATTGTGACTGGGTATTTTTGACTGGTTTGAGAAGGAAAAAAAAAGACCACAACCATACAATGGATTTCCTTCCAAGAGTCTGGAATGCCATTGATTGCACATGGTAACGTGAAAAGAAAAAGTTGTACTTAAGCTACCAATTTTACTTAGAGTATTTGCTGTAAACTAAAATCCCCATGTTGTAAAATATCTAAGCTAATGAATGATGAATTTACTAGCTTATAGGGCAGACTGGGAAGGGAGGAGGAGAAGTAACCTTTGCTTTTTAAGTGAAGTTTCCGATACTGAATATTTTATTATGGCAGAAATAGAAAGTGAACTACAAGATAAAGAAAAAGTGTAAGAAGGAAACAATGTCAATAGCTGACAGGTGTTAAATATTTCTTTAAAAAAAGTAAACAAATAATGAAATAGTAACACATTTTTAAAGTATATTCTCTTAGTTAATTTGGAAATAAAATAGGTTTTATTACAGTACAACATGGTGTGGACAAAATTAGGTGGAATCAGGTCAAAGACAGGAAGTGGGAGAAGGGCTTTGAGGACTGTGAACTGATACAGTTTAGGTGTTTGACTATGGCCACTGATGTTTCAATTGGATAAAACACAATTAGGAATCAGGAACACTGGCATCCAACCCAAGCTTATCCTGCCATTGGACCTATGAAATGGGCAACAGAGTAACCTTTTAACCTTTTAGTCTCCTGTTGCTCTTCTTTCCAACAGAACTTGCATATTATTAGGAAACATTAAATTCTTGCCACACCCTAAAATTCTAATAATGCAATGAATATGGTCCTTGACTTTTCTTCCTCTATCTGGTTCCTTCCTCCTTATTTATCTTTCTCTATCACCCACCCCAAGGAACCCATTCATTACTTGGCTGTGTTTACTGCATAACATTCTGTCTTAGTACTTGTATTTGACCCTCAACAGAGAGAATTCTCCATGCCTACTTTAAGAACAACAGCTATGACTCAACAGATTTTTTACACTTCTGTGACTTCTTTAAAGCTTTCTCTGAGCTGTGTGCATTATAAACATACAAAACTCAAAACACGTTACTTATGCACTGCAGCGGATCTTTGCGCTACCCTGGGAGATATTGTCAGTCCCGCCAACGCCACAATCAGACTGCAGAAGTATGTCGGTAAACAACCTTACTCAAAGCAGACAGAAGTGGCATGCTGTAATGTTTAAGGTTTATCAGCTTAAGTGCACAGAAGACAAAGGCAACATTTAATGGTGCTGGTAGATCTTCCCCGCTTGGTGTTGGAAGGCTCTCCAGTACACATTCCCCAGTTATCATTATCCCACTTGAGGAGAAAATGTCTATTTGTAGCCTTCTCTGCAGCTAAGGGTGGCCATCTGACCCAGCTTTGCCCAATAAGACATAAAAAAAGAGTGTTTTCAAGTGTTTCTAGGCAGGTCAGCTCTTTCCTTCCTGATAAGGGAGATCTTGAAGGTAAGTGGTCCATTCCCCACCCTAGAGATCCCCTCCATCTCTCTCCAAGCTAAGTAGTAGTGTTATGCACGAGGGAAATCAGATGTGGAGTTTATGTCTTTTCTTTTAATTTTAGATTCAGGGGGTCCATGTGCAGGTTCATTACATGGGTATATTGCATGATGCTGAGGTTTCGGCTTCTAATGATCCCGTTGCCCAAGTAGTAAACAGTTTCTAATAGGAAGTTTTTCAGTCTTTTCCCCACTCCCTCCCTTCCTCTTTTTGGAATCCCCAGTGTTTATTGTTCCCATCTTTGTGTCCATGAAGTACTCAGTGTTTAGATCCCACTTATAAGTGAGAACATGCAATATCTGGCTCTCGATTTTTTGCATGAATTTGTTTAGGATAGCAGCCTCCAGCTGCATCCACTTTGCTGCAAAGGACACGATTCTGTTCTTTTGCAGGGCTGCAATGTGGAGATTAAAGTCAAAGCTTTAAGGGGAAAGCTTAAGTATGGGTTCTACAATCCCTTACCCACAGTGGCTAAAGCTAAAGGCTCTGAATACTCAAAGTGTCTTCATCAACACACCTGGCCGCAAAACTGGACCTTGCCTAACGTGAGACTGTTCAGGCTTGATCCTCCTTGGGGTGAATATCTACCTATTTCACTACAGAAATATTCTTGTCTTGATAACAACATCCAGCCCAGACTCTGCTGAGGGTGTTGTATAATTAAAAAGGACATGCACCCATTCTCATCCCAAATTTAGAAAAATCCCCAAATTCCCAAATATACCTGATCTATACATTTCAGAGACTTAGAAGGACCATGGCAATCTCGGGAAGGTGTGGCTACTTTTAAGGTGGGCACGCCCTTTTTATAGCAGGTGCAATACAGTGGGCTTTTCCTCCAACATTCAAAGAGTTGTTTCTCCAGCCAAGTGCCAGACGAGGAAGGTGGATCAGATTTATGAGCCATTCTATGTGTGCAATTCTGATCTGTAAACATTAATGCGGGGTGGACTCAGGTCTCCTCTCTCCCACTGGAGAACCTCCTGCTTTTTGAAAGCCTCTGACAGTGTGGCCACTCTCTCTGCATTCCCTCATCCATCTATCCCTCCTCCCCTACCCTATCCATCCTTCCCAAGCCCTTGGGTCCAACTCACACACAAACACATCCTGGCCTGTTGTTGTTGTTGTTGTTGTTGTTGTTGTTGTTACAGAGTCTCACTCTGTCGCCCAGGCTGGAGTGCAATGGCGCAATCTCAGTTCACTGCAACCTCTGCCTCCTGGGTTCAAGCGATTCTCCTGCCTCAGCCTCCAAAGTAGCTGGGATTACCGGTGCCCGCCACCCCGCCTGGCTAATTTTTGTATTTTTAGTAGTGACAGGGTTTCACCATGTTGGCCAGGCTGGTCTCAAACTCCTGACCTCAAGTGATCCACCCACCTCGGCCTCCCAAAGTGCTAGGAGTACAGGCATGAGCCACTGCACCTGGCCACATCCCAGCTTTCTGTCTGGAGGGATGGGAAGAAGGAGAAAGACGACCTCCACACTCCCAATAAAGAGCAAACATCATAAACTTCAACTTTCCCAGAAAAATGCCATGGGCATCTTCTGAGCTCCACCCAAATACAGGCATGTGTAACTGTAAACATACACATACACATTACGGTCACCAAAAAATGACAGCCTTTATCCCGAATGTTTAGACAACTCAGCAGAACTAAAATATTAGGTGAATCACCATGACCATGGAAAATGCTGAAAGGTTCCCTTGTTAGTGAAGACTCACAACTGGCGGCTTGGGGGCTGGGGGGAATCTACAGCCAGGCACCGTAGCTCGCAACTGTAATCCCAGCACTTTGGGAGGCCAAGGCAAGAGGATGGCTTCAGGCCAGGAGTTCTCGACCAGCTTGGGCAACACAGCGAGAGCCCCTTGTCTACAAAAACATAGAGATCTCATCCCTATTAAAAGAAATTAGCCAGGAGTCATGATGCACTCCTGCAGTCCCAGCTACTGGGGAGGCTGAAGTGGGAGGATCACTTGAGCCCAGGAGGTGGAGGCTGCAGTGAGCTATGGTTGCCACCGCACTGCAGTCTGGGCAACAGAATGAAACCCTGTCTCCAAAAATAAATAAATAAAAAATAAATAAGGCCAGGCACAGTGGTGCACACCTGTAATCCCAGCACACTGGAAGGCTGAGGTCAGAGGACTGCTTGAGCCCAGGAATTCCCGACCAGCCTGGGCAACATGGTGAGATCCCTATCTCTACGAAAAAATACAAAAATTAGCCAGGCATGGTTGTGTGCACCTGGAGTCCCAACTGCTCAAGAGGCCGAAGCAGGAGGATTGCTTGAGCCCAGGAGGTTGAGACCAGCCAGGGCAACATAGTGAGACCCTGCCTCTATTTAGAAAAGAAATAGGCCGGGCACAGTAGCTCACACCTGTAATCCCAGTGCTTTGGGAGGCCAACATGGGAGGATCGCTTGAGCCCAGGAGTTTGAGATCAGCCTGGACAACACAGTGAGACCCCAGCCTCTACTAAAAATACAAAAAAATTAGCCAGGCATGGTGGCGGGTACCTGTAATCCCAGCTACTCCAAAGGCATGAGAATGTCTTGAACCAGGGAGCAGGAGGTTGCAGAGAGCTGAGATTGCACCACTGCACTGCAGCCTGGGCAACAGAGGGAGATTTTGTCTCAAAAAAAAATTTTTTTTAAATAATAAATATATCTCTCTTGGTTCAAAAATCTAAAGAGAAATAATTTTTTTAAATGTACAAAGCGAGGTATGAGAAAGAACAGAAAACACATTTCTCACTGTGAAAAGAGATGGCCTTTTCCTCTCTTCCTCAAGCCCAGCAAACCCTAAATCCCTCTTGCCTGTGACTTTGGAGGGAAGGAAGGAGGCGGCCAGCAGAGAGAGAAGCAAAGACAGCAGGCCACCGTGTTTATCATCACGATGCCCATTCATACTAAAGAAGTGTCCAGAAAGAGGAGAAACACGGATTTAAGTTTCTTTGGTTATATTTTTAAATTTTGCTAGAACTCAAAACACTTCAGGAGAGCTGTATGGAATAAACACAGGGACCGTGACATGGAATTTCACGCGGTCACAAAACGGAAAAGAAACCAACCAACCCTGAGTACTTTCCCTTGGGGTCCGTGGGTATATGGGATGGGGTCAGGAAGGTGACGGGAGAAGGACCGTGTCTCACTGCAGCACATTCCCGGGAGTAGATTCACGGATGATCTCAGACACCAACAGCTGACACCATCTGAGCCCAGTTCTTCCTCTGTGCTGCAAGAGCAACGCCGCACAGCTAGCTCGGCCTTTCACAGGTCACCTAAACACAGCCAATCTCCCCTCTCCCCACTTTGTGTGCATTGAATGGGGTGCCCTGGAAAAGATACGTTGACATCCTAATCCTTGGTACCTGTGAATGGGACCTTAGTTGCAAACAGGGTCTTTGCAGATGTGATTAAGATATACACAAAGGCTGGGCACAGTGGCTCACCCCTGTAATCCCAGCACAGGAGTTTGAGACCAGCCTGGGCAACACAGCAAGACCTCAGCTCCACTTTTTTAAAAAATGAAATAAAAAAAAAGGTATATATTAAGGTGAGGTCATCCTGAAGGTGGTGCAATATGAGTGGTGAACTAATAAGGAGACACAGACGCAGAGGGGAAGGCCACGTGGAGAAAGAGGCAGAGAGTACAGTGATGCGGCCACAAGCCCAGGGACACTTGGAGCCCCCAGCAGCTGGGAGAGGCAGGAAGGAGCTTCCCCTGGAGCCTCCAGAAACAACTGGATACAACTGTAGTGGACTGAACTATGGTCTCCCAGAAAGATATGTCCATGTCCTGACCCACAGAACCTGTAAATGAGACCTCATTTGGGAAAAGGGTCTTTGCAGATGTAATTAAGTTAAAGATCTCAAGGTGAGGTCATCCAAAATTGGAGTGGACCCTAAACACAATGACGGGTGTTCCTGTAAGAGAAGAAGAGAAGACACAGACACAGAGGAGAAGGCCATGTGGAGACGGAGGCAGAGACCGCAGTGATGCGGCCACAAGCTCAGGGACGCCTGGAGCCCCCAGGAGCTGGGAGAGGCAGGAAGGAGCCTCCCCTAGAGCCCGCAGAGGGAGCACAGCCCTGCCGCATCTGCACTTCAGAGTTGTGGTCTCCAGGACTGTGAAACAATTAACTTCTGTTATTTTAAGGCACCCAGTCTGTGGTATGTTACCAAAGCAAATATGCCCAAGGGGTACAAATTCAACCAAATAGTTCCAAATTTAGCCAAGTACATTCCCTAGCAATGCTGCGAGCTCACAGTCAAAGGTATAACTCCACCATCTCTGAGAACCTGAGAGAGGCTTCCAGGGTGGTCTGAACTGTGCAGACCTCAGCAAACAGCAACATCCCAGGAAAGAGTGGGGCTAAGAAGCTACTAATCCCTATTCCTACAAAGGCAGCCTAGACATGTCTGAGCCTTCCCAGGCCGATCACTAAGGAATGTCCACAACGCAGAGCCGCCCCAAACATGGGAGAAGACAGAAGTCTTCAAAGGAGCCGAGATGAAAAACCAAGTTCAAATTGTAAACTAGGCTGGGCAGGGTGGCTCACGCTTGTAAGTCCAGCACTTTGGGAGGCCTAGATGGTGGGATCACTTGAGGCCGGGAGTTCAAGACCTGCCTGGGCAACATAGCGAGATCCCAGCTACAAAAATAAAAATAAAAAATTACCCAGGTGTGGTGGTGCACAGCCGTCGTCCCAACTACTTGGGAGGCTGAGGTGGGAGGATTGCCTGAGCCTGGGAGGTCGAGGCTGCAGTGAGCTAAGATCGCATCACTGCACTCCAGCCTGGGCAACAGAGCAAGACCCTGTCTCAAAACAAAAAATGACAACAACAAAAACAAATAGGAAACTAATGGCTGATATTTTAGTCATCTGTACATAAATCCCTTCATAATCTTTACTGAGGTAAGAACCACATTTTCATCCAAAAAAAACAAGGTAGTTGGCCAGGCACAGTGGCTCACACCTGTAATCCCAGCACTTCGGGAGGCCAAGGCAGGTGGATCACAAGGTCAGGAGTTCAAGATCAGCCTGACCAACATGGTGAAACCCCGTCTCTACTAAAAATACAAAAATTAGCCGGGTGGTAGTGGCGCGCTCCTGTAATCCCAGCTACTCAGGAGGCTGAGACAGGAGAATCGCTTGAACCCGGGAGGTGGAGGTTACAGTGAGCCAAGATTGCGCCACTGCACTCCAGCCTGGGCAACAGAGCGAGACTCCGTCTCAAAAAAACAAAAACAAACAAACGAACAAAATAAGGTAGTTAAGCAAGAATTTGGTAGGAGTGGTCACAGGGAGAGATTACTTTCTGGGTCTCAATCTTTCCCTCTATCAAGTGTTGGTTATTTCTTTTCATCAGTACAAATATTCTGAGGTGCATAAAGATCTGACTTAAGCTTCATCTCATTCAGCTTCTGCAGTATTCGCTACTCTCTGTTGAAAAAAAAAATCTAGTGGCTAAACGTAAATGAAAAAAAGTACCTATTAATTACACTCTGACCTCGGTTCATCCTGGGAAAGGGTTTCAGGGCTCATAATTGTGGCAGACTTCTATGTAAATAAAGTACTTTGCTCGAACTACTGTAATAACCTAACACAGACTGGAGGACTTAAAGAGAACTTTCTTCTCTCACAGTCCTGGAGGCTGGAAGTCGGAGACCCAGGTGTGGGCAGGGCTGGTTCCTCCTGAGGCCTCTCTCCTAGGCTTGTCGATGCCATCTTCTCCCTGTGTCCTCACAGGGTCGTCCTCTATGTGCGTCTGTGTCCTCATCTCTGTTTTTATTTATTTTTTATTTATTTCTACTTTGTGAGATAGAGTCCTGCTCTGTGGCCCAGACTGGAGTGTAGTGGCACGATCACAGCTCACTGCAACCTCCACCTCCTGGGTTCAAGCGATCCTCCGGCCTCAGCCTCCCAAGTAGCTGGGATTACAGGCATGTGCCACCACAGCCAGCTAATTTTTGTATTTTTAGTAGAGATGGGGTTTAACCATGTTGGCCAGGCTGGTCTCAAACTCCTGACCTCAAGTGATTCGCCTGCCTCAGCCTCTCAAAGTGCTGGGATTACACGCATGAGCCACAACGCCTGGCCTAAAATAATTCTTGCATACACACTTTCCATCTTGGGTCCTTCCTGAGGATAAACCCACCTGAACAGGGCACCTGTTCCTTCCTTCAGCCCTTCCCTCCTTCTTTCATCGGTTTCCTTCCTTCTTTCCTCTCATTCCATCTTTCCATCCTCCTTTCTCCCTTCCTTCCCTCTCCTTTCCTTCCTTTCTCCCTACTTTCTTCCTTCCCTCCTTCTCTCTTTCTCTCCTTCCTACTTTTTTCCTTCCTCAGCCATCTCACTACTAAGCCTCATTCAAGAGGCGTCATCCCATCACGGTTAAAAGCTGTGTGACCTTGACAAGCCCCCTAACCTCTCTAAAATTCATCTACCAAATAGGGATCATAATCTTTACCCCCACTGGGTTTAAGTGAAATAACACACAGAAAGCACATCACACAGAATAATAAACGTAGTAAATGAATGCATCTGTAAGCGTGAAAACATTCAAACATCGGCTTCCCAAATGTCCCATGTGGCAGTGGTTACCCAGCCCTATCCATTTGGCAAGGACTCCTCCCAGTGTGCACTTCAAATGGGTGATTTTGTTGTATGTACACCGGAATAACACTGACCCGCCTCCCCCAAGATAGGCTAAGAGGAATTTAAAAAAAAAAAGAAAAAGTAAGCAAAACCAGGCTCGGTGGCGCATGTCTGTAATCCCAGCACTTTGGAAGGCCAAGGCAGGTGGATCACTGGAGCCCAGGCGTCCAAGACCAGCCCAGGCAACATGGTGAAACCCTGTCTCTACAAAAAATTTAAAAATTAGCTGGGCATGGTGGCGCACATCTGTGGTCCCAGTTACGCAGGAGGCTGAGCAGGGAGGATCTCTTGAGCCCAGGAGGTAGAGGCTGCAATGAGTGCCATGACTGCACCACTGCACTCCAGCCTGGGAGACAGAGCAAGACCCCCTCTCAACAACAACAACAAAAAGTAAGCTTCACAGAAGCAGAGCTGGTGTGTGTTTCTTCTTATTCTGCGTGGCACTGAATGTAGACATTCATGAGGACCTGTGGGCTGAACAGCACAGCTCACCTTCCAGAATCAAGGATCTCACACCAGTAAGTGGGGGCTGAGAGCAAAATCTCCTGCCACAGGGAAATGGATAAGAAGAGGAGTTTGTACTCCCAACTCAGCTCCTTTATTCCAAAAGTCTGATATGTCCAAAACATAAGTCTTAAGATGCCCATTGAAGACACGTAGGCAGGTTCCATCTGTACCAGGTCTGGGAAACAATGTCTCTACTTACGATCCCAGAATGAAAGCTGATGATTTTTTTTTTTTTTTTGGACATGGGGTCTCACTCTGTTGCCCAGGCTGGTCTTGAACTCCTGGCTTCAAGCAATCTTCCACCTCAGCGCCCCAAAGTGTCAGAATTGCAAGCGTGAGCCACTACACCTGGCCTTGAACATAGTTACTTTGTTTTAAATCTTTTTTTTTTTTTGAGACAGAGTCTCATTCTGTCACCCAGGCTGGAGTTCAGTGGCGCGATCTCAGCTCACTGCAACCTCCACCTCCTGGGTTCAAGCGATTTTTCTGCCTCAGCCTCCAGAGTAGCTGGGATTACAGGTGCCTGCCACTACGCCCGACTAATTCTTGTAGTTTTAGTAGACACGGGGTTTCACCATGTTGGCCAGGCTGGTCTCCAACTCCTGACCTCAGGTGATCCGCCCACCTCGCCTCCCAAAGTGCTGGGATCACAGGCGTGAGCCATCACGCAGACCAAATCTATTTTTTAATTATGGTAAAATACGCACAACATAAAATTTACCATCTTAATTAACCATTTTGAAGTGTACAGATTAACGGTGTTAAATACATTCACAATGTTATCCAACCAACACCACCAACCATCTCCACTTGGACTTACTTTTATTTATTTTTAATTAATTAATTAATTTTTTTTAAGAGACAGGTCTCACTCTGTGCCACAGGCTAGAGTGCAGTGATGCAATCTCGGCTCACTGCAGCATAAACTCCTGGGCTCAAGCCATCAGCCCACCTCAGCCTCCCAAGTAGCTGGTACTACAGGCATGCGCCACCATGTCTGGCTAATTTTGTTTTTGAGATCTCACTTTTTCACCCAGGCTGGTCTCAAAGTCAAGGGATCCTCCCACCTCAGCCTCCCAAAGTGCTAGAATTACAGGCATGAGCCACTGCGCCCAGACTTAACTTACTTTTAATGGGAAAAGTCACATGCAGGTCCTCAGTAAGCAGATTAACTTAGCCAATAATAAGGTAACATAATGAGAAATCATGTGGGTGAGACAGCAAATGGCTGATGTCAAAGTAACTTGGATAACAAAAATCACTAATTTTTTAGATGTTTTGAGGATTATACACCTAAGAGGTAAGTGCCTTAATAAACTGTAAATGCCAGTCAACTATAAGAATTCCTAAGGCTCAAACACAGCTGGCACAACAGTCCCTGAATTAAACACATGCATTGTCCATCACCACCCTGCACACTCACCCCACATATTTTAAATAATCTGCATTTCTTTCCTTAAACTGTGATGCTTAAGGAATCTTGAACATGGGCATCCCAGGGGCTAAAAAAAAACAGGATGCACCAATTCAATGGGGGAGAGAAGGTGAGGGTGGATGAGCCCTAATTCTCCCTAAAATGCAGGAGAAAAAAAACCCCAAACAGGCCAATGTTGAGACATCATGACCAGAAATCTTTGCAAGAGGAGAGCGTCACAGTGGCTCCGCTGAGACACCAAGGACAGCATCGTGTTCCTCATGGACACTCCAAGAGAGGTGGCTACATGGAAAATACACTTCAAAAAAGGTAAAACCCCATCCTGGCCAACATGGGAAAACCCCATCTCTACTAAAAATACAAAAAATTGGCTGGGCGTGACAGCACATGCCTGTAATCCCAGCTACTTGGGAGGCTGAGGCAGGAGAATTGCTTGAACCCAGGAGGCAGAGACTACAATGAGGCAAGATCACACCACTGCACTCCAGCCTGGGCGACAGAGCAAGACTCTGTCTCAAAAAACAAACAAACAAAAAAGGTAAAACCCAGCTGGGCGCGCTGGCTCACGCCTGTAATCCCAGCACTTTGGGAGGCCGAGGCAGGTGGATGATCTGAGGCCAAGAGTTCGAGACCAGCCCAGCCAACATGGTGAAACCCCATCTCTACTAAAAATACAACGATTAGCCGGGCATGGTGGCAGGCACCTGTAACCCCAGCTACTCAGGAGGCTGAGGCAGGAGAATTGCTTAAACCTGGGAAGCGGAGGCTGCAGTGAGCCAAGATCACACCACTGCATTCCAGCCTGGGCGACAGAGCGAGACTCTGTCTCCAAAGAAAAAAAAAAGGTTAACTCAAGAAGTGGGCACAGCCCCCATCCATCTTGTCTACAGCCTGGGAGGCCAGTTACCTGCCACATTAGCTTGGGAGGGAACATGCTCTTGTTCCACACCTATAGATGGGTGGAGGCCAGGAGCAGTGGCTCATGCCTGTAATCCCAGCACTTTAGAAGGCTGAAGCAGAAGGATCACTTGAGCCCAGGAGATCGAGACTAGCCTGGGCAACATAGCCAGACACCATCTATAAAAAAAAAAAATTTTTTTTAATGAGCCGGGTGTGGTGGTATGCTCCAGTAGTCCCAGCTACTCATGAGGCAGAGATGGGAGAATTGCTTGAGCCCGGGAGTTGGAGGCTGCAGTGAATTATGATAGTACCACTGCATTCCAGCCTGGGCAAAAGAGCGGGACCCCCATCTGTTTAAAAAAAAAAAAAAAAAGTGAGGCTCTTCTCCATAAGTGATAATTTGCTTCTATATTGAGAAAGGACTTTGGAGAAATATACAAGACACATTAATATGGGCACCTGGGTGGAAGGAGAGGGCAAATTCTGCACAGGTGAGGCACAAAAACAGATGCATTTCACTATATAACTTTCTCACCTTTTAAAATTTATGACTATAGAAATAGTTCATCAACATAGGTTCAATTTATGTTAAATTGATAAGTGAAACCGACGCATTGCATTAAATAATTGTTTCAAAATAATGATATCAGAACGTACACATTTATCATCCTCAAACTCAGTTCTTTTCCTTGACATTTTCCCCCCTGGGTAAAATCAATAAAAGAACATTAAATGCTACCATGGAGGAAATAAGTGTGTGAAACACGCAGTTCTTCTTTACGAAGTCGATTTTTGGAATTACTGCTGCAAACAAGTATAATGACCTTCTATTTTATAGACAGGAAAAAAAGCTGTTAAAAAGTATTTTTAAAAAAGAGTGTGTGTTGCCAGGCATGGTGGCTCGTGCCTATAATCCCAGAACTTTGGGAGGCCACGGAAGGACATCAGTTCAGGAGTCCTAGACCAGCCTGGGTAACATAACGAGACCCCGTCTCTATTAAAAGATCAAAAAATTAGCAGGGCGTGGTGGTTACACACCTGCAGTCCAAGTTACCTGGGAAGCTGAGGCAGGAGGATCACTTGAGCCCAGGAGTTCAAGACAGCAGTGAGTAGTGATCGCACCCCTGTGCTCTAACTTGGGTGAGAGAGCAAGACTCTGTCTCAAAAAATGAATGAATGGGCTGGGCGCGGTGGCTCACACCTGTAATCCCAACACTTTGGGAGGCCAAGGCGGGCGGATCACAAGGTCAGGAGATCGAGACCATCCTGGCTAACACGGTGAAACCCTGTCTCCACTAAAAATACAAAAAATTAGCCGAGTGTGGTGGCGGAAGCCTGTAGTCCCAGCTACTCAGGAGGCTGGGGCAGGAGGATGGCGTGAACCCGGGAGGCAGAGCTTGCAGTGAGCCGAGATGGCACCACTGCACTCCAGCCTGCGTGACAGAGCAAGACTCTGTCTCGAAAAAAACAAAACAAACAAAAAACAGTGTGCTTACTCTGTGAATAAACTGAAAACTAAAGAACTATGTGTTTTTAAAGGGTGAATCTTATGGTATAGAAATTGTATCTCTATAAACAATGTTTACTTTAGAAAAGAATGTATGCTTTGGATATTCTTGGGAAGGTATTTTTTATTTATATTGCTGCTATAACCAGTGGGTGGGGGAGGAACAAGATATATTTTTAAGCTTGGAATATTTACTTCAAACTTCAGTTAAAAACAGTAGAGCCAATTCAGCCAAGCAGTGTGTGGTAGATAGTTTGGTGAGTTCACTGGTCTAGACAGTTGGAAACAAACTCCCTCAAAATTTTGCTGAGTCAAACAACATTCCATTTTTACACTGTCCTAATTTAAAAGATGCAGATGTTTCAGAACTACACTCTCCGATGTACAGTGTATTAAATTACACTTTCTCATCAGAAATACAAAATGTGGCCGTGAGTAGTGGCTCACACCTGTAATCCCCACAGTTGGGAAGCCAAGGTGGGCGGATCACTTGAGCACAGGAGTTCAAGACCAGGCTAGACAACAAAGCAAAACCCCATCTCTACTAAAAACACAAAAAACAGCCAGGCATGGTGGCATGCGACTATAGTCCCAGCTACTTGGGAGGCTGAGGCAGGAGGATCACTTGAGCCTGGGGGCGGGGGTTGCAGTGAGCTATGATCACACCACTGCACTCCAGCCTAGGTGACAGAGCGAGACCCTGTCCCAAAAAACAACAACAAAATACAAAATGTATAATCACAGAAGTGAAAAGAAAAACAAGAAATTCTCATCTTCTCCCACAACACTAACAGATGTGAAGCCAGGGAAAGGTTCGTGATTTCTGGCTCAGTGTATTTATACAAGCACAGTATGTGCAGCTTTCAATAACATTTGAGTGCAACTCTACCAAGAAAAACAAGGGCTGGTTTTCACACATCTACAATACAATCCAGCCAGGTTAAAGATACATCCTAGCCTACCTCCACGATAGTGTTGCGGGATAAATCAGAGACGGTAGAGACCGAGCACAGTTAGGAGATGACCATTATAATTATAATTATTAAGGTGATCACCAGCTCAGTCGGACTAGGGTCTAGAAAGTCTGAGCCCCGTACAGAGGGATCAATCACCTTTTAAGCAGTTTGTGGCGGGAGTTACGTGCTGCAGAAAGCGTACTTGCAGAAGCGAGAACAAAGGCAGTTAATTACTCTTTTGCATTTGTTACACCGTACGTCTTACATTCTTGGGAATACATACTTTTGCAGCAATTGCTTGTCAACCTTGTGACTTTACAGCTGCACTAGGGAGGGAAGCAAGAACTCGCCGTGCCTCAAGGAATGTAAAACGATGGAACACAGATAAGCCTCTCTGGGCATAGAGGAGGGATAAGCAGTTAGTATTCTCTCTTAACCCAGTCCCCCCGCCCCGGGGGAGTGGGCTACATTACATTCTACCTTCAAGAAAAATAACAATTTTTCGACCATTACACTTATAAAATTCATTAATTCCCCCTTCAATAGGATGCAACAATCCCGCAGGACTCCCCCGAATTACCCTTGAGATCAGCTTCTCAAACTGAGTCCATTAACATTTGGAGCTGGATGATTCTCTGTGGTGGGGCCATCCTGTGCACTGTAAGGTGGCAAGCAGTGACCCTGGACTCCACCCACCTGTTATCAGTAGCACCTCCCTGAGCTGTGACAACAAAAATGTCTCCAGACTTGTCCAGGGAAGAAGTATCTCCCTGATGGAGCTGAATTGCCATTGGCAGAGAATCTCTGCCACAGACAGATAGAAAGATAGGTAGATGGGTATGATAGACAGATAGATGGATAGATAGAAAGATGATTGATTGATTGAATGACTGACTGGATGGATGGATGGATGGATGGACAATGGGTATGATACATACATGGAAAGAGAAAGATGATACACTGATTAATTGATTGGATGGATGGATGGATGGGTAGGTGGGTAGGTAGATAGGTAACAGATAGGATAGATAGGTGATACATAGATAATTAGGATGGTTAGATAATTGATAGGTAGGTAGGTAGGTAGATAACAGATGGGATGGGTGGAGGGGGGAGGGAGGGAGAGCGAGAGTGGGGAGGGGAGAGAGGGGGAGAGAGAGAGAGAGACAGAAAGAGAGAGACTGACTCTCACGCTAAAGCAGGTTCTCTCAGCCTAGCACTGCCGACATTTGAGGCTGGATGATTCTCTGTAGGGCCATCCTGTGCACTGCAAACCTGCAGAGTGGCGTCCCTGGGCTCCACTCACCACACGCCATCAGCATCCACCCCCAGTAGTGACAACCACAACTGTCCCCAGACACTGTCAAGTGCCCTGTGGGGGAAGGCCGGCCCCCAGTTGAGACCCCCTGTTTTGGAGCAAGCACTGCCCGTAGTATCGCCTGCAATGATAGGAATGTTCTCTATCTGCACTGTCCAAAATGGTAGCCACAAGCTCACAAGTGGCTACTGAGGATTTGAATTGAGGCTATGGAGAGTAAGCAACTGAACTTTTTTTTTTTTTTTTTTGAGACGGAGTCTCGCTCTGTCACCCAGGCTGGAGTGCAGTGGCGCGATCTCAGCTCACTGCAAGCTCCGTCTCCCAGGTTCACGCCATTCTCCTGCCTCAGCCTCCTGAGTAGCTGGGACTACAGGCACCCACCACCACGCCTGGCTAATTTTTTGTATTTCTAGTAGAGACAGAGTTTCACCACGTTAGCCAGGATGGTCTCAATCTCCTGACCTCGTGGTCCACCCGCCTCAGCCTCCCAAAGTGCTGGGATTACAGGCGTGAGCCACGGCGCCAGGTCGTAAGCAACTGAACTTTTATTGCATTTAATGTTAGATGGCTTTAGAGTTCCTACCACTGAGACACACTGAATTCTTTGATTAGGTGTCGGCTTCTAACACTCCATAACCACAATGAAGTGGTTTATGCAGTCCAGGTTTTGAACACAAAATAGCTTTTGGGAAAAAAAAGGAGTCAATATAATAAATGAATGCATCACTTCCATCATGATTGATATTTTCCTGGGTCTCAGGTGCTGTCTACCTCCGAGAAACTGCAATGAACAACACAAGGTTGGTCCCTCATTTAGTTTTGTTTAGTTCCAGTCGGGCTGGAAGGAGGGCAGGAAGCATTAATGACAGTAAGTCTAACAACTTGGGTGACCTCACATGAGTTTGTTCAGACTTGAGGACTTCAAACAACATATCCATAGGAGAACATTGGGATGCATCTAACCTTGGTCAAGGGGTCAGGGAAGGCCTCTTTAAGAAGTAAAATTTCCAGTGAAAATGGGAAGGTGGTGGAGATGGAGGGTTAAAGTCCTGTTCATAAGGTGCTTGGGCAGAGAATGGGCTCAATTAGGCTGCAAGAGGGAGGGTGGAGATGATCACAGCTTAGGGTTTGGGCATCTACGCAGTGAGTGCTGCCGACTTAGGCAAGGTGTGCAGGTGCACAGGGGTCTTTTGGGTTGCTTTGATTTGGGGGAAGAAGGGGACACATTTCATGTTTAACCCAGGGGATGTATTGAGATTGAGGGATAGACTAGGTTGAATGGTGCCCCCCAAAAATATGTCTACATCCTAACCCCTGGTGCCTGTGAATGGCGTCTTATTTGAAAATAGGGTTTTTGAGGCCGGGCGCGGTGGCTCACGCCTGTAATCCCAGCACTTTGGGAGGCTGAGGCGGACGGATCACGAGGTCAGGAGATAGAGACCATCCTGGCTAACGAGGTGAAACCGCGTCTCTACTAAAAATACAAAAAAAAATTAGCCGGGTGTGGTGGCGGGTGCCTGTAGTCCCAGCTACTTGGGAGGCTGAGGCAGGAGAATGGCGTGAACCCGGGAGGTGGAGCTTGCAGTGAGCCGAGATTGCGCCACTGCACTCCAGCCTGGACAACAGAGGGAGACTCCGTCTCAAAAAAAAAAAAAAAAAAAAGAAAAGAAAATAGGGTCTTTGTAGTTTCTATTAAGTAAACAATCTCCAGATAAGGCCATCCTGGATTTAGGGTGGGACCTAAATCCAACAACGGGTGTCCTTCTAAGAGACAGAAGAGGAAAAAAGAGTAATAATAAAAAATGGCCAGTGAGCATGGTGGCTCACACCTGTAATCCCAGCACTTTGGGAGGCCAAGGCGGGTGGATCACCTGAGGACAGGAGTTCGAGACCAGCCTGGCCAACATGGTGAAATCCCGTCTCCACTAAAAATATAAAAAATAAGCCAGGCGTGGTGTCGGGTGCCTATAATCCCAGCTACTGAGGAGGCTGAGGCAGGAGAATCATTTGAACCCGGGAGGCAGAGGTTACAGTGAGCCGAGATGATGCCACTGCACTCCAGCCTGGGCAAAAGAGCGAAACTCCATCACCAAAAAAAATAAAAAATAAATAAATAAATAAATTATTTAAAAAAATAAAGAGCCAGATGAGGAGACACAGACACAGAGGAGAAGGCCACATGGAGACGGAGGCAGACTGGAGTGATATAGCCACAAGCCCAGGGATGCCTGGAGCCCCCAGGAGCTGGGAGATGCAGAAAGGATCCTCCCCTAGAGCCTCCAGAAGGAACTGCATACAACTCTAGTAGACTGAACTGTGGTCCCCACAAAGATATATTCACATCCTCATGTCCAGAACCTGGAATGGGAACTTATTTGGAAATAAGGAACTTTGCAAACGTGATTAAGCTAGGGATCTTGAGATGAGATCGCGCTGGAAAAGGGTGGGCCCTAAATCCAATGACCAGTGTACTTCTAAGAGACAGAAGAGGAGACACAGGCACAGATGAGAAGGCCACGTGGAGACAGAGGCAGAGACTGGAGTGCTGTGGCCACAAGCCCAGGGATGCCTGGAGCCCCCAGGAGCCGGGAGAGGCAGGAAGCTTCCTCCCCCAGAGCCTCCAGAGGGAGCACAATCCTGCCTGCACTTTGATTTCAGACTCCTGGTGTCCAGGCCTGGGAGAGCATAAATTTCTGTTGCTTGCGTTCCCCAGTTTATGGTAATTTGAGACAATGGAGCAGGACACTCATATAAGAGTGTTGCTGGATATCTTGGGAAAAATGGACCCTCCAACGGGCAGTAGTTGGCAATGCACCCTTCAGGGCTCCTAAGAAAGGTCTAAACTAGATGTGTGCTTTGAGACCCAAAGCCTTAAGATGATAACTGAAGTCACAGGCACAGATGAGATCACCCTTCTAATTTATTTAATGCAATGTTTTTCTTTTAACTTTCAGCAGTCCCATATAAAGCTCTTCCTTCCTCTTTCTCTTTTATTGTAACATCCTATTTTTGTGGATGGAGACAATATCCTCTCCAACTCTTCAAAAAAGATGTCTCAAAGTGAGATTTTTTGTTTTCTCTTATATTTCCCTTTTGGATTTTCTTGTTTTGTTTTGCTTTTGTTTTTGTTTTTGAGACAGGATCTTGTTCTGTCGCCCAGGCTGGAGTGCAGTGGCGCAATCTTAGCTCAGTGCAGCCTTGAACTCCCAGGCTCAAGCAATCCTCCCACCTCAGCCTCCTGAGTAGCTGGGACTAAGGTGTGTGCCACCACACTCAGCTAATTTTTGTATTTTTTGTAGAGATAGGGTCTCCCTATGTTGCCCAGGCTGGTCTCAAACTTCTGGGCTCAAGCAATCTTCCCACTCGACCTCCCAAAGTTTGAGTCACAGCGCACATGACCCCCTTTTGCTTTTAATCTTCTCTTAGGTTCTCCGAATGATCTGTCATTTCTGGGACCACATGTCTTTACTTCCATTAAGCTCTCCCACAGTTTCACTGATAGCTAGATGCCAGATTCATGGTGGTTTTCCTAAGAATGACACATCAGAAAGAGTGCCTCAGGTTTCTTCGGTGTAAATGATGCTGGGGGACAGCACTATCCTGGAGTGCCACCACCCCGCTGTCTTCTGTAGCTCTCTCCTACCCAGTGCCTGCCTTTTCATTTCCTTCTATTTCTTTACAAAGAAAACCCTACTGGTGAAAGCTTGCATCCTCCCAAAATTCCCGTGTTGAATCCTCATCCCCAAGGTGATGATGTTAGCAGGTGGGGCCTTTGGGAGGTGTTGAGGTCATGAGGGTGGAGCCTCATGAATGGGATCAATGTCCTTATTAAAGGGACCCTAGAGAGCTCCCTCACCCTTTCCACCATGTGAGGACACAGTGAGAAGGCGCCGTCTATGAACCAGGAAGCCCTCACCAGACACCGAATGTGCCACGCCTTGATCTGTGACTCCCAGCCTCCAGAACTGGGAGCAATAAATGTCTGTTTAAGCCCCCCAGTCTATGATACAGACACTCCTCAACTTACAATGATGACATTACACCCCATAAACCCTTTGTAAGTTGAAAATATGGTAAGTCAAAAATGCATCGAATACACCTAACTTACGAACATCACAGCTTAGCCCAGCCTGCCCTAAACGTGCTCGCAACATTTACATTAGCCTACAACTGGGCAAAATCACCTAACGTGAAGCCTAGTTTACAATCAAGTATTGAATGCCTCATGTAATTTACTGAATACTGCACTGCAAGTTAAAAACAGAACAGTTGCATGGGTACTCGAAGCGCGGGTTCCACGGACTGTGTCTTTCTCACCATCGTAAAATCAAAAAATCTTCAATCGAACTATCCTAACTCAAACTACCATAACTCAAACCATCATAAATGGAATCATCATAAATTAGGGATCTTCTTTATAAGACAGACTTTTTTTTGTTTGGCTGGACGCGGTGGCTCACAACTGTAATCCCAGCTCTTCGGGAGGCCGAGGGAGGCGGATCACTTGAGGTCAGGAGTTTGAGACCAGCCTGGCCAACAAGGCAAAACTCTGTCCCTACTAAAAAAACAAAAAATAGCCAAGCATGGTGGCATGTGCCTGTAATCCCACCTACTTGAGAGGCTGAGGCACGAGAATCACTTGAACCCGGGAGGTGGAGGTTGGGGTGAGCCAAGATTGCATCACTGCACTCCAGCCTGGGCGACAGAGCAAGACTGTCTCAAAAACAAACAAACAGAACAAACAAACAGACAAACAAACAAAAAGCTACCTACTCACCAGGCACAGTGGCTCATGCCTGTAATCCCAACACTTTGGGAGGCCGAGGCAGGAGGATTATTTGAGGCCAGAAGTCTGAGACCAGCTTGGATAATACGGCAAACCATCCCCACACCCCCATGTCTACTAAAAATACAAAAAATTAACCAAGTATGGTGGTATGTGCCTGTAGTCTCAGCTACTCGGGAAGGCGCGGCACGAGGACTGCTTGAGCCCAGGAGGTGAAGGCTGCAGTCAGCTATGATTACGCCACTGCACTCCAGCCTGGGTGACAAAGCAACACCCAGTTTCTAAAAAAAATAGAAAGAAGTCACTTGCTCTATCTTCACCATCCTGCTATTAAATTGGAGACCTGCTTCCTGCACACTCTGTTACTCCTTTATCTCCTGGGTCACTAATCTGAGAACAATCCTACTTCTTACTTTCCTTATCACCAGGCAATGTTTGTTTTCATTAATCACAATGTCCTTTTTTTTTTCTTTTTTTTTTAAGATGCGGTCTCACTCTGTCACCCAGGCTGGAGTAGAGTGGTGTGATTATGGCTCACTGCAGTTCCAACTTCCAGGCTCAGGCGATCGTCCTGCGTCAGCCTCCTGAGTAGCTGGGACCACAGGTGCTCGTCGCCATGCCCGGCTACACTTTTTTGTTTTTGTTTTTGTAGAGACAGGTTCTTACTGTGTCGCCTAGGCTGGCGTTGACCTCCCAGGCTCAAGCAGTCCTCCCGCCTCGGCCGCGCAAAATGCTGGGATGACAGGCATGGGCAACCGCACACAGCCATGAATCACCATGTTTTCTTTACACAGTCTGGGAACCCCAGCTGAGAGTCACACAGAACATGCTTTCTGGAACAAGGGCATCCCAAGGGAACAATTGACAAAATCGCCTTTTGGAGCACACACAGGTCTACCCAGGGGCACTCTCTGTTCTGCTCACTCAACAAGAACACCAGGCAGCCAGCTAGGGAACAGAGGATTCCTTTCCCACACAATGCGGCCATTCTTTCCTGAGCAGGTGGGTGGGCCAGCCGCTTAGTTTCATCTGAACATTTGCCAACATCCAAAGAATTAGAGTGTTTTCAGCAGCCTTAAGCGTTGTCATGAAATCAGCCAAAAACCTGTGATGCGTATGGCTGGGTGTACAACTACGGATCTTGTAGTGACTATCGTATATGCTGGCATACCACAGAGCCACAGACGCAGGAAGAAATGCAAAGCATCCTACTGAAAAAACTCACCAACTACATAGAAAGAAGCAATTTTTCTCTTTTTCTCTTTTTTATTTTTAGAGAGATGGGGTTTTGCTGTGTTGCCCAGGCTGGTCTCGAACTCCTGGGCCTTGAAAGGTGAGAGTGATCCTCCCACCTCGGCCTCCCAAAATGGTGCAATTACAGGCATGAGCCACCGTGTCCAGAAAAAGAAGTAGGTTTTCACTTTTTGTTGTTGTTGTTGTTGTTTTGTTTTTGTCTTTGTGGTTTTTTCTACATGTGTTTTGTTTTTTGTTTTTGTGTGTGTGTGTATTTTTTGAGACAGGGTCTCACTGCCGCTCAGGCTGGAGTGCAGTGGCATACACAGTGGTGTGATCTCGGCTCACTGCAACCTCCGCCTTCCGGGTTGAAGCGATTTTCGTGTCTCAGCCTCCCGAGTAGCTGGGATTACAGATGCCCGCCACCACACACCCGGCTAATTTTTGTAGTTTTGGTAGAGACAGAGTTTCACCATGTTGGCCAGGCTGGTCTCAAACTCCTGACTTCAAGTGATCCGCCCACCTCAGCTTCCCAAAGTGCTGGGATTACAGATGTGAGCCACCCCACCCAACCAGGTTTTCACTTTTAGAGAGGTGGAGAATCTATCCCAGACCACACACTCGCCCACCATCCCACAACTTCCAAAATTCTTTTTTTTTTTTTTTTGAGATGGAGTCTCGCTCTGTCACAGATGTGTGCCACCACGCCCAGCTAATTTTTATTTTATTTTTTTTTTTGAGACAGAGTGTCACTCTGTCGCCCAGGCTGGAGTACAGCGGCACCATCTCGGTTCACTGCAATCTCTGCCTCCCAGGTTCAAGCAATTCTCCTGCCTCAGCTTCCCAAGCAGCTGGGACTACAGGCGTGCACCACTACGCCCGGCTAATTTTTTGCATTTTAGGAGAGACGGGGTTTCACCATGTTGCCCAGGCTGGTCTCAAACTCCTAAGCTCAGGCAATCCACCCACCTCAGCCTCCCAAAGTGCTGGGATTACAGGCGGGAGCCACCGTGCCCGGCATTTTTTAAAGTTTTTCTTTTTCTTTTCTTTTTTTGAGGTGGAGTCTCACTCTGTCACCCAGGCTGGAGTGCAGTGGCACAATCTCAGCTCACTGCAACCACCGCCTGCCGGGTTCAAGTGATTCTCTCACGTCAGCCTCCCAAGTAGCTGGGATTACAAGCACCTGCCACCACGCCCAGCTATTTTTTTGTATTTTTAGTAGAGACGGGGTTTCACCATTATGGCCAGGATGGTCTCAAACTCCTGACCTCAGGTGATCCACCCGCCTTGGCCTCCCAAAGTGCTGGGATGACAGGAGTGAGCCACGGCGCCCAGCCAGGGTTTCACTCTTAAAGAGGTAGAGAATCTCCATCCCAGGTCACACACTTGCCCACCATCCCACAACTTCCAAAGTTCTAAATGAGCATCAGAAACACTACAGCCAAATGGCACAATTTCAATTGAGAATGCTTTCAGTGCAACCTTCCTGTTTATTTTTACTTTTCCCTTTGAAGGAAGACAAGCTCCCGGAACTCACACAGCTGTCCTGAAATGCATCGTATTTAAGGACATGCCTCTGTAGCAGGTGGCGGCTGCCTTGTTTTCTGCACTTATTTCTGTGGCTTTTTGGGTGAAGAGGAGACTGGGAGTGTTGATTACACAGAGGAGGAAGCTGGAGCTAAAACAGCACCAGCTGAGTAAGAGAAACTTAAAAAAAAGCAGAGCTCAATCAGAGCCTAATAGTCACAAGCTATGAACACATCAGACTACAAAAAACCAAAATTAGGCGGTGACCTTTGAAGGTCAAAAGGGATGGAGTTTCCTAACAGTTTTCCTCGGTTACAATTCTACTTCTTCTAGGACCCTCTGGCTTGTGACAGCCAAAGCACCAGCTCAGAATCTGTATCAAAATACAATGTTTCAGGAAATTCCAGAAACCTAAAACGAGTGGAAAAAACGAAAGAAAAACCAGAGCAAAACGCAATGTAACTGAAAACAGGAAGTTAACGGAGAAACATAAAGGAAACCCTAAGCTGTTTCTTTGCAAAGACTGATGAAATTGATAAACCAGAATCTATTCTCAAAATAAAATCCTAACCTATTTAAGGATAAACTAAACAAAAGCCTTAATACATAAAATCACGTCCAACAACAACTATTTGTATTCAACTATCCAGGGAATATTTTGAGTCGTTACTGATTTTTTTTCTATGTTTTTCTTTTACTTTTTTCTTCTCTTTTTTTTTCCTTCTTCTTTCTCTTTTTTCTTTTCTTTCTTTTCTTTCATGGTCTCACTCTGTCACCCAGGCTGGAGTACAATGGTGCAATCATAGCTCACTTCGACCTCGACCTCTTGGGCTCAAGTGATCCTCCCACCTCGGCCTCCCAAGTTGCTGGGACTACAGGCACGTGCCACCACGCCCAGCTAATTGTTTGTTGTTGTTGTTGTTGTTGTTTGTAGAGACAGGTTTTCACCATGTTGCCGAGGCTAGAGGCTAGTCTCGAACCCCTGGCCTCAAGCGCTCCACCCACCTCAACCTCCCAAAGTGTTGGGGGATTACAGGTGTTCAGCCACCAAGCCCAGCCCGAAAATCAATGAAGTTGACAAGACACAATCTGTTTTCAAAAGAAAATACTAAACTGTTTAAGGACGAACTAAAGAAAAGCTTTAATAAACAAAATCATTCTATTCCAGTGTCCAGGGAATATTTTGAGTCATTATGGACTTTTTTTCTATATAAATTATTTTTTTCTTCTGTTTTCTTTCTTCATCTTTTATTTCCTTTTCTTTTTTTCCTTTTCTTTCTTTTCTTTCAGAATGTTGCTCTGTCACTAAGGCTGGAGTGCAGTGGCGCCATCATAGCTCACTGCAGCCTCCAACTCCTGGGCTCAAATGATCCTCCTGCCTCAGCCTCCTGAACAGCTGGGATTATAGGTATGCGCCACCACACACGGCTGATTTTATTTTTTGTAAAGACAAGGTCTCACTATGTTGTCCAGGCTAGTCTAGAACTGCTAGCCTCAAATGATTCTCCCTCCTTGACCTCCCAAAGCACTAGGATTATAGGCGTGAGCCACTGTGTGTCGCCTACTTTTTCTGAAGGTGTCATTGTAAACAAAATCAACCAGCCCATGAAGAGGAAATTCTAGACAAGTTGCTTTCTCAGCACCTTTTGATTTTTGGAATCTCATCCAAGCTGGATTTTGCGATCTTTGAAGAATAATTCCCTATGACATTGTCTCCAACCATAAGCTAGTTCTGTCAGCGGCATCTGAACCAGAGCAACTCCATCTTGAAGAGGAGCTGGGTAAAATGAAGCTGAAGCCTGTTGGGCTGCATGCCCAGATGGTTAAGGCATTCTAAGTCACGGGATGAGATAGGAGGTCAGCACAAGATGCCGGTCATAAGGAGCTTGCTGATAAAACAGGTTGCGGTAAAGAAGCTGGCCAAATCCCACCCAAACCAAGATGGTGACAAGAGTGACCTCTGGTTGTCCTCACTGCTACACTCCCATCAGCGCCATGACAGTTTACAAATGCCACGGCAACGTCAGGAAGTTACCCTATTTGGTCTAAAAAGGGGAGGCACGAATAATTCACCTTTCGTTTACCATATAATCAAGAAATAGCCATAAAAATGGGCAACCAGCAGCCCTCGAAGCCACTCTGTCTATGGAGGAGCCATTCTTTTATTCCTCTACTTTCTCAATAAACTTGCTTTCACTTTACTCTATGGATTTGCCTTGAATTTTTTCTTGCACAAGATCCAAGAACCCTCTCTTGGTGTCTGGATATGGACCCCTTTCTGTTAACAGCTCTGTTCCCTCCACTCTTGTCCTCTCATTGCCAAGACTCCAACATAAGCATGCATACCCAAATAAACGCAGGCAGGCTTCACAGGGTCCCCCTCTGCCTGCCCATCCAAAGAGATCCCAGGTGCCCTAAGCATGACAAAGCACTTCTTTCTTCTGTGCCAAGGTTTCTCTGGCCACACCTGTGTGCAACCCTTTTGTTCTGCAAAATGACTCCCAAGGGAATGATTCACCAAGGTGAAAACATCCACCAAATTAGTTGTCAACGATTTTAAAAGAACCCTCCACAGGCTGCCCTCCAAATCTCTTTGATGGGGTACCTCCCCAGTATAACATCCAAAATAACTACCTCGGAGAATAATGTAATGCCCACACACAACGCATGCTAAGTAAATGGTAGCGTGGGTTGCAAGGATCTGTGTGGACTTGTGCAATTTAACAGGAACTGCGTGAGACAACTTCCTTTTTCTATGTCCTGGTGAAAAATTCCAGTGGATTTTTAAACAGGTACGAGGGCATGGAGGCCAGCAGGGAAGACATTGTATAGAAGGAAGGTCTATTTTTCTTTTTTTTTTTTTTAATTGAGGCAGGGTCTCACTCTGTCACACAAGCTAGAGTGCAGTAGCACAATCGCAGCTCACTGAAGCCTCTACCTCCCGAGCTCAAGCAATCCTCCCGTCTCAGCCCCCCGAATAGCTGGGACCACAGGCATGCGTCCCCATGCGTGGCTGACTTGTTTTCCCCCTTTGTAGCAGTGGGGTCTTCTTATGTTGCCCAGGCTGGTCTCAAACGTCTGGACTCAAGTGATCCTCTCACCCTGGCCTTCCAAAGTGCTGGGATTACACGTGTGAGCCAAAGCCCAGCCGTATTTTTCAAACATATTAAAGAATGACCAGGGTCTAACCTTGACAGTTCTGGATTAAGCAGGATGGAAAGGCCCAAACTAGTCATATGGACAGTTTTATGTCCTCCTCTCTTCTCTTCTCTCCACCTTATGAGAGAATGAGCTGGGCATGGTGGTGTGTCCCTGTAGTCCCAGCTACTTGGGAGACTGAGGCAGGAGGATCACTTGAGCCCTGTAGTTTGAGGCTGCAGCTGAGCTATTGATTGCACCCCTACTGCACTCCAGCCTGGGCGACAGAGCAACACCTTGTCTCTAAAAAACAAAACAAATAAAATCATGATAATCCCTTGACCTGGCCACTGTATCATCTGACAGAAGACATGAAAGGCTGGAAGAACTGCCCAGAGGTGTCCCACAGGAAATTCCTCCATAGGAAACTCACCATACTGGCAACAGCCTCCCACACTGATAACCTCTGTGTGGTCTCCTTAGACCACAGGAAGGTGGAAGCCATCAGTGCTGGAGGGGGAAGGAATTTCCATCCTCGCACCTGAGTCTCCTCTGCAAATCATTTACATCTTCGCTAAAGGTGTTCAGACAGGGTAGGGTGAGTCTCCTGGATGCCTATTCTGCCATCATGGGAGAATTGCTGGGAGGCTTCAAATGCATCTAATGTGTTTTTGGGTTTTTTTGGTTGTTTTTTTTTTTTTTTTTTTGAGATGGAGTCTCACTCTATCACCCCAGGTTGGAGTGCAGTGGCACAGACTCGGCTCACTGCAACCTCTATCTCCCGGGTTCAAGTGATTCTCCTGCCTCAGCCTCCTGAGTAGCTGGGATGACAGGCACCCACTACGGTGCCCAGCTAATTTTTGTATTTTTGGGTACAAACGGGGTTTTGTCATGTTGGCAAGGCTGGTTTCGAACTCCTGATCTCAAGTGATCTGCCCACCTCGGCCCCCAAATTGCTGGAATTACAGGTGTGAGCCCCCACACCCGGCCTCTAATGGCTATTTATCATGTTTTCTCCTACTCAGATCAAATGCAAATGCCAACTGGACTTTCACTTAAGATCCTAATGGGGAAGCAAAATGTCCATCATCCTGTCTCACCCAACACAGCACAGAATCGGAGACGCCGGGAAAACATGCCCACCCAAGAAATGCAGCGTGAAAACGCTCCAGAAAGGAGGAGCTTCTTGAAAGTATTGGTTGCATTAGTTTCATTCTTCTTGCACAAGGGAACCCTGGAAAAAAAGGGGCCTGCCAAGTTTACCCGCACACACGTATTACCAAATTCATCCACATGCCCAGGTTTCTGTGCAAACAATCTGCCCTCTAGCACCTGTGTTTCTGTCTTGCTCCTCCAGTAGGATACAAGATTTGCTTCTGGGATTCTAAAGTACATAGGTCAGGCAGGGCGTGGTGGCTCACGCCTGTAATCCCAGCACTTTGGGAGGCTAAACTGGGAGGATCACTCGAGGCCAAGAGTTCAAGACCAGCCTGGGCAACATGACGAGACTATCTCTACCAAAAAAAAATCAAAACAATAGCCTGGCGTGGTGATGCACACCTGCAGTCCCAGCTCCTCAGGAGGCTGAGGTGAGAGGATCCCTTGAGCCTGGGACGTCAATGCTGCAGTGACACCACGTCACTGCACTCCAGCCTGGGTGTCCGAGTGAGACCCTGTCCAAAAAAAAAAGGAGTGAGATAATGCCGTATTTGTCTCTCTGTGCCTGGCTCATTTCTCAGAGCATAATGACCTCCAGTTGCATCCACATTGTTGCAAATGACAGGACTTTATTCTTTTTACAGGCTGAATAGTACTCCATTGTGTAGAGACCACATTTTCTTCACCCAGTCATCTGCTGACGGGCAAGTGGGTTGTTGCCCTATCTTGGCTGTTGTGTGACTCGTGCTGCAGTGAACCTGGGAGTGCAGGTATCTCTTCACTGTATGTGGTTTTAAGCTACTATATTTGCGGTCCTTCATTCCAGCAGCCACGCAAGACTAAGACAGTGTGAAAGAGCATAAAAGAGGTAATGATAGACCAGCGCATTGCAGCTGCCTTTCCATGGACCCTGCCGCGTGGGGTGAATAGAGCCCCATCTAAATCCATTTCGGCTGCCATCACAAAACACGGCAGACTGGGGCTTAGAAACAACAGACATTTACCGCTGTCAGTCCTGGAGGCTACAAGTCCAAGATGAAGGTATGGGAGATTCAGAGTTTGGTGGGGACCGGCTTTCTAATTAACAGACGGTGCCATCTCACTGTGTCCTCATATAGTGGAAGGGGTGAGGGAGCTCTCTGGGGTCCCTTTTATAAGGACATTGATCCCATTCATGAGACCCCACCCTAGTGACCCCATCACCTCCTAAAAGCCCCACCTCCTAACACCATTACCTTGGGGATTAGGGTTTTGACATAAGAATCTTGGGGTGGGGGACACAAATATGATGATGGTGGCCCCAGACTTGGTTTTGGGACTGGACCCACCACAGTAGAGGACCACGGGGAGGCCACCTGGAGAAACAGGCAGAGGGAACCCGTCACACAGAAACATCGGTTCCACCTTCTCACACTGGGCTTACCAGGAAGCTTCTAACCACAGACTTTTCTAACAGGGAAAACGAGGTCACAATTCTAAGTAAAGCACTTTCAGCTTTTTGGAAGGGATGCCTTAGGGCTTCCTCTGTATTTCCCCCAAGGTTTTTCTTTTCTTTTTTTTTTTTTGAGACAGAGTCTTGCTCTGTCGCCCAGGCTGGAGTGCAGTGGTGTGATCTCGGCTCACTGCAAGCTCCACCTCCCGGGTTCATGCCATTCCGCTGCCTCAGCCTCCCCAGCAGCTGGGACTAACAGGCGCCCGCCACCACACCCGGCTAATTTTTTTTTGTATTTTTAGTAGAGACGGGGTTTCACCGTGTTAGCCAGGATGGTCTCGATCTCCTGACACTTCATGACCCGCCTGCCTCAGCCTCCCAAAGTGCTGGGATTACAGGCATGAGCCACCGCACCCGGCCGGTTTTTCTTTAAAAAAAAAAAAAAAACCACAATGTCATCAACATTACTACCTTTTTAAGATATATCTCTCACTCTTTTTTTCAACTTTACATATGCGATTTCATGCTGGAGAGAAGAGGAAACTGATGGATAGAAAAGGTTTACTTTTTGGAGACCCTACAGTGTGCCAGGCACTGTGTACTCATCTCCCTTGATACTTTCTTTATTTTTGACATAGGGTCTTGCTCTGTTGCCCAGGCTGGAACACAGTGGCACCATCATGGCTCAGTGCAGTCTCCACCTCCTGGGCTCAAGCAATCCTCCTGCCTCAGCCTCCCTAGTAGCTGGGACTACAGGTGCATTCCATCACACCCAGCTACTTAAAAAAATTTTTTTTTGTAGCGATGGGGTAGTGCTATATTGTCCAGACAGATCTTGAGCTCTTGGGCTCAAGTGATCCTCCCACCTCAGAGTCCCAAAGTGCTGGGTACAGGCGTGAGCCTCCACACCTGGCCTCCCTTGAATTTTTATTTTTTGAGACAAGGTCTCTGTCACCCAGGCTGGAATGCAGTAGCACGATCTCAGCCCACTGCAACCTCAACCTCCTGGGCTCAAGCGATTCTCATGCCTTCGCCCTCCTTTGATTTTTACAAGTATGTCTCTTCCTGGTGGGGGGTGTCTGCTGCTTTCGAGAGTTTAACGTCTCCCTTCTTTGCAGCGTGCCCATGAACTGTAGATGACTCTGCTTTTGTCGTCCAATCCCAATGTGCACGCCCTGCTTTCCCGGGGAGGAGGCAGCGTGCTGCAGGCGAAACCCATTGGGCACACAGCATCCCTTCTCTCAGACCCTCTTTCCCATTAAGAAAATAAGGCTACAAGCATGGTGGATGCACCTGTAGTCCCAGCTACGTGGGAGGCTGAGGCGGGAGGATCACTTGAGCCCAGGAGCTCGAGACCAGCCTGGGCAACATAGCAATGCCCATCTCTACAAAAATAAATACATAAATTAGCTGAGTGTGGTGGTGCACGTCTGCAGTCCCAGCTACTTGGGAGACTGAGGTGGGAAGATTGCTTGAGCCTGGGAGGTCGAGGCTGCAGTGAGCTGTTGATTGCACCACGGCACCCCAGCCTGGGCGACAGAGTAAGACCCTGTCTCTAAACAAAAAAGCAAAAAGAAAATAACACTAATGTTGTCATGGTGGAGCTTCTGCCCATAGAGAAACTAATGTACATATTGTACCCGTCCAGTACTTGGCATCAGTGAGTGTCATAAAGAACAACTGCCGATAATGCCATCATCCATTCATTTATTTATTCACACACAGAGTGACCAGCTTGTCCCTGTCTCTGCCTGCGACTCTCCCAGCTAGCACTGAAGGTTTCCCACCTCAGGAAACCCCAGGCACATGAGGAGGGTTGATTTCTCTATTCATGCGGTGGATGGTCTTGGGCACACACTAAGTGCCGGGTCTGTTCTTTGGATGTGGGAGATGAAAGTGGCTCCAACACACAGAGGTCCCTGCACACTTGGCATTTATGTGCCAGCAGCGGAGGCAGGCAGAATGCTTGAGCCCAGGGGTTCAAGTCTAGCCTGGGCAACACAGCGAGACCCTGTCTCTTTTATTTAAAATAAGTCCTGCACATGTATCTTAATTTAACTTAAATTTAATTTAACATGTATTTTAACTTAAATTAAAAAAATAAAATGAAATAAACAATGAAGAGGAGAAACCGGCAGGACTTCTATCCTTGGAAATGTTCTCTGATGTGTAATATTTGATCTCATCTCTTGGCATTTGCGTGATGCACTTAAAGGAAACTGTCATTCACACATGCATGAGCCTGTCTCACACGGAGCACCCACATAAGGTAAATAAGATCAAAGGGCTGAGCTCCACTTTCTGTGTATTGTTAGGCTACAAACAACACTCCTAATTGCTATGTCAACACTGCCCACAAGGCTGCTGATTTATGCACACAGTAGAATCTCACCAGTTCAGATGCCATTCGTCCCGGCAGCATGCTGTGTGACAGACAGGGTGGGGATGCCGTGGACTCAATGTCTGTGTCCCCCTAAAATTCCTGTGTTGAAATCCTCACCTGCAAGGTAATGGTGTCAGGAGGTGAGGCCCTAGGGAGGTGATGAGGTCGTGAGGTTGGAGCCTCATGAATGGGATCACTGCCCTTATAAAGGGGCCCCAGAGAGCTCCCTCACCCCTTCCACCATGTGAGGACACAGCGAGAAGGCACCATCTATGAACCAGGAAGCAGGTCCCCACCAGACACCAAATCTGCCATGCCTTCATCTTGGACCTCCAGCCTCTGAACTGTGAATAAATGTCTGTGGTTTATAAGCCACCCAGTCGGTGGTGTTTTGCTACAACTGCCTGAACCGACTAACTTGAGGCATTAATAAGAACCCAGCAACAAGGAGAGGAAAGGAAATTCTGGCCAATTCAGGAGAACCAAGGACAAGAGAAAACCTACCAGTATAAGCACTTTAGATCTGAGAACCATGTATCATTAATTATGAAGATCTCCTAGCTCTTAAGAAAATAAAATATTTTCAGATTGTATAGTGTGTGAAAGTTTAAAAAAAAAAAAAGTGTCTGGCCAGGCACGGTGGCTCACACCTGCAATCCCACCTCTTTGGGAGGCCAAGGCGGGCGGATCGCCTGAGGTCAGGAGTTTGAGACCAGCCTAATCAACATGGAGAAACCCCATCTCTACTAAAAATATAAAATTAGCCAGGCATGGTGGCACATGCCTGTAATCCCAGCTCCTCGGGAGGCTGAGGCAGGAGAATCGCTTGAACCCGGGAAGCAGAGGTTGTGGTCAATACACTCCAGGCTGGGCAACAAGAGTGAAACTCTGTCTCAAAAAAAAAAAAAAAGTGTCGAGCAAGACCGAGGGGTGTTCTGTGGTGAGGGAATTCATCCTGCACCATGGTTTGGAGGGTGGTAGCTGCCAAATCCACACACTGGGTAAAACTGCACAGAACTCTACACACACACTCGCAAACACAAATGAGCACCTTTTGAAAACTAATAAAGCCTGAACAAGCCGGGCACGATGGCTCATGCCTGTATATAGTCCCAGCACTTTGGGAGGCCAAGGCAGGAGGATTGCTTGAGCCCAGGAGTTCAAGGCTGGAGTGAGCCGAGATCGCACCACTGCACTCCAGACTGGGCAACAGAGTGAGACCCTGTCTCAAAAAAAAAAAAAAAAAAAAGCTGAACGAGGTATGTGTTCTCTTTAATAAGGATATACCAACATCGATGACATGGTTCTGATATTGTCCCACGGATATGAAGACGTCACCATGGGGAAGTTGGCTGAAGGGTCCATGAGACTCCAGGTACTGTTTTTGAAATCCCCTGTGAGTCTGTATTTCAAAAAATATATATTTTTAATAGGGGTCTAGGAACTTTGGAGTCTTCCTCATCGTCATCGTGTAGGACAGGTTCCGTCATTATTTCCCTCTGTAGATGAGTAAATGCAGAACTAGGCTGAGAAAAGGAAAATGAAATGTGGACCCAAGGCCTGGCCACTGGTTTACCTGTTGAATTACCTCCTTCCTGACAGGTTAACACTTGGGGTACCCATGACAAGCAAGCACTGGGTTGTAGATGCCAAATGATTCCATAAGGACACTTCTGGGAAAAAACCCAAGTATTTTTTATCTGATATATAGAGAAAGGAATTCTCAAGTGGTCATTTTAAGTAGGAAATTGGTAAAATAAGGCTGGTAGATGGCTGCACAGATTCATCCTCTTCTCTCTACATAGGGTGAGTTTTTCATTTCCATAATATCATTTTCTTATTTTATTTTTTATAGAGAGGATCTCGCTCTATCACCCAGGCTGGAGTACGGTGGCGCGATTGTGGTTGACTGCAGCCTTGACCTCCTGGGCTCAAGTGATCCTCTTGCCTCAGCTTCCCAGGTAACTCAGGTATGCGCCACCATGCCCAGCTAACTATTACTACTATTTTTTTTAAGAGATGAGGGTCTCACTATATTGCCCAGGCTGGTCTGGAACTCCCGGCCTCAAGTCATCCTCCCACCGCGACCTCCCAAATAGCTGGGACTACAGGCACGCACCACTGTACCTGGCCCTGAAATTTCTTTTTTTAAAGCACAATTGTTCTCCATCATAGGAACAAGCATGGCTTGGTTATATGAACAAGAAATTTGAAGAACCAGATTGAAAACCATTTTTTCTCTGAGGACTAGTATGACTGTTCTGATCCAAAGTTCCTAAAACGAAATCGGCCTTTAGACCAGACGTACTCCAGAATCCCTTCACGCATAAAAAAGAAAAAAAGAATCCATTATCAGACTTTTCACAACTGCAAACTGCACTCTTTCTTCCTAACTACCTGACCTTGAGGAAAACTGGTCAATCTAGAACGCTGACAAGTTTCTTTTTCTCTCTGTCGCCCAGGCTGGAGCGCAGTGGTGTGATCTTGGCTTACTGCAACCTCTGCCTCCTGGGTGCAAGCAATTCCTCTGCCTCAGCCTCCTGAGAAGCTGGGATTACAGGCGCCCGCCACCACGCCCGGCTAATTTTTGTATTTTCTCAGTAGAGACAGGGTTTCACCATGTTGGCCAGGCTGGTCTGGAACTCCTGAGCACAAGTGATCCGCCTGCCTCGGCCTCCCAAAGTGCTGGGACTACAGGTATGAGCCACCACGCCCAGCCTGTGATTGGCTTTAAGTCATAGAAAATAGGATTGCTCAGCTGGCAATCTGCATACAGATCCCCTCTGCCCACCCCCCAAAAAGTTCAGTACTCCTGCGGGTGCTTGTTTGGGGCCTGAGAGAATTCGGAATGAGGGCGAAAGAGCACTTAAAAGCAAACTTATGTTCCTGTAGTGACAGTTTAGGATGAAGAGAGGTCACACCCACCCAGACTGGGTTTCAACTCCAGACTGAGACTCAAGCTCACCCCTCACTATTCTCCATCACGCCTTGGAAAACAGTCCAAAGCTGCTGTAGATTGTGGCTTAGAGACACAATCGTGAAGGATCTAAAAGGCTTAGGATTTTATAAAATGTATTATTTTAGGTGAATCACACTCAGATTGCTCTTTAACCAACAATAAAGAAACGGGCTTGGATAAAAGGTTGCAGATAATGTCACCAAAGCTGTGCAGTTGTCATGAGAGAGTGTTCCAGACGTGCATGCAAACATACACACACACACCCCTGGGTCCTGGTCCCCTGCTGTCCAATGAGTGTGGGATACCTAGCCCTCCTGTCACATCGTTGGAGCTCACAGGAAGTTATCCTTGAGAAAGGAGCATCATCCTCATCCTCATTAAGAGAGCACTGACTGGACTGAAAAAAAAAGCTGACTCCCCGCCCAGCCAGCTTGGTCCCCAGAGGCAGCGACACTCTATTTTTAAAGATGAGGTTACCCGCTGGGCACCCTAAGCTGACTTGACGTCAAACTGAGTGGCCCCCTGTGACACCAGAACCCCTCACCTCTGCCGCCCTCCTGCCCGCATCCTGCTCTCTGCCCCGGCCTCCAGCCCCAGCTCCACCTTTCCCAAGGGACCCATGTGGGTGCCCCAAAGAATGACAAACGCTGGTGCTGAGTGCCAAGGAACGGCTGGACCTCATCAATTTTCCATTGTCGAGTTGTATTTCCACCTACTGTGGCGGCTGCGCCAGTCAGGGTTCCTGCCCCACCCTTCTTCCGCGCAAAACACACCCAGCTCTAAGATTAGACCAGGACAGCTTTCCGGGGGGACCAAGACAAGGGGGAAGGCAGAGAGAGAGGAGGGAGGGAGACAGAAAAACCAAGACCGGAAGGGGACAGGGAGAGAGACACCAAGAGACAGAGGAGGAGAAATGCAGAGAGACTTGAACAGAGACAGAAAGAGGGAGAGAGAAGAGAAACAGAGAAAAGAGAGAGAGAATGAGATAAAGAGGAGGAGGGAGGGAGAGGAGAAAGAGAGAGGGCCTCCTCCCACTCTGTCCTTCCAAATTCAGGCTTTCCTCGTGGGCCCTTCCTCAAGGTCTAAGTGGCAAAGAGGTCACTGAAGGAAGCTAAGTCCCCTCTTCCTCAGCGGTTCTAAAGGCCCCACTGGCTATGCCCGCTGGTCTTCCTAAGTCATAAGCTATGGCCTCGAGCCCTTGGGCTTCCCAGCCCAGCTTCCTCCTTTCCAAAATGAGGACAAACAGGAGTTAGAGGGCCTGAGAGCCGACGCCTCACCAACACACCCAGGACAGCCCCCTCTACTCTCCCATTTATTTTCTTGACAGCCAACACCCCACTTAGCCATACGGAGTCCCTAAGTGGCACAGGCGGGCCGATGACAACTGTTTAAATCCAGCGCCCACGTTCAGTTGGGATATTCTGACCCACTCAGGGCTGCTCCATAAAGCAGCGCGTGTCCGGATGCAAGAGCACCGAGAACTCGAAACCTCTCTGTCAAGCTGCCCATTCGGGGTTAAGTTCAAAGACAGAGGACAAAGGAAACGGATAAAGCGTCCGATACAAGAATTACCCATTTCAGAGGCACAAGACGAAGAGCACAGGCGGTGTCAGGACATGTTAGGATCCGTCCCCAGCGCTGCCGTCCTCGTCCCCACAGCGCCCCGGGACACCTGTCCCCCACAGCCCAGCTGCTCCTGCAGCCCCTGGAGAAATCTGTACATTCCCTGCCTCTGGGCACACAGGGAGGCTGGCCTAGGGGAGGCCTGCAGGGGTCTTCGCACCCCGCGCCAGTGTCCCTGGGGCCGCTGCCAGGGAGGGAGCACGAGGTCCCCCAGGCGAGGTGACCCGCAGGAGGTTTTGTGACGTCGGACGGCCCAGGCCCCAGAGTGCTGTGTGTGCTGGGGGTGGAGGGTGGTCTCCGAGAGGAGCCGTCGGCATTTCAGGTTAGGCACCCGGCCGGTCGGGGGTACTTGCCTGGGCTGGGGGGCTGGGGAGTGCGCTCCACCCGGGAAGACCCGGGGCGCAGGTGCAGCCCCGCACGGGGACTCCGAGCCGAAGTAGCGGGTCAGGGCCCTCCCCAGGAGGTCGGCACCCAGGGCCCTTTGTCCTACTACAACGTCCCGGCCACGCCGCGCGCCCCTGTGGGCCGAGTCCCCGCCCGCACTCACTCACCCACGGTGGCCAGCGTGTCAAAGTCCTGCAGGCTGTACACAGGCGGCTCCGGCGACAGCGCCTCAGGGCTGGGGCAGAGCGCGGGCGCCCCGTCGGGGGTCTCCTCCGCCACCTTGCGGGAGTCGCTCTCCGCCGCGGCCGCCTGGGCCAGCCCGGGCGCCTCCATGGGGACGCACTCAGGTCCGGGGCACCGGGCCAGGCCGGAGCGCTCGGGGAGCCGGGCTTCCCGGGACGCAGCCTCGGAGGGCGGCGCGGCGGCGGCATCAACAGAGGCTCCCCATGCGCGCTCTCGCCTCCTGGTGCGCGGTCCGGCGCGGCTGACGGAGCGACGGGGACAATGGCTGGGCGGCGCTCACGGCACAAGCAGCAACGGCCCCGAGTGGGAGCAGCCGCCGGCCTCGGGGGGCGGGCACCGAGTGCGGGACGACTGCGGGGAAGGCGGGGGCCGCGGCCCGGGCTGGGGGGGGCGAGGCGGGGGCCCTGCGCATTCCGGGTCTCGCGCCCGCCGCCTCCTCCAGCTCGGTAGCCGCGTGCGCGCTGTTGGGGCGGGCGGAAGCCGCCTGGGCGTGACCGCGCCTCTCCCCGCCCTAACCCGGCCGCGGGGCTGGGGGCGTCGCCTTCGCGCGCGCTCCGCCCCCGCCCCGACCCAGCCCAGGAGCCGGAGACCCGGGCGTGCGGCGCTGGGGAGGTGCCCACGCCCCCTCCGCGCCCGGGGCACCCCTGGGGTGGGACCCAGGCTGACTTCTCCTCGGGGACGCACTGGCGGGCCACCCGCGTCGCTGCACCCAAGCCCGGAAGATGGGGAGGCGAGGGGGCCCGGGGACAGGGAGGGCGTAGCTCAGCAGAAGTGAAGTTCAAAACTAAAAAGTGAAACTGGCGTTTGGTGAAGAGAGGGGCTCGGATTAGCCCGGCTAATTTTTGTATTTTCTCAGTAGAGACAGGGTTTCACCATGTTGGCCAGGCTGGTCTGGAACTCCTGAGCACAAGTGAACCGCCTGCCTCGTTCTCCCAAAGTGCTGGGACTACAGGTATAAGCCACCACGCCCAGCCTCTGATTGGCTTTAAGTCATAGAAAATAGGATTGCTCAGCTGGCAATCTGCATACAGATCCCCTCTGCCCTCCCCCCAAAAAGTTCAGTACTCCTGCGGGTGCTTGTTTGGGACCTGAGAGAATTTGGAATGAGGGCGGATCCCCAAGAGGGGCTGCCGGGTCTTCGGGATGAGTTCAGCGTCCTGGTTTTGCTGTAGGACTCTGGTGATTCTAGATTTCTACTTGGAAGGGGCGGGGAAGGGCGGGCTCGACCCTGTGCGTTTCTTTGCAGCTTCCTGTGGATCTAGAATTCTTTACAAATAAACATTCCTTTAAAAAACTAGGGAAAGACAGATTTGAGAGATCGCCCGACCAAATGTAGTGCGTGAAACTTGATTGGTCACTGTTTCAAACACCCCGGCGACAACCCTATAAAGAATTGTGCAGAGGCATTTCAATTTCAGAAACCCCAAAGATTTTTTTTTCCTGGCTTAAGTGTGGCTCAGGCAATAGTTGGACATACTTATATTTAAAACCCATATCCGTGTGGATTTGAAATGCAAATATAGCTAGATATTTGGTCACCCCTTTCCCCAGGGAAATGCAGACAGTGCTTAACTTGCGGGCCTGGCACGGCCTGGACGCTGCGCCCCTGACCCGCGACCAGGGCGGCCCAGGCTGCCGGTTCGCCGACCACAGTTTGAGCAGCAAGGGGTCAAACTGCAAACGCCTTTGTTTTGAGGGATCTCAGCGATTCTGCGATTGGAGGGGGTCTCCAGTCCCTCAGTCCGCAGGTCAGGGGGGCTTTCCGAGAGCCAAAGCGGCCTCTAAGTCAGAACGGACACATTTTTAGGGGGACCAGGCCGAGCCATCCTTCCACAGCTAACGGGGAGGGGGAGTCAGGAAGTCTGAACCTGGCTCAGGCTTTGGATTTCTGGCCCCTGGCTGCCAGCCTCGCCCAGCCTCCACCTGCATTTTGTGGGTGGCATTTCCCCCCGGGGGTGACACCCGCTCCCTATGCTCTGCAAAATCCTGAGCTGGAATGCAAAACATATGCGACACCAGCAGGCCCCTGCCATCCCCTGAGCCTGGTTAGGACAGGTCACGGCCCTGCCAAGCTTCACCAGCAAGCCGCGCAATCCCTTGATCCTGGTTAGGACAGGAAACGGCCCTGCCAAGCCCTGCCTGGCCGAGGGGTTCAGGGCCAGCAAGGAACGCGCACTCAGGAAAAGTTCGTGTCTCCCCGCGGAACGCGCGCCCTCTCCACTAGGGCCTGACCTTGGAAATGCAAGGCTGCGGCCTCATAAAGTCCTTTTAATCAAGGCCCGGGTTTCACACCCAATTAAGCAGATGTCCTTGCCTGCAAATTGCACGCAGGAAGAAGAACGTGGCACAGATTTGCAGCGTTAAACTCTGCTTGAGCTGCTGGTTGGTCTGATTCCACCGAACCCACCCTGAACTTGACCGCATAGCTACCTCTTCTTATAAATAGACCCTGCACGTTTCACAACACCTTGCTTGACAAAACAGCTTTCATCTGGAAGGATCATAAAAATCCTTGAGAAACCACAGCCTATTACTTGAGAGACAAAAAAGGAAAATCCCTGTGAGTTAGGCATGGAAGGGTCATTACCGCCTTAATGAAGTGGCATTAATTTGCGGTGGAGTCAGGAATTGCTGAACTCTGCCATTCGGAAGGAATAAGTCCCTGACCCTAAACCAGAATGAGCTATAAATTCAATACAATGATAGGTGCAGGTGTTGTTAAATATGAGAAGAATCAAAATTGTACCATCTGGCTTAGCACAGAGACTCACACCTGTGATCTCAGCACTTTGGGAGGCATGGGGGTTCGAGACCAGCCTGGGCAACATTGGAACCCACCCCCCCATCTCTACCAAAAATAATTTTTTAAACTAGCCACGTGTGGTGGTGCACACTTATAATCCCAGCACAGAGGCAAAGGCACGAGGATGCCTTGAGCCCAGGAGGTCAAGGCTGCAGTGAGCTATGACTGCACCACTGCCCTCCAGCCTGGGCAACAGAGTGAGATCCTAACTAAAAAAAAAAAAATCATACAATCTCTGAAGGGAGCTGAACACTCTTTAAGCATGTATACTGTATGTGTGTGTTTGTGTATGTATGTGTGTATATATAATGTATATATAGCCATTCCATATATTATATATACTGAATTAAATATGTTATATATTTGTGTATATGTATGTGTACATAAGTATGCATATATATGATATATAATATATTTTGCATAAATGATATATAAAATATATATTTCTATATATGGTGATATAAAATCTTTTTTCTAATTTTATTTTTTATTTTTTCATTTTTATATATTGAGGAGGTACAAATGCAGACTTTCTGTTTTTCAGTAATTTTGCTTAAGATAATGGCCTCCATTTCCTTCCACGTTGCTGCAAAAGACATTATTTCATTCTTTTTTATGGAATCATAGTATTCCATGGTGTGTGTATATATATGTTTGTGTATGTGTGTGGGATTACAGGTGCCCGCCACCACGCCTGGCTAATTTTTGTATTTTTTGTAGAGACGGGGTTTCACCATGTTGGTCAGGCTGGTCTCAAACTCCTGACCTCGTGATCTGTCCGCCTCGGCCTCCCAAAGTGCTGGGATTATGGGCTTGAGCCACCGCACCCGGCCAACTTTACAATTTATATATATAATTTGCATATATATAACTTATATAAATATATATTCTAGTATATTTTATATAATATATATTCTAGTGTGTGTGTATATACGTGAAGTGTTTAGCCACCTTCGCAGACATATACACACACACATATATATATTCTGAGTTAAACATATATAATATATAAAATATATGTATGTATATGTGTGTGTATATATATGTGTATATGTGTTTGTGTGTATATATATGTGTGTATATATGTGTGTGTGTATATATATATTTATGTTGCAACTTATTGACCTAAACATATGCTTCAGCTTCCCTTTCACTGCCATCTGCGGTGAAGCTGCCACCAAACTGCAGATTTTCGTGAAAACCCTAAGGGGGAAGACCATCACCCTTGAGGTTGAACCCTCAGATGCGATAGAAAATGTAAAGGCCAAGATCCAGGATAAGGAAGGAATTCCTCCTGATCAGCAAAGACTGATCTTTGCTGGCAAGCAACTGGAAGATGGACGTACTTTGTCTGACTGCAACATTCAAAAGGAGCCTACTCTTCATCTTTTGCTGAGACTTTGTGGTGTTGCTAAGAAAAGGAAGAAGTCTTACCCCACTCCCAAGAAGAATAAGCACAAGAGAAAGAAGGTGAAGCTGGATGTCCTGAAATGTTATAAGGTGGATGAGAATGACAAAATTAGTGCCCTTCTGACGAATGTGGAGCTGGAGTGTTTCTGGTAAGCCACTTTGACAGACATTATTGCGGCAAATGTTGTCTGACTTACTGCTTCAACAAACCAGAAGACAAGTAACTGTGTATGAGTTAATAAAAGACATGAACTAAAAACAAACAAACAAACAACAACAACAACAAAAACCATAGCTTCAGAAACACACAGTGCCTCCATACTTTGTTATTTGACCAAGTGTAAGAGGTCTTCCCAGGGCATCTGGAAAGGGGTCCTCCAAGCAATACAGTGATCAATTCCTGTTTAGACCACGCCAGGAATGGAAACTCTATCATTTCCTGAGGATATATCCACCTATGATTTGGTCTTAGAAGGCAGGAAGGGAATTCTGATAAACGTTTAGTTACAGCAATACAGTTTCAAATTTTAGTACTCAGATATCACCATAATTACGGTAATGCCCTTGGTTGCGTGCCTACTGCGTCCCAGGAATAGAATCCGTCTTTTCTCATGCTCAACATAGTTCATTCTCGTTTTCTCAGATGAGCCATTTATTGGGGCTTGAGTATTTTCATGCATTATCGAGTCATCCCCAATGCCTAGCATGTTCCTTACAAGGACTGATTCACTGTTGGTAGCTTTGCAATCTTCTCTTCTCATTTTTTCCTTGTCACAGGACGGTACCATCATGGGTTAGTTTTGGCTTTACATGTTAGGACTTCACTATAGCCTAGGAGTTGGCTACATTCCAGTACAATCTTCAGTACTTCTGCCTCTGCTGATGGGCCGGGCCCATTGTGACTAATTGAAGATGATGAAATTGATTTTATAAATGTATGTAAAACCACGGTTATCAGAGATCTGCTGTGGTCTTAGCCCAGCTGAATCACCATCATTCCCAGTCTTAGAAGCCACCTTTTTGCCATTTTTCAGGGCCTGATTCTCTAGAGACATAATGTCCAATGGGATTGGGCACGGTGGCTTACGCCTGTAATCCCAGCACTTTGGGAGGCCGACGTGGGTGGATCACTTGAGGTCAGGAGTTCGAGACCCAGCCTGATCAACATGATGAAACCTCATCTGTATTAAAAAGACAAAATTAGCCAGGCGTGGTAGTGCATGCCTACAATCCCAGGTACTTGGGAGGCTGAGGCAGGAGAATTGCTTGAACCTGGGAGGCAGGCGAGTGAATGAGATCATGTTGCAGTGAGCTGAGATGACGCCATTGCACTCCAGCCTGGGCAACAAGAGCAAAACTCTGTCTAAAAAACAATAATAATAATAACAATAATAATAATGTCCAAAGGGACGCCTTTTAAAAACAGCTGAAACTTGGCCGGGTGCGGTGGCTCATGCCTGTAATCCCAGCACTCTGGGAGATCAAGGCGGGCGGATCACAAGGTCAGGAGATCGAGACCATCCTAGCTAACACGGTGAAACCCCGTCTCTACTAAAAATACAAAGAAATTAGCCAGGCATGGTGGCGGGTGCCTGTAATTCCAGCTACTCGGGAGGCTGAGGCAGGAGATTCGCTTGAACCTGGGAGGCGGAGGTTGCAGTGAGCTGAGATCGCATCACTGCACTCTATCCTGGGCCACAGTGCAAGACTCCGTCTCAAAAAAAAAAAAAAAAGAAATGTCCTCTTGGATTTCTTGAGGCTGTGAGTTTGAGACTAGCCTGGCAGACATGATGAGACTCTGTCTCTACAAAAAAAATTAAACATTAGCCCAGCCTGGTGGTGCATGCCTGTAGTCACAGCTACTTGGGAGGCTGAGATGGGAGGATCACTTGGGCCCAGGAGGTAGAGGTTGTGTGAGCTATGATTGTGCTACTAGCCTGGGCAACAGAGTGAGACTCTGTCGCAAAAACAAACAAACAAACAAACAAGATCATGTCCTTTACAGGGACATGGGTGGAGCTAGAGGCCATTATCCTTAGCAAACTAACACAGGAAGAGAAAAACAAATACAGCATGTTCTCACTTATCAGTGGGAGCTAAATGATGAGAACACATGGACACATAGAGGGGAACAACACATACTGGGGCATTTTGGAGAGTGAAGGGTGGGAGGAGGGAGAGGATCAGGAATGATAACTAAGGGTCACTAGGTTTAATACCTGGGTGGTGAAATTATCTGTACAACAAACCTCCGTGACACAAGTGTACTTATGTGACAAACCTGCACATGTACCTCTGAACTTAAAAGCTAAAAGAAAACAAGACAAAACAAACCAAAACCAACTTTTGAAAAAATGAAAAATTATAGGACTTCTGAGTGAAATGAAATTTTCCACATGTGTATTATACTCAGTTCCCAAGTTAGAGGGTCTTGAATTCTCAATGGGTTTATAGGGATTAATTCATCCCTGGGTGGCCAAATATTATAGTTGGACAGAACGTCATTTAGTTAAAATTCACAACATAAAACCCTAAGCCACTCTTTCTACAAACTAAGTTTTAAAAATCTGCAAACGTAGAATGCAATCAAAGCGATTTTGTTCATGTATCAAGCGCCGACTTCTAAAAATAATGTTTCTAAACATGCCTGTTTATTTGGAGGCTTTTCTTGAGCGATTCCAAAGAAAATCCAATAGAAAGCCTTGAGGATGTCCTCGTTGTCTTCGCTGGTAACCATTCATTAGGAAACGCCTAGATGAGCCTGTAATTAGAATGGGCTGCGTTTACTCCTCATCCAAGAGACACATGATAGTTTTTATTTCTGGGATACTGGTAAAGTTTATGGAAAATGCAAACTATGGTATTGAAGGAATGCAGGTGAATAATGTTTCCAAAGCGGTAAACAAAAGCACCAGAAAGAAAAATCCTTCCTTCAAAAGGGAAGCTAATGGGATGTGTTCATGTTATTGTTTAACTGGATTTCCAGATTTGAACGTCACAGGTAACATTTCACTCGAAGAATAATAGAAATGATGTGTATGGAAGCAAGTCAGTAAGCAAGATGACTTCAGAGTGAATTCATCAGAGGTTGTTGCAGTGGCTCACACCTGTAATCCCAGCACTTTGGGAGGCCGAGGCGAGAGGATTGCTTGAGCCTAGGAGTTTGAGACTAGCCTTGGCAACATACCAAGACCCCATCTCTACAAAAAAAATTTTTTTTCAATTAGCTGGATGTGGTTGCGCTTGCCTATAATCCCAGCGATTTGGGAAACTGAGATGGGAGGATCACTTGAGGCCAAGAGTTTGAGACCAGCCTGGGCAACATAGTGAGACCCATCTCCATTTAAAAAGAAAAAGAGAGTAAGATAACCATGGACACCCATCGCTGTGTTCTGTAATATGTTAATGAGGTTTCCTTTAAATATTTAGATCCCTATAATGTCAATGTGGGAAAGCAAAAACGTGTGGGAAAGCAAAAACGTGTGTGAAAACTCTTAACCAACTCTCCTGTATCCTATAAGATACGACACTGGCCTTGTTATTTGGAATTCACTTGCGTCGGATCCTTTTTTATTCATTTATTATTTGGAAGAGATGGAGTCTTGTTCTGTCACCCAGGCTAAAGGGCAGTGGTGTGATCATGGCCCACTGCAGCCTCAGACTCCTAGGCTCAAGCGACTCTCCCACCTCGACCTCGCAAGTAGGTTGGGATTACAGGTGCACGCCACCACGCCTGGCTAGTTTTTTATAGAGATGGGCTCTTGCTATGTTTCCCAGGCTGGTCTTAAGGGCTCTCGCTATGTTTCCCAGGCTGGTCTCAAACTTGTGAACTCAAGCGATTCTCCTGCCTTGGCCTCCCAAAGTGCTGGGATTATAGGTATAAGCCACCATGCCCGGCCTGAATTAGATCCTTTTACTTCTCTTTCTGCTGATGGGCTTTGGGCTATTCCCTGAAGCTTGCAGGTAACACAAAGTGCAACACAGTAACGTGAGAAAAATTATAACACATCAAGTCACATTATGTCTCTAAGCATAATAAGTAACAAAGGAGTTTCAATCACTCACTATTTTTGGGAAAAAAAGCTGATTTTGATTCTCACCTTGCACCGTAATTAAAAATACCACAAAGACATCACAAGAAAAGAAACTGAAATAAATACCAGAAGTATTAAATTGAAATTGGGGACATAAATCAAACTTGAAACAAGCCCAGTCCCTGGTGGGCTCCAAAGAACTTTCTAAGCTTCATAGCGATCGAACTACAGGGGTAAAGATTAATAGATATGACTACCTAAAAATGTCAAGACAGTTGTTGAAATATAAAACAAAATGAAAATACGTTTACAGCAAGCTTACATAGTGCATGAGATGAAAGGCCAGACTGGGCCAGGCATAGCGGCTCACGCTTATGATCTCAACATTTTAGGAGGTCAAAGTGGGAGGATCGCCTGAGCCTTGGAATTTGAGACCAGCCTCGGTGACATAGCAAGATCCCATTTCTACAAAAAATAAAAATGAAAAGAATTAGCTGGGTGTGGTGGTGTGTGCCTATAGTATCACCTACTCGGGAGGTTGAGGTAGGAGGATCACTTGGGCCCAGGAGGTCAAGACTGCGGTGAGCCATGATTGCACCACTGCACTCCAGCCTGGGAGACAGAGCAAGACCCTGTGAAAGAAAAAAAGGAAGGAAGGGAGGAAGGAAGGAAGGAAGGAAGGGAGGGAGGGAGGGAAAGAGGCAGAGAGAGAACCGTCAAAGAAATGCAACTAAGAACAAATGTGGCAGTTGTTTGTTTATTTTTAATCTACCGAATACTAGGAAGATAAAGTGTTCCATAATGATGACAGAATTCTTATATACTTTTGGTTGTAATGTTAATTAGGGCAAAGCCTTAGAGTGTTAGAAATGATTATATGTGTTGGTCCACTCGTTCTATAGCTAGGAATTTGTTTTTCAAAACTAAATTCCACAGTGCAGCAAAAGCTTCATGGTTATAATTACCTATTTATTTATTTATTTGAGACAGGGTCTCACTCTATCGCCCAGGCTTGAGTGCAGTGCCGCAGTTATAGCTCACTACAGCCTCTAACTCCTGGGCTCAAGCAATCCTTCCACCTCAGCCTCCTGAGTAAGTGGGACTACAAACATGCACCACCATGCCTGGCTAACTTTGAAAAATTTTTAGTAGAGATGAGATCTTGCCATGTTGCCCAGGCTGGTCTAGATCTCCTGGACTCAAGTGATCCTCCCACCTATACCTCACGAAGTGTTCAGATGACAGGTATGAGCCACCATGCCCAGCCTAGTTACCCATTATTCAACACAGTTTATTTGTTTGTTTGTTTGTTTTTTAAAGCCAGTCAAATTTAGCAGTGGGACAAGGCAATACCTTCAGCACCTTAAAATACGAGAAGGCGTGCATTTACGCTGGTTTGTTTATGTGAGGAAATCTTCAAACTCTTCATAAACAGGAACAGAGTGAGAAAACTATGGTTACATTTTAAGACATATAGGCAGCAATCCAAATTTTATAATACACTCCAATCTTACAGATATAAAAATATAATGTAAAATGATGAGAAAATGTAAAAAGTGTGGCAGACGGAGTTACTAGAATCTTCATTTTTAATGTGATTCTCCTTCTTGACTACAAACATGAATAATTTTCTTGTAATGATGAAACAGACTTCAGAACACACGATAGATGATTTCATAAAAGATACCAATTGAGAGATTTGGAAACCAGTGTGTGTAAAGTGATGGATGGGGTTAGAGTTATCTTAGGACTTGCTAAATTGCTGTGATTCTGTAATTTATCTCATTTTCTAGGGGAGCGATAAGAGGATATGTACTGTGTCTCATCCATGAATCACAGTGTTTCACAGGTCCTGTCCAGCTAGTCATCAATACTTATCGGTACGAGGCTAATACAAAGGAAACCTGAAAACTGCTGAAGGGCATAGGAAAAACAAATACCCTGACCTTGGAGGAAAACATGTACTTCAGCTCATTCTTTCCGGCTGATTCCATGTGGCATCCTCCCCGTCAAAGTGAATGTGGGAACTTGGCCAAGTGAAGTTAAAGTTTATCTGGGAGAATCAATATGAGACACAGAATCGTAAAATTTTGAAAAAAAAAAAAATACTTGTCATCAGATGGGAACTAGCCTTTTTCCTGACAAAGCCAGAGTTTTGAAGATAGTTTTATTTTATTTTATTCTATTTTATTTTATTTGAGATGGAGTCTTGCTCTGTCGCCCAGGCTGGAGTGTGCTTGCGCAATCTCGGCTCACTGCAACCTCCGCCTCCTGGGTTCAAGCGATTCTTCTGCTTCAGCCTCCCAGGTAGCTGGGACCACAGGTGTGCGCCACCATGCCCAGCTAATTTTTGTATTTTTTAGGAGAGTCAGGGTTTCACCATATTGGCCAAGCGGGTCTCGAGCTCCTGACCTCATGATCCACCCACCTTGGCCTCCCAAAGTGCTGGGATTACAGGCGTGAGCCACTGCACCCGGCCCTGAAGATAGTTTTATATTGGAAAGAGATTGAGAAATACGTTACATTGGAGTCCGGAAGTCATCCAGCAAGCACGTGACATTTTTAAGCCTTAGAAAGAACAAATGTTTCCAAACAGATGGTATTCAGACAGCTGCATAGTGAGTTACTTTTTTTTTTTTTTTTGAGACAGGGTCTCGCTCTGTCGCCCAGGCTGGAGTGCAGTGGTGCAATCTCGGCTCACTGCAAGCTCTGCCTCCCGGGTTCACACCATGCTCCTGCCTCAGCCTCCCGAGTAGCTGGGACTACAGGCGCCCGCCACCACGCCCAGCTAATTTTTTGTATTTTTAGTACAGATGGGGTTTCACCGTGTTAGCCAGGATGATCTCGATCTCCTGACCTCATGATCCCCCTGCCTCGGCCTCCCAAAGTGCTGGGATTACAGGCGTGAGCCACCGCACCCAGCCTAGTGAGTTACATTTTTTTAAAATATAAGCCAGGTTCCTTCTTTGCCCCTTATATCAAAATAAAGGGTTTTTATTAGTTATTTTTTTAAATAGAGACAGGGTCTCACTATGTTGCCCAAGCTGGTCTCAAACTCCTGGCCTCAAGCAATCCTCCTGCCTTACCCTCCCAAAGTGCTGGGATTACAAGTGTAAGCCATCACACCTAGCCCCAAAATAAACTCCCGATAGGTCAAATGTATGTTTAAAAATAAAATCATAAAGTACTACATAAATATATGGACTTTAAAAATGTAAGTTAAGGCTGGCCACGGTGGCTCATGCCTGTAATTCCAGCACTTTGGGAGGCCGAGGTGGGAGGATCACTTGAGGTCAGGAGTTCGAGGCCAGCCTGGCCAACATGGTGAAACTCTGTCTCTACTAAAAATACAAAAATCAGCCAGGCATGATGGCGCATGCCTGTAATCCCAGCTACCCGGGGGGCTGAGGCAGGAGAATCACTTGAACCCAGGAGGCAGAGGCTGCAGTGAGCTGAAATCGTGCCCCTGCACTCCAGCCTGGGTGACAGAGTGAGACTCTGTCTCAAAAAAAAAAAAAAAAAGAACAAAAAACTTGACTGATTTTGAAGACCATGCCCAGCTCTGTGCTTAGAAGGTAATCTGAGCTATTTAATGCTTTATCTCACCTTGGTTTGAATGTAGGGCTGGGGAAGGAAAGCTAAAGCCCCCTCCCTTCCAAAAGGAAGTGAACCTTTTGATTCACTGGGATTTGTGTCAGTTTGTGACTGGGCAGGATTTGTTTCCTGGACGCTGGCAGATAAGTGTCTTTGTAAGAGTTGCCATACAGTGTTTCTGAAATCCTCTGTTGGGTGTAGAGTGAAGGCCCCACAGAAAACTGGCCTGGGAAAAAGGGATAACACCTTAGAATGCAAGCTTCTGTTTTCAGAGCCGTTCCCTGGCAAAAGAATGAAGTAGTTTCCCAAAAGAGAAGGCGACAGAAGGATTGAGTGGGGTTCACTTGGCACCACCCAATTTCCAATTCAGCCGTATTTTCTGAGTAGTTCTACAAACAAAGGTCAAGTTGGGGCCAGGTGCTGTAATCCCAGCACTTTGGGAGGCCCAGACAAGAGGAAGGCTTGAGGCCAAGAGTTTGAGACCAATCTGAGCAACACAGCAAGACTCTGTGTCTATACAAAGTTTAGAAATTACCTGGGCGTGGTGGCGTGTGCCAGTAGTCCCAACTACTTGGGAGGCTGAGATGGGATGATCACTTGTGCTCAGGAAGTCGAGGCTGCAGTGAACCGTGATTGTACTACTGCACTACAGCCTGAATGACAGAGCAAGACCCTATCTCTAAAAATTAAACACACGTACGCACGCACAAAGGATAAAGGCTTGAGGGGCTGGAGACTGCATCATCCGTGATGTGCCTATTACGTATTGCATGCCTGTATCAAAACATCGCATATACCCTGTAAATATATATACCTACTATGTACCCACAAAAAATTTTTAAAATGTTAAAAAAAAATAATAATAATTTTAAAAAACAAACCATTAAGGCCGGGCATGGTGGCTCACACCTGTAATCCCAGCACTTTGGGAGGGCAAGGCTGGTGGATCACAAGGTCAAGAGAGATTGAGACCATCCTGGCCAACATGGTGAAACCCTGTCTCCACTAAAAATACAAAAATTAGCCGGGCGTGGTGACGCGTGCCTGTCATCCCAGCTACTCAGGAGGCTGAGGCAGGAGAATCGCTTGAACCCAGGAGGCAGAGGCTGCAGTGAGCCGAGATCGTGCCATTGCACTCCAGCCTGCACTACAGGAGTGAGACTCCATCTCAAAAAAAAAGAAAATGGATTTCTTGCTATATTATTTTCTATGCAAATATAATCTGTTTCCCTCAATGGAGTCTCTTTCCTGGTGTACAAAGACAAGCTTGAGACAAGTTTTATAAAATATGTTGGTTAGTGGTCTCTAGCATTATAGATTAAAGATTGTTATAGAATCCACATCTTGCAAAATATACAGCTGTAAAAATAATGTTGGGACCTTTCTCAGGAGCAACAATTACTGCATTTCTCACCCTCCGTAAATATTTATATATGGCTGTATTTCCCTTTTAATTTATTTCTTTTATTTATTTGTGTTTTGAGACAGGTTCTCACTCTGTTGCCCAGGCTGGAGTGCAGTAGTGCAACATGATTCACAGCAGCCTCCACCTCTCGGGCTCAAGCAATCCTCCTGCCTCAGCCTCTTGAGTAGCTGGGACTACAAGTGCACACCACCATGCCTGGCTAATTTTTGTATTTTTTGTAAAGATAGGGGTATCACAAGGCTGGGCACGGTGGCTCATGCTTGTAATCCCAGCACTTTGGGAGGCCGAGGTGGGCAGATCATTTGAGGTCGGAGTTCGAGACTAGCCTGGCCAACATGGTGAAACCCCGTCTCTACTAAAACTACAAAAAAAAAATTAGCTGGGCGTGGTGGCGGGTGCCTGTAATCCCAGCTACTTGGGAGGCTGAGGCAGGAGAATCACTTGAACCCGGAAAGTGGAGGTTTCAGTGAGCCAAGATCGTGCCATTCCACTCCAGCCTGGGCAACAAGAACGAAACTCCGTCTCAAAAAAAAAAAAAAAGTGTCTCATTCTGTCACCTAGGCTGGAGTGCAGTGGCACCATCTTGTCTCACTGCAACTTCCACCTCCCAGATTCAAGTGATTCTCCTGCCTCAGCCTCCTGAGTAGCTGGGATTACAGGCACGCACCACCATCCCCAGCTAATTTTTGTATTTTTAGTAGAGACGGGGTTTCACCATGTTGGCCAGGCTGGTCTTGAACTCCTGACCTCAGGTGATCCACCCCCCTCAGCCTCCCAAAGTGCTGGGATAACAGGCTTGAGCCACTGCGCCAGGCCCGACATTTTTCATTAACTGTGATGAGAGCTGGATCGCCTCCTATTTTGAAAGAAAAATAAGAGAGTCGACAAATTGCAAGCTTTTCCTTCTGAGAGACTCACGCCTGCTATAAATGAGCTACATCCTTACTGATGAGCTTGGCACAGATCTTTGGAAGAAAAACAAGTCTGAAAAGATCAAATTAGCCAGGCATGATGGCATGAACCTATAGTCCCAGCGCTTCTAGAGGGAGAATTGCCTGAAGTCAGCAGTTCAAGACCAGCCCAGGCAATATAACAAGACCCCATCTCTACAAAAAATAGAAAAATTAGCTGGCATGATGGTGCACCTGTAGTCACAGCTACTGGGGAGGCGAAGTGGGAGGATTGCTTGAGCCCAAGAGTTCCAGGCTGCAGTAAGCTATGATGGCACCACTGCACTCCAGGTTGGGCAACAGAACAAGATTTCATCTCTAAAAAATAAAAATAAATAGATAAATAAAAGAGATCAATTAAAAGGCAAATAGAGCCATATATAAATTTTTATGAGGGTGAGAGATACAGTAATTCTTGTTCCCGAGAAAGGACCCAATATTATTTTCAGAGCGGTAAATTTTGTAATAAGATGTGGATTCTGTAACAATCTATAATCTATAATGCTAGAGACCACAAACCAGCATGTTTTATAAAACTTGTCTCAAGTTTTCTTTTTACCCCAGGAAAGAGACTCCACTGAGGGAAACTGAAATTATATTTGCATGGAAAATAATATAGCAAGAAATCCATTGTTGAAACCACAGTGGGGAAAAAAGAATGCTGTGTTTGTGGGGTTTTTTAAGTTGTAAAGGCTGTATAAATCTAAGGAGTTTTCACCTATTTTTGTTTGCGCATGTTTAGGTAACGTTACAACAATTTTACAAATGTTGGGGTTGCTGGCATTTGCAAGGCATTCTTAGACAAATCCAGGAAGACAAACAGTAGGCTTGATTCTTCTAAAGCCTTCTTAAGCTCATTTCAATACATCTTTAAAATGTTACCAGAATAACTAAGAACATCTTAGTTTCTTGGGGAAGGAATCAGCAAACACAGCTTTTCTCCAGGAGCAGCAGCTTCTAAACTCCCAACATCCTCTCTCTAATATAACAATTCTCTCCAAAGTAATCTTGCCTCAAAGAGAAAATTACTTTGTATAAATAGACGGTTTAACATTAGGCAAAGCAAGATAAGATTGTTTCTCAAAATATGTAGACCATGCTGCTGAATTGTTTTGCTTAATGTTTAAAGATATTTGAGCTGATTCACTCCTTAGCATTTAGTCACGTCAATGTTCTCGTTCATGAGTGTGCGCTTGCATGTGCTTTAACTGAGCAATGAAGATCGCAGTGAGGGGAGAAACAATATTCGTTGCACGGACCTCTGATCTTGTCAGAACAACCAGACCTGATTGTGAGTAATTTGTCCAGTTCCACCCAGCTGGGTGCTGAGGTTCAGTGAACGTCACTGGCTCTTACTATTACTCATGCCATTTCTTATCTTGGAGAGATGCCGTTGGAACAATTTAGGATCTCTCCTCTAACTCGTCTGATTTTCATTGACCTGAAAATTCTTTCAACATACTGACATAAAGCCAATTGAGAAGCATCCACAAATGCTATGAATAAAACAACATTGCTATCTGCATTAAATTAATACCCGATTTAAGCATAGTCTTGAAAAGAAAAAAAAGAAGGCTTACAAGTTCAGAAATGAATTGTGGTCATTATATGGATAATGTTAATAAAGTAATTCAAATGTTGAAACAATGTACAATTATCATCTGTACTTCATAAGCCAACTTTTATTAAAGCAAGAGTAATTTAATTTTTTTTTTAAGAGATAAGGTCTCACTGTGTTGCCCAGGCTGGAGTGCAGTGGTGCAATCATGGCTCACTGAAGCCTTGACCTCCCAGGCTCAGCCTCCCAAGTAGATAGAACTATGGGCACTTGCCACCATGCCTGGCTAATAAAAACAACAACAACAACAACAAAACAAACAAACAAAAACTTTATAGAATTGGAATCTCGTTGTGTTGTCCTGGATGGATTTGAATTCTTGGGCTCAAGCAACCCTCCCACCTCGGCCTCCCAGAGTGTTAAGATCACAGGCATGAGCCACTGCACCTGGCCCTAAGATAGGAGTAAATGAGGCAAGTGGTATCATAAATATGGAATTGACAGCCACAATGAATACTCCCTCTTTGATTTAATAAGATGGAATTGAGGCCGGGCACGGTGGCTCACGCCTGTAATCCCAGCGCTTTGGGAGGCCGTGGCAGGAAGATTACTTGAGGTCAGGAGTTCAAGACCAGTCTGGCCAACATGGTGAAATCCTGTCTCTACTAAAACTACAAAAATTAGCCAGGCGTAATGGTGCACGCCTGTAATCCCAGCTACCCGGGAGGCTGAGGCAGGAGAATCGCTTGAATCCGGGAGGCAGAGGTTGCAGTGAGCTGAGATTGTGCGACTGCACTCCAGCCTGGGCAACAGAGGGGGACTCTCTCTCAAAAACAAAGGTGGAATTGAAATTTATTATCAATTTAACCCAGGGTTTCGTCGTTATCCTCTTCATTTTCCTGAAATGGCTGGTCCTCCAGCAGTCACTCAATCATTTCCCAGATATTCTGTGATTGCTTTCTTTTTTTTTTTTTTTTTTGAGACAGACTCTCACTCTGTCGCCCAGGCTGGAGTGCAGCAGCGTGATCTCAGCTCACTGCAACCTCTGCCTCCTGGGTTCAAGTGATTCTCCTGACTCAGCCTCCCGAGTAGCTGGGACTACAGGCGCCCACCACCACGCCCGGCTAAGTTTTGTATTTTAGTAGAGACGGGGTTTCACCATGTTGGCCAGGATGGTCTCAAACTCCTGACCTCAGGTGGATCCGCCTGCCTCAGCCTCCCAAAGTGCTAGGATTACAGGCATGAGCCACCGCACCTAGTCATTCTGTGATTTCTTTAAGGGAGCATGGTCATTTATTTTTACATATGGAAATACATTCATGAGATTTACTCCAGACACACTTATCAATATTACAAGACATATTTGAAAACCCAAATGTGTTCCCTAAAGTATATCCTGGATAGCTGAGTCACATAAAATTCTTTAAAATCAAGCAAAATATATGTATGTATATATATATATATGCATACATACACATATATAAATTGTATAAGCTTAAGAATTCAAATTCTTAAGTCTCCCTGACACACACACACACACAAAAATTAAAGCTTTAAGTGTTTTGTATTTTCCATTTAAAAGGCATTTTCTGGCTGGGCGCGGTGGCTCATGCCTGTAATCTCAGCATTGGGAGGCCTAGGTGAGTGGATCACTTGAGTCCAGGAGTTGGAGACCAGCCTGGCCAACATGGCAAAACCCGGTCTCTACTAAAAATATAAAAAATTAGCCAGGCATGGTGGCGAGGCTGTAATCCCAGCTACTCGGGAGGCTGAGGCAAGAGAATCACTTGAACCCGGGAGGCGAAGGTTGCAGAGAACCGAGACCATGCCACTGCATTCCAGCCTGGGTGACAGAGCAAGATTGTTTCTCGAAAATAAAATCTTTAAAAAGGCATTTTCTGATTCAACTGTTGTCTACATTCTCTGGCAAGTGATAGAGAAAATTACACAAACATTTTTATCTTTGGACAAGAAGATCTAAAATACAACATTTAGCCAAGAGAAGTGAAAACAGAGGAATTTCGGACAGCTCGCCTCCTTACATGTGGCACTAACTTCCCCGCTTGTGAAATCACTATCTCATAATCCAGGATCTCACAACCTCAGCACTGTGGACATTTGGGGTTGTTGGGGGGTCTCTGTGGCGCGGCGATCCTGGTCACAGTAGCCCCCTTGTTATTCTCTTGACCAACATCCCTGAGATCTACCCACCAGATTCAGGTAGCCGCGCCCCCCCTTCCATAGTTGTGACAATCAAAATGTCTCCAGACACTGACAGAGGCCCCCTGGGGCAAAATCACCCCCAGTTGTGAATAATTGCTCTAATCCAAATAAATGAGAATAATGTTCAATCTATCTGAAAATCATAAATTCTGACAAACAGCTATTAATTAAGACAATGGAAATATGATGTATACATATAATAGAATCTTATTCAGCATTTAAAATGAAAGGAAATTGGCCAGGCACTGTGGCTCACGCCTGTAATCCCAGCACTTTGGGAGGCCGAGGTGGGTGGATCACCTGAGGTCAGGAGTTTGAGACCAGCCTGGCCAACATGGTGAAACCCCATCTCTACTAAAAATACAAAAAAATTAGCTGGGCGAGGTGGCGTGCGCCTTTAATCCCAGGTACTCAGGAGGCTGAGGCAGGAGAATTACTTGAACCTGGGGGGCGGAGGGTGCAGTGAGCCAAGATCACGCCACTTCACTCCAGCCTGGGCAAAAGTGAAACTCTGGCTCAAAAATAAATAAATAAAAGGAAATCCTAAGAAATGCAACCACACGACTGAACCATGAGAACCTTGTGCTGAGAGAAGGAAGCCAGGCACGGAAAGACAAATACTGCAGGATTCTATTCACATGAGGCACCTAAGAAATGGTACCCACAAAAATGGTTCCTTTCATTTTGTGCTAAGCCTTATGTCACGGGGGATATAAACAGCATGTCCAGTGTTTAACAAGCCTAAGAGATGCAGAAGGCCCAAGGGCAGGTACAGTTCACAAAGAGGGGGATGGTCTGTAAAAGATTAGGTGAACATTTTTTTTTTTTAGACGAAGTCTCACTTTGTCACCCAGGCTGGAGTGCAGTGGTGCAATCTTGACTCACCGCAACCTCCACCTCCCGAGTTCAAGCGATTTTCCTGCCTCAGCCTCCCGAGTAGCTGGGACTACAGGTGCTCGCCACCATGCCCAGCTAATTTTTGTATTTTTAGTAGAGACGGGGTTTCTTCATATTGGCCAGGCTGGTCTTGAACTCCTGACCTCAGCTGATCCACCCGCCTCTGCCTCCCAAAGTGCTGGGATTACAGGCATGGGCTACCATGCCCGGCGTAAGCACCTGTGTATTTCGTGTTTTTGATTTTTTTTGAGACAGGGTCTTTCTTGCTCTGTTGCCCAGGCTGGGGTGCAGTGGCATGATCTCGGCTCACTACGACCTCTGCCTCCCAGGCTCAAGAGATTCTCCCACCTCAGCCTCCTGAGTAGCTAGGTCCTTACAGTTATTTCTTGATTATACGCTAAACAAGGGGTGGATTATTCATGAGTTTTCCAGGAAAGGGATGGGCAATTCCCAGAACTGAGGGTTCCTCCCCTTTTTAGACCATATAAGGTAACTTCCAGGTATTGCTGTTGCAGGACTTTCTCCTTAGTTCAGATAAAAGCCAGGTTCTTGCCACATGGCCATGATTAGGCTCGCAGACATTTTGAAGAGTGAGAAAAATGGAATTTATTGGGCAAAAAGGAAAAAAAGAGAAACAGGGACTCTCAGCAAAGCGAGAGTCCCCGCTAGCTGGTCTCCCCCTCACAGATTGAATCCTGGATTCCACCTGAAACAGAAGAGGCCAGTCTCCTCCCCGCTGCAAAGGGCGTGAACTCCGTGGCTCCAGCCCATTTTCCCAGTGCCCGCACAGTGGTTGGAGTTTCTCCGGGGACCGCTTTATACTTGACTGTCTCATTGCCATGGCATTTGTCAACTGTCGTGCTGCTGGTGGGAGTGTCTTTTAGTGTGCTAATGTATTATTATTAGTGTATAATGAGCCATGAGGATGACCAGAGGTCACTCTTGTCACCATCTTGGTTTCGGTGGGATTTGGCCGGCTTCTTTACTGCATGCCATTTTATCCGCAAGGTCTTTATAACCTGTATCTTGTGCCGACCTCCTGTCTCATCCTGTGACTAAGAATGCCTAGCCTCCTGGGAATGCCACCCAGTAGGTCTCAGCCTTATTTTACCCAGCGGCTACTCAAGATGGTTCAAATGCCTCTGACAGTGGGATGGAGCAGGTTCTCCCTTTGTAAGGGCCTGAGGGCCCATGAAGCATGGAAGTAAAGACAAATCTTGAGTTCCTTCAAAGAAAATTCCAGGCACCTGGATGGCCACGAGAAGTCAATGAGCAACTCGGTAAGTAAAAAGGTAATGGTAGCTTAAAACAACAGCCGAGGAAGCTAGAGTCATGAGATGCTTGGCTTTCTATGGGAACGAAAGATAGCATCTTAGCATACGTCCCCGAGCTGTTTTTCAGGAACCCAGACCCCACCAATCGGATCTGCTGGCACGGACCTCAGGTAAGGGGAACTGAGGACTGAACTCTGACCAATGTACTTTGTTCTAAATTCCTTCCTGAGGGGCCTGGAGGAGGTCATGCCCACAGACCAGAGCTAACAGTTTTTTTCTTTTGTCTCTAGACTTTTAAACAAAGCTTCCCTTCCTTAACCCATCACAAATCAGAGAATCTTTGAATCTACCTATGTCCTGCGGGTCCCCCTTGCTTCGAGATGTTCTGCCTTTTTAGGTCAAACCACTATATAACCTCCCTATATTGCTTTATAACTTTGCCTGTAACCTCTGCCTCCCACCTTGAAAAACCCTCACCTGTAATCCATTGGGGGAGGGTGGGGCTGTTTTTTTTTTTTGAGATGGAGTCTCGCTCTCTCCCCCAGGCTGGAGTTCAGTGGCGCGGTCTTGGCTCACTGCAAGCTCCGTCTCCTGGGTTCACGCCATTCTCCTGCCTCGGCCTCCCGAGTAGCTGGGACTACAGGCGCCCGTCACCACTCCCGGCTACTTTGTTTTTGTATTTTTAGTAGATTAGTAGAGACAGGGTTTCACCTTGTTAGCCAGGATGGTCTCGATCTCCTGACCTCGTGATCCACCCACCTCAGCCTCCCAAAGTGCTGGGATTACAGGCGTGAGTCACCGTGCCCGGCCTTTTTTTTTTTTTTTTTTTTTTTTTTGAGACAGAGTCTTGCTCTTTTGCCCAGGCTGGAGTGCAGTGGTGCCATCACAGCTCACCACAGCCCCAACCTCCCAGGCTCAAGTGGTCCTCTTGCTTCACCCTACTGAGGACCTGGGACTACAGGAGTGTACCACCACGCTCAGCTAATTCTTTAATGATTTGTAGAGACAGGGTCTTAGTATTTTGCCCAGGCTAGTCTTAAACTCCTCGGCTCAAGTGATCCACCCACCTTGGCCTCCCAAAGTGCTGGAATTACAGGCATGAGCTGCCTTGCCCAGCTAGGAGGTCAGGTCTTAAGCATGAGCTGCATGATTCTCCTTGCTTGGTACCCTACAAATACATGCCCTCCTTTCTCACGCTGCAAACCTTGGTGTAGATGTTTGGCCTTACTGTGCTGGGCCACACCTTCAGAAGGAACCAACCCCACCGACACTTTGATCTCAGACTTCTTCTGGCCTCCAGAACTGTAAGAACAGTAAGTTTCTGAGGTGGAGCTCACCCAGCCTGTGGTACTTGGTGAAGGCAGCCGTGAGAAATGCATACAGCTCATTTGCACAAAAGGCAGAGAGTTTGAATCATTTGTAGAACTGGAGATGGGGCTTCCTCCAGGTGGAACTGCTTGTGAAAGTTAGAGGTGTAGAAAGGAGAGAGGGCATTTGCGGGTGTCTTTGTGAGTGATGCTAAGGACAGATATTAAGGAAGACAGTTGCAGAGACAAACTACTCACAAGACATGAGGAAGTTAAAAAGGCAAAGGATGATAAGAGTTCATTTTCCACAAAAGAGTCAGACTCAGATTTTTTTTTTTTGAAATAGGGTCTCCCTCTGTCTCCCAGGCTGGAGTGCAGTGATGCGATCACAGCTCACTGCAGCCTCGAATACCTGTGCTCAAGCAATCCCCCTGCCTCAGCCTCCCAAAGTGCTGGGATTACAGGCGTGCACCACTGCATACAGCAGAGATTCAGAATATAGTGGGAACTGGAGTCCCAGGTCCTCCATGGAGTTGCTGGAGGCCAGCTATCGGGCAAGCTGCAGATCCCATGGAGATGGCTGAGGGCACGTTTGGCAATTTTACATTCTAGGTCATCTCAGCCATGTGATGGGAAAAGGCTTCAGTCCCAGCAGATCACCAGGATTGGCCTTCACGGAGCGGAGGGCTGGAGAGTTGAGGATGAGAAGTGAATGTAGGGCTGTGTCAAGGGGAAGTAGAAATCCATGATGCTATTCTTTAAAATCCTGAAGTTGGCCAGGCGGGGTGGCTCATGCCTGTAATCCCAGCTCTTTGGGAGGCCGGGGTGGGCAGATCACTTGAGGTTATGAGTTCGAGGCCAGCCTGGCCAACATAGCAAAACCCCATCTCTACTAAAAATATACACGCACAAAAAAAATTAGCCAGGCATGGTGGCACACACCTGCAATCCCAGGTGCTTGGGAAGCTGAGGCATGAGAACATAGTGAGACCCTGTCTGTACAAAAATTAAATTTAAAAAAATTAGCTACAAGTAGTGATGTGTGGCTGTAGTCCCAGCTACTCAGGAGGCTGAGTGGGGAGGATCATTTGAGTCCACGAGTTGGAGGCTGCAGTGAGCTATGATGGTGTCACTGCACTCCAGCCTGGGTGACAGTGAGACCCTGTCTCTAAATAAACAAACAGAAAAATGATACTGTGTCTCAACAATTGACAAAACAATTACACTGTATTAGGTATTATAAGTAGAGATGGCTTAAAGTGTATGGGAGGATATGCCTGGGTGATATGCAGATACTGCATCGTTTGCTACAAGGGGCTTGAGCATCCTTGGATTTTGATATCAGTGGAAGTCCGAGAACCAACTCCCTGAGGATATTGAGGGCCAGCTGCACACACAGATGAGAAGGAATTAGGCCACTCAGTCAGTCTTCTCCGAAAGAAGTCTTTGTTCTGCCAAAAAGACAAAGCCGGTGTGTTCTCAGGCTGGCAAGACCCTCCCACTTCTCTCCCTCGGGGAGAGCAGACCTGGGTACCTACCACCTTTGAGTTGATGTTCTCTGCCTATAGCCCTTCCCCAGGGCTCTCTGCCCCAGCCCCCTCCTCCTCCAAGCCAGCACAGGCCATGCACCCCCTCCTCTGCGCAGAAGAGCCTGGGATGCAGGGGGAACAGTCAGAGAATAGTCTAAACCACGTGCAAAAATGCAGGCCTGGTGACTTCTGCCCCTTGGGGCGGTCTTCCCACATGGGACTGTTTGTGCCATGTTTGGTCTTTTACCCATGTGGTTGGAGATACTTTGAGTACAGGGTCAAAGGGACTCATTTCCACGTGCCTGTTTTTGTCTTCAGCAAATGGCTGGATTCCCTGTTTAGGATCTGGGGGCATCTCGCTCTTGCTTCCAGCTCTCCAGTGCATGGATACTTTCCTAAAAGTAGACAAAATGTCAGTTCTTTCCAAATTCACTGCAGAGAATGGAGGAGAACAGAGTAGCCTTCCCACATGGAGAAGTTTTCTCTTTTACGCCCAGCGCCCATTGCATTGACACAGACAGTTTCGGTTTCCCAAGAAAACGTTTTCAAGCTGCCTTCATGACTCCTTGGAACTCAAATGCGCAGCTCAGAAGCCGCGGGATGCAGCGGATGCGTCACTAGAGGTACTTGAAAACTTCAGTAACACGCTTATCCTAAAGGAGAAGAAATGGCACAGAAAAGTATGCTAAGCGTCCCACTCAAGAAGTTAGAAAAGGAACAGCAGAATTACCCAGAACAGTAGAAGGAAATAAGTGAAAACCAGTAGAATTCACAAATTAGAGAAGAAAATGAGAGAAGATGGAAGTAGCTGAAGTTAGAAATCTTTTTAATTTTAGTGAAATTAATTTTAGTAGAATCGCCTCTTTTAAGTGTTAAAAAGCATTTAAGCATTTAATTGCTTCTTTTAAATGTTCATTTAAATAAAATTAGTTGAATTATATTTAATTACTTATTTGTAGTACATTAACTAGTTTTTTTATTTTATGTATTTTAAATACAATTAGCTTTTTATTTTTTATTAACATTTAATTTTAATAAACTTCATTTTACTTTAAATCAAATTTTAATTTATAATCAAGTTAAAAATAAACTACAATAAAAAGAGTAGAATGAATAAAATCTGGTAAGATTGCAGATAAAAAGACCAGTCTGGCCAAAATGGTGAAACCCTGTCTCTACTAAAAATAGAAAAAAATTAGCCCGGCGTGGTGGCAGGCACCTAATCCCAGCTTCTCAGGAGGCTGAGGCAGGAGAATCACTTGAACCCAGGAGGTGGAGGTTGCAGTGAGCAGAGGTCACGCCATTGCACTCTAGCCTGGGCAACAAGAGCAAAGCTCCATCATACACACAAAAAAAACAGAATATGCCAATGAATAACATTATGAAGAAAAAAGAAATATAACTCCAGATGTAGCAGAGTTTATAAAAAAAATAAGATGATATTAGGAATAACTATCGCAATGTGTTTAAAAACTTCGTACACAATGGACACATTCATAGAACAATATATTTAACCAAACTGACTCAAGTAGATATAGAATATCCAAATGGTATTGTAGAAATTTAATACATTGAATGAGTGGTTAAAAAGCTTCTCACTAAGAAAATGCTAGACCTAACTGGTATTATCAGGCAGCAGTAAATTCAAGTATTATTTAAGCTCCAGCAGACAAAACACAAAGAAGCAACATATGCAAACTATTTTGAGGCCAAGAATATTTTGATATTCAAACTCAGCAAACTCAACAAAGAAAGCATGGGAAAAGAAATTATAGACCAATCTCACTCTTTGTGAGGTACAAATGTTAGGCAAGTTTCAACAATAGACAATCTATGATTGTACTTTAAATATTTACAGATTAAAGGAGAAAAGAAAACAAAATGGAAACAAAATATTTCTTGTATCAATTGATACAGAAAGTAGCTGTGATAAAACTGAACACCCATTCAGGATTTAACAAACTAGGAATAAATACAAACTTCCTTAATCTGATAAAAGCTTTCTACGGAAAAATGTATGTCATACTAAAGAGTGGGATATTAAAAGTGGTCTCCTTAAAGTCAAGAACAAGTTGGGTGTGGTGGCTCACGCTTGTAATCCCAGCACTTTGGGAGGCTGAGGTGGGTGGGTTGCTTGAGCCTAGGGGTTTGAGACCAACCTGGGCAACATAGTGAGGCCCCATCTCTACAAAAAATACAAAAATTAGCTGGGTGTGGTGGCTTATACCTGAAGTCCCAGCTACTTGAAAGGCTGAGGTGGGAGGATTGCTTGAACTTGGGAGGTCGAGGCTACAGTGAGCTATGATCATGCCACTGCACTCTAGCCTGGGTGAGAGAGTGAGACCTGTCTCAAAAAAAAAAAAAAAAATCAAGAACAAGTCAAGGAAGAACATTCAGAAGAGGAAATCTAAATTACAAATAAACAAATGAAAGCTGCTCAGCTTCAGTAGTAGTCAGGGAAGGAAAGTTAAAACCACAGTTGCTATCTCCCAGTACCAAAGCTGAGCAGACAGAGATGCACTGGAATATGTATACTCTGCTGGTAGATGTGGAAAATATTACTGCTGCTTTGAAAAACCATGTAGAATTACTTAGTAAAGATGAGGATGTGCCAATGACACAGCAGTTCCACTCTGGTTTCTTACCATAGAAAATCTTGTACAAATGTGTAATAGGAAATATACATGAAATTAAATTGCTTATGATGTCATTGCTTATAGTATTACAAGATGGGTGTATTAGTCCATTTCCACATTGCAGATAAAGACATGCCTAAGACTGGGTAATTTATAAAGAAAAAGAGGTTTAATGGACTCACAGTTCCACATGGTTGGGGAGGCCTCACAATCTTGGCAGAAGGCAAAAGGCACGTCATATATGGTGGCAAGCAAGAGAGAATGAGAGCCAAGTGAAAGGCTTTTTCCTTATAAAACCATGAGATCTCTTGAGACTTATTCATTACGATGAGAACGGTATGGGGGAAACTGCCTCCATGATTCAATTATCTCCCATCGGGTCCCTCCCACAACATGTGGGAATTATGGGAGCTACAATTCAAGATGAGATTTGAGTGGAGACACAGCCAAACCATATCAATGAGAAACAATCCAAATGTTCATGATGTTTAAAAAAATGTGGGATATTCAGATCATGGAACAATATGCAGCAAAGAACAACAGAAACACAGCTACCTACTTCAGTGGTGTAATTCTTGAAACAATGGTGAAGGAAATAGCTTGAAAAAAACTCCATACAATGTCATTATGATTATATAGAGATTGGAAACAAGCAAAGTGGGGAAATGCAAATTAAAACAACAATGAGATACCAATACACATCTGTGAGAATGGCCAAAAGCCAGAACACTGACATCACCAAAAGCTGATGAGGTCGTGGAGCAACAGGAATGACCATTCATGGCTGGTGGGAATGCAAAATGGTACAGTCACTTTGGAAGACAGTTTGGCTGTTTCTTACAAAACTAAATATGTCCTGGCATATGATCCAGCAATCACTCTCAATGGTTACCCAAAAGAATTGAAAACTTGTGTCCACGCGAAAACCTGCACATGGATGTTTACAACAGCCTTATTTATAATTGTCAAAACTTGGAGGCAAGGAAGACGTCTTTCAGTAGGTGAATAGACAAATAGACCATGTTGCATCCAGATAATGGGATATCATTCAGCATTAAAAAGAAAGAAGAGGCTGGGTGCAGTGGCTCACGCCTGTAATCCCAGCACTTTGGGAGGCCGAGGCAGGCAGATCACCTGATGTCAGGAATTTGAGACCAGCCTGGACAACATGGCAAAACCCCATCTCTACTAAAAATACAAAAATTAGCCAGCATGGTGGCGTGTGCCTGTAATCCCAGCTATTCAGGAGGCTGAGGCAGGAGAATCGCTGGAACCAGGGAGGCGGAGGTTGCAGTGAGCCTAGATCGCACCACTGCACCCCAGGCCTGGCTGACAGAGTGAGACTCTGTCTCAAAAAACAAAAACAAAAACAAACAAAAAACAGGCCGGGCATGGTGGCTCACGCCTGTAATCCCAACACTTTGGGAGGCTGAGGTGGGAGGATCACAAGGTCAGGAGTTTGAGACCAGCCTGGCCAATGTGGTGAAACCCCGTCTCTACTAAAAATACAAAAATTAGCCAGGCATGGTGGTGGGCACCTGTGGTCCCAGCTACTCAGGAGGCTGAGGCAGGAGAATCGCTTGAACCCAGGAGGTGGAGGTTGCAGTGAGCCAAGATCATGCCACTGCACTCTAGCCTGGGTGACAGAACGAGACTCCATGTCAAAAAAAAAAAAAAAAAAAAAAGAGTAAGATGACAGCAAGAATGAGAAAAAAATAATAAAAAATATATATATAAAGAAATAAGGGTCAGATGTGGTGGCTTGTGCCTGTAGTCCCAGCACTTTGGGAGGCCAAGGGAGAATCCCTTGAGCCCAGGCGCTCGAGACCAGCCTGGGCAACGTAGTGAGATCCTGTTTTTATAAAACATTTTAAAATGTGGTGGTGTGCACCTGTAGTCCCAGCTACTCAGGAGGCTGAGGTGAGAGGATTGCTTAAGCGTAGGAGGTCAAGGCTGCAGTGAGCTATGATTGCACCACTGCACTCCAGCCTGGGCAATGGAGTGAGACCCTGTCTCAAAAAAAAAAAAAAAAAAAAAAGAGAAAAAAAAAGAAACAAAGGAAAAAGAAGAAAAGAGAAAAGAAATGAGCTATAAGCCGGACATATTACTAATTGAAAGAAGACAATCCAAAAGGGCTACATGCGATTCTAACTATAGGACTTTCTGGAAAAGGCAAAACTATGAGACAGTAAAAAGATCAGTGGTTGCCAGGATGTGGGAATGAATAGGCGGAGTACAGAGGATTTTTAGTGTAGTGAAACTCCTCTGCGTGACACTATAGTGGTATATCCATGCTATTATACATTTACCCAAACCCACAGAACGTCCGCCACCAAGTGTGAACCCGAAAGTGAACGATGGGCTCTGGTGTCAATGATGTGTCAATGCCGGTTCATCAGCTGCCACAGACAGCAGGGGAGGTGATGCATGTTCAGGGTAGGGGGTCCATGGAACTCTCTGTACCTTCCTCTCAATTTTGCTGTCAATCTAAAACTGCTCTAAAAAATAAAATCTACTAAAAATGTATACATATGTAACAAACCTGCACGTTGTGCACGTGTACCCTAGAACTTAAAGTAGAATAAATAAAAATAAAAATAAAGTAATATATCAGAGGTTGAAAAACAACAACAACAAAGACAAAAAAAAAAACACAGGCCGGGAGCAGCTCATGCCTATAATCCCAGCACTTTGGGAAGCTGAGGCGAGATTATTGCTTGAGTCCAGGAGTTCAAGACCAGCCTGGGCTACGTAATGACACCCTGTCTCTACAAAAACAAAAATAAAATTAGCCGGGCGTGGTGGTGCACACCTGTAATCCCAGCTACTCGGGAGGCTGAGGCAGGAGAATCGCTTGAACCCGGGAGGCAGAGGTTGCAGTGAGCCGAGATAGTGCCACTGCGCTCCAGCCTGGGCAACAGAGCGAGACTGTCTCAAAAAAAAAGTGACTCAAACATGTGAAAAGATGCTCAATCTTACTCATGATGAATAAATTTTTTTAAAAATGAATGCTACAAATATATACAAATAAAAATATTATCCTGGCATGGTGGTGCTACCTGTAGTCCCAGCTACTTGAGAGGCTGCAATGGGAGGATCGCTTGAGCCCACGACTTTGAGGCTGCCGTGAGCCATGATCGCACTATTGTACTCCAGGCTGGGGAACACAGTGAGACCCTGTCTCTAAAAAACAGCACAAAACAAAAACACACACAGACAACATAATATACAGTGTAGAGATGAGACACATCACTAAACTATATATAAAACAAATTGATGAATAACATAAGTGGTTAACATAAATTCTGGGTTGAGAGAGGCACACAAGGCCCTTTTGAGGTATGGGATGCATGTTTTGATTTAAATTGCATTTATGTAGGTGTTCGTTCTATTATTCTTGAACTGTACAAAATACGATATACTCACCCATGAGTGAAAGGAAAAGAAAATAATTCTACCAGCTGATTTACTCACACTGTAGTGATGGGACTTTTTCAGCAATTTTGATGTCATGTGATTGCGTCAAGAAGTCAATCAGAATTTCAGAACTGGAACAGACCAGGAACAAAGATATCCATGAAGAAAATAACCTCAAAATTACAGTCAGTGGTAGGACTGTTGAGAACCAGCTTGTTTTTTTGTTTTTGTTTTTGTTTACATTTTCCCACCCTGTTTTGTGACGCAACACATCCTAGATACCAGTGGACATCCCTCAAAGGTGTTAACTTTCTCTACTCAAGAAGACAAGTGGACTTCATGTCATGTGAAGCTATTTTAAAATATCTTGTCCTTTTAAGAATGAAAACAACTTATTTTATGAGTCCATTTATTTTATTTATTTTTGAGACAGGGTCTCACTCTGTCACCCAGGCTGGAGTGCGGTGGTGCCATCACGGCTCAATGCAGCCTCTGTCTCCTGGGCACAGATGGTCCTCCCACTTCAGCCTCCTGAGTAGCTGGGACTACAGGCATGCACCACCACACCTGGCTATTTAAAAAATATTTTTGTAGAAATGGGGTCTTGCTATATTGCCCAGGCTGATCTTGAACTCCTAGGCTCAAGCAATGTACCCACTTCAGCCTCCCAAAGTGCTGAGATTACAGATGTGAGCCACTGCACCTGGTCATCCATTTTAATTATTTTCATGTACTTAATGAAATAACCTAAAATTCAACTAATAACCCAAATAAGACATACTATCAGGTCTTGGTAAGAAATGAGAGTCTTAGCTGGACACGGTGGCTGATGTCTATAATCCCAGAAATTTAGGAGGCTAAGGTGAGATGACTGCTCGAGCCCGGGAGTTTGAGACCAGCCTGGGCAACATAGTGAGACCCGATTTCTACAAAAAAATACAAAAACGAGCTGGGCATGGTGGCATGTGCCTGTGGTCCCAGCTACTCGGGAGATGGAGGTGGGAAGATCTCTTGAGCAGGGGGCTAAAGGCTGCAGTGACCCATGATCCAGCCACTGCACTCCAGCCTGTGCTACAGGGTGAGACCGCATCTCAAAAAAAAAAAAAAAAAAAAATGAGAGTCTTACCAGCCTGACCAATATGGTGAAACCCCATCTCTACTAAAAATACAAAAATTAGCCAGGCGTGGTGGCGCATGCCTGTAATCTGAGGTAGAGCCTGAGGCAGGAGAATTGCTTGAACCTGGGAGGCAGGGGTTGCAGTGAGCTGAGATTGGGCCACTGCATTCCAGCCTGGGCGACAGAGTGAGACTCTGTCTCAAAAAAAAAAAAAAAAAAAAAAGAAATGAGAGTCTTGAATATTAAAGCCAGTGTAGTACTTGCAATATAACATGATTTTCAAGTGGCACTTTAAAGACTTCCTTAATTCTTACTATTTCCTTGTAAAATTTCAGAGTCTAAAATGCATTTTATAGAGTAAAAGTAATAAAAAGTGAATTCATTTCTACACCACCCCCCAATCTAATCGTCTTCGTTCTCTCTTTCACACTTTCTCTCTCTCTCTCTCTCTCTCTCTATCTATCTATATATATATATATATATATATATATATATATCTCTTACGTACATATTCTGTTTAGTCCTCTCAGGCACTAATTTGGACGTCATCTTTATCTTCCTCTTGTTTTTTACAATGCAGAATCGGTCACCACATCCTCTTGACTTTGCTTTTATCAGCACCATCATGGTGGAGACTTTCCTGTCTATCTCTGTCATTCATCTCCTGCCCAGGACTACTTCAGCCCATGACCACAGACTTGCCATACCCTTCCTGTAGCTTTCTCTTTAAAGCGTCAACCCCACCCCCCACCACAGCTTCCAGAATCATTTTTCTTAGATATTGCTGAGGTCATCATGCAATTAATTACTCAGAAAAGCTTTCTGGTTCCGTTGGTGAAAAATATAGAGCTGGGAGCTAAATGACAAGAACTCATGAACACAAAGAAAGAAACAACAGACGCTGGGGTCTACTTGAGCGGGGCGGGTGGGAGGAGGGAGAGGAGAGAAAAGATCACCATTGGGTGCTGGGCTTAGTACCTGGGTGATGAAATAATCTGTACAGCAAACCCCTGTGACACATGTTTACTGATTAACAAACCTTTCCATGTACACCCAAACCTAAAATAAAAGGTAAATAAATAAATAGGCTGGGCACAGTGGCTCACGCCTGTAATCCCAGCACTTTGGGAGGCTGGGGCGGGTGGATCACTTGAGGTCAGGAGTTCGAGACCATCCTGGCCAACATGGTGAAACCCCATCTCTACCAAAAATACAAAAGTTAACCAGGTGTGGTGGTGTACGCCTGTAATCCCAGCTACTCGGGAGGCTGAGGCATGAGAATCGCTTGAACCCAGGAGGCAGAGGTTGCCATGTGCTGAGATCATGCCAGTGCACTCCAGCTGGGGCCATAGAGTGAGACTCAGTCTCAAATAAATAAATAAATAAATAAAAGATAGAACATGGGCTGGGTGCGGTGGCTCATGCCTGTAATCCCAGCACTTTGAGGGACCAAGGTGGGCAGATTGTTTGAGCTCAGACGTTTGAGACCAGCCTGGGTAACATAGTGAAACCTTGTCTCTAAAAAACATACAAAAAATAGCCAGGTACGGTGCAGCACACCTGTAGTCTCAGCTATTTGGGAGTGAGTGGTAGGAGGATTGCTTGAACCTGGGGGGTTGACGCTGCGGTGACCTGTGATCGTGCTACTATATTTCAGCCTGAGCAACAGAGTGAGACCCTGTCTCAAAAAAAAACAAAAACATATATGTAGAGAGAGAGCATCCCTGGTGTAGTGAACACTGTAGTGTGCTACTCAGTCCCTGCTATGAACATGAGTGCGTATGTACTGTTTTGCATCTCACTGCTTTTATTTCTTTGGGGTACATATTTGGGAGTGTCAGACTTTTTCTTAATCTTATTTTTTCTGGCACATTATCTCACCTTTACTCTCAGCTCTCTCCGGCGTCCATGAATCTAGATCTTTGCTTATTCATCACTGGTTAAAATTACAAGTAAGTTTGTCCAAGTTGTCGAGATGTGTTCATCTGGCTGCAAGGAGTAGGAGGAGAATTCTTCTGACAAGCACTGCTGTGCAAAGCTCCTGTCTCCAGCCCCGCCTGTGTCTGCACCTTGAGAGCCACCTGCTGTCTCCCATTCCTGAGATGGTTAAGATTTCTGGGACTTCTTGTTGGGTTGTCCTGTGTATTGCCATGAGTTCATTGCCTCCATCTCCGTCCTGCCTGCCATGACAGTTACTGCTAGCTTAGAGTCCTAGTCCATTTGGGCTGGGAGGCTTGTAGACAACAGATGTTTATTGCTCATGGTTCTGGAGGCTGGAGGTCCAGGAGCAAGGTGTGGCAGATTCAGTGTCTGGTGAGGGCTTCCTGGTTCATAGATGGCACCTTCTCACTGTGTCCTCACATGGTGGAAAGGGTGAGGGAGCTTTCTGGGGTCCCTTTTCTAAGGGCACTGATCCCATTCATGAGGCCCCACCCTCATGACATCAGCACCTCCCAAAGGTCCCACCTCCTAACCTCATGACTTTGGGGGTTAGCATTTCAACATAGGAATTTTGGGGGTCACACACATTCACACCGCAGCATCCATCTGCCTCCAAGCCTTCTAAAGGTCATCCTCGTCTTTTGTCTGCTGAGGGGGAAAAAGAGAGACAGACACCCATGCGCGCGTGCACACACACACACACACACACACACAAACACACAGCAAAGATAAACTATTTTGTTAAATTTGCTATGTGCTATGTACTATGTCTAACAGTAAGTCCTGGTTATTTGTTCATAAACCTGCATTTCCCATTAGACTATATCATCTGGAAAGGAGAATATAATGTTTCCCTCAGCCTTTTTATTTCTGACTCTCAGCATACTGCCTCAAAACAGGAGCGATCAGAACGTGTTCATTAAGTAGGCAGACGTGTCTCATCAATGCCAATGTTAATTAGCATCTAGAGGTCCAGGTATCTCTCCTACTGCTTAAACATGCTACATCGAAAATTAGAGAAATGAAACCAAGCTTGCTTCTATGTGTGAGAAAAGAGGGGATAAATGGCTTGAAATGAGAATGATATTTTTTCTCTTTTTCTTGAGACAGGGTCTTGCTCTGTTGCCGAGGCTGGAGTGCAATGGTGCAATCATGTCTCACTGCAGCCTTGACCTCCCAGGCTCAAGTGATCCTCCCACCTCAGCCCCCTGAGTAGCTGGGTCCATGGGTATGCAGCCCCTCATCAGGCAAATTCTTTTTGTATTTTTAGTAGAGACAGGGTTTTGCCATGTTGCCCAGGCTGGTCTCAAACTTTGGACTCAAGAGACCTGCCCCCGCTTGGCCTCTCAAAGTGCTGGGATTACAGGTGTGAGCCACCGCGCTCAGCCTGAAATGAGAATGTTTTACTCAAATATAGGAGAACCTCTAAGTTTCTGGGTCTCCATGAGACTGGGAGGAAAATGGCTCGCATTGTTGTGACATTTCAGTGTGTGAAGGGGGAAGAGAAAAGACTCTAGAATAGTGGGGGCTGGGGAGGCGGAGGGAGAAAGACACAGAGCGAGAGAATGACAGAGAGAGAGAGTGACAGAGTCATGCAAAAAGAGAGAAAACTGAGTGGGAGAAAGAATGAGAGAGAATGACAGAGTCATGCAAAAAGAGAGAGGGAAAGAAGAGGGAGAGAAAGAGAGAGATTGTGGGAGAGAGAATGAGAGAGAAAGAGAATGACAGAATTATGCAAAAGAAGAGAGACGGAGAGACTGGGAGGGAGAATGAGAGAAACAGAGTGGGAGAGAGAAAGAGAATGAAAGAGAGAATAAGAGAGAGAAAGAGAGAATGAGAGAGAAAATGAGAGGCCGGGCACAGTGGCTCACGCCTGTAATCCAGGCACTTTGGGAGGCCGAGGTGGGTGGATCATTTGAAGTCAGGAGTTCAAGACCAGCCTGGCCAACATGGTGAAACCCCATCTCTACTAAAAATACAAAAATTAGCCGGGAGTGGTGGTGTGTGCCTGTAATCCCAGCTACTCGGGAGGTTGAGGCAGGAAAATCATCTGAACTCGGGAGGCAGAGCTTGCAGTGAGCCGAGATCGTGCCAATGCACTCCAGCCTGGGGGACAGAGCAAGACTCCGTCTAAAAAAAAAAAAAAAGAAAATGAGAGAGAGAGAGATGCAAAGGGTTGAGAAAAAATAAAAAAGGGATTCGACTTTGCCTCAGGCTCAGCAGCACTGGAAGCTCAATAGTAACAGTGATGCCTTCACCATTTTGGGGGGAAATGTCTAGGATTGCATACACAACCCAGCCATGCCACATGAGGGACTGAGCATGAAGGCTGGAGCTCACGTAGCTGCAGAATGCCTCTTAACGGTAACCCCCATGCACTCTTGCTGGTAATGTCTTAGAAAACTGGATTTGAGGAAATGAGGGCAATTTGAGCATGAGGGAGACATGGAATTCAGGAACTGATGCAGCTAACGTGAAGAAATTTGGGGGGAATTTTCAGGATGACCATAAAAATAACATCCTGCACACAGTGAGTAGGGAGCTAGCCTTAACATTTTACAACCACGATCACATTTAATGCACGTGACTATTATTATTCTCATTTTCCAACCAGTCATGGAAACTGAGCTGCAGAGACGCAGACTTATCTGATCAAGATACCACAAGAAGCAATCCAGGCTACAAACCCAGGCTGTTTGGAAACGGGATGTCCTGGGGACAGTAGCTCTGGGGGTGTCTTAGAAAGCCTTGAATCCAGGTTGGAGAAGGAAGTTGTAGGGTCCCAGGAGGCTGTGTTCACCATCATGATGTGACTACCTTAGGTGTTAACGGTATTTGGAAGGGATTTTCAGTCTCGTAATAAGTCTGTGAAAAGAATTTTAGAAGGCAAACCATGAACAGCTAGCAAGCTTAGGAAATTCAAGAATGTATACAAGGAAGGGAAGTTAGGCACATCTCAGTATTTAGAGAACTCACATAATGTAAGTTTGGGTATTCATTTAGTAAACATTGGTGATGTAGCCATATCAGGAAGCTGAATAGAAAGGAAATGTGTGTGTGTGTGTGTGTGTGTGTGTGTGTATGTGTGCAGGCACTTGAGGGAATGGTGATTGGGCAAAAAACGAAAAGCCATCATCCTACAAACAGAAAGTTAATAGATACCATCTAAAGTTAAGAAACACAAGAGATTTCTGGGCAAATATGTTATTTCAAAATATAAAGTAGATCCCAGAAAAAAAATAGGAGTGAACCTTGAGGGCAAGACATAAGCTTAAGGTTTGGCTTCATCTTTTGAGCTTTATACATGTATCACTTTGACAAGAATAAAAAGAATAAAAACTACATTTAAAATTAGAGGCCAGTCATGGTGGCTCACATCTGTAATCCCAGAGTTTTAGAGGCTGAGGTAGGAGCATCGCCAGAGGCTAGGAGTTTGAGACCAGTCTGGGTAACACAGTAAGACCCTGTCTCTACAAAAAAATTAAAATTGGTTTTGTGTATGATGGTATGTGCCTGTGGTCCCAGCTACTCGGGTGGGTGAGGTGGGAGAAAACTTCAGCCCAGGAGTTCAAGAGTTCAGTGAGCTGTGATTGCACCACTGCATTCCAGCTTGGGTGACAGAGTGGAGACCGTGTCTCTAAAATAAATAAATAAGTAAATAAAATTAAATTAAAAAAGAAGTATTCTTTTCTTTTTTGTGACAGAGTCTCGCTCTGTCGCCCAGGCTGGAGTACAGTGGCGTGATCTCGGCTCCTGGGTTCAAGTGATTCTCCTGCCTCAGCCTCCCGAGTAGCTGGGATTACAGGCGCCTGCCACCATGCCTGGTTCATTTTTGTAGTTTTAGTAGAGACAGGGTTTCACCATGTTTGTCAGGCTGGTCTCAAACTCATGACCTCAGGTGATCCGCCCGCCTCGGCCTCCCAAAGCGCTGGGATTACAGGCATGAACCACCGCGCCTGGCCTATTATTTTTTCTTTCCAACTTTTATTTCCGGTTCAAGGGGTACATGTGCAGGTTTGTTGCATGGGTAAATTGCATGCTGTGGAGCTTTGGTGTACAGACGATTTTATTGCCCAGGTAATCAGCATAATACTGGATAGGTAGTTTTTCAATCTTCATTCTCCTCCTACCCTCCACCCTCAAGTAGGCCCTAGTGTCTATCATACCCTTCTTTGTGTCCATGTGAACTCAATGTTTAGTTCCCAGTTAGAAGTGAGAACATGCAGTATTTAGTATTCAGATCCTGCATTAATTTGCTTAGGATAATGGCCTCCAGCTACATCCATGTCGCAGCAAAGGATGTGATTTCCTTCTTTTTCATGGCTGCATAACATTCCATGGTGTGTATGTACCATGTTTTCTTTATCCAATCTGTCATTTATGGGCATTTTGGTTGATTCCATATCTTTGCTATTGTGAATAGTGCTGCAATGAACATACATGTGCATGTGTCTTTATGGTAGAATGATTTATATTCCTTTGTGTATATACCCAGTAGTGAGATTGTGGGGTCAAGTGGTGGTTGTGTTTTAAGTCCTTTGGGAAATGTCCAGACTGATTTCCACAGTGGCTGAACTAATTTACACTCCCACCAACAGTCTATAAATGTCCTCTTTTCTCTCAGCTTTGCCAGCATCTGTTATTTTTTAACTTTTAATAACAACTTAGATGACAACTTTAAATTTAATTTAAAATTTAATTTTAATTTAAAATTAATTTTAAAATTTAGACTCTGACAAAGTTCCATGTGTAATTTTTGTAAAAATACAAAATTTAGCAGGGCATGGTGGTGTGTACCTGTGGTCCCAGCTAGTTGGGAGGTTGAGGTGGAAGGATCTCAGGAAGTCACGGCTGCAGTGAGCTATGATCACACCACTGCACTCCAGCCTGGGTGACAGAGCAAGACCTTGTCCCCCACCCCCAAAAAAGGTATATTATCCACTTTAAAATTTGATTAAATGATTAAACAACACAGGTCAATTGATTTCATTTCTGTGTTGTCAAAAATAACAGCTGAGTTTGCTACGTTAAAACGAAGCAAGAATTTTTGAGAGCTTGGAATTGCGTGGTGGAGAGTTCAAAAGCAGCGAGATAGCTTCTGTGTCATCACTGCTGATGGAAATTGGCTCTTCGTGGGAAGGTGGAGATGCAGGAAGAAACTAGTGAGAGGCATTCTGTGGTCCTTGACCAAGGGCTAGAAGCATTACCCCCATAGAGAGGGGACTTCCACACAGAAGCTTGGTGATGTTGGCAGAATAATGTTACTGAAGGACATCCATACCCTAATCCCTGGAACTAGTGGCTACATTCCCTTACATAGTCAAAGGGACTTTGCAGTTGTGACAAAGTTAAGGATATTGAGATTGGGGGATGATCGTGGATAATCCACATATGTCCAATGTCATCACAGGCATCCTTATAAGAGGGAAGTAGGAGGTCAGAGTCAGAGACGAAGACATGAGGATGGAAGCAGAGGTGGAATGATGTGCTTTGGAGATAAAGGAAGGGGCCGTGAGCCAAGGAATGTGGGTGGTTTCCAGAATATGGGAAAGCTAAGGAAATTAATTTTACCCCTAGAGCTTCCAGAAAGAACCAGTTTTGCCAACATCTTGGTTTCAGCCTATGATGTGATGTGAATTTTTGTCCCCACCTGTATCAGTTCCTTCTCACACTGCTAATAAAGACATACCCAAGACTGGGTAATTTATAAAGGAAAGATGTTTAATTGACTCACAGGTCAGCATGGCTGGGGGCTTCAGGAAACTTACAATCATGGTGGAAGGAGAAGCAAACACATCCTTCACGTGGCGACGGCCAGGAGAAGTGCAGAGTGAAGCGGGGCAAAGTCCCTTATAAAAGCATCAGATCTCATGAGAAGTCACTCGCTATCATGAGAACAGCATGGAGGTAACTGCCCCCATGATTCAATTACCTCCCACTGGCTCCCTCCCATGACACCTGGAGATTATGGGAACTACAGTTCAAGATGAGATTTGGGTGGGGACACAGCCAAACCATATTGCCACCCAAGTCGGCTGTTGAATGGTAATCCATGGTGTTGGACGAGGGGCCTGGTGGGAGGTGGTTGAATCATAAGGGCATTTTTCCCCCTTGCTGTTCTCATGATAGTGAGCGAGTTCACACAAGATCTGGTTGTTTAAAAGTGTGTGGCACCTCCACCTTTGCTCTCTTCTTCCTTCTCCAGCCATACAGAATGTGCCTCCTTCCTCTTCGCCTTCTGCCATGATTGTAAGTTTCCCTAGGCCTCCCCAGCCATGCCTCCTGTACAGCCTGCAGAACCGTGAATCAATTAAACCTCTCTTCTTTATAAATTAGCCAGTCTCACGTAGTTCTTTTTAGCAATGTGAGAACAGACTAATACAGCCTGTAAGACCCATTCTGAACTTCTGACTTACAGAACTGTAAGATAGTCCATTGATTGTGTTAAGTCACTAAGTGTGTGAGAATTTGTAACAGCAGCAATGGGAAACTCGTATACTTGGTGTTTCCAACTCATTATGCTGATGATGCCTCCCAATTTGAGCAATCCAATCTTGAATTGGGCTACAGCTGGTTTCCCTGTCACTGCCCCATTCAACAATGTAGATGTAGGAATTGTTGGGCCAGGCATGGTGGCTCATGCCTGTAATCCCAGCACTTTAGGAGACTGAGGAAGGTGGATCACTTGAGGTCGGGAGTTCGAGACCAGCCTGGCCAACATGGTGAAATCCCATCTCTACTAAAAATACAAAAATTAGCCAGGCGTGGTGGCGGGCACCTGTAGTCCCAGCTACTCAGGAGGCTGAAGTAGGAGAATCCCTTGAACTTGGGAGGCAGAGGATGAAGTGAGCTAAGATGGTGCCATCGCACTCCAGCCTGGGTGACAGAGCAAAACTCCATCTCAAACAAAACAAAACAAAAACAATGTAGATGTAAGAATTGTAAATTCTTCATCTTTTTCTTTTTTAGAGATGGGTTCTTGCTATGCTGCCCAGGCTGAGCTCAAATTCCTGGGCTCAAAGGATCCTCCTGCCTCAGTCTCCTGAATAGTTGGGACCAGCACCTGGCTTGTAAATTATTTGTTTCAGTTATTTTGCTTAAATACATTATTATATTTATTCTTTTCAATATTTCTTTTCTACATATTTCTTTTTTTGAGATGGAGCCTCACTCTGTTGCCCAGGCTGGAGTGCAGTGGTGCGATCTTGGCTCACTGCAACTTCTGCCTCCTGGGTTCAAGCAATTCTCCTGCCTCAGCCTCCCAAGTAGCTGGGATTACAGGCGCCCACCACCACACCCGGCTAATTTTTGTATTTTTAGTAGAGATGGGATTTCACCATGTTGGCCAGGCTGGTCTCGAACTCCCGACCTCAAGTGATCCACCTTCCTCAGTCTCCTAAAGTGCTGGGATTACAGGCAGGAGCCACAGCTCCTGGCCTTCTTTTCTACATATTTCTATATTCTTTTTTTCTTCTGTATATTCTTTTTTTTTTTTTTACTTTAAAACACATTTATATTGGCATATTCTTCTTTTAATTGACAAATCAAATATTGTATGTATTTATGATGTTTTGATACATATATCCACTGTGGAATGGCTAAATTGAGCTAATTAACATTCCCTAACATAGTTATGTTTTCGTGGTGAGAACATTTAAAATCTACTCTCATAGTAATTTTCACTTAACAGTGAATGTCTTCACCATTCACCGCCGATAAAATATATTGTTATTTACTGTGGTCATCATGCTATAAAATAGATTTCTTGAACTTATCCATCCTGTCTAACTGACATTTTGTGTCTTTTTTTGAGGGGGAGGTTCTTTTTTTACAGACATGGGGTCTCACTCTGTTGCTCAGGCTGGAGTGCAGTGGTATAATCATGGCTCACTGCAGCCTTGAAATCCTGGGCTTGAGATTCCCCTGCCTCAGCCTCCCAAATAGCTGGGACCACAGGTGGGCGGCACCATGCCCAGCTAACTGAAATTTGCTTTTTTGGCAGAGGTAGGATCTCACTATGCTGCCCAGGCTCATTTTTTTGTCATTCACCATATCTTCAGTGAATATATTTGCTATTTGATTATATGTGGCAGGATATTGCTCTGTTTGACTAGCTCTCTGAGGGTGGTTAGTGTGACCCAGCACAGATGCTCAGTGAATACGTCTTCATGAGTTCAGTTACACTTGAAGGTGGGTGATGATAAAGATGTGACTTAATACCCCATTTCTGATGTAACATTGGACATCTTTGGAAGGAACTTTGGGAGGCAGCTCATTGTAACAAGAAGATGGACTTACAATAAGATAAGATATGGTCTGATTAGAGGAATGCAAATCAAAACCACAATGAGAGACCATCTCACACCAGTCAGAATGGCAATTATTAAAAAGTCAAAAACCAACAGAAGCTGGTGAGGTTGCAGAGGAAAAGGAAGGCTTTTACACTATTGGTGGGAGTGTAAATTAGTTCAACCATTGTGGGAGAGTGTGGTGATTTCTCAAAGATCTAGAGGCAAAACTATCATTTAACCCACCAATCCTATTGCTGGGTATATACTCAAAGGACTGTAAATTACTCTATTATAAAGATACATAGACGTGTATGTTCACTGCAGCACTATTCATGATAGCAACAACACGGGATCAATCCAAATGACCATCAGTGGTAGACTGGACAGAGAAAATGTGGTCCATAGACACCATGGAATACTATGCAGCCATAAAAAGGAGTGAGATTATGTCCTTTGCAGGAATGTGGATGAAGCTGGAAGCTGTTATCCTCAGGAAACTAACACAGGAAGAGAAAACCAAACACTGCATGTTCTCACTTATAATTGGGAGATGAACGATGAGAACACATGGACACATTGTGGGGAAGAGCACACTCTGGGGCCTGTTGTAAGGGGGCGCAGGGGGAGGGAGAGCATCAGGAAGAATAGCTAATGGATGCCAGGCTCAATACCTGGGTAATGAAATGTACATGAAAACCATAATGAGTTGCTATCTCATGCCAGTCGGAATGGCGATTATTAAAAAGTGAAAAACAACAAAGCAGCATGGCCCACGTTTGCCTCTGAAACAACCTGCACAGCCTGCACTGATACCCCCGGACTTAAAATAAAAGTTGAAGGAAAAAGAAAAAGCATATGGTCTGACTACCTGGGGCCACTTTCTAGTTGACGTGATATTATCCACAGTAATTCACTTGGCTGGGTCTCAGAATTTTTGCCTGATGAGATAACAGTGGTTACTTCAGAGAGTTTTGGGGGAAAAAGCATATAGGCTACTGTGATAGGTAGAATAATGATTCCCCAAAGATGTCCACATCTGAATCCCTGGAACCTGGGAACAGCTGATCTTGCACGGTCAGGAGGACTTTGCAGATGAGATGAGGTTAAGGATCTTGAGATGGGAGATGCCCCTGGATGACCCAGGTTGGCCCTAAATGCCGTCACAGGCTCCTTCTAAGAGGGAGGCAGGAGGGTCCAAGTTGGAGAAGGAGACATGAAAATGGAAGCTGAGATGCGAGTGAGGGAGAGCCATGAGCTTGGAAACGCTGGAAGCTAAAGAAGGCAAGGAATCGGATCCTCCCCACAGCCTCCAGAAAGAACCAGCACTCCTGGGTTTCATAAGAGACAGAAACTTTCTCTGTCACCCAGGCTGGAGTACAGTGCTACAATCACGGCTCACTGCAGCCTTGAGCTCCTGGGCTCAAGCGATCCTTCCACCTCACCCTCCCAAGTAGCTGGGACTACAGGCAGGCACCACAACACTCAGCTAATTTTTAGTATTTTTTTGTAGACAGGGAGTCTTGCATATTGCCTAGGCTGGTCGTGAACTCCTAGCCTCAAGCAATCCTCCTGCCTCAGCCTCCCAAAGTGCTGGGATTACCAGTGTGAACCACTGTGCCCAGTCGACACCTTAATTTTATCTCCATGAGCCTCGTGTGGGGCTTCTGACCTCTAAAACTGTAATACATTTGTTTGTGTTAGGCACATACGTTTGTGGTGATTTTTTACAGCAGCATTATAAAACTAACATGGATTTCATTTGGGAATTTGGGAAAAGCTCATTTATTGCCTAATGTAGACAAGCTTCTTAATAAATGGTAGGTCCCCCCCTTCCCTCCCTTCCTTCTTTCTTTTTGAAAGACAAACCCCCCTATGTATTATAGGACTCTGAATATTAGATCCTATGGGAAAAAATGATGATGGTTATATAAATAATAACCCACTTATTTTCTTCTCATCTTTTTGCCAAGTATAATAAATTGATCTTGACGTGCAAATGCATGAGAAGCATGATTTTCGTGCCCATTCATGATTAGTATACTTTTCTGGTGCTCAGTAATTTTAAAGTGTTTCACTCTGTTTTCCCCAAAGACAAACACACTAAGATCACAAGAAAGAACTACATGCTTTTATTCTCTGCCTCTGAGCTAAATCCACTGGGGTATTTGCCTGGGAGTTTTGGGGAAACACTGAGAAAAAAAAAAAGAAAGACAGAATACTATCTTTTTTTTTTTTTTTTTTTTTTTTTTGAGACAGTCTTGCTTTGTTGCCCATGCTGGAGTGCAGTGGTGCAATCTCAGCTCACTGCAACCTCTGCCTCTTGGGTTCAAGAGATTCTCCCACCTCAGCCTCCTGGGTAGCTGGGATTGCAGGCACTCCAATACACCTGCTAATTTTTGTATTTTTATTAGAGACAGATTTTCATCATGTTGGCCAGGCTGGTCTCAAACTCCTGACCTCAGGTGATCTGCCTGCCTCAGCCTCCCAAAGTGCTGGGATTACAGGCATGAGCGACCATGCCTGGCCCTATTAATTTTTATTTATTGCTCTTATTTTTATTTTTATTTTTTGAGATGGAATCTTGCTCTGTCGCCCAGGCTGGAGCGCAGTGGCATGATCTCAGCTCACTGCAACCTCCACCTCCCAGGTTCAAGCAATTCTCCTGCCTTAGCCTCCCAAGTAGCTGGGATTACAGGTGCCCACCACCATGCTCAACTAATTTTTGTATTTTTTAGTAGAGACAGGGTTTCAGCATGTTGGCCAGGCTGGTCTCGAACTCCTAACCCCAAGTGAGTCACATGCCTGGGCCTCCCAAAGTGCTGGGATTACAGCCGTGAGCCACCGTGCCCAGCCTCTATTAATTTTTAATATATCCTGGATTGTGGGAATTAATGAATTCTAGGTAAGAAGCACAAAAATTTAGACAGCCTTGGAAATGTCGTCATGATTCCTTGCATTGGATATATTGAGTGTGGCCAGGTCTGTGGCCTTATTTTGGGTGAATTCTGGGTTGAAGTCCAGCTGAATGGACTAAAGCCGTTTTCCCATTTAAGGGGATATCCCATAGTGATATCAGCCCCTGTGTTGTAACTGAATTTCAGGTTCAGTCACTCACTGCTGGCAGAGTTCAATTAACAAGAGTGAGGTCTGATAAAGAAAGTGACTTTTTATTCCAAAGCTAGCTTAGGGGAAGGAGTACATGCTTCCTGCCTTAAGAGTACTGCTTTGCTTCTGGCACAGAAAGTAGGGGCTTTTTTTTTTTTAGACGGAGTCTCGCTCTGTCGCCCAGGCTGCAGTGCAGTGGCCTGATCTCGGCTCACTGCAAGCTCCGCCTCCCGGGTTCGCGCCATTCTCCTGCCTGAGCCTCCTGAGTAGCTGGGATTACAGGCGCCCGCCACCACCCCCGGCTAATTTTTGTATTTTTGGTAGAGACGGGGTTTCACCATGTTGGCCAGGATGGTCTCCATCTCTTGATCTCGTTATCCGCCCAACTCGACCTCCCAAAGTGGTGGGATTACAGGTGTGAGCCACCGTGCCCAGCCCTATAATTGCATTTCTAAAGAGCTAAGTAGGAAGTGATGAACAGGGGAAAAGGAGAAAAGACAAAAAAGAGGAAAAAATAATTTTAAAAACTCATTCTCTTTCTCTCAGGAAAATGGGGGTAATGGCCGGGCGCGGTGGCTCATGTCTGTAATCCCAGCACTTTGGGAGGCCGAGACAGGTGGATCACGAGGTCAGGAGATCGAGACCATCCTGGCTAACACGGTGAAACCCCGTCTCTACTAAAAATACAAAAAATTAGCCGGGCGTAGTGGCGGGCGCCTGTAGTCCCAGCTACTCCGGAGGCTGAGGCAGGAGAATGGCGTGAACCCGGGAGGCGGAGCTTGCAGTGAGCCGAGATCAGGCCACTGCACTCCAGCCTGGGCGACGGAGCGAGACTCTGTCTCAAAAAAAAAAAAAGAAAAGAAAAAAAGAAAAATGGGGGTAACGGGTTACAATGTGACCTTCCTATGGGAAGGGCAAGTTGCAGTAGTACAAAATGCAGACTTGTGCCTTCGGGTGCCCCCTGCAAGGGTGCATTACAGAACTCATGAAAGGAACAGCCCAGGTACCTGCCGAGCACATAGACTCATGGAGGAAGCAGCAGAACGGTTTGGAGGTTACACCCTTTCTCATTATTTCCTCTAAGCCTTTTATCCTAAAGGCATGACCTATTTTGGAAATGAATGTGGAGACAAATGCCAATTTTGGAGACAAATGCCAGCTTCTTCAGTTAGGAACTCAGCCAGTCTGGGCTTGTGCAGCTAAGAGACTAATGGCATGGAATCTTCTTAGCTTGTAGGTTAAATGCTGCTAAGTGGAGAGAGAGTCTGATGTGGAGCTTGGAAGAAGCCTTTGCAATGTCACCTCGGGATTCCCTGGGGCCAATCATTTAAGGCACTGGTGAGTCCAGTCCATTGTCTTGACCTTCCCTTGCTAATGTTTGGGGGTTTTGTCATGTTTTCTGTTTGTCACTTAGAAACGAGGCACAATGAAAAGAGGTCAAACCAAATTTGTTCAGTTTTGTTACAGCTGTGGTAGATGCTAAGGAATAGAAGGAGTAAAAATGAGGGAAAGGAGGGGAATTTTAGATTTCTCATAGATTTTAATTCTGCACATTGTCATTGTTTTATAAGCATAAATGTACATGTGCATACACACACATACACACACACACAACTGTAACTGCCATGCATCCACCCACACATTTATTCATCCATCCATCCATCATTCCATCCATCCACCCACCTACTTACCCATCCATCCATCTATCCACCCACCCATCCATACATACACCCACCCTCTCACCTACCTATCCATCCATCCATCCATCTACCTATCCACCCACCCATCTATTTACTCACATGCCCACCTACCCCTCCATCCATCCATCCACCCACCCATCCATCCATCCACCCCCCTACCCATCCAGCCAGTCATCTATTCACCCATCCATCCAGCCATCCATCCATCCACCCACCCTCTCACCTATCCATCTATACATCCATCTACCCATTCAACCATCTATACACATGCCCACCTATCCATCTATTTACTCACATGCCCACCTACCCCTCCATCCATCCATCCATCCACCCACCCACCTATCCATCCACCCTCTCATCCATCCATCCATCCATCCACACACCCATCCACACACCCATATACCCATCCATCCACCCATATGCCCAGCTATCCCTCCCTCCATCCATCCGCCCACCCATCCATCTACCTATCCATCCACCCACTCATCCATCCATACATCATTCCATCCATCCACCCACTCACTCATCTAGCCAGCCAGCCAGCCAGCCAACCAGCCACCCAACCAACCATCATTCCATTTAACCATTAATCCATCTAACCATCCATCCATCTATTCATCCATCCACCCACTCATCCATTCATCCATCCATCCATCCATCCATCCATCCATCCATCCATCCATCTAACCAGCCAGCCAGCCAACAAGCCACCCAACCATCATTCCATCTATCCACCCACCCATGCACCCAGTTACCCATCCACTTACCCATCTATCCATCATTTCATTCATCCATCCACACATCCATGCCACTCATCCTCCTACCTATCCATCCATCTATTCATCATTCCATCCATCCTTTCATCTCCCCATCTATCCAGCCACCCATCCACTCACCCATCCATTCATCATTTCATCCATCATCCACCCATCCATCTACCACCAATTTGTCCATCATTCCATCCATCCATCCATCCATCCATTCACTAACCCATGCTACTCACCCACCCACCCATCCACTCACCCATCCATTCATCATTTCATCCATCCACCCATCCATCTACCACCAATTTGTCCATCATTCCATCCATCCATCCATCCATTCACTAATCCATGCTACTCACACACCCACACATTCACCCACCCATCCAACTATTCATCATTCTGTCCATTCATTCACACACCCACACTACTCACCCACTCACCCCTCTACTCATCCACCCATTCACCATTCCATCCATCCTTTCATTCATCCGTCTATCATTCATCCTTTCATTCATCCGTCTGTCATTCATTCATCTGTCTGTTATTCATTCATCCATCCACCCATCCATCTTTCTATCCATCTTTCCATTTGTCCATCCATCTAGCCAGCCAGCCAGCCAGCCAGCAAGCCAGGTATCCAGCCAGCCAGCCAGCCAGCCATCTACCTACCTCACTCACCCATCCATCCATCCATCCACCCACCCATTCATCTGTCCATCATCTATTTATCTATCCATCCATCAATCCATCTGTCAATCTATCTATTTTGTATGTTTGAGGAGACCAAAATTGAGTTCCTTCTGCCTAAATGGGAAAGCAAGTTTTTATCCCTCCAGGCCCCTGAATAGAAATGAGAATGCTTCCATTTCTAAACCAAGGCTTTGGAAGCATTTAGCACCATCAGGGAATGGGGAGACATGGGAGGCTGATGATCAGCATGACAGGCTTCTGGTTCTCTGTCCCGATGGTCTCCTCTGTGCAAAACTGACTCTTGACTTTTCACCTCAGTTTCTAAGACCCACCGTGATCTGAGCAACATGTAACATCAAAAATCCAGTTTGGTGGCTCATGTAGGTCAACAGGAAAGTCATCTTTAGCTACTGGTCTTCCTTCTGCTTTTCCCTCTTGCTTATGTAATTGTGCCCCACACAGGTTTGTATGTCCCTCCACTCTTTCCTCAAAAATTCTTGCCATTTGATGTCCTAGGCTAAACTTTAAAAAATTGTGGTAATATGTACATCACATAAAATTTACCAATTACATTATTTTTAACTGTACAATTTGGTAGTATTAAGTGCATTTACATTGTTGTGCAACTATCACCATGATCTATTTTCAAAACACTTTCTTCACCCCAAACAAAAATCGTGTCCCCATTAAGTAATAATTTTTCATTTTCCCTCCCCACCAACCTCTGACAACAACCATTCTGCACTCTGTCTCCAAGTATTTGACTCCTCAAAGGACTTCATGTAAGTGGAATCATATATTATTTGTCTTTTCATGACGGGCTTGTTTCACTTAGAATAACGTCCTCAAGATTTAAGTATATTGTAGCATATGTCAGAATTCTCTCCCTTGAAGGCTGAATAATATTTCATTGCATTCATATACTACATTTTACTTATTTATTCATCTATGGACATTTGGGATCCTTCCATCTTTTGGCTATTGTGAGTAATGCTGCTATGAGCACATACAAATATCTCTTTGAGATCTTGCTTTCAATATTTTTGGGTATATACCCAGAAGTGGAATTCTATTTTCAGTTGTTTTAGGGAACTATTAATACTATACTTCCCTAGGCAGGGCTTTGCCTGTGTCCATAGTTGCTCCAATGTGTCCTCACTCTTATGAACCTGTCCTGCTTCCAGGTTCCAACCTACTGGGCTTGATCAAGGACAGGACCAATTCCTATTCAGATTAATGAGGATTTTCTTATTCAAAACCATCACCAAGGACTATGATGAATAAATTGATGATGGATACATGCATGGTAGATGGATGGATGAAAGATGATGGATGGATGGATGGATGGATGGATGGATGGACGGACGAATATATTGGATGAATGTATGGATGGATGAGGGTAGATAATAGATGAATGGGTAGATGGGTGATAGATGGTTGGATAGATGAATAGATAATGAATTGATGGATCTAGGATGGATGAATGAATAGCTAATAAATGGATGGATTGTTAGATGTATACATAAAAGGATGACAGATGGATGGATGGATGGAATGGATGATGGAATACGGATGGATGGATGGATACACAGATGAATGTTAGGTGAATGAATGGATGGATGAATATATAGATGGAACATGGATAGCCTCATGGAAAAAGAACCAGAGTTCTAAAAGCTCCAGGTCTGGCCCTGACACTAATGTTTTGTCCCTGTGTAATTAATTTAAGCAAATCCCTTTGTGTCTAAATTGTGATGTCGGACAAGGCTGTATAGAAAATTGTGTGTTTGTGTATGTGCATTGTTCATACAGGAACATTTGCGTGCCAATGTTGGCTGGGGCCCCTGGCACCCTGAGGTGGAGATGAAATTGTCTCAAGCTCCTATTTTTACTTCTCATGAAAATTCAAATCTGTTTCCCAATTTCTGTGACTTCCTTGGAGGCTGGAAGGAACGTTACCTTCTTATAGAAGCCCTGTACTCTGGATTTCTGCTTCCACACACACACCCCAGAATCTGTAATGAAAGCCAACCTCTTCTGCAACTTTCAAGCAAACACACCACACTGATGCAGCCTTCCCAGTGTAGCATAACAAACACAGCAAAATACAGTGGTGAGGGAGAAAGCAGGGAATGAGTTTACAACGCATTATCCTGTTTCTCACCCCTCTTTGGCTCCCTGGAATTTCCTTCTTGCTGTTCCTTCACTGATTTTGAAAATCCATTCAGCCCTCTCCAGCTTCTGCTCCCAAAACACACATCCAGCCCACTGGGGTACCCAGTGAAACATCAAGGTTTCCATTCAAGTCGATTCTCTCTTCTTCAAAGGTAGTTGTGGTTCTGAAAGCGGCATTCTTCTTTTTCCTATTTTCTGTGTATGTTTCCAATAGACTGTCACTGTTAGGCAAATTAGCCTTAAAATCAAATTGAGGCTGGGCATGGTGGCTCATGCCTGTAATCCCAGCACTTTGGGAGGCTGAGGTAGGAGGACTTCTTGAGGCCAGAAGTCTGAAACCAGCTGGGGCAGCATAGTGAGACCCTGTCTCTACAAAAAATTACAAAATAAAAATTAGCCTGGCATGATGGTGCACACCTGTAGTCTCAGCTACTTGTAGGCTGAGATGGGAGGATCACTTGAGCCAAGGAGGGTGAGGGTACAGTGAGCTGTAATTGTCCCACTGTGCTTCAGTCTAGGCAACAGGACAAAACCCTGTCTCGAAACAGACAAAAAGTCCAATCGACCTGGGGTTAGATTCTGGTCCTGAATCTCAGGTGATTTTTGTGAAATCAAGACATTTTATGTAAAGGGTTTGTCATGTTTGGCATTTAATAACTAAGCAATGATAAGCACTACTTAATATCAATAATAATACATTTTCCTACGTTTGATAGAGTGCCTGGTAATAATAAATAATGATACATTTTCTTATGTTTGCTACTTAGTAAATAATAGGTAGTAATCTAGTCATTATATAATAAATATATGTTTTATGTATTTTTAATAGTTCCATATAAGCCAATGACGTTTGGCTGGGTGTTGCAGAATTAGGCACCATTTTTATAGGTGTCAAAATAAAGTCTTAAAAAATTATCCCTGTATTTGCAGATGAGTGTGAAGAGTCACGAACATTTTAAGTTATACAAAACGTAATCTTCTAAAAGTGGACTGAGTCCCCTGAAGATGAAGTGTGAGCTTCCTGGTACCTTGCTGTTTGAGAGAAGTTGTAACACCTAACATAGGTAGTCTACTTGGGGTTATGAACTGTCTATCGATGGTTCTATTTATAACTCTGCACTAGTCTGTTTCCCAGTTTCTCAGTTCCTTTAAAAAGCAGTCAGTTCCTTTAAGGAATAAAAAAGAAGAACTATTCTGTAAGCATTTCTATTTTTTAAGCTGGTCTTCTTTCTCACTTCTCCACGGTTGAGTCAAACCTGGAGGTTTCCTCTCTTTTTATTTGTTTTGTGTGTCTTTTGCTACCTTTCTCAGCCTCTCCCTGTCATGGATACTACAGCCCTTCTGCCTTTGCGTTCAGCTCTCACTGGGCCTGAGCCAATGCTAAGGATATCTTCACCAGCTGGAGGAATCAGAGTTTAGGGCTGGGACATGTCAGTATCTGATGACCCAGAAATTCCTCATCCATAAGTAGCTTGACAGTCTTCTCCCTAACTTTCACTGAACCAACCAATTTCCATGCTAGAAAGAGATGTCAGACTTGGCCCTTGGGACTCTCTCTTGGTGAAATTGATCTTGCTCTTGTATTTTGGCCCTCTGTTGCCTTCAACTATCTAAGTATAGCACTCAGCTGCTGACTTAATTGTGAATTTTGCACCAATTGCTAGCTCCTGCTGCTTTGCTTTGTGGAAATAAACAAAGACCAACAACATGAGAAGAAATGAAGGTTGCATCTTCAGAGATTACCATAGCAAGGGGTTCAGCCACATCATCCATCTATGTTTCCATTCATCCATCCATTTTTCCATCTATTCATCCATTCATGCATACATTATATATCCATCTATCAATCCACCCATCCATCCATCCATCCATCAATCCATCTGCCATCCATCCTATTCATTCATTCATCCATTATATATTCATCCACTCACCCATTATATTTCCATCCATCCATCCATCTATTCATCCATTGGTCCACCTGTTATATACCATCTATCCATCCATTTATACATTATCTATTTATCTATCCATCCATTGATTTATTCATCATCCATTTATACATTATCTATTCATCTGTCCATCATCCATCCATCAGTCCACCCACCATCAATTTACCCCTCCCTCCATCCATCACCCATCCACCCACCACCCATACATCAATCTATCCATCCACCCACCCATCCACCCATCCATCCATTTATCCATCATCCACCCATTCTTCCATCATATATTTATCAATTCATCCATCAATCATCCATCTATCAATTCATCCATCTATCTATCCATTCATCTACCCATTCATTATTCACCCATCAATCAATCTTTCTATCACTCATCCATCTATTATATCTCATTTTTCCATCCATCTATTCATCCATCCATCATCAATCCATTTTCTATTCATCCATCCATACATTAATTTACACACCATCTATTCATTCATCATCCATCCATTCATTCATCATTTTATGTTCATCCAATCATCCATTATCTATGCATCCATCCATCCATCCATCTATCTATCAATCTATCCATGATTCATTTATCTATCCATTCAATATGTATTCATCCATCTACCCACTATTCATATACTAAAAAGCATTTGGCAGAGACTCACAGGCAGGCAGAGAAGCAGGACAGCTTCATAGTGGAGAAAAAGGGAGGCTTCAGGTGTGCCCTGACTGGAGGTGGCTGGCACAGGGAGCTGTAGGAGGCTCACTACAGGCAGGACATTCCATGTTATTGGTTACAAGTGCATGTGTGGCAGTCTCTTGTTGGTCCTAATTTAGAAGTAGGACAAAAATTAGGAACGCTGTCAGTTATTAAACAAGTCGTGGTCATTTGGGGCCAATGATTACAGGGGTCATTGTTTGGCTTCCTGGACTGTTACTAGAGACAGTGGTCTGATTTACTACAAGCATGATTTGCAGCTAGTAGGCTGGCTTTTGGGACTGGTTACTATAGGCAGTGGATTGATTTCTAGGCTGGTTGCTGTAGATCTTGGGTCAGGATTCTCTATTTATACATGGCTTAGCCATTGTCTGTATTTTCAGTCTCTCAGCTCCATGCAGCAGACTGTGTTCCGACATACCAAAATCAGACCTGGTGTGGCTTCAGAGCTGGGCAAGCCTCTTTGGCCAGTGACCTCACCCCAGAATTGCAAGTCCCCCTGAACCCAGATCTGCCCATTTCTACTTTTTGTTTCTCTTTCCTGCATGCTTACCCTTGCAATTTCTGCAAAATCTGGGTCCAATTCATATCATTTAGCAGGGTTTGGCAAACTTACTCTGTAAGGGCCTAAATGCTAAGTATTCTTGGCTTTGCAGACCACGTGGTCTCTGTAGCAACAGGTCAACTCTGTCGAGGAAGTGGAAAACAGACATAGACAATACTTAAATGAACAGGAGCACCTGTGTTCCCATAAAACTTTATTTATAAAAAACAGACCACTGCCTTATGTATCTTTAGTACATAGTGTTGAATAGAGTTAGAGCCAGTTTAGATCTCAGAGTTGATGTTGTAGCATACAATATGGCAAAGGAAAGCACTTAAATCGGCTTACAAGTAGCTATAACTCCATGTTAGCTAACGAGTTTGTTCAGTATGTCTGTTTCCTGCTGTCATCATTTGTGTTTTATCTTGTCTCTTATAATTCAGTGGCTATTACAGGAGGCCCTATGTGTCTTTCTCATGGGCTCAGAGAGAAAATAAAGACAAAAATCAACTTCTCTGTAGAGATGATGTCTCTTCTGTTACTTGAATACAACAATTGAATTGAAAAGAATTCAACAAATACAAGTTACATATGAGAAAATATTTTCATTAAGGAGTGGGTCTCAAATTTTTAGTCTCAGGACCCCTTTATATCCTTAAAAATTATGAAGAACCCCATTTTTCAGGAGCCGTCTGACTGTTTTCCACAGCGGCTGCACAATCTTACATTCTCACCAACACTCTAGGAGGGTTCCAATTTCTCCACTTGCTCACCAGCACTTGTTATTATCCGACCTTGATGCTAGCTGTCCTAGTGGGTATGAAGTCAATCTGATGGTGGGTTTTTAAGAAAAATTTTAGATTTAAGGGGTACATGTACAGGTTTGTTACATGGATATATTGCATGGTGCTGAGGTTTGGGCTTCTGTTGAGCCTGTCACCCACATAGTACTCAATGGTTAGTTTTTCAACCCTTGCTCCCCCTCTCTCCCCCTTGTAGGAGTCCCCAGGGTCTACTTTTCCCATCTTTATGTCTGTGAGTACACAATGTTTAGCTCCCACTTGTAAGTAAGAACATGCGTTGATTTTCTGTTCCTGTGTTAGTTCACTTAGAATAATGGCCTCCAGCTCCATCCATGTTGCTGCAAAGGGCATGATTTCATTCTTTTTTATGGCTGTGTAGTATTCCATGGTGTATATGTACCACATTTTCTTTATCCACTATTGATGGGCACCTGGGTTGATTCCATGTCTTTGCTACTGTAACTAGTACTGCTAGAAACATATGAGTGCAGGTGTCTTTTTGGTAAAATGATTACTTTTCCTTTAGATAGATACCCAGTCATGCAATTGCTGGATCAAGAGGTAGTTCTAGTTTGACTTCTTTGGGAAATCTCCAAACTGCTTTCTGCAAGGGCTGAACTAGTTTACATTCCCACCAGTGGTGTGTAAGCATTCTGATGGTGTCTTGAATTTGCATATCTTTGATGGCCAGTGATATTGACTATCTTTTCATGTGTTTATTGGTCACTCGTGTATCTTTTTTGGAGGGATGTACAATTCAAATCCTTTACGCACTTATGTTTTTATTTTATATTTTTATTTTTTTCTGAGAGAGTCTTTCTCTGTTGCCCAGGCTGGAATGCAGTGGCACGATCTCAGCTCACTGCAACCTCCTTCTCCCAGGCTCAAGCAATTCTCATTCCTCAGCCTCCCAAGTAGCTGGGATTACAGGTGCACGCCACCATGCTCAGCTAAATTTTTGTATTTTTAGTAGAGATGGGGTTTCACCATGTTGGATAAGCTGGTCCTGAACTCCTGACCTCAAGTGGTTCACCCACCTCAACCTTCCAACATGTTGGGATTACAGGAGTGAGCCACTGCGCCTGGCCCTACCCACTTGTTTTTTTTTTTTTTTTTTGAGAGGGAGTCTCACTTTATCACCCAGGCTGGAGTGCAGTGGCGTTATGTTGGCTCACTGCAACCTCTGCCTCTCAGATTCAAGCAATTCTCCTGCCTCAGCCTCCCTAGTAGCTGAGACTACAGTCACGAGCCACTACACCCGGCTAATTTTTGCATTTTTTGTGGAGACAGGGTTTCATCATGTTGGCCAGGCTGGTCTCAAACTCCTGACCTCAGGTGATCTGCCCACCTGGGCCTCCCAAAGTGCTGGGATTACAGGTGTGAGCCACCATGCCCAGCCCCTACCCACTCGTAAATTGAATTTTAAAAGTAATTTTATCGTTGAGTGAAAAGGATGATTTCTATATTATGGACACAAGTCTCTAATCAGGTACATGATTTGCAAACATTTTCTCCCTGCCGTGGTTGTAATTTCCTTTCTTGATGGTGCCCTTTGAAGCATAAAGGTTTAAGTTTTGATGAAGCAGGCCTCAACTCTATAACTGAATTTTTTTTTCAACTATGATAAATGACATGAGAGCATTAAAGACAACTTTGCAACAAATGTTTTTCTTTGACTGAACTTGCTTGAACCTGCCCCAGACTGAAAGTTGTGAGAAGATATAAAAAGCAAGCAATGTTTTCTACATTTTCCTTGTTTTAAAATGTTGGTATCACATGAACTATTAATTTCTTAGGCGTGGTCTCCCAGTTGACTGTCAATTATGAATCTCAGAGAGTTTTATCTTTGACACCATCTTGGTGGGTCATGAATTTGGTTTAATAGTGCCAGAGAGAATTAAGAGGCTTTAAAAGGGACCATAAATCATCAGTAAAAACAGTCAGCCCCTTAAAAACTCTGTAATATACTTTTAGAAAGTAGACGCTTTCCCCCAACCAAACAATGGCCGAGTATTTTGGAATGTGGTTAGGCAGGAAGGAGCTTATGCCATTCACAAAACGAAAACACTTTCTGCCAAATTCTTCAAAATGTCAGGAGTAGTATGCTGGCTTTGGGTTTGAAAAATGGGAATTTGGCTTGAAAAATATACATTTATATTGTAGCTAAAAACCTGCATTTGGCTGACGATGTGTAGAGATGAAGATTGGTTTGGGATGTCTACTCATTTTAAACAAATACTGCTTATTATTCTTATTGTTATTTTAAAATTTTATCATTATTATTATTTTATTATAGAGATGGGGTTTCGCCATGTCACCCAGAGTGGTCTCAAACTCTTGGGCTCAAGCCATCCTCCCACCTCAGCCTCCCAGAGTGCTGGGATTACAGGCGTGAGCCACCGTGCCTGGCTGTTATCATTTTAAAAAATATGTTATTGGCCAGGCACGGTGGCTCATGCCTGTAATCCCAGCACTCTGGGAGGCCGAGGTGGGCAGATAACTTGAAGTCAGAAGCTCGAGATCAGCCTGGCCAACATGGTGAAACCCCATTTCTACTAAAAATACAAAAATTAGCCAGACATGGTGGCGTGCACCTGTAAGTCCAGCTACTCGGGAGGCTGAGGTGGGAGAATCGCTTGAACCCGGGAGGTAGAGGTTGTAGTGAGCAGAGATCACACCACTGCACTCCAGCCTGGGCGACAGAGTGAGACTCCATTTAAAAAAAAAAAAAAAGTTATCATGCTTAGAAAAATATATAAAAATTGGATCTTTTCTTAAAATATAGGAAAAACCAGTCAGTATGCATTTATGAAATTTAAGGACATTTTTGCTAAGCACGTTTTCTTTTAAAGTTCATAAAGACTTTAATGTAAAAAACAAAGTGGATGGTATCTAGAAATATCAGCATTTGCAGAACCACAAATAACATATTTGCCAAGAGATATCCCCTCTAAGGATGTCAATTTATTTTTAACATTGGCCTCAAACTTCCAGCATCTGATATGTTAATTTCTGTGTCATGGCCATAAGCAGGAAAATGATAATTTGTAGGCAAAAGTAGAAAATCTCAAGCAGATGGGAATGTGTTCAAATATGTAACCTATCCAGAAGGATCACTCCATCAGCAGGATGAATTCCAGCCTGGCTCTTGCAGGAGACCCCCGAATCCCAGAGCTGAAATATGCAGTCACCAATTAGGGTCACATGTGCTCTTATTCTTATTTGTATTATTTTTGAGACAGGGTCTCATTCTGTCTCCCAGGCTGGAGTGCAGTGGAGCAAATGATGGCTCACTGCAGCATCAACCTCCTAGGGTCAAGTGATCCTCCTTATTCAGCCTCCTGAGTAGCTGGAACTACAGGCCTAGCTAATTTTTTTTTGTTTGTTTTTATTTTTTATTTTTTGTACAAATTTTATTTGTATTTATTTTTTTTTTAGACAGAGTCTCACCCTGTCGCCCAGGCTGGAGTGCAATGGTGCAGTCTCGGCTCACTGCAACCTCTGCCTCCCAGGTTCAAGCGATTCTCCTGCCTCAGCCTCCCAAGTAGCTGGGATTACAGGCACCTGCCATCACGCCCAACTAATTTTTTGTATTTTTAGTAGAGACAAGGTTTCACTATGTTGACCAGGCTGATCTCGAACTCCTGACCTCGTGATCTGCCCACCTCAGTCTCCCAAATGCTGGGATTACAGGCGTGAGCCACTGTGCATGGCCCACCTAGCTAATTTTTGTAGAGACGGGGTCTCCCTATGTTGCCCAGGCTAATTTTGAACTACTGGGCTCAACCGATCCTCCTGTCTCAGCTTTCCAAATTTCTGGGATTACAGGCATAAGCCACCACACCCAGCCTATTATTATTATCATCATCATCATCATCATCATTGGTTTCACTAAAAATATAATGACTCCTTGCACTTTTTCTTTCTTTCTTTCTTTCTTTCTTTTTTTTTGATGGAGTCTTTCTCTGTTGTCCAGGCTGGAGTGCAGTGGCCTGATCTTGGCTCACTGGAAACTCCACCTCCCAGGTTCAAGCAATTCTCCTGTCTCAATCTCCCGAGTAGCTGGGATTACAGGCACGTGCCACCATGCCTGGCTAATTTTTGTATTTTTAGTAGAGACAGGGTTTTGCCATGTTCAAGAGGCCAGGCTGGTCTCTTGAACTCCTGATCTTAAGTGATCCGCCTGCCTCGGCCTCCCAAATTGCTGGGATTACAGGTGTGAGCCACTGCGCCCGGCCATCCCTGCATTTTTTCAATCATCTTTTTTTATTTGTTCTGTAATGCTTGTAATGAAAGGAGTTGTGCAGAGCACATGCAGGCGCAAGGTGGGTGGTTTTCCTTTTGTCTATTTTATTTAGTTAACTTTTTTAACTTTATTTTTCATTTTTTTTTAAATTTTGTTTCAACAGTTTTTGGGGACAGGTAGTTTTTTGGTTATGCGGATAAGTTCTTTAGTGGTATTAATAATTTCTGAGATTTTCATGCACCTGTCACCTGAGCAGTATACACTATACCCAATATGTAGTGTTTTATCCCTCGCCCCCTTCCCCCGTTCCCCCCAAGTCCCCAAAGTTCATTATATCACTCTTATGCCTGTGCGTCCTCATGGCTTAGCTCCCAGTTGTAAGTGAGAACATACTCACTTAATATCATGGATATTTGCCTTTCATCCCCAACTTACTTCGCTTAGAATAATGGCCTCCAAGTCCATCCAAGTTGCTGCAAAGGCCATATATTCTATTTTTTAAATGAATAGCCTTTGCTTTTGGGGCAGTTTCAGGTTTATTAAAAAACTGAGCAGAAAGTCTAGGGTTCCCCTAGACCCACTTGCCTGTATATACAACAAAGTTTGCCCCATGATTGACACCTTGCATTAGTGTGGTACATGTGTTACAATTGATGAGCTGATAGTGGGACATTATCATTCACCAGAGTCCACAGTCTCCATGAGGGCTCACTCTTTGTGCTGTGCAGTTCTATGGGTTTTGATAAATAGAGACTGACTTGTAGATATGGAATAGTATCTGCAGATACATCGTACAGAATAGTTTCACTGCCCTCAAAATCCCCTATGCTTCCTGTGTTCCTCCTCCTCTCTCTCCCCCAGGACACTGACAAACACTGATCTTTTTACTTTTTCTACAGTTTTGCCTTTTGTCTGTTTTTAATTTTTAGTCTACATAAAAATGTGACTGGGTTGAAAAGCATCATCGGAGAGTTGCATTGAATTATTCGGTTCCATAATGGTAAATCAATGGTATCACTATGCAACGAGGAACGGAAAGTAGACAGTCTTTGCCATGGCTCATCTTCATTCATTTTGTTACAGGAAAGGTGTCCTGATCCAGACCTCAAGAGAGGATTCTTGGATTCTGTGCAAGAAAGAGTTCAGGGCCAGTCCACAGTGCAAAGCAAAAGCGAGTTTATTAACAGTGTAAAGGAATAAAAGAATGGCTACTCCATAGACAGAACAGCCCCGAGGGCTGCTGGCTCCACATTTTTATGATTATTTCTTGATGATATGCTAAACAAGGGGTGGATTGTTCGTGCCTCCCCTTTTTAGACCATATAGGGTAGCTTTCTGATGTTGCCATGACATTCGTAACTGTCATAGTGCTGGTGGGAGTGTAGCAGTGAGGACCACCAGAGGTCACACTCATCACCAGCTTGGTTTTGGTGGGATTTGGCCAGCTTCTTTATTGCAACCTGTTTTTATCAGCAAGGTCCTTATGACCTGTCTCTTGTGCTGACCTCCTGTCTCATCCTTAGATTTAGAATGCCTCAACTGTCTGGGAATGAAGCCCAGTAGGTCTCAGCCTCATTTTATGCAGCTCCTATTCAAGATGAAGTTGCTCTTGTTCAAAAGCCTCTGACAATTTCGGTGCCTTTGTTGGGAAGGGACACTGCTTTCTGACTGAGCCAGCCCTTGGGTTCTTTGCCCATTGTTGACTCTTTTGCCAGTGGGCCAGATGGAGATCCTTGGCTCCTCCCCAAGCCCGGCTGTTTTGGGGTCTGTTATCCCGTCTGCCACTTAACAACAGCATACTGAATTTACAAATGACTCAAGGAGACAGGGTAAATATGGTGAAGCAAAGTGTTAATGGCTTTATGCTTAATATGTATCTCTTCCTATCAAAATTTTGGGATTTCAAATGTAATTTCTTTCTTTTTTAAAAATATGTATTCACCTAATATAGAATGATTTTAAAGAATATGATTTAGTAGCATGTTGTACATTCACAATGTTGGGCAACAATCACCTCTATCTAGTTCCAAAACATTTTTATCACCATAAAAGGAGTCCTCATACCATTAATTAGTCCCACCCCTTTCCCCCTTCCCTCAGCCCCTGGCAATAATTCATCTGCCTTCTGTCTCTATGGGTGAACCTATAGAATGCAATTGTTTTTGGTAGCCATTATCCATCTATGAGTTAGAAGATGATTCCCACTTCCCTATCTGGTCCTTAGTGTGCAGACGACAAAAATCAAGGTAACTCACCTGGCAAGTATTTGTATTAGCAAACAGCTTACAGGGACAGAGTTTCAAAAATAACAAAATCGTAAGCATGCATATTGGAATCAACATAGAATATCTGTAGAAGGAGCAGTAATGAAAATTTGGATAAAGCAGAAGTATGTTTGACTAAAATACATTGTTCTATTCTCCTTTTTTTTTTTTTTGAGACAGAGTTTTGCTCTTGTTGCCCAGGCTGGAGTGCAATGGTGCGATCTCGGCTCACAGCAACCTCCGCCTCCTGAGTTCAAGCGATTCTCCTGCCTCAACCTCCCAAATAGCTAGGATTACAGGTGCCCACCACCACGACCGGCTAATTTTTATATTTTTAGTAGAGACGGGGTTTCGCCATGTTGGTCAGGCTGGTCTCAAACTCCTGACCTCAGGTGATCTACCTGCCTCGGCCTCCCAAAGTGCTGGGATTACAGGTGTGAGCCACCACGCCCAGGCTGTTCAATTCTCCTTGAACCAACCAGCTCCAAGGCAATTATCTCTAAAGGGGATTCAGTTGGGAGCTGCATGAGTATCTCATGCAGCTATGTGAGATGTGAAAAGACATCTCACCTGCAACAGGGAAAATGCCAACCTTCCCTATCCTATTACCTATTGTATGATCCTGTCCCCAACCTCTAACACTCAGCGATAGCTCAAAGGATTGGGGCTGGACCCCTGACTCAAGGCAAGCCTCCCTTGACTGGACAGTGACTCATGACATGTGCAGACCTGCTGGAAATTGCAAGATCATACAGGCCCTTTGTACAACATAAACAAATAAGACTGATAATCAATAATTTTTAGATTTCGGATTCAATTTATAGAAGTCCCCCCCTCCAACTCCCTAAACCCACCTTGTCACCGTGGTGATCTTCATCAGTACTAAACAAGGATAAGCTTTGTTTTTTTTAGAGACAGGGTCTCACTCTGTCACCCAGGCTGGAGTGCAGTGGCACGAGCATAGCTCACTGTAGCCTCCACCTCCTGGGCTCAAGCGATCCTCCTGCCTCAGCCTCTTGAGTAGCTGGGACTACAGGCATACACCACCACGCACAGGTAATTTTTTTAAAAAATTGTAGAGATGGGTTCTCACCACGTTGCCTAGGCTGGTCTTGAACTCCTGGGCTTAAGCAATCCTCCTGCCTTCTCATTTCTCTGTGCCCGGGCTGAGTGTGGGAGTAGAAGATTTTGTTTGCAGAAAGGTCACATGGACTCATTCTGATTCTAAAATTAAATGAAAAGAAAAGAAAAGTAGCAAATAAAAACAGAAAACAAAACGATCACATGGATGTACCATTTTGCCCCAATGCATGTTGCCTAAGAGAGACGATGCCTTCCCAGTTCGCCAGAGCTATGGCTCTTAGTAGGTGTCTAGGTCCATTTCGTGTTGCTGTGAAGGAATACCTGAGGCTGGGTAATTTATAAAGAAAAGTGGTTTATTTGGCTCATGGTTCTGCAGGCTGCACAAATGCATGGCACCAGCATCTGCTTCTGGGGTGGGCTTCGGGAAGCTTCCACTCATGGTGGAAAAGGAAAGGCAGCTGGCGTGTGTAGAGATCACACAGTGAGAAAAGAAGCAAGAGAGAAAGGAGAGGACGTACTAGGCTGTTTTTAACAACAAGATCATCTGGGAACAAATAGACCAGAGAACTCACCCATTACCAAAAAGTCATCATCAAGCCACTCATGAATGATCTGCCCCATGACCCAAACACCTTTCACCAGGCCCACTACCGACACTGAGGGTCACATTTCAACATGAGATCTGAAGGGGAGAAATATCCAAACTACGTCAGTAGGTAAAGGACACGAGAAGAGTGGTGCTCTATCAGAATCACTCAGGGAGCATTTATGAAATATGCCTGCTTTACCCTTTCTCCTTCATCATGCTCAGGGGATATTCACAATACATATAAAAAATTAATCTTCCTCTTGAGGACTTTCCTTCTTTGCAATCTTTCCCTGGAGCTGAGGATAGCCAGACTCTAAATGGATAACAAATAATTTCTCTTGACATGTGCTTTCCTTTGCAACGACGTATGGGAAATTGAATTTCTCCCAGGAAGAAGTGGGGATGGATGAAACCAGGCTTCAACTCAATGCATCTGTGTAATTGCTAAGAGAGAGCTGCTTCCACCATTAGGTATTATAAGTAAGTAATGATTTCGGTCTCCTTGCTGTGGAACAGACAAATGGCATGGTATTTGCACAAAGCAGAAAGTGTAATGTTAGTACTGATTGTAAGTAAAATTAAAATTTGAAAAAAATCTATCCATTGTACTTGGATTTTTCGCCAAAATTATTTATCCTTCTTCTCCATATCCTTTAATCTTTTTTCTTGCTTAATCCTCCATATTCCTTTAATCTAATTTTCCTGCTTGTAAGAAGTCAAAGGTGGGGCACGGGAAGAGAAAGAACTCTATTTTTCCAATAAAGACTGGGTGTCTATTAAGAGTAGATTCACCCACATATCAAAGAAAATCCAACAAGCTTCAACAAGGCAGAGGTTTATTTTGGAGAAGTTTTGAAAAGGGCAGGGCAGGGTCTATGTGACAGTTACATGGTTTTCAGGGACCAGGATCTTTTTGTCTTTCTCCTCCACTCGTCTGTCTCTGAGCTACATTTCTATCAGTTCATGTTTCAAGATGGCGCCTTGAGCCCTAGACATCATGTCCAAGATGCAAGAGAGGGAGGACACAAAAAGTACTCCATCTATTTTTTTTTTTTTTTTTTTTTTTTTTTTTTTTTTTTGAGATGGAGTCTTGCTCTGTCGCCCAGGCTGGAGTGCAGTGGTGCGATCTCGGCTCACTGTAAGCTCCACCTCCCCGGTTCACGCCATTCTCCTGCCTCAGCCTCCCGAGTAGCTGGGACTACAGGCGCCTGCCACCATGTCTGGCTTATTTTTTGTATTTTTAGTAGAGACGGGGTTTCACGGTGTTAGCCAGGATGGTCTCGATCTCCTGACCTCGTGATCCGCCCATCTCAGCCTCCCAAAGTGCTGGGATTACAGGCGTGAGCCACCACGCCCCGCCAAAGTACTCCATCTATTTTTTTACATAATTTCAGCTTTCATTTTAGCTTCAGGGGGTACATGCACCAGTTTGTTCCATGGGTATATTGTGTGATGCTGACGTTTGTTTGGGGTACAGATGATCCCATCACCCAGATACTGAGCATAGTACCCGATAGTTAGTTTTTCAACTCTTCTCCCCTCTCTCCTACCCCCCAGTAGTCCCCAGTGTCTGTTGTCCCCATCTTTATGTCCATGAGTACCCAATGTTTAGCTCCCACTTATAAATGAGAACATATGTTAATTTGCCTAGGATAATGGCCTCCAGATGCATCCATGTTGCTGCAAAAACATGATTTTATTTTTTATGGTGGCGAGGTATTCCATGGTGTGTAAGTGCCATATTTTCTTTTTTTCTTTTCTTTTCTTTCTTTTTCTTTCTTTTTTTTTTTTTTTTAAACAGAGTCTCGCTCTGTCGCCAGGCTGGAGTGAGCGCAATCTCGGGTCACTGCAACCTCCACCTCCCGGGTTCAAGCAATTCTCCTGCCTCAGCCTCCCAAGAGCTGGAATTATAGGCGCATGCCACCACGCCCGGCTAATTTTTTGTATCTTTAGTAGAGATGGGGTTTCACCTTGTTGGCCAGGCTGGTCTCGAACTCCTGACCTCGTGATCCACCTGCCTCGGCCTCCCAAAGTGCTCGGATGACAGGTGTGAGCCACTGCACCTGGCCATAGGTACCACATTTTCTTTATCCAATCCACCACTGACAGGCATCTAGGTTGATTCCATGTCTTTGCTAATGTGAATAGTGCTGCAATGAACATGTGAGTGCATGTATCTTTTTGGTAGAAGGACTTATTTTCTTTGGTTATATATCCAGTAATAGAATTGCTAGGTTGAATGGTAGTTCTGTTTTAAGGTTTTTGAGAAATCTCCAAATGCACTCCATTTTTCATAGCTTTCATGGAGGCTTCACCCAAGAGACTCCATTAGAAATCCCATAGTTGGCCAGGCGCGGTGGCTCACGCATGTAATCCCAGCACTGTGGGAGGCCAAGGTGAGCGGATCACCTGAGGTTGGGAGTTCGAGAACAGCCTGGCCAACATGGAGAAACCCCATCTCTACTAAAAATACAAAAAATTAGCCGGGCGTGGTGGCATGCGCCTATAATTCCGGCTCTTGGGAGGCTGAGGCAGGAGAATTGCTTGAACCCGGGAGGCGGAGGTTGCAGTGAGCCGAGATCACGCCATTGCACTCCAGCCTGGGTGACAGAACGAGACTCCGTCTCAAAAAAAAAAAAAAAAAAAAAAAGAAATCCTGTAGCGATGGGGGAAGCTGGGATTGTAGCCTTTAAACTGATGACCACCTAAAACGATGAAACTCCTGATAATATGGACAATGGGAAGAGGAGACATTAGCTAAGCAGTTAGGAGTCTACCACAGAGTGGAAGAAGGAAGAGGTGAAGCTCACAGTGGGAGGAAGAGAGATGGGTTAATTAGATTAGTAGTAGGAAGGGGTGTAGGAAGAGGAAAGAGACATGTATTGGGGTTTTCCCACGTCACTTTGTAAGACCCTGAAATCCACACCACACTGGACACCCTTAACCTGAAGACGTCCTGAAACTTGGCCTTTCTCTGTGGAATTATGATGATGGAATTCTCTCCTCTGACCTTCTTCAGCCTATACTGAGAGAGTTCCTTGAGGGATACAAAGGGAATCCAATCTAATCCAACTGAAAAAAAAAAAGGACTTTCATCTTTCTTCAGGAAGAAAAAATGTTCAAACTGCAACCACAGAGACGTTATCATCTGTTCTCCGATGGCTACTTGGGATGCAATTGTCTTGATGAAACTTACAGAGCTTATTCAGTTCTGGTTCAATTCACATCCCAGTGTCAATGGGATTATACTTAAAGTTATGAAGGGAGCTGGTGTTTCTGTCAATGTGGGACTCTTATTTCCTGCTTGTATGTTGAGTGCCTCAACTCTAGATAGTTGCCTGAGGTTTGTTTTCTTTCTGTTCTCAAAGAAAGATCTGGGGCAGAGATACTAGGGCTTCTCTCTGGAGAAAGTCCTGTAGACTGCAGGGATCTGCTTTTTAACTTATAGGCAATTGACAGGCAGGAAGGCTGACCAGACAGGAAGGCTGGTGTCAGTGGATCTGCCATGAGTTTAGAGAAGGAAATTAATAAGGAGGCCCAAGGCTCTTTTATCTCTGCCCATAGGTTTTTGTTTTGTTTTGTTTTGTTTTGTTTTGTTTTTGTTTTTGTTTTGAGGCAGAGTCTCACTCTGTCACCCAGGCTGGAGTGCAGTGGGGTGACTGGGGTGATCTTGACTCACTGCCACCTCCACTTTCTGATTTCAAGTGATTCTCCTGCCTCAGCTTCCCAGGTAGCTGGGAGTACAGGCGTGTGCCACCACACCCAGCTAATTTTTGTATTTTTATTTATTTATTTATGTATTTATATTTTTTGAGGCAGAGTATCGCTCTATCGCCCAGGCTGGAGTGCAATGGCATAACATCGGCTCACTGCAACCTCTGCCTCCAGGATTCAAGCAATTCTCCTGCCTCAGCCTCCCGAGTAGCTGGGATTACAGGCGCCTGCCATCACACCCGGCTAATTTTTGTATTTTTGTAGAGACAGGATTTCACCATGTTGGGCAGGCTGGTCTCGAACTCTTGACCTCAGGTACCACCCGCCTCGGCCTCCCAAAGTGCTGAGATTCCAGGCGTGAGCCACTGTGCCCGGCCAGTCTCACACTTCTTAAAAGAAAACATAAAGTGAACAAAAAAATATGAAAAAAAGCTCACCATCACTAGTTATCAGAGAAATGCAAATTAACACCAAAATGAAATAGAATGACTATTATTAAAAAGTCAGAAAATAACAGATGCTGGCAAGGTTGCAGAGAAAACAAACTCTTATACTCTGCTGGCGGGAATGTAAGTTAGTATCACCTCTATGGAAAACAGTATGGAGATTTCTCAAAAAACTAAAAATAGAACTACCATTTGACTCAGCAATCCCACTATTGGGTATCCACTCAAAGGGAAAGAAATCATTATATTGAAAAGACACACACACTCGTGTGTTTATCACAGCACCATTCACAATAGCAAAGTCATGGAACCAACATAATAAGTGTTGATTGGATTTTAATCCAATTTTAATCCAATGGTAGATTGGATTAAAAAAATGTGGTGCATATACACCATGGAATACTATGCAGCCACAAAAAATAACGACATCATGTTTTTTGCAGCAACATGAATGTAGCTGGTGGCCATTATCCTAAATGAATTAACACAGAAAAAGAAAATCAAATACCACATGTTCTCCCTTATAAGTGAGAGCTAAACACTGAATACACATGGGCATAAAGATGGAAACAATGGGCACTAGGTTCAGTATTTGAGTGGTGGATTCAATAGAAGCCCAAAGCCAGGCATTACACGACATACCCTTGTAACAAAACTGCACGTGCACCTTCTAAATCTAAAATGAAAGCAAAATAAAATGATCTCAAGGTTCTTGCCTTCAATGCAAACACCCTGTGTACTCTTCTCCCCTTGAGTGTGGGTAGGACTGTGAAATAGCATGAATGTCACTCCTGTATTTAAGTTTCATTATATGGTAAAGGTGAAGGTATTTTGTACAAAGTAACTGAGGTCTCCACCAGGCTTGGTGGCTCACGCCTGTAATCCCAGCACTTTGGGAGGCTGAGGGGGGCAGATCACCTGAGGTCAGGAATTCGAGACCAGCCTGGCCAACATGGCGAAACCCCGTCTCTACTAAAAATACAAAAACATTAGCCAGGAGTGGTGGTGGGTGCCTGTAGTCCCAGCTACTCAGGAGGCTGAGGCAGGAGAATCACTTGAACCTGGGAGGTGGGTTGCAGTGAGCTGAGATCGCACCTGGGCTACAAGAGCAAAACTCCATCTGAAAAAAAAAAGAAACCTCAAACAAAAAACAAAAGAAAAATAAAAACAAAGTAACTGAGGTCTCTCATTAGGTGACTTTATGTTAATTAAAAGGAGATTATTCTGGGTAGGCCTGATTTAATCAGGTGAATCCTTTAAAAGTACATCTGTAGGCCAAAGACAGGAGAAGCCAGATAGATTTTAAACAACAAAAATATTTTCCTTTTGGCCTTGAAGAAGCAAATTACCACATGATGAAGACAGCCATATGGCAGGAAATGGACTGATGGCTTCATTCCTATAACCACAAATAATTGAATCCTGATAGTAGCCAGAGAGCTCAGGAGAGGATCCCAAAACTCAGATAAGATGGCAGCTCTGTTGATTTCAGCCTTGTGGGATCCTAAGCTGAATACCTAGCCATACTGTGCCTGGAAATGGTGTGAGATTGTGAATGTATGTTGTGTTAAGTCACAAAGACTGTGATCATTTGTTATGAAGCTATAGCTAACTAATACACTGCTCATTTCTGATGTGAAATGAGCAGGGAGTCCTTCCTTAGAAGGCTGTCCATGGGTGGAAAAAGCCTGGCCATGAGTCATATGCTCCAGCTATCAAATGCCAAACACCTTTGTGTGGAGGAGATACTTTGTTAGTATTTACTATCTACTGTGATAATTCAAGAAATTGGAATCTCACTTAGAAGAAAGATGAAATATTTCATATCAAAATGCCTCGCTGAATACTCCCACATGGCTCCTTGGAAAAGTTTCTGAAAGGCTCACCCACTCTCGAATGGCCACTTTATTTACAGGGGAAACTTAGTTGCTATTGACTAAATGTGTCCCTCCAAAATGCATAGGTTGAATCTTAACTCCCAAGGTGATGGTATTAGGAGGTGGCTTTTAGGAGGTGATTAGGTCATGAGGGCGGAGTCTCACTAATAGGATTAGCATCCTTCTAAAAGAGACCACAGAGAGCTCCTTTACCTCTTTCCACCATTTGAAAACATGGCAAGAAGTCACCATCTATGAACCAGGAAGGAGGTCCCCACCAGACACAGATTCTGCTACACCTTGATCTTGGAGTTTCAGCCTCCAGAACTGCCAGCAATAAATGTCTGTGGTTTAAACCATCCAGACTATGCTAGTTTGTTATAGCAGCCTGAATGGATTAAGACAGGAGTATTCTAGGATACCAAAATGCAAGGAATCACCATCCATTCTGTGCCTCCCATGTACCTCCCTAGAGGCATTTATAGTCTTAGGAGGGCTGGGCTGGATTATGGGTTCCCACAGCCCAGTTTCTGCTAACTGCATAATTTTATTCATGAAGTTGCTAAGCAGTGTCCTGCCCCTTTCTTGCATCTGGTTTACTGGCAACAACAAACCGTGAATTACTGTTTACTCTGCTCCAAATGAATAGTTCTGACCCAGGCAATGTGTGAAACTGGTAGAAAGCAAGTTCTCCTGACAGGAATCACTTTCCATTCACACCAGGAGGCATAGAATAAAACCAATCACACAGTTACACTTTCAGTTTCTTCCTATAATCACAAAGAACTGAATCCTGACAATATCCAGAGAGCTCAGCATAGGACCCCAAAACTCAGATAAGACTGCAGCTCTGTTGATTTCAGCCTTGTGGGACCCTGAGCAGAAGACCCAGCTCTACTAATTCTCTCTTCTAATTTTATAATGAATCATTCAACTTTCCAAGTTACTGTGATCAAGCAAAAATGCATGCCTGATGTTAGTATTTTTCCCTACAGGTGATGTGTCTCAAAGGAGCCCAGGACAAGTAGCAAGGAGGTGCTTTGTAAGGAAATAGGAGGAAACCCAAGCTGTTATTGTCCTGAGAATTCTTACACGTATTGAGTTTGCCTTTTGGCCACTCTTTCTGAGGCGTATGTAGAAATTTGCCGGTAACCTGACTCTTAGCTCGGATCCACTTTGCCCACACGGAGGTACCACGCATTGCAGGTGGCTTTGTTTTATTCCTTTGTCTCCAGCAAAACTGGCCATCTATTAACTTGGCTGTTCTGGTGCATTTGTTCAAACAACTCCTCTTTATCTCCCTCTGCAGGGTTCCCTTAGCAACATGCTTTCTGACATCATTACCAATCTTATTTTGGGAACTGGGCTGTACGGAAGATCCCTAGACACCCTACCGATGTGTGGCAGAACTTTCTGGGAGTTATCATGTAACTAATGAGCTTAAGAATTCATTCCAACCAAAGGCAATGCTAGTTTGTTTCCCAGTTTAAACCTCTAATCATGGAGCCCTAGAGAGTTAGGTATACGTGGGTTATCACCATCATGGCGCCCATGTGATTAAGGAGTTTTGTTTTTTGTTTAACAGATTTGGGGCTGCTCTGTCCAGACCTGCCCATTGTAAAGCTACTGGGGCCACATGAGGCTGTTTCTTGAGGATGCACAGAATCTTGTGTGTTCACCACCCTTTTTTATGTATACACAAGGAGATTCCACTTATAAATCCTGTGTACTTGTATTTATTTCAGGTCATATTCCTTCCAGGACTTGGAGAGGGGAGATGTGTTAAATGAAGAATTGTCATCACTAATATGCTTTGAGTTGATTGACCTTCATGTCATAGAATAAATGTTCAACTTTGCATCACGTCAATGTTTGCCTCCTTCCCACCTGGAGAGAACCTAGTAAGAAAGAACTTGAGTAGCAATAGTAAACAATAAATATTGGGTCATCACATAACCCATGTTAGTCTCACCCAGATGCAAAACATAGCTAAAAACAGTAGAAAATGGCAACAAACAGTCTTAGAAAAATACAGACCCTCTAGTGACTGTTTTTGTTTGATGGCTGACATTGGTCTAAAGAAATTTCAAGAGAGCTGAAGGGTGGCATCCTGTTTTATTTCTTCAATCCTTGGAAGAGCTCCCTTGCATTGAGAATGCACACATTTGCATTTCAAAGCAAGTGGGGTTTGGGTAAACAGTCTTAGAAGTCAAAGCAACCATCTCCTAGAAGCAAGCTGTATATCAGGTAGAGAAAGAAGAGATGAAAAAGGGCCATGACTATGCCCATTTCAGTCATCTGCTTGGGATCCTGCCACATGGCAGAGTTTGGTGGACACAGCACTTCTCTGCTCCCTGGGACATAAGCAGAAACATCTTTGGCATGACTGAAGCATTCTACTCCCAAGATGGCCCCATGCATTGGCCTGGCAGAGGAATGCTGTCTGAAGGCCAGGAGCTCAGTATGGCTATTGACTGGCCTGGCCTCAATTCTCCTCCACAGGGATCGTTCAGGCTTCTTACAATATGGCTGTCTCAAGGTAGTTAGAGGGTGACTTACCCCATGTCACAAAAGCAGAAGCTTTCAGTTCTTCTTAGACCTGGGGTGAGTGCAGCCACCCTCTGCCATATAGTGTTGGATAAAGCATATCCCAGGGCTACTCTGGTTCAACAGAAAGGTATACACAAGGGTGTAAATGCCAGAGGTCAAGGTTTTTTGGGGGTTACCCAAGTGGAGTCAACCTTCATTATTTGCAGATGCTCTCTTTGCAAATTCAGCTACTTGCTCTAATTTCTTTGTAACCCCAAATTAATACTCATTGCACTTTCGTGAACATTTAAAGCAATAAATAATTTGAGTCACCTGGTTTGTACATTTCTGGCTAAGCTTGAACAAGGCAATGCTCTGCCTTCTTATTTCAGTTCATACTATAAACAAGTGCCTTGTTGTGGTCTATGGAGTGCCATGCTTTTTTCATTTTTGCAAAATGCAGCCTCTTTCTGCTGGTAATTTTGCTGTTTAAAATGACCCTAAGCATTGTGCTGGAGGGCTGTCAAGTGTTCCTAAGTGCAAGAAGGCTGTGATGTTGCTTACAGAGAAAATATGTGTGTTAGAGATACTTCTTTCAGGTGTTCAGGCAGGAGTTACAGTTGTTGGCCGTGAGTTCAATGAGAATGAGTCAACAATATGTATTCAATAATGTGCCTTTAAACAGAAACACACCTAAAACAAGGTTGTGTATTGATAATTTGATGAAAATGTGACCAGACACTCGCAGGAACCTAACCTTATAATTCTAGTAGGATCAATGGTTCAGTCTTTGCTAATTCAGTGTTTTTGGCGATTTTATAAAATGACTGCTGTGAATAATGAGAATTGGCTATATCAGTTCATCATAAACAACCAATGAGCTTTCGATTTGACCCAGATCTGATTCAAGTGATCGGAAGACTGAATGTATGCTGTGAATGCAGGAGTCTATAGGATCAATTTCCACTGGTCACCTCTGGCAATAGTCCAAAGGGGCTGATCCACTCACTGCCTCTCTAGTTGAACAAATCTTAGAATATAGTGATTTGGCATTTTCCTCTTCTCTGATTCGAATGGGTGGGAATGGACCTGTCATCCATTTCATTAAGTGTTTTTAATTTTTTATTTTAAGATAATTTTTAAGACACACAAATTATTGCAAAAATGATACATAGAGTTCCTGTGGACACTTCACTTAGCTTTCCCCAATTATAACATCTTATTTAACTATTGTACACCATCAAAACCAGTCAACTGACATTGGTACAATATTGTATTATTCTGTTTTCTTCTGCTGATAAAGACGTACCTGAGCCTGGGTAATTTATAAAGCAAAAGAGGTTAATGGACTCACAGTTCTACATGACTGGGGCAGCCTCACAATCATGGTGGAAGATGAAAGGCATGTTTTACATGGCAGCAGGCAAAAGAGAATGAGAGCCAAGCAAAAGGGTAAATCCCTTATAAAACCATCAGGTCTCATTAGACTTATTCACTTCCACAAGAACAGTATGGGGAAACTGCTCCCATAATTCAGTGATCTCTCACTGGGTCACTCCCACAACACATGGGAATTATGGGAGCTACAATTCAAAATTCAAGATGAGATTTGGGTGGGAACACAGCAAAACCATATCAAATACTCTTCACTAAATTACATTATTTCCATGGGTTTTATGTGAAATGTGTGTGCATGTGTAGTGCTGTGAAATTTTATCCCCTGTATAGATTCCTATCACTATGACTATAGCCAAGCATGCACCTCTGCACGTGCCTGGCTACAGTGATGATTGTAGGAATAGGAAAAGCCAATTTGTGAAAGAATATCTCAAAGGGAAAATGTAATGTTTCCTAATGTACAAGTTGTTGTCTCCAGAGCAGTTACAGGGCACTATAACCTAACATCTGTGTGCTTCTAGGACAAGAGGCATCAGACAACCATGAGGTTGCAGGGCAGAGAGTAGGCTGAACTCAGGATGAATGCTGCATGGGCTGCAAGCTTGCTTTATTTTCATTTCTCTCCTCTCTTCCTCTATTATTAATTCATGAAAATTATAGGGACTGTTTCAGAGCTGGTAATGAAAGTATCTGCATTGAGCTGTCAAGACTCTAAACCCCAGTCTCAATAGACTGCACAAGTGGCTGGTTGTGGGCTTTAGTCTCTGGATTCTTCCTACTGCTGCTTTAAGAGAGAAAAGCCACTCATAGCTTCCTGGAGAGCCTCGTTCCCCCTCATCATGGTCCCTGGGGACACTGACTATAGACTCCAATGGGTAGAAACAGCATCTGTTTTGGACACTTCTGCAACCTACTGTGCAGTAGGGCTCCTGGTCTTCGAGTAGTGTTCCAGTCACGCCTACTGGCTTTTTAGTACTCTGCTGCTCCTCCCTTTGTGCTATCAGGACATTTATGGAAACTCCAATGCAACTACAGCATCAGGCATCCTTTTTCCACCCACACACTATTTCTTTCCCCTGAGTCCAGGAATGGGGAAAGCAAAAACCAGAGAGGTCTCGGAGCAAGACCAAAGTACTACCTTTCCAGAAGCAAGGGGCCACAGAGGCCTGGATATTAGTTGGTACTGTTACTGGAAAGGGGTCCTTATCCACACCCTAAGACAGGATTCTTGAACCTCATGCAAGAAAGAATTCAGGGCAAGTTCATAAAGTGAAAGCAAGTTTATTAAGAAAGTAAAGGAATAAAAGAATGGCTACTCCATAGGTAGAGCAGCAGTGTGGGCTGCTCTGCTGATTATACTTATAGATACTTCTGGATTGATATCGTTTGGCTCTGTGTCTCCACCCAAATCTCATCTTGAGTTGTAATTTCCATAATCCCTGTGCATTGAGGGAGGGACCTGGTGTGAGGTGTTTGGATCATGGGGGAAGTCTCCCCCATGCTGTTGTCATGATAGTGAGCGAAGTCTCAAGAGATTTGATACTTTTATAAGGCAGTTTTCCCTGCTTTCTCTTGCACCTGCTCTCTTGCCTGCCACCATGTAAGACATGCCTGCCTCCTTTTAAGCCATGATTATAAGTTTCCTGAGGCCTCCCCAGCCTTGAGGAACTGTGAGTCAATTAAACCTATTTCCTTTATAAATTGCCCAGTCTTGGGAAGTTTTTCATAGCAATGTGAGAATAGTCTAATACATTGATTATATGCTAAACAAGGGGTGGATTATTCATGAGTTTTTTGGGAAAGGGGTGGGCAGCTCACAGAACTAAGGGCTTCTCCTTTTTTTAGACCACATAGGGTAACTTCCTGATATTGCCGTGGCATTTGTAAACTGTCATAGCACTGGTGGGAGTGTCTTATAGCATGCCAATTCATTATAATTAGCATATAATGAGCAGTGAGGACGACCAGAGGTCACCTTCATCACCATCTTGGTTTTTCTAGGTTTTGGACAGCTTCTTACTGCATCCTGTTTTATCATCTGGGTCCTTGTGACCTGTATCCTGTGTTGACCTCTCATCTCATCCTGTAACTTAGAATGCTTAACTTCCTAGAAATGCAGCCCAGTAGGTCTCAGCCTCATTTTGCGCAGCCTCTATTCAAGATGGAGTCACTCTGGTTCAAATGCCTCTGACAGTATTTTCATAAAGGGGAGGTCATTCCTGGATCTTTCTATGCGAAGAGGACCAGAAAGATCCTTCATAATTTATTACATAATACCTTTGGGTGTGTGTATTAGTCCATTTTCATACTGCTGTGAAGAAAATACCTAGACTGGGTAATTTATAAAGAAAAAGAGGTTTAATGGACTCACAGTTCTGCGTGGCTGGGAAGGCCTCACAGTCATGGCAGAAGGTGAAGGAGGAGCAAAGGCATGTCTTACATAGTGGCAGGCAAGAGAGTGTGTGCAGGGGAACAGCCCTTTATAAAAACTATCATGGTTTTATAACAAGGGGATGGCACATTTTCACTTTTTTTTTTCTTTTCTTTTCTTTTTTTTTGAGACAGGGTCTGTCTGTCACCCAGGCTAGAGTGCAGTGGTGCCATGTCTGCTCACCGTAACCTTCACCTCCTAGACTCAAACAATCCTCCCGCCTCAGTCTCTGGAATGGCTGGGACTACAGGCACATGCCACTACACCCGACATATTTTTAGTATTTTTGGTAGAGAAGGGATTTTGCCATGTTGCCCAGGCTAGTCTTCAACTCCTGGGCTCAAGCAATCCGCTCGCCTTGGCCTCCCAAAGTGCTAGGATTACAGGCACTGTAATCCAGTGCCACTGGACCCAGCTTTCTATTTTTTGATTGTGTTAAAATACACATAGCAGTTGCATAGTGTCCTCATCTGTTCATTTCCTCCTCCGCCAAGCCCTGGCAGCATTGTTCGATTTTCTGCTTTGATGATTTTGACTATTCCAAGTATTTTCATGAAAGAGAAGTACTTTTATCTGAGGAATTTGAGCACTTTCAAATTATTAGGCCCAGAAATGTATTAAGACGAGACAGCAATCGTGTCCTAGTCCCCGCTTTGAGCTATGTATACATCTATTGAAACTGCTTGCCATTGTCACACATAACTATAAGTTAACCTAATAATACCACACTGGATACCACAACCCACACCCTATGGCTTAACGAGAGACAGCCAATCACGAATCAGTATTATTTCTGTAAACAGCAAGAATTTCTGACAAACAATTTTGTATCCACTCCCCGTGAAATCGCTTCTCTATAAAAAGTGTAAAAATTAGCTGGGCGTGGTAGCGTGCACCTGTAGTCCCAGCTACTTGGGGGGCTGAGGCAGGAGGATCACATGAGCCTAGGAGGTCAAGGCTGGAGTGAGCCGTGTTCATGCCACTGCACTCCAGCCGGGGCGACAAAGTGAGACCCTGTCTCAAACACATCCACTTGCAACGGCTGCTAATCAGAGCGTCTAAGTGTATATTCAGGGCAACTTGAATCTATTCTTCCAGTTTGCAAGCCTCAAGCTTGGCTCAAATAAACTCTCTATTTATATTAATTTTGCCTCAGCTTCTTCCTTTTAAGTTGACGGCCTCAAATAAGCAGAACCACACTCTAGTTGTCCTTTTGTGCCTGGCTTATTTCACTTAGCGTAACAGCCTCAAGATTCATCTGCATTATAGCCTGTGTTAGAATTTCCCTCCCTTTGAAGGCTGTATGATTCAATCAATAACAATTTGAAACAAAAGCTTTCAGGCAGGGCTTAATCTTCCAAGAAGAAGACAATTTTAAATACATGGGCAATTTGAAAGACACTCTAAAACTAGCAAGGAAGCACTTTATGGTAACCGCAATTGCCAATTAACTTGATGTTGAAATCACATAGACAAAGAAAAAGGTGAGTGAAGAGAGGGCTAGAATGGCTTTGTTCCTCTTAATTGTCTTATTGTACACTGGAAAAGTTGCTTGGTTTGCAAAGACAGGTGTTTGGAGGAATCTACAGCGCTTAGAATTACCCCCGGGTGAGCTAGCTGTTTCACGGGAGGATCTTTTGACTCAGCTTGGCCATTTTTCAAATGTGGAAAATAATCAGCTCTCAGAAAGGCAGTTTAGAGCAGTGAGTGCTATGGTTTGGCTGTTCGGGAAACCAGGGTCCTCTTCTGTCTGCCTCCTGGGTTTCTGATGTTTCCTTGGAGTATCTTCCTGCTTCCCCAGGATCTAAGGAACAGAAACATCAGTCACAGCTCTCATTTCACTGCAAATGTTTTTCTCTGCATGCGTCTCTACTGGAATACTTAAAACCCGGCAGACAGGTTTTTTTTAGAGGGTTATGTTGTTGAATACAGAAAGAATTGAATGCATCTAGCTCGGAGACCTCTCAAAAAAAAAAAAAAAAAAAAAAAGAAAGAAAAAGAAGAGAAAAGACTGGGTGTGGGGCTTTAGGGAGGCAACCGGCTCCGCAGAGCTACCTGGGGAGTTTTCAGAACAAAGCAGATGCAATGTCGATGGAATCCAATCTCCCCGTCCTTGCCCTTGCAGGTCCCCAGGGGGAGGAGGCTTTGGGAAAAGGCAGACCTCACGACTCCTCTTTCAAATTGTCCCTTTGAAGACCTGCCTTAGATCTGTCTACAGAAGCCTCACCCCAAGCAGAAGGAGAGCCTGGATTTTAAAATTTTTGTTGTTTGCTTTTTGCAGACAGGTGGGTCCTACCTGAGGCTACCAACAATGAGATCCTTCAGGTGATAGGATATGGGCCAGGTCTCCCACCCTCAGCAAGGCAGGTCACTGCAAGGCTTGGGAGGTGCCCTAAGGGGATTTAAACAAACTTGGGATCTTGTGCCTCCTACTGTTACAGGACAGGGGTCCCGAGACTGTATAGGGTAACTTCCTGACGTTGCCATGGCATCTGTAAACTGTCATGGTGCTGGTGGGAGTGTAGCAGTGAGGACGACCAGAGGTCCCTCTTGTGGCCATCTTGGTTTTGGTGGGTTTTGGCCGCCTTCTTTACTGCAACCTGTTTTATCAGCAAGGTCTTTATCACCTGTATTTTTTGCTGACTTCCTATCTCATCCTGTGACTTAGAATCCCTCAATCATCTGGAAATGCAGCCCAGTAGGTTTTTGCCTCATTTTACCCAGCTCCTAGTTAAGATGGAGTTGTTCTGGTTCACACACCTCTGACACTACTGTTAGGGTAGGTAGCGTGTCAGGCATGAACAGGGCAGGAGATGGGTTCCCCCTGCTCCCTCCCCACACACACCAGAAATGTCAGAAGACCATCAGGTGATGGTCAGGCGGTTGATAAACTGTCTCTAAAATAATAATTGGTCACAGTCAGCACCAGGGAAAGGCCGTCTCCCAGTAAATAGAAAACACCTAAAACTGGTGGTCAGCAGCTTCCCAATATGATCTCAGGAGGTGAGTGAGTGGGCTCAAGCACGCACACTAAGAGGCAAAATGGCGGAGTTTAACTGGTCTACAACCTTCTAGGAACACTTCACTTGTAAGGGAAGAACACCTCAAGTGAGCATGCGTACAACACCAGTAAACACACTGCGCATGCTGCCCTCCCGAGTGCTGGCAGGCCACTGTGCATGCAGACAGCCCACCCCAAAGGAAGACTCAGCGGAGAAGGGACACAAGACTCCAGTCTAAAAGTCAACGCATAAAACCCCAAGTCTAAAGGTCAAACCATGCACTTGACTCTGAAGTTGCCCACTTGACCCTCTTCCAAGTATACTTTCCTTTCTTTCGATCGTGTTATAAAGCTTTCTGATAAACTTTCACTCCTGCTCTCAAACTTGCCTCAATCTCTCCTTCTGCCTTATGCCCTTCAGTCAAATTCTTTCTCCTGAGGAGGCAGGAATTGAGGTTGCTGCAGCCCGGTATGGCTTCACCCGCGGTAACACCACCACTCCAGTGCTTCCCAGGTGCCTGCTCTCCGCAACTCTCTGGATGGCTGGGAAGCGGGGCACCCAGGAAAGCAAGCAGTTCCAAGAGGAGGAAGGGTCCCTGCTGGGCGGGTGTACACAGGTGGGCTCCTGGCGCCCACCTGCTGCCTGAGTCTCAGCCTCAGAGGAGCTCAGAGGATAGATGAGATGCACCCACTGCTGGGAACTGGGAGAAACGCAATCCCAAAGACAGGAGCAGTAGACGGGATCCCATTTCCTTCAGGGTTTGACCTGGATACCACAAAGCGCTCCAAAAAATGTCACGGCGAATAAAGGGTGTCCATAGTAAACTGCTGATGAAGCCACAAGGAAACCACTGCCCATCCTGGGCCTTCTTCCTGGCTCCAGGTCCCAGCAGGATGTCAGCCACCAGCCATGGAGGGATGGGTGTAGTATCTCTGAGACTGTGTGGTTTTAGTTTTCTGTTTCAATTGTTGCAAGATGCATGTAACCTACAATTTACCATTTTAGCCACTTTGTGCAATTTGATGGCATTTAGTGCATTCGCAACAGTGAATTCGTGTTTGGTGCACAACAGTGTTGTGCCATGATCATGCCAATCAACGATCAAACACTTTTTTTTTTTTTTTTTTTTTTGAGACAGGGTCTCACTCTGTCACCCAGGCTGGAGTGCAGTGGCACCATCTCGGCTCACTGCAACCTCCGCCTCCCAGGTTCAAGTGATTCTTGTGCCTCAGCCTCCCAAGTAGCTGGGATTACAGGTGCCCGCCACCACATTCGGCTAATTTTTGTATTTTTAGTAGAGATGGGGTTTCACCATGTTGACCAGGCTGGTTTTGAACTCCTGGCCTCAAGTGATCCGCCCACCTCAGCCTCCCAAAGTGCTGGGATTAAAGGCGTGAGTCACCATGCCTAATCAAACACTTTTATTACTTACAAAGAAATTTCACCCAATAGTTATCAGCCCCTCACCCTGCAATCCTCTCCCCACCTGAAGCTTCCAGCAAATACCACTCTGCTATCTGTCTCTCTGCCTATTCTGGGCCTTTCATATAAATAGAATCATACAATATGAGACCTTTGTGTCTGTCTTTTTAAACTTAGCATCATGTTTCCAAGTTCATTCATGTTGCAGCATGTGTGAGAGCTCCAGTCTTTTTTATTGTTCAATCATAGTCTGTCGTATGTGTGAGCTACATTTATGTAACTGCATTCGTGCTCCAGTGAATGTTTAAGTTGTTTCTACTTTTTGGCTCTTGTGCACGAAGCTGCTCTTCATTTATTTATTTGTTCATTTGTTTTGAGACAGGGTCTTGCTCTGTCACCCAGGCTGGAGTGTAGTGGCATGATCTCGGCTCACTGCAATCGCTGCCTCCCTGGCTCAAGCAATTCTTTCATCTCAGCCTCCCGAGTAGCTGTGACTACAGGCGTGCACCAGCCTCGGCTAATTTTTGTATATTTTGTACAGACTGGGTTTCACCATGTTGACCAGGCTAGTCTCAAATTCCTAGGCTCAAGTGATCCGCTCACCTTGGCCTCCCAAATTGCTGGGATTACAGGCGTGAGTCACACTGCCCGACCCATGGTGCTGCTATGAATATGGTGTGTACATATCTGTTGGAGTCTCAATTATTTTTTAAATTCTTTTCATTTTTAGCGATGGGGGTCTCGGTGTGTTGATCGGCAGGCTGGTCTCGAGCTCCTGGTCTGAAGTGACCCTCCCATCTTGGCCTCCCAAAGTGTTAGGATTACAGGCGTGAGCCATTATGCCCAGCCCCCCGCCCCCTTTTTTTTTTTTTTTTTTTTTTTGAGATGGAATCTCACTCTGTCGCCCAGGCTGGAGTGCAGTGGCACGGTCTCACCTCACTATAACCTTTGCCTCCCAGATTCAAGCGATTCTCATGCCTCAGCCTCCTGAGTAACTGGGATTACAGGTTTAGATTTAGTAGAGACAGGATTTCACCATGTTGGCCAGGCTGGTCTTGAACACTCTTGACCTCAGGTGATCTGCACGTCTCTGCCTCCCAAAGTGCTGGGATTACAGATGTGAGCCACTGTGTCTGGCCTCCGATTCTTTTCTGTATTTACCCAGGAGTGGAATTGCTGGTCATGCGGTTGAGACTGTTTCATGTTGGCTGTGCATCAGCTTTCAACCTCCATCCCATCCTGGAATAGAGGTACTGGTGGTTTCATAATTATATCTGACCTGTATCAGACCCACTTTTGTTTTTTTGGCTGATTGGTACTCTTTTTTATATGTCTTTCGTCACATTTTCTTGACACATATCTGGGAATGCTTGACTGTGTGGGGTTGGTTGTGTGGAGTGCTCAAAGTGAGAAGAAAGAAGGAAGGAAGGAACGGAAGATGGGAGGGAGGAAAGATAAAAGGAAGCAAGAGAAAGGAAGAGGGGAAGGAGAAGGAGGAGAAGAGGAAGAGGAAGATGAGGGAGAAGGAGATGAAGGAGGAGGAGGAAAAGGAGGAGGAGGAGGAGAAAAAGAAAAAATTGGAGGGAGAAGGAGGAGAAAGAGAAGGAACAATAGGAGGAGAAGGAGGAGGAGGAATAGAAAGAGGAGGAGAAAAAGAAAGAAAAGTTGGAGGGAGGAGGTGAAAGAGGAGAGAGGAAGAAGGAGCTGGAGGAGGAGGGGAGGAGGAGGAAGGAAGGGTATTCCCACCCTGAGAACTCTTTTACATTATCCACACAGATTTCTGTGCAGTTATATGATTAATTCAAGGCTCTAATATAATGTAGCAAAAAAAAATCAACAAAATAGAAGGTACTCCTGGACACACTTAAGTTTCACAGGTTGGTGTGGGTTCGTGTCTTCTCAGCAGCATGTGAAGGTGTTAGATGGTTTTTTAAAAAGGAGGAAGAGGAGGAGAATGAGGACGAGGAGGAAGAGAGTGGGGAGGTCTTGCAGCCCAAGAGATGTCTGACATGACCTGGAAGTTACCGCTGCGCCTGCACCATGGGAAGACTGTTCTGGGTCATCGTTTACCCATTGTTTAGACTTTGATGGCTGTCTATGGAGGTGTCTCCAAGTTCGGGTAGGGGGGCCTGGCTCTCAGGTCAGGAGGACTCTGGACTAAGTCTTGAATGTTTCCAGGTGCACCCCATACAAAGGGTCTGTCTCAGGACTCCTACAGCTGAGGGAATTTACAAATTCTTCTTCCCATCTTGGTCTGCTCTGTCTATCCCCCTCACCTGGATGTGTTCCTATACCCATACCCGGTGGCTGTGGTCCAATTTTATTCTAAAAGTTTTCACTAGGAACACATGCTCCAACCCTCATCCAAGGCTAGAATCTTCCCAGCAGTTTCCCAGGGCACCTGCTCTGAGATTTTACCTCTTGGGGAGAGAAAGGATGAGATTCTAGAGTGTGTGTTTTATTTATTTAATTTTTTTTCTAAAGTGAATTGGAAAACAAAAGAATGAACCTCCTCAAACTTCAGTATGGCATGGAGTTGGACTATGACAAGAGAAGCCAGTGGAAGTATAGAGACATCTTGGACTTAAGAAATGCTGTGTACCTATGGTTTGACAGAGAGTAGTGGATTCCCTGACATTAGCCTGTGTGACCTGAAATAAAGCTGCAGGTGTCCCATGGCTGAGTAGGATGCGGGACGTCTTAGTGGGGGCCACTGAAGGAAATTCTTAGGTGACAGAGAGTCAGATAGTGGCAGATCAGAAGATTTGGATAGAACCAGGAAACAGACACGTTAAAAAAAATTGCAGTAAGAATATCTAACATGAGATTTATCCTCTCAAGTTTTTAAGTATGCAATACAGTATTATTATTACTTGTTAACTCTTTAAAACATTTGAATAGTTTTTGGGGAACAGGTGGTGTTTGGTTACACGTATAAGTTCTTTAGTGGTGATTTCTGAGATTTTGGTGCACCGTCATCTGAGCAGTATACACTGTACCCAGTGTGTCCCCTTTGATCCCCCACCCCCCTCCCACCCTTCCCCCTGAGTCCCAGAGTCCATTATGCCATTCCTATGCCTTTGCATCCTCATAGCTTAGCTTCTGCTTATAAGTGAGAGCATACGATGTTTGGTTTTCCATCCCTGAATGACTTCACTTAGAATAATGGTCTCCAATTCCATCCAGCTTGCTGCAATTGCCATTATTTCATTCCTTTTTATGGCTGAGTAGTACAGAATACAGTATTATTAACTACAGGCGCAGTGTTGTAGACAGCAGATCAGAACTTATTCGTCTTGTATAACTGAAGCTTTATACCCACAGAACAACTCCCTACTGCCCCTCCTCGGAGCACCTGGCAACCACCATTCATCCTCTGCTTCTATGAGTTTCATGAGTTTATACTCTGCATATAAGTGAGACATGGCAGTATTTGTCTTTCTGTGCCTGGCAGATTCTGCTTAGCATAATGTCCTCCAGGTTCATCTGTGTTGTTGCCAATGATTGGTTGCCTTTCTTTCTTAAAGCTGAATAGGATTCCACTGTATATATGCATGACATTTTCTTTACGCATTCATCCATCCACGGACACTTAGATGGTTTCCATGCCCAGGCTATAGTGAATGATGCTGCAGTGAACATGGGGGTGCAGATGTCTATTTGAGATCTTGATTTTATTTCATTTGGACAAATACGAGTAGGCTTGCTGGGTCACAGTAGATTTATTTTTAATTTTTTGAGGAACAGAAAATGGGCATTTTTTAAAACCACATCTGGAAGAGGGGAGGAGCCACAGAGTTCATTTCCAACACCTTCCTGTATGTTCTTTTCCGGTAGTTGTGCATAGTGTATCATACATAAGTTAGCTGCTTTGCAAACAGTGTGTAGTTCAATCTTCCCTTACCTTTGGAAACAACCTGGTCTCAAAAAGCTTATCTGTGTTGTCTCTGAAATAACCTTTGGGTGCAGTCTGTACAGTTAAACCATGTGAATTCAGTAACTTGCAGCTAATGCTTTTGCTATCCTTATAAAATGAGGAGACAGACGCTTGATCCTGACCTAGCTCTTGATATGGTTTGGCTCTGTGTTCTCACCCAAATCTCCTGTTGAATTGTAATTCCGAATGGTGGGAGGTGATTGGATCATGGGGGCGGATTTCCTCCTTGATGTTCTTGTAGTGAGTGAGTTCTCACAAGATCTGGTTGTTTAAAAATGTGTGACACTTCCCCCTTTGTGCACTCTCGCTCTCTCCTGCTGGGCATGTGAAGATTGTGCCTGCTTCCCCTTCGCCTTCCACCATGATTGTAAGTTTTCTGAGGCCTCCCCACCCATGCCTCCTGTACAGCCTGTGAAGCTGTGAGCCAATTAAACCTCTTTTCTCCATAAATTACTCAGTTTCACGTATGTCTTCATAGCAGTGTGAGAATGGACGTATACAGCTCTATTGAGTCCAAGAGTCCCAACTTCAGGCATTCCTGTCTGGGGACAAACACTCACCATATTAGTCTGCTAGGTCCCACAGTCCTCAGAAATTTATTTTCTCACAGTTCTGCAGGCCGGAAGTCCAAGAACAGGATGCTGTTAAGATTGGGGTCTAGTGAGGACTCTTTTCCTGGCTGGCAGATGGCCACCTTCTCACTGTATCCTCACATGGCCTTTCCTTTGTCCTAAAGCAGAAAGGCGGTGGTGGAGATGGAAAGAGAGAGAAAGAGAGAGAATGAGGGAACTGTGGTTGTCCAGGGTTGGCAGAAGAAGGAATGGGGAATTGTTTAGTGGGTACAGAGTTTCAGTTATGCAAGACATATAAGCTCTGATCTACTGTACAGAATCATGCCTATAGTTAACAATACTCTATTATGTACTTAAGTATTTAAGAGGGTAAATCTCATATTAAGGGTTCTTATCACAATGAGAGAGAGAGAGAGAGATCTGTCTTCATCTTCTTATGAGGACACAAGTCCTATAGGATGAGGGCCCCACTCTTATGAGCTCATTGAGTCTTTATTATCTGCTGATAGACTCTATCTCCAAATACAGCCACATTAGGGTTAGGGTTTCCCCATATGAATTTTGAAGGGACATGGTTCAGTCTGTAACACCTACTCCAGCCTGGAGCAATGTGCTCTCTTTCCTTTGGCTGATGGTCTTGATGGAGTAGGAAGAACTTCATCGTCATCCTATACAGCACCTGCAGATGCTGGGACTTCTCTAGTGGGATGCAGCTTGTTTCCAAAGTAAGTAAGTGGAAGTCGGGGCACAGTGGCTCATGCCCATAACCTTAGCTCTCTGGGAGGCTGAGGGCAGAGGATTCCTTGAGCCCAGGAGTTTGAGACCAGTTTGGACAACATAGTGAGACCCTGTCTTTACCAAAAATTTGAAATTAGCCAGGTATGGTGGTGCATGCCTGTGGTCCCAGCTACTTGGGAGGCTGGGAGGTGGGAGGATTACTTGTGACTGGGTGTTTGAGGCTGCAGTGAGTTATGATCATGCCACTGCACTCCAGCCTGGGCAACAGACGGAGACCCTGCCCCCAATCCCGCCCCCACCAAAAAAAAGTAAGTGAAAACTGGCTGGGCACGGTGGCTCATGCCTGTAATCCCAGCACTTTGGGAGGCCGAGGCGGGCGGATCACGAGGTCAGGAGATCGAGACCATCCTGGCTAACACGGTGAAACCCCGTCTCTACTAAAAATCCAAAAAAATTAGCCGGGCGTGGTGATGGGCGCCTGTAGTCCCAGCTACTCGGGAAGCTGAGGCAGGTGAATGGCCTGAACCCGGGAGGCGGAGCTTGCAGTGAGCTGAGATAGCACCACTGCACTCCAGCCTGGGCAACAGAGCTAGACTTCGTCTTAAAAAAAAAAAAAAAAAAAAAGTAAGTGAAAACTTCAGGAATGTGCTGGGACAGGTTTGAAAACTCATGGTTTTCTCCCCTGGTCACCCAGCACTGGAAGCTCTATATGCTTGAGGTACTTTCAGGTGTTTCTGACCACATGATAAGTAGAATTATCTTTTCACACCATTGATTGTTACTTCTAGCTGGGATATAATTGGTGTGCCACTTACCTGCACTTTTTTCATGATGAGGCCAATGTTATTATCTTATAAATAAGTATGGATCTTAATTGACAAACTTTCTGCTAATTCTATATTACCCTTCCCTTCTACGTCCATCAGGTTTCTATGTTGTCTTCTAGGAAACCCACGAAAGATTGTAAAGTCAATAAGATTTAAACATCTTTCAAATTCCCAATGGCCAGACAGAAATATTTGTTTGCAAAAATTTCCCCAAAGAGGTGCACAGATAAATCTTTTAAGATGAAGCCATGCGAAAATATAAAGGAAGGGCTGGGCGCGGTGGCTCAGGCCTGTCATCCCAGCACTTTGAGAGGCCAAGGTGGGCGCATCACTTGAGGTCAGGAGCTTGAGACCAGCCTGGCCAACATGGTGAAACCCCATCTCTACTAAAAATACAAAAATTAGCCGGGTGTGGTGGCACATGCCTGTAATCCCATCTACTTGGGAGGCTGAAGCAGGAGAATTGCTTGAACCCAGGAGGCGGCGGTTGCAGTGAGCTGAGATTGCACCACTGCACTCCAGACTGGGAAACAGAGTGAGACTCTGTCTCAAAAAAGAAAAAAATATAAAGGAAGACTGGTATCTGTTTGTCTGTTGAGTGTTGGACAATGTGGGGATGGGGAGGACAGGATTGTCTCTGCTCTTAACTTTCTTTTTAAATTAAACTTTTTTTGGAGATGAGGTCTTGCTCTGTTGCCCAGGCTGGAGTGCAGTTGTGCAATCGTGGTTCACTGCAGCCTTGGCTGCCTGGGCTGAAGCGATCCTCCCAGCTTAGCCTCCTGAGTTCCTGGGACCACAGGTGTGCTCCACCATACCCACTTAGTTTTTTATTTTTTGTAAGGTTGGGGTCGTGCTGTGTTGCCCCACTTGTCTTGAGCCCCTGGGCTCTAGTGATCCTTTTACCTTGGCCTCCCAAAATGCTGGGATTACATGCATGAGCCACTGTGCCTGGCCCTGGCTCTTAACTTTTGGGGTAACTGAAGTGATGCCCACCGTAGGTTTTGAGACTTAGGAGAAGACTAATTTTTTCTCTATGGAGAGGAAATTTATAGAACATAAAACTCAACATTTTGTTATTTTTATTATTTATTTATTTTTGAGACAGAGTCTCACTCTGTTGCCCAGACTGGAGTGCAGTGGTGCAATCTCAGCTCACTGCAACCTCTGCCTCCTGGGTTCAAGCAATTCTCCTGCCTCAGCTTCCCAAGTACCTGGAATTACAGGCGCCCACCACCATGTCCGGCTAGTTTTTGTATTTTCAGTAGAGACGGGGTTTCACCACGTTGGTCAAGCTGGTCTCGAACTCCTGACCTCAGGTGATCCACCCACCTTGGACTCCCAAGGTGCTGGGATTACAGGCGAGAGCCGCTGCACCTGGCAAAATTCACCATTTTAAAGTGTACAGCTCAGTGAGATTTAGTATGTTCACAACCACGTCTCTATCTAGTTCCAGAACATTTTCATATTTCCAAAACGGGACCCTGTACCCACTAGCAGTCACTTCCCATTCCGCCTCCCCAGCCTCTAATGGCCATGTATTTTCCGTCTCTGTGGATTTGCCTATTTTGGACACTTTATATAAATGGCATCATATAGCACGTGGTCTTTTGTGTCTGACTCGTTTCGCTGAGTGTGCTGTTATTCAGGTGCACCCACACTGTAACCTGTTTCCGAGCCGCATTCCTCTCTAGGGTTGCATCATGTTCCCTTGTGTGGATGGACCACGTTGTGTTTTTCTTCATCCACTGATGGTCATTTGGGTTGATTCCACTTGAGATGTTTTTTAACCTACGACTCAGGACACCTGGACTAGATTATTCATGATTTCTTCCAGATCTGCGATCTTAGATTTAAATAAATAGCAGTGTGCCATTTGGGTCACAGATGTTAGTTCTGTGTGAAACAGATCTATAGATAGGAAGAAGAAGTTTAACGAAGAGAAGATACAGACGGGCTGTGAAAAGTACCTGGGAAGAAATTGAAACTGCAACAGGGAAATGATGATAAAGTTTTTGGTGTGCAATGGATTATAAAAGGCGCTATACAACGGAGAGAATGTGTCCTTATTGTGTTCAGAGGATGAGAAGGTACGCAGGTGTGAGTCTGGCCTTGAATCTTCAACCCACTACTTCATCATTATTTTATTAAAACAAAACTTCGATGCATTTCAAATCATTGTCTTTTCCACATTAGGTAAAATTACATGCTATTTTTCATTTGAAGTATTTTTGGTTTTTGGTGGAGTAATGCTCTTATGGGTCTTTCTAATTTTATTTATTTATTTATTTGTTTATTTATTTATTTATTTATTTATGACAGGGTCTCTCTGTGTCACCCAGGCTGGAGTGCAGTGGCACGGTCTCAAGTAGCTGGGATGAAAAGCACACACCACCATGTCCAGCTAATTTTTTATTTTTATTTTTACTTTTTGAGATAGAGTCTCACTCTGTTGCCCAGGCTGGAGTACAGTGCTGCAATCTTGGCTCACTGCAACCTCCACTTCTCGGGGTCAAGAGATTCTCCTCGTTCAGCCACCTGAGTAGCTGGGATTATAGGCATGTACCACCAAGTTAGGCTAATTTTTGTATTTTTCATAGAGACAGGGTTTTACCATGTTAGCCAGGTTGGTCTCGAACTCCTGGCTTCAAGTGATCTGCCCACCTCGGCCTCCCAGAGTGCTGGAATTACAGGCATGAGCCACTGTGCCTGGCCAATTTTTTAAAAATTTAAGTTAAATTAAAATTATTTAATTTTTAATTTTTTACATGTTTATTTTAGACTCAGGGCTACATGTGCAGGTTTCTGACCTGGGTATATTGCATGATGCTGAGGTTTGGGCTCCTAATGGACCTGTCACCCAGGTAGTGAGCCTAGTACCTGGTAAGTACCTTTCCATCCGCTGTCCCCCTTCCTTCCTCTCCCGTCTAGCAGTCCCCAGAGTCTATTGTTCCCATCTTTATGTCCATGGGTACTCAATGTTTAGCTCCCACTTGTAAATGAGAAGATGTGCTATTTGACTTTCTGTTCCTGCCTTAATTTCCTTAGGATGATGGCCTCCAGCTCCATCCATGTTACTGCAAAGGACATGATTTTGTTCTTTTTATGGCTGTGTAGTATTCCTTGGTGTAGAGGTACCATATTTTCTTTATCCAGTCTGCCATGGATGGGCACCTGGATTGATTCCATGTCTTTGCTATTGTGAATAGTGCTGTGATGAACATATGTGTCCGTGTGTGTTTTTGGTAGAATGATTTATTTTCCTTTGGGTAGAAACTATTTTTTTAACAACTTTATTGAGATATAGCTTACATATGATATCATTTACCCACTTAATGCATGCAATTCAGTGTTTCGTAGTATATTCAGAGTTGTGCAACCATCACCACTATCAGTTTTAGAGCATTTGATTTTTTTTTTTTTTTTTTTTTTTTTTTGAGACAGAGTCTCGCTCTGTTGCCAGGCTGGACCGCAGTGGCGTGATATCAGCTCACTGCAGTCTCTGCCTCCAGGGTTCCAGCGATTCTCCTGCCTCAGTCTCCTGGGTAGCTGAGATTAAGGCACGCGTCACCACACCCAGCTAATTTTTGTATTTTTAGTAGAGACAGTATTTCACCATGTTGCCCAGGCTGGTCTCGAACTCCCGATCTCAGGTGATCACCTGCCTAGGCCTCCCGAAGTGCTGGGATTACAGGCGTGAGCCACCGCTCCCAGCCGAGCATTTGATTTCTTTGGTAAGACACTTTGTACCCTTTAGCTATAACCACCTTAACACCCCCTGCCCCCATCCCTAAGCAACCACAAATCTACTTTCCATCTTTATAGACTTCCTTGTTTTGAATTATCCTTTACATGGGATCATACAGAACACAGCGTTTTATGACTGGCTTCCATCACTTAGCAAATTGCCTTCAAGGTTCACTCATGTGGTGGCCTGTGTCAGAGCTTCAGTCCTTTTTAGGGCTGAAGAATATTCCATGATATGGATGGACCACATTTAGTTTACACATTCATTTGCTGACAGGCCATTTGAGGTTGTTACCACCTTTAGGCTACCATGAATAATGCTGCTGTGAATGTGTGTTTGAGAGTTTACGTGAGCAGACGTGAGCACATGTTTTCATTTCTCTTGGAGATATACTTCGGAGTGGAAACCCACCATGTTTTAGCTGTGAAATATTAGACTTGTCTTAATGTCTCCAAACTTTTGTTTCCACATTTATAAAATACAGTAGTACTTTCCTGGTAGGATTTGGGTGGCAATTATATGATTGTAGTTTGCAAAGAAGTTAAGAAGTGGATGGCACATCATGAGTGCTTCAACAATCACAGCTATGGCTATTATTTGTAAAAATAAATTTGCAGAAAGAGAAAGCCTGTATAGTGAAGGGGCTAGATAAATGTTTGAAAGCACAGAAGAGTTTACCATGGATTCACATTCCTTTGTTGAGGGTTGAATCATATGCCCAACTAACATATGTTGAAAGCTGAACCCCCAGTACCTGTGAATGGGGCCTTATTTGGAAATCCGGTCTTCACAGATGTACTGAAGGATGTGTGTGAAGTAAGTGATGCAGATGTAGGTTAAGGATCTCAAGATGAGCTCATCCTGGATTAGGGTGGGCCCTGAGTCCCCTGACAAGTATCCTTTTAAGAGACAGAAGAGGAGACAGGCACAGAGAAGGAGGCCACATAAGAAGGCAGGGACTGGAGTGATGTGGCAGCAAGCCCAGGGACACCGGGAGCCCCCAGGAGCTGGAGAGGCAGGAAGGATCCTCCACCTGAGGATCCTAACCCCTTTAAATTCACAGAACCTGTGAATGGGATCTGATTTGGAAATAGAGTCTTTACAGATACTATTCGTTAAGGATTCCAAAAGGAGCTTATCCTGGGTTAGGGAGAGTCCTGCATCCAATGACAGGTGTCCTTCTAACAGATGAAAGAGGAGACACAGACACAGAGGAGAAGGCCACGTACAGATGGAGGCAGAGACTGGAGCGATGCGGTCATAAGCCCAGGGATGCCTGGAGTCCCCAGGAGCTGGGAGAGGCAGGAAGGAACCTCCCCTGGAGCCTCCCCTAGAGCCTCCCCCAGAGCCTCCCCCAGAGCCTCCCCTAGAGCCTCCCCCAGAGCCTCCCCTAGAGTTTCCCCCAGAGCCTCCCCTAGAGCCTCCCCTAGAGCCTCCCCCAGAGCCTCCCCTAGAGCTTCCCCCAGACCCTCCCCTAGAGCTTCCCCCAAAGCCTCCCCTAGAGCCTCCCCTAGAGCCTCCCCCAGAGCCTCCCCCAGAGACTCCTGTACAGCCTCCCCTAGAGCCTCCCCCAGAGCCTCCCCTAGAGCCTCCCCTAGAGCCTTCGGAGGGAGCGCAGCCCCGACATTCCTTGATTTCAGACTCCTGGCCTCCAGGACCAGGAGACAATCAATTCCGGTTGTTTTAAGCTACTCAGGTTGTGGTACTGTATTACGGCAGCCTCAGGAAAGTCACTTGGGGTAAACACATTTGACACCCAAGAAGTGCTTCCTGCTGGGCGCAGTGGCTCACACCCATAATTCCAGCACTTTGGGAAGCTGAAGTGGGAGGATTTCTTTAGCCCAGGAGTTTGAGACCATCCTGGGCAACAGAGCGAGACCCCGTCTCTACAAAAAATAAAAAAATTAGCTGGGGCTGGGCGCAGTGGCTTACGCCTGTAATCCCAGCACTTTGGGAGACCGAAGTGGGCAGATCACCTGAGGTCAGGAGTTCGAGACCAGCCTGGACAACATGGTGAAACCCCATCTCTACTAAAAATACTAAAAGTAGCCGGGTGTGGTGGTACACGCCTGTAATCCCAGCTACTCAGAAGGCTGAAGTGGGAGAATCGCTTCAACCCAGGAGGTGAAGGTTGCAGTGAGCCGAGATCGCGCCACTGCACTCCACATTCCAGCCTGAGCGACAGAAGGAGACTCTGTCTCAAGTAAATAAATAAATAAGAAAAATTATCTGGGGCTGGGTGCAGTGTCTCACACCTGTAATCCCAGCACTTTGGGAGGCCGAGGTGGATGGATCACTTGAGGCCAGCCTGGCCTGGAGTTCGAGACCAGCCTGGCCAATATGGCGAAACCCCGTCTCTACTAATAATACAAAAACTAGTTGGGTGTGGTAGTGCACACCTGTAATCCGAGCTACTTGGGAGACTGAGGCAGGAGAATCTCTTGAGCCCCGGAGGCGGAGGTTGCAATGAGCCAAGATTGCACCACTGCGCTCTAGCCTGGGCGACAAGAGCAAAACTCTGTCTTAAAAAAAATAATAAAAAAAAAAAGATAAAAGGTCTGGCCCAGATAGAATTCATGGAGTGTTTCCTTCCTTCCTCCTTTACAAAAAGAACATCAAAACAGTAGCAAGATGACACCAATGTTTCCTATCCTCTGGGGTACCCCATTGGAGCTCTGACTTAGTTCATTTGGACTGCTATGACAAAATACCATACAGTGAATGGCTTTTAACCCATTTCCCGTTTAGAAAAAAAAAAAAAAAGGTACAGCTTGCTGCCTGCACTCATTTAATTTTACATAAACACGCTCGCTCTTTGAGGCTGAAGAAAATCTAATTGATTTTCAATGTGAAAATAAAATGCAAAAATTGTTCTTAGAGTTATTTCTAAACAGAACTTGTGTCTAATCCTAATGTAAAATCATATACATTTCTGTTGCATTGGGATTAGAGACAAGAGTATTCTCGGGGCAAATGGGAAAGGGGTTAAACAAAAGACATTTACTGCTCACAGCTCTGGAGTCCAGGATCAAGGTGTGGCAGATTCATTGTCTGGTGAGGGCTTCCTGGTTCATAGACTTGGCACCTTCTCGCCGTGTCCTCACATGGTGGAAAGGGTGAGAGAGCTCTCTGAGGTCCCTTTTATAAGGGCACTAGTGCCATTCATGAGGCTCCTGACTTCATCACGTTCCAAAGGCCTCACCTCCTAACACCATCACCTGGGGGGTTCAATTTTGATTTGGGGGTAACATAAATCCTGTCTGTAGCAAGCTCTATCAATGCAAGTCATTGTTAGACTACAGATTTCATCAAAATCACTTTGCCCCAATGTTGTACAACTAAGGGAATATTCTTCTTCTCAAAAAAGCATTTTTTTTTTTGGTCTCCCTAAAATGGTAACTACTGGTCTGAAAATACTCTTGGTCGACTCATGGATCATGAGTTTTTGGGAAGTGGGCAAGCTACAAAATACAAATCACTAAGTACCAGAAGCAAAGCCTGAACTTTATCATTTTTAGCTGCCTTTTCACATGGGAGACTGTTGTACATCATTTGCAGGCATGAGTTTTGCATGAAACTGTGAACCCAACTGCCTACTTAAAAGTAAGATTTGTTAAAGGATACAAAGTTACAGGTAGAGAGTGGGAATAAGTTCTAGTGTTCTATAGCACTGTAGGATGACTCTAGGCAACAATAATATACAGTTTCAAGTAGCCGAGAGGATATTAAATGTTGCCAACACAAAGAAATGGTACAGGTGTGAGATGATGAATATGCCAATTATCCTGCTGTGACCACTATACATTATATATATTGAAATATCACTGTGTATCCCAGGAATATGGACAGTTATTATATGTCAATGGAAACAACAAAATTCTTAAAAAAGGATTTGGCAGGATGGATTTTTATTTATTTATTTATTGAGATGGAGTCTCACTCTGTCACCAAGGCTGGAGTGCAGTGGCACCATCTCGGCTCACTGCAACCTCCACCTCCCAGGTTCAAGCAATTCTCCTGCCTCAGCCTCCCAAGTAGCTGGGATTACAGGCACGTGCCACCACATCTGGATGATTTTTGTATTTTTAGTAGAGATGAGGTTTCACCATGTTGGCCAGACTGGTCTCAAACCCCTGACCTCAGATGATCCACCCACCTCGGCCTCCCAAAGTGCCGGGATTACAGGTGTGAGCCACCATGCCCGGCCTCTTTTTATATTTTTGAAAATTGACAAAAATTGCATATATTTATGATGTGCAATATGATGTTTTGAAATACGTGCACATTGCAGAGTGGCTAAATTGAACTAATTAACATATGTATCACCTTATATATTTATCTTTTATGTGTGTGATGAGAATATTTAAAATCTGCTGTCAGTGATTTTCAAGTATGCAATACATTGTTGTGAACTATAGTCCCCATGTTATACGATGGATCCCTTGAACTTATTCCTCCTAACTCAAATTTTATTTGTCTTTGAAATAAAAGTGTTGGTTGGGTGTGGTGGCTCATGCCTGTAATCCCAACACTTTGGGAGGCTGAGGCAGGCGGATCACCTGAGGTCAGGGGTTCGAGACCAGCCAACATGGTGAAACCCCATCTCTACTAAAAATACAAAAATTAGCCAGGCGCGATGGCATGTGCCTTAATCCCAGCTACTTGAGAGGCTTAGGCAGGAGAATCGCTTGGACCTGGGAGGTGGAGGTTACAGTGAGCCAAGATCACGCCACTGCACTCCAGCCTGGACGACAGAGTGAGACTCCATCTCAAAAAAAAAAAAAAAAAAAAAAAAAGAAAGAAAAAAAACAGTGTCTCCCGTGTTAAACATGGATCAAGTTTCCTTGGCTTTTTTCCTAACGTAATTCTAATTGTCTTTTTTCTGCAAAAAGCAGAGAAAGAAAATGAGGCTGAATGCGGTAGCTCATGCCTGTAATCCCAGGACTTTGAGAAGCTGATGCAGGAGGAGCGCTTGAGCCCAGGAGTTTGATACCAGCCTAGGCAACACAGCGAGACTCCGTGTCTACAAAAAATAAAAAATTAGCCGAGTGTGTTTGCACACACCTATAGTCTCAGATACTTGGGAGGCTGAGGTGAGGCAATTGCTTGAGCCCAGGAGTTTGAGACCAGACTGGGTAACACATTGAAACCCCATGTCTACAGAAAATTTTAAAAAATAGCTGCATGTGGTGGCACATGCCTGTAGTCTCAGCTACTCAGGAGGCTGAGGAGTTCAGGACCAGCCTGGGCAACATTGTGAGACCCCCATCTCTACAAAATATTAAAAATTAGCTGAGCGTGGTGGCACGCACCTGTAGCCCCAGCTATTAGAGAGGCTGAGGCAGGTGAATTGCTTGAGCTCAGGAGTTTGAGGCTGCAGTGAGCTGCGATTGCACCACTGCACCCCAACCTGGATGACAGAGCCAGAACCTGTCTCTGTGTCTGTCTCTCCCTTTTTTTTTTCTTACACCAACTTCGGTACATTCTCAAACCTTTTAATCGTTCACCCTTGAAGTACTGGTTTGTCATGTTCTGAAGCTCCCTGTAATGGGATGGGTTTCTGATCACCCTTGGGCTGTATTGGGCTGGCATCATTTAAATATCCGGGCATTTAGATTGGTTCCTGATAGGGAAACTTCATGTTTATTTCACATGTAGGCTAATTGTTTGGTCTGCCTGCGAGTCCTGAGGAATTATTAAGGAAAACCACACCTGTTTCTGCTTTCTCATCCTGAGGAATTATTAAGGAAAACCACACCTGTTTCTGTTTTCTCATCCTGAGGAATTATTAAGGAAAACCACACCTGTTTCTGCTTTCTCATCCTGAGGCATTATTAAGGAAAACCACACCTGTTTCTGCTTTCTCACTCGCAGTGAGAGAGTTCCTGGGAGAGATGCAGTACCCGGAGGGTTCATTATCAGCCCCAGCCGCTGATGCGCTATCAGCCTGCGGAGGAGGGAGCCCTGGGGCTTCACTAACCACGGGCTGGAGCTGCCACGCACCAGCTCCAGTGAGATCGGGGTTTTCGTTTTCATCCAACACTTTCAACCCAGTTTCTGATGAAAGGGCTTCTTCCAGTCACCAGAGAAAGTGAGTTTGTATGTTTTTCCTCCAGAGCATTGCTGCGTGGTTCACAAATAGGGCTGCTTATGACAAAATATTAACTTTGGCAGTTTTGGAGAAAAAGGACAAATAATGCATTCCTGGGAGAGGTGTGCAGCACATGGGCTGCGATGGGTCACAGGGACAGGTGCCTGGAAACCAGGGGTCAAAGATGAGCCTCTGAAACGGCTCTCTTTCTAGTCTGCATGCCCTTCACTGCTCTTCCTTTATAAAGATAACAAGTCTCTATATGTCGTTTTAGAAATTGTGGCAAACACTGTGTGTCGTTTTAGAAATTGTGGCAAACGCTGTGTGTCGTTTTAGAAATTGTGGCAAATGCTGTGTGTCGTTTTAGAAATTGTGGCAAACACTGTGTATCGTTTTAGAAATTGTGGCTCACGCCTGTAATCTCAACACTTTGGGAGGCTAAGGTGGGAAGATTGAGCCCAGGAGTTCAAGACCTGCCTGGCCCACATAGAAAGACACCATCTCAAAAAAAAATTGTGTGGCAAAGTATACATAAGACAAAACTGACCATTTTAGCTATTTTCAAGTGTACAGTTGAGTGGCATTAAGTGCACTCATATTGTGCATCTGTCACCACCATCCACCTCTGGAAATTCATCTTCCCACCTGAAACTCTGTCCCCTAGTAACCACCATTCTACTTTCTGACTCCATGAATTTGCCTACTCTAGAGGTACTGATATACGTGAAATCATACAATATATGTCCTTTAGAGTGTATTTCTTTTTTTAAAAAAATGTCAACTTTTATTATAGATTCAGGGGGCACATGTGTGGGTTTGTTACATGGATATAATGCGTGATGCTGAGGTCTGGTGTATGAACGATTCTGAAGCAGGTTGTTCATCTAGGGTGATACCTGAGGTTTGTTGTCTCCGGCTGAGGAAATCAAGGATGTGGACATACAAGAAGTGAGGTTAAGGGCGGAGGTTTAATAGGTGAAGGAACAAGAAGAGCTCTCTCCTGCAGAGAGGAGGTTCCGAGTGGGTTTTCTGGTCTGCAGCAAAATGCAATGGGTTTTATAGATGAGCTTGATGAGGTGGTGTCTGATTTACATAGGGTGCAAGAGATTGGTTGGACCAGGTGTGTCATTTGCATAGGGCACAAAAAAACTGGTTAGGGCTAGGCATGCCATTTGCATAGGGCACCAAAACCTGGCCACCTTCACCCTAATCTTTTATTATGCAGATGGATTCTCTACCTGGTTGGCACTATGTTGCCTGTTCCTTTAAGGTACACGGTGACAAAAGGGAAGATGGAGCCTCCATGTTGAACGTGCCTGGCTCCAAGGTAGCCCTTTTCTATTGGCACAGCTGCCGGTATTCACCTGTGCAAGCTTCCAGCTTGCTTATCTATGTCTGCAGCATGATTTTTCAGGCTGCTCTTTGTTAGAAATGATTTTGGAGCTGCTTTTTGTTAAAAGAGAAATTCCGCCGAGGACTCTTTTACCCTCACTATCTGCCTGAGTAATTTCTTTCTAGCTCCTGTATGAATCCCATCATTCAGGTAGTGAGCATAGTACCCAGGAGGCACTTTCCCAGCCCTGTCGCCTTCCCCTCCTCTCCCGTCTAGTAGTCCCCAGTGTCTGTGGTTCCCATCTTTATGTCCATGAGTACCCAATGTTTACTTCCCACTTTATAAGTGAGAATATGCCCCATATTTGGTTCCTGAATTAATTTGCTTAGAATAATGGCCTCCAGCTGCATCTTTGTTGCTACGAAGGACATGATTTTATTCTTTCTTATGGCTGTGTAGTAGTCCATGGTGTATATGTACCACATTTTCCTTATCCACTCCACATGGATGGGCACCGGGGTTGATTCCGTGTCTTTGCTATTGTGAATAGAGCTGCAATGAACATGTGCGTGCAGGTGTCTTTATGTTAGAAGAATGTATTTGTCCTTGGGTATATAAACAGTAATGGGATTGCTGGGTCGAATGCTAGTTCTGAGTTCCTTGAGAACTCTCCAAACTGCTTTTCACTGCAGCGGAGTTAATTTACATCTGTCAGGCCTCTGAGCCCAAGCTAAGCCATCATATCCCCCGTGACCTGCACTTATACATCCAGATGGCCTGAAGTAACTGAAGAATCACAAAAGAAGTGAAAATGTTCCTGCCTTAACTGATGACATTACCTTGTGAAATTCCTTCTCCTGTCTCATCCTGGCTCAAAAGATCCCCCACTGAGCACCTTGTGACCCCCACCCCTGCCAGCCAGAGAACAACCCCCTTTGACTGTAATTTTCCACTACCTACCCAAATCCTATAAAACGGCCCCACCCCTGTCTCCCTTTGCTGACTCTTTTCAGACTCAGCCTGCCTGCACCCAGGTGATTAAAAAGCTTTACTGCTCACACAAAGCCTGTTTGGTGGTCTCTTCACATGGACGTGTGTGAAAACATTCCCATCAGGAGTGTATTTCTGTGTTTAGCATCCATGCTTTGAGTTTGCCAGAAGATGTTGGATTTGATTGTACCCTGGGAGTAGTGGCGCATGTGTCTCATTCTTCCACTTTCAAGTTGTTCATTGGAGCTGGAGTTTTACACTAGGCAGTGATGACTGAGGACCCCCAGATGAATCTTGGAATTTGATCTCAGAATGTGGCAGAGGCTACATCCCCATGACCCAGCAGGAAGAACATGCCTCCTGCATCCCACGGCTGAGGAGAAAGTGGCTTTTACAGATAGTTACAGGCACCAATGGTTCTACTTCCCTGAAAAGCTGTGTATTTTTTCCATGTGGTTCTGAAGTATAGTTGCTGGAGGATTTGCGTAGACCGAAATGTAGGCTTGGTGCAAACATAATTGCAGTTTTTGCCATTAAAAGTAATGGCCAGACTGGGCGCAGTGGCTCATGCCTGTAATCTCAGAGATTTGGGAAGCCAAGGTGGGCGGATCACTTGGGGTCAGGAGTTCGAGACCAGCCTGGTCAACATGGTGAAACCTCATCTGTACTAAAAATACAAAAAATAGCTGGGCACGGTGGTGCGTGCCTGTGGTGCCAGCTACTTGGGGGGCCGAGGCATGAGAATCGCTTGAGCCCAGGAGGCAGAGGCTGCAGTGAGCCGAAATTATGGCACTGCACTCCAGCCTGGGCAACAGAGCGGGACTCCATTTTACACACACACACACACACACACACACAAAACCGCAATCACTTTTGCACCAACCTAGTATAATTGGGGAATTCCTGGTTACTTTTTTATTCCACGAAAAAGCCTGTTCCCACTGGGGCAATGTGCCAGAGGAAGGGCAGGTTAGAACTGTAAAGCTTCAAGAAGACCCCCTATATCCTGTGAGTGTCCTTGGTATTCATTCTGCAGGCCATTATCAGTCTTGAGGGGGCTGCTACAACATTCTATGGAATGAGAGAGCATTGCTGTGTCAGGAAGTACATACTATTTTTTTCTGCCTCTTTCTCTACCTTAAAAGGATATGCTCAGAATGAGTTGAAATATGGCCATTTTTTCCCCTGAAATCGAGAGCCAGTTGTTGACTTGGAATCATTCAATGTCTCCATTTGTTTTGGGTTAGATTGTTTGAATGGAGGATTCTACTACCAAACACTCATAAGATGGCTTTGAGCAGAAACAAGGCTGATCAGCCGGTATGTACACAATTCTTGGCTTTACAATATTTCTTGGGACATTCTTGGGCTTAAAATATGGCCACACCTCTGCAGTGGTAGGTCAAACAGCCTCTGTCCCAGACCTAAGCTCTCTGGATGCCACACCCCAGACTGGGACTCCCAATCTCATGGTTCACGCTGGCAATGCCTGACCCAGGACATTATCTTGCCATTGAGACCAGGGTCCTTCTCCTTGGACAGTTCCTGTAACTGTTATTGAGTATTTTGAACAGCATTGAATATTTTGTTGAATACTGAATATTTATTGAATATATTGAATATCTTGAATAACAGTCCAAGCAGAAATAAGTATCGGGACACTTTGTTCTCGTTGACAGTCTCAGGTTTCAGTTCTGGCCATATGAGTCTTGGGTGGTTCATTATTGTGAAGACTCCACAAAGTAAGATGGGTGTATGGTGAAGAATAATCAAAGGTAAATAAAGGCACCATCTCGAAGTGGACTTGCCATGTTGCATGGAAGCATGAATGTGTTGAGTCTTTTGTTGTTGAAAATGGTTCTAGGCTGGGCACAGTGGCTCACGCCTATAATCCCAGCACTCTGGGAGGCTGAATGTGTTGAGTCTTCTGTTGTTGAAAATGGTTCTAGGCTGGGCACAGGGGCTCACGCCTATGATCCCAGCACTTTGGGAGGCCGAATGTGTTGACTCTTTTGTTGTTGAAAATGGTTCTAGGCTGGGCACAGTGGCTCACGCCTATAATCCCAGCACTTTGGGAGGCCAAGGTGGGTGGATCACCTAAGGTCAGGAGTTCGAGACCAGCCTGGCCAACATGGCAAAACTGCATCTCTACTAAAAATACAAAAATTAGCTGGGCATTGTGGTGGGCGCCTGTAATCCCAGCTACTGAGGACGCTGAGGCAGGGAGAATGGCTTGAACCTGGGAGGCGGAGGTTGGGCAGCAGAGCCTCGGGAGGGGAGGAGGGGAGGCGAGAGGGGGAGGGGAGAGGGGAGGAGAGTTCTAGCATCCCCAAGTCTGCCCTTGAGAATGTGGTTTGAGAAGGGAGGTGGATTCTTTCAGTGGTGTTCACAGAGCAATTGAAACTTTAGATTTCTCAGAGTGAGCTAGTTTACTAAAGCCTACATATCTGAAAACATAAACACTTCTTCATTAAGGGTGCCCTTTAAGCCAGAAACAAACTCAACCACCAACCACCAAACCCACAAATGAGACAAAACCAAACCAAACCAAAAATCCAACAAATAAACAAACAAAAAACTTTCCCTGAGACAAACCACAGAACTTTATTTTGGGAAAAGAAAACATTTTTTTGTTGGTCAAACTATCAGCTCCTATGAAATACTCTTAGAGATGTTTATCCTGAGCTAGTTTTTTTTGTGGGGAGGTGCTGTTTACATGCTATGTTAAAAATAACACGCAAAAATTCACGAGACATTGATGATGATGATGGTTATACAAATAACGAGAATAATGATATTGGCATACATCATGTGAGTGGAAAAAAAAAGTTGATGGTGGTGATGACAATACGATCGAAACTGCTTTTGCTCCGTGGAAAGCCCTTTGAGATGGGGACCTGGCTGTGCAGTTTGCGGTGTATTTGCCTAAAACGCCATCTGGCTGCTACGTAGAGGAAGAACACTGTTTGCTTTTCTGGCCTTTGTTTTCATAATTCTTCAATTTCTCTTTATGCTCCTAAAAATTCTACATAATCCCATTTCGAACATTGCATTCATTCTCTTTTTTTTTCTCTTAGAAAACAATAAGGGTTTTCATTAAGAAGTAAGTCATAAGACTGCAAGAGAACAAATAAAACTCTTAAGAGGTCTCCCTCCCTCCCTCTCTCTCTGCAGGCTGGGGGTGGAGGATTCAAACGAAATTTTGCTTGAGAAAGTAGCCTGCTCGCTTCAGAAAATTGAATATTTTATTCAAAAAAGGTTAATTTTGCAGAACCAATTTGGCACACCTTTACATCATTCACACTACCTTCCCTGCCCCGTTATTTAGAGAACTCTAAGAAACATAATCTATACATGCACACAAAGTTGGGAACAGTAGATACTAGGGAATACTAGAGGGTGGAGAGATGGAGGGGCCAGGGCTGAAACACTACCTGTGGGGTGCTATGCTCAGTACCTGGGTGATGGGATCATCTGCATTCCAAACCTCAGTGTCACATGATATACCCATGAAACAAACCTGTACCTGTACCACTCAAATCTAAAATAAAAGGTAAAATTATATATAAAAAAGGAATATGATCCACAGAATGTATCAGACAAAAGGTGTTTGTTATGGTGGCTAATACACTTGGGGTTCAGAAAGTCAGTGGTGGCCACACACGGTGGCTCATGCCTGTAATACTAGTGCTTTGGGAGGCTGAGGCGGGAGGATCATGTGAAGCCAGGAGATCGAGACCTCTCTGCTACAAAAAGTAAACAAACAAAAATTGGCTGGGTGTGGTTATGCATGCTTGTGGTCCCAGCTACTTGGGAGACTGAGGTAGGAGGATCACCTGAGCCCAGGAGGTCAAGGCTACAGTGAGCTATGATTGCACCACCACACTCCAGCCCAGGCAACAGAGCAAGACCATGTCTCTTAAAATTTTTTTTTTAAAGAAAAAAAGAAAGTTGGTGGGGACGTGAATTCTAGAACTTTCTCTCCTCAAATATTTAGAACAGGTTGACATGGTACACAACGTTCTTAAAAGAGCTTAGCAAGAGGACGGAGGCTCAGCATTTGAAGGAAGCTGAGTGAGACAGATTAACTAATAAACAAGTCAAGTCACCAGTTAAGAATTGGTCCAGGCATAGTTGCTCATGCCTATAGTACCAGCACTTTGGGAGGCCAAGGCAGGAGGATCACGGGAGCTCAGGAGTTTAAGACCAGCCTGAGCACCATAGGAAGTCTTCATTTCTACAAATAATTAGCCCGGAATGGTGGCACAAACCTGTGGCCCCACCTACTCGGGGGGCTGAGGCGGGAGGATCGCTTGAGCCTGGGAAGTGCAGTGGCGTGATCATAGCTCACTGCAGCCTCCACTTCCCAGGCTGAAGCGATCCTCCCTGTGTCCTCACATGGTCATCCCTCTGTGTGTGGCTGTATCCTTTTATTTTCTTGAAGACAGGGTCTCGCTCTGGCCCAGCAAAGAGTGCAGTGGTGCGATCATAGCTCACTGCATCCTGGACCTCCTGGGCTCAAGCGATCCTCCTACCTCAGCCTCCTGAGTGGCTGGGACCACAGGCGTACACCACTACACCTAGCTAATATATATATGTTTTCTAGATACAGAGTCTCCTTATGTTGCCCAGGCTGGTCTCAAATTCCTGGCCTCAAGCAATCCTCCCGTCTCAGTCTCCCAAGTAGTCGGGTCTACCAGCACGCACCACCATGCCCAGGTAATTTTAAAACTTTTTGCGGCTGGGTGCGGTGGCTCATGCCTGTAATCCCAGAACTTTGGGAGGCCGAGGCAGGCAGATCACTGAGGTCAGGAGTTAAAGACCAGCCTGGCCAACATGGTGAAACCCCGTCTCTGCTATATATACAAAAATTAACCAGGCGTGGTAGAGGGCGCCTGTAGTCCCAGGTACTCGGGAGGCTGAGGCAGGAGAATCGCTTGAACCCGGGAGGCAGAGGTTGCAGTGAGCCGAGATTGTGCCACTGCACTCCAGCCTGGGTGATAGAGGGAGACTCCGTCTCAAAAAAAAAAAAAAAGAAAAAAAAAATCAAAAACTTTGTAGAGACAGTCTTGCTATGTTGCCCAGGCTGGTCTCGAACTCTTGGCCTCAATGTATCCTCTCGCCTGGGCCTCCCAAAGTGCTGGGATTACAGCACTTGGCTCCAGCTTGACCTTTGTTGGTAGAACTACTCAGAAAATATGACCGATTTAGAAATTGGGTGGTGCCAAGTAAACCCCACCCAAACCTATCCCCGCACCAGTTCTCATCTACCTTTTTCGCGTGTTGGGGAACTAGCAAGGCAGGGGCTGCCGCTCGCGGGGGCTTGGCCTCCCTCACGCAGCTCAGCCTCTGAGCGCAAGGCACAGGGCTCTCGCGCTACGGCCGCCACCCGCCCCGAGGCCCCGGTCCCCTCCCCTCACCGCCGCACCAGGACAGCGCGGCCAAGAGCCGGGCCTTTCGGGGGCTGGTGCGGACGTGGCCAGAGATGCCCGAGGAGAAGCAAGAGACCATGGGTATGCGGCGGTCACGGGCCTCTCCGGCCCGGGAGACGGACGTTATGGCTGGCAGCGTCTCGATACCAAATGTTTCCAGACCATATGCTTGCCGCTTCCCGCACTTGGAAAGACCAATCGTTAGGCCCGAGGATGCAAGACCCACCCACTTTGCGATGGAGGCAGCCAATCCAGTTGCTCGTTACTTCCAGTGTCGCAGGCGCCCTTACGAAAGATCCTGTCCAATCGCTACCGGGAACGTCCTCCTAGTCCCGCCTCAGGGCCATCGCAGAGGCTGTCAATGCCGTCTGACCCCTTTACCCCATTGGCGTACTTCCTTCCGACACCATGACATGCACAGCACCAGGCCGGGGCGGGTCAATGGCGGTGGCGGAAACGGCGGGCCACTGCGCGGGAACGGGTTACGCGGCTGACGTCCGCCGCAGCAGCCGCTGGGTCCTGGAGGCAGAAGCCTCCCTGAGAAGCGCACAATAGGCAGGGCGCGGTGGCTCACGCCTGTAATCCCAGCACTTTGGGAGGCTCAGGCGGGCGGATCACAAGGTCAGGAGATCGAGACCATCCTGGCTAACACGGTGAAACCCCGTCTCTACTAAAACTACAAAAAATTAGCCGGGCATGGTGGCGGGCGCCTATGGTCCCAGCTACTCGGGAGGTTGAGGCAGGAGAATGGCATGAACCCGGGAGGCAGAGCTTGCAGTGAGCCGAGATCGCGCCACTGCACTCCAGCCTGGGCGACAGAGCAAGACTCCGTCTCCAAAAAAAAAGAGAGAAGCGCACAATGGACCAAGGGCTCTTGCCGGAGAGGCGCCGCCGCCGAACCCGCAGCCAGACGCCCCTCAGTAGCGCCCGCAGCGGGTGCCGCGGCTCTCGCCTAAACCATGGGCGCACCCGAGGGGCGGGCTCGCCTCCCGTCGGCCCTCACAGCTCGGCTGGGCTCGGAGTCCGCTCCGCCGTCGCCTTCCCGCTGGGGCCGGGAAACGCAGCCGCGGAGCCGCACAGCCCTTGCAGCCGGATGAGAGGCCCCGCTGGCCTCAGGACGGTGGTCGGGGCGGCGGGCGGGGGCATTCGTGCAGCCTTGTGGCCTGCAGGCGCTCCCCGTCGGCAAAGCTGCGCCGCAGGCCTCGGGGCGGGCCTAGGGGCCAATAGGGGGCTCCGGGGTGGGCCTGGAGGCCTGAGGCCACCGGGGGTCCCCGGGCAGGTGATGGGGGCTTGCGGAGCGGGGGCGCCGACCTCTGACCCACGAGAGGGGCGCCTTCGCGGTGCTGGTCGTAGTTATTCTCAGCGTCCCTATTATCCGATTTGAAATGAGAGCAGGCGGCTCTCGGGCTCCGAGCCGGAGGGGGCGGGCGAACTGGGAGCAATGTGTACATTCCACGCCTAGAACCCTGCCGCTGGGCAAATGGAGGCCCGTGTCCCTGCGGTCGCTGCCTGGGAGGGCGCACGAGGTCCCCCAGGCGAGGTGACCCACAGGAGGTTTTGTGACATTGGGCGGCCCAGTCCTGGGGGTGGTGTGTGCTAGTGGTGGAGGGCGGCCTCCTAGAGGAGCCGTCAGCCTTCCAGGGAAGGCACCTGGCCGGTCGGGGAGACTCCCCGGGGCTGCGGGGGAAGCTCCACCTCCTCGAGCGCCCCCCGGGGAGACCCAGGACGCAGGGGTAGCCCTGCGCGGAGTTCTTGGTGGCTCCAGGTGACGCTGTCATAGGACAAAGGGCCCCGGGTGCCGACCTCCTGTGGAGGGCCCTGCCCCGCTGCGGCTGAGGAGGTCGGCACCCGGGGCCCTTTGTCCTATGACAGCGTCACCTGGAGCCACCAAGAACTGGAAGAGGCAGGAAGGAACACCCCCTAGAGCCTCCAGGGGGAGTCCAGCCCTGCCCACAACTTGATCTCAGATTCCTGGTTTCCAATACTGGAAAGAATAAACTTCTGTTACTTTCAGCCACCCAAATTGTGGTTATTTGCTTCAGCATCCATAGGAATTTAAAAACTAAGAGGTATGAATTTTATGTTGCTGCCAAAAGGCTTTTTCTAGGACAAGTAGATATTTAACCTAGATAGTTGTAGCCTTTTCTCGTCTTCATTGGGATCAGAACTCAGTTGATGGCCTCTGTCCTCCTATCTCAATGTTGATTTTACTTTCTCTTTAATCCTGTTCTAAAGCAGTGACCCTTTTAATATTGCTTAAGTAAATATCAATGTTTTTCTGGTCAGTGTGAGACCAGAAACCTTTTTACTTTGGGTCTGAGAAGGAGAAGTATTTTCCCTCCTTCTCCTCTTTTTAGAGATGGGGTCTCTCCGCTGCCCAGGCTACAGTGCAGTGGCATAATCCTAGCTCACTGCATCCTCAAACTCCTGGGCTCAAGTGATCTTCCGGCCTCAGCTTGCTGAAAAGCTGAAACCACAGGTGTGTGCCACTATGCCCTACATATATATATTTTAACTTATTTGTAGAAATGAGGTTTCACTATGTTGCCCAGGCTCGTCTCAGACCTCTGATCTCAAGTGTTCCTCCTCTTTGGCCTCCCAAAGCACTGGGATTACAGGTGTGAGCCACCATGCTTTGGCATGGTGGGGTATGCAGTAGGAGAGCAGGGGTGGTGGTAGTGTCTCCATATGTACTCTCACTAAAACTGGTGTGGGCAGATACTGGATGCCTACTTATTTAGGGGCATCTAAATTCCTGTGCTAAATTAGAAAACAGAGGCAGCTCTTGAAAGGAGTGATGGCGTGAAGGAGAGATGCTTGGACCAACCAGCACACAGCCCTTATAAATAATTGATACCCTTGGTTTTAATGCCACGTCCTCTTCAACAGTTGTTGGTTGAAATGACACGTGATTCCAGGTAAGCTTTTCCAGATAAATTGCCCTGGAACTTCAGACTTTGTCAGGTGAATCGATGTGGAATTTCAGAATGGGCTGGAATGTCTGAGATGGGCATGTCCGATATTCAGCTCAGTGTGGGGAAACTGGTGGCCAGGGCTGGTTGCAAGCTGAGTTGTAGGGGTGACAGTTCACCTGAGAAACAAAAAAACATGCAAGTCCTGGTTCATGAGGAGTGATTTCACAAATAGTGACCATGGAAGTCAATGTTGAAAAACAAATAGATTCAGGGCATAAGGGTGCAGGTTTGTTACGTGGATATATTGCCTAGCGGTGGGGATTGGCCTTCTAACCCCCAAACAGTGAACATAATACCAGATAGGTAATTTTTCCACCCTCATCCCCTCCCACCTTCCCCCTTTTTAAGGTGTCCTGTGTCTGTTAATGTCATTCTATAGGTCCATGTGTACCCATTTTTTTTAACTCCCACTTATAAGCGAGGACATGTGGTATTTGATTTTCTGTTTGAGTTATTTCACTTAGGATATTGACCCGCAGCTCCATTTATGTTGCTGCAAAAGATATAGTTTCATTCTTTTTTATAGATGCATAGTATTCCTTGGTGTGTGTATACCACATTTTCTTCATCCAATGAACATTCAGGTTCATTCCATGATTTTGCTATTGTGAATTGTGCTGTAATAAAAATATAAGTGTAGGTGTCTATTCTGATAATTTCTTTCCTTTGGGTAGATAACCATTACTGGAGTTGCTGGGTCAAAGGGTAGATCTATTTTTAGTTCTCTGAGAAATCTACATACTGTTTTCTATAGAGATTGTACAATTTTACATTCTCACCAACAGCGTATAAGCAAGCGTTCCCTTCTTTGCATTCTCGCCAAGAGGTCAACGTTTTTCTACAAGACAAAAATGTAGATTGGTAGATGATAGATAGATCAATGACAGGTAGATGGAATACATAGATGATAGATAATAATAGGTAGGTAGATGATAAATGGAATAGATAGATGGAATAAATGGATAGATAGAATATAGTAATAAAATGCATCTACCTGAAAATAGAGAAGAAAAAGATTGTGGGACTTTCCACTCTATAACCCTGGAGCAAAGAAAATAGCATTAATGAAAAAGCAAAGAATGGGAAAGTAAAATTTTTTAGTCAGAACCACCCTTCCAGCAGAAAAGAATAGTGCAAGCAAAATATTAAGCATTTCATATGCATTTGTGTAGGCTATGGGAACTATTACAAAAAGGTGGATGTCGCATGTTTCAATGCTTTTTTTTTTTCTTTTTTTTGAGACAGAGTCTCACTCTGTCGCCCAGGCTGGAGTGCAGTGAAGTGATCTTGGCTCACTGCAACCTCCGCTTTCTGGGTTCAATCTCCCAAATAGCTGGGATTATAGTCTCCTGCCGCCATGCCCGGCTAATTTTTTTTTTCTTTTTAATAGAGATGGGGTTTCACCATGTTGTCCAGGCTGGTCTTGAACTCCTAACCTCAAGTGATCACCTGCCTCAACCTCCCAAAGTGCAGAGATTATAGGCGTGAGCCACCGTGCCCGGACTCAATACATTTTTAATATACACAGAGCTTTGCCACATTTTGGAGGGTTGCCTAGTGTTGGAATTTCTGGATTTTTATTTTTTATATTTGTGTTTCTCCCTTTTAGTTTGATGTAATGCAACTCAGTAGATTTTCTTATTGAAATAAAATCTCAGGCTCTCTCCATTGCATAGGCTGAAGCAGGTATGACGTAGGACACTGGCTGGATTCAGACCCTTGAGGGAGGCCGGGCGCGGTGGCTCATGCCTGTAATCCCAGCACTTTAGGAGGCTGAGGCAGGCAGATCACTTGAGGTCAGGAGTTTGAGACCAGCCTGGCCAACATGGTGAAACCCCGTCTCTACCAAAAAAACGAAAAACAAAAATTAACCGACCGTGGTGGTGCGTGCCTGTAGTCCCAGCTACTTGGAAGGCTGAGGTAGGAGAATTGCTTGAATCCAATAGGTGGTGGTTGCAGTGAGCCAAAATTGTACCAGCGCACTCCAGCCTGGGCGACAGAGTGAGACTGTCTCAAAAAACAAAAACAAAACAAAAGCAGACCCTTGAAGGGTGAGCATTTTGCCGTGTTTCATTTGGCAGCTGGCTGTTCTGCTTCCTCCTAACATCTCAAAGGACACTGGATGGCCTGAGCTCCCGGGTACCCTGGGCTGCCCAGTTAGCATTCCCTGGGTGGTGAGAAAAATGCAAATTGTCTCTGCCCTGGAGCTTAAAGACTTCTCTCTGTAGGACCTCAGGAGGTCTTTTATCAAACTCTGTATTTGCAAGGCGGGAGGATTGCTTGAGCCCAGAAGTTCGAGACTAGCCTGGGCAACCTAGTGGGACTCTGTTTCTACAAAAATCAGTCTGGCAGGGTGGCACACACCTGTAGTCCCAGCTACTAGGGAGGCTGAGGAGGTAGGATCACTTGAGTCCAGGAGTTTGAGGTTGCTGTGAGCTGTGATTGCACCAGATTGCTACATGGGGATGAGAGGAAATAAGAGGGTGAACAGATCTCCTGCTACCGCACATGCCACTTTTGAATTCCCAGCTGGTGTTTGAAGGCTGTGCAAGGTGTTGGATTGCAGGATGATGGAGACCCAGATCATTGTGAATCCATGACTGTGTGGCCGTTTGCATCGACTCAGCCTTACTGCAGATACTAACCTTCATTACCCTCTCCAGCTATGCATTGGTTTTCTGCATACCACTTGGAATTTATGTTGGCTCTGAGTCATCCGACTCTCACATGAGAAAGAACCAAATAATGATGTGTTCTTTTAAAAGAATGTGTCTGCATATGGCTTCTTATCTGCCAAGTGCTGCACCTTAGGCATTTATATTGAGAGTTTCAAGATCGTGCCACTGCACTCCAGCCTGGGTGACAGAGTGATACCTTGTCCCAAAAAAACAAAAACAAAAACAAGATAGGAGCAGACATTTCCAAACAGCTAAAATGTCCTCAAAGGGAGTTATTGATGTATTAGTCTGTTCTCAATGCTGCTAATAAACACATACCTAATACTGGTAATTTATAAAGGAAAGAGGTTTAATGGATCCACAGTTCCACATGGCTGGGGAGGCCTCACAATCATGGCAGAAGGCAAAAGAGGAGCAAAGTCACGTCTTACATGGTGGTAGGCAGAAGAATATGTGCAGGGGGAACTGCCCTTTATAGAACCATCTTCTGAGACTCATTCACTTATCACAAGAACAGCATGGGAAAAACCCACCCCCATAATTCAGTTAGCTCCCACCAGTTCCCTTCCACCACATGTGAGGATTATTACAATTCAAGGTGAGATCTGGGTGGAGACACAGAGCCAAACCATATCAATTGATAATTAGCAGATTAAAGGGAAAAAGGCAAATCTGTTGACTAAGACAGCCTTCACATTTCCCTCAGCTTGACTGTTACACAGTTTTCCTCCCGACCTCCTTGTCTATTTTTTAGTTTTAATTTTTTTGATACATAATTGATGCACATATGTTGGGGGTACATGTGATTACTAAATACACTCACAATTTGTAAAGATCACATCATTGTGATCAAGATATTCATCACCCTACATATTTGCCTTTTCGTTAAGCTAGAAACATTTAAATTCTTATCTTTAGCTATTTTGAAATGTACAATAGATTACTGTAAACTACAGTCACCCTGCTGATTTATTGAACAGTAGGTCTTATTTCTTTTATCAAACTCTGTATTTGCAAGGCGGGAGGATTGCTTGAGCCCAGGAGTTTGAGACCAGCCTGGGCAATCTACTGAGACCCTGTCTCTACAAAAAATACAAAAATCGGCCTGGCATGGTGGCACGCACCTGTAGTCCCAGCTACTGGGGAGGCTGAGGTGGTAGGATCACTTGAGCTCAGGAGTTCCAGGTTACTATGAGCTACGATCGTATCACTGTACTCCAGTCTGGGCAACAGAGCAGAATTCTGTCTCCAAAAAAACAAAAACCCCTACTTATTTGTACCCATTAATCAAACTATTTTTATCTCCCTTCCCAGCCTCTGGTAGCTACCAATCTACTCTCTATCTTCATGAGATCCAGGTTTTAAGCTCCCACATGTGAGTGAGAACATGCAGTATTTTTCTTCTGTGCCTGGCTTATTTCACTTAACATAATGACCTCCAGTTCCATCCATCAGGCCTCCTTTTTTCACGGAGGATTTATTTTAGGAAACTTGCAATTGTGAGTTCTTTCTCTACCTCTTTGAGAGGCAAATCTTCTCCCAAATTTTCTTCTAGCCTCCTCCTAGTTTTGCAACCCAGGAATGCCTTTCTCAAGACTTCAGAGCCATCCCTTTAAAATGCAATTATTGAAGGAGATGATACATCTGTGTCTCAGTTTTTGTAGAAGGGCAGATTCCCAGTTTTGAAAAATTCCAATGAGCCAACGCAGATAGCTTTACGGCATTTCCTAACCTCTTCCTGATGTCTCCAGTTCCTTCTCAGCATCTCACCCCGGCACTTAAAAACTCCCCAGCCTTTTGTTTCAATGAAGTTAAGCTCCTCTCTTCCGTATTGCAGTAGTCCTGACTGAGTCCTTCCTTGAAGGTTTAACTTGTCTGGTGCAATTTTTTCTTTGACAATGTCCAGATCAAATGATCCCATAAAAACATCGAGTGTGATTTTAGCCTGAGAAGGGGGAGGGTGAGAAGATAGATTGGGAGGCAGCTGTGTAGGCAGGGGACTTGGCCACTCCCTAAACCTCTCCCAGTCTCACCTGTAAATGGAGTGCATAGGCAGCAGTGCTTCTCCCCCAAGGCTGGGGCGATGGAATCAGTTAGACTATTGAGGGCATCTGGAAGGGCATCTGTGTCAGGGTTAGTCCTCAGGGTATGGTGGCCAATGGGTTTCTTTTGGTTGACTGTTGACAATGCGTTTGTTGAATGGCAGCCTGCACTAGGTGACGCTGAAGCCACAGAAGACACTGCAGTGGGAAAACCAGCATGAGCCGCTGCCCCCAAGGAACCTCGAAGCCCAGGCAGAGGACCAGCCATCCCAGCCCGCAGGTAAAGTGTGTCACCTGTCAGGTGGGCTTGGGGTGAGTGGGTGGGGGAAGTGTGTGTGCAAAGGGGGTGTGAGTGTGTATGTGTGTGAGCACATGAGTGATGGCTAGTGTGACTGCATGTCAGGGAGTGTGAACAAGCGTGCGAGGGTTGTGTGCAAGTGCGTATGCATATGAGAATATGTGTCTGTGGATGAGTGCATTTGAAAGTCTGTGTGTGTGTGGTCATGAGGGTAAGTTAGTGACTGAATGCGCAGGATGTGAGTGTGCATGGAACACTCAGTGTGTGTGTGGCAAGTGTGTAGGCGTGTGAGGACAGGCAGAAGTGTGTCAGTGTTGTGATGGGAGTGTGAATGAGTGTGCAAAAAGGTGAGTGAATGCATGGAAGTGTGTGTCAACTATGAAGGCATGTAGTGTGTCAGTGTGTGCAGTGCAAGCATGTGTGGGAATGAGTGCTTGTTGGTGTGTCCATATCCAACGGGTATGTGTGAAAGCATGTAAAAGTGTGTGTAGTGTGATGGTGTGTGGATGTATCAGTGTGTATAAATGAGAGCATGTAAATGTGTATGTATGAGTGTTGAGTGTGCATATGTGAGGCTGTGCGTGTGAGTGTAACCATGAGGGTGTGAACGTGCTTAAGTGTATGTGCGTGTGACAGTGCAAGTGTAGGTGTGTGATGCATGTGTGGGTTTGCCAGTGTATGAGTGTACATGGTGTGGATCTGAATGTGCACAGTGTAAAGGGCATGAGTGCAAGTGTGTGTGAGTGTATGTGAATGAGTGGTAGTGTGCATGCATGTGTGAGTGCACGCTCAGAAGCATGGATGGGTGCAAGCCTCCCCTACTAACTCCTCCTCCTTCCTGAGATCAAAAAAGTATGTGTTTTCTGTGTTTCAAAAATGTTTTAAAATTATGTACTGTATTTAATAGCTCTTATGACTACAGTGTTTTTCTCTCTGCTTAAAGTGCAGCAGGGGCTGGGCGCAGTGGCTCACACCTGTAATCCCAGCACTTTGGGAGGCCAAGGCAAGTGGATCAGTTGAGATCAGGAGTTCAAGACCAGCCTGGACAACATGGTGAAACCCCATCTCTACTAAAAATACAAAAATTAGCCGGGCATGGTAGCGGGTGCCTGTGATCCCAGCTACTGGGGAGGCTGAGGTGGGAGAATCGCTTGAACTCGGGAGGCCGAGGTTGCAGTGAACCGAGATTGCACCACTGCACTCCAGCCTGGGCGACAGAGCGAGACTCTATGCAAAAAACCCCAAAAAATCCAATGTAGCTAAAAGCAGTTTGATGATAACAGTGACACTGAAATGAGAATTGTGTCAGAAAAACCACAAACAATAATGAAATGGCTCCTATATAACCCATCCCCAAAAACCCACGTAAAGAAGAAAACAGGGCTGGGTGTAGTGGTTCATGCCTATAATTCCAGCACTTTGGGAGGCCCAGAAGGGAGGATTGCTTGAGCCTGGGAAATCGAGGCCACAGTGAGCTGTATTTGCACCACTGTACTTCAGCCTGAGAGTCAGAGTGAAACCTTGTCTCAAAAACAGAAAGACGAAAAGGGTACCTGAGGTATTAACTCTGATCATCAGTGAGTGGAAAGATTCTGGTATTCTGGTGCTTTCCATTTTCTTTTAGCTTATCTTCATTTTTGAGTTTTCTGGAAGAGCATTTATTGCTTTTTTTCTTTTTGAGACGGAGTCTCCCTCTGTCGCCCAGGCTGGAGTGCAGTGGTATGATCTTGGCTCACTGCAACCTCCACTTCCTGGGTTCAAGCGATTTTCCTGCCTCAGCCTCCTGAGTAGCTGGGACTACAGGTACATGCCACCACGCCCGGCTAATTTTTTGTATTTTTTTTAGTAGAGACAGGGTTTCACCTTGTTAGCCAGGAGGATGGTCTTGATCTCCTGACCTTGTGATCCACCTGCCTTGGCCTCCCAAAGTGCTGCGATTACAGGCGTGAGCCACCGCGCCCGGTCGCATTTATTGCTTTAAGAAAAAAAAATTTCACTTGATGGGAAGAAGCTAAAATGAGGCTGACTAGGAAAATATCATTACTAAAAACATTCTCCTTCATTCATGGACTTTTTTTTTGAGACAGAGTCTCGTTCTGTCGCATATGCTGGAGTGCAGTGGTACAATCTCAGCTCACTGCAACCTTCGCCTCCCAGGTTCAAATGAATTCTTGTGTCTCAGCCTCCTGAATAACTGGAATTAGAGGCATGTACCACCATGCCCGGCTAATTTTTGTATTAGGGTTTTGTCATGTTGGCCAGGCTGGTCTTGAACCCCTGACCTCAAGTGATACATCTGCCTCAGCCTCCCAGAGTGCTGGGATTACAAGTGTAAGCCACTGCGCCTGGCCCTTGTTTTGGCTAACTCTGAGGGAAACTCTTTCTGCCATGGGAGATTGTACCTTACCATTGTTTATTTCCAGGGTCTCCTGAGAACACAGACCAGAATTACTGAGGTAATCTTGGCACATTTTCTTAACCATTTTATGTGACTTTCAAATTCCTTATATGTAGCTGGGAAAAAAGGCTTTGCTAGATGATCTTTTTCAACCTTTGTGAAGATAAAGATTAAGAAAAAAGTTTAAACCTGAGGCAAGGAAAATACAGAAGAAAACCTAAACAAAGTTTCGGTTCTCAGCCCCTGAGCAGCCACTCAGTGGTGGGCGTTTCCTTCACTCCCCAGTGAGCACCTACTGTGTGTTCCGTATGGCGCAGGGCAGGGAGGAGCAGGCCAAGAAACAAACAAGCCTTGGGGTCGGGGCCACAGAGGGCACGGTGAGCTCTCAGGACAGGGCGGGAAGGGAAGGCAGAAAGGTCCTGGGCACAGGCTGGGCTGTCAGCTCCAGAGGGGTGCACTGACCCTGCATCCATGGTAAGTGTGGGGCACAGGCAGTCTGGGCTGCAGCCTCAGAGTGGAGCAGAGCCCGGGGTGTAAGAGGCCGGCTGGGGCAAGTGGGCACCAGGAGAGCCCAGGCTGGCCATTATATGTGGCTGCATTTCCATTTCCAAAAATGTATGATTTTTTCAGTTAACGGAGAAAAAGCACTGACAAAATTCAACACGCTTTCATGATTAAAAACATTCAGCAAACTAAGAATAGAGAAAACTACCTCAACATAATAAAATTCATATATGAAAAAGCCACAACACACTCAATGGTGAAAACTGAAAGCTTTTCCTCTAAAATTAGGAACAAGACAAGGATGTCTGCATTCATTACTTCTATGCAACACAGTGCTAGAAGTTCTAACCGGCACACTTAGGCAAGAAAAGGAAATAAAAGGCATCAAAATTGAAAAGAAAGAAGTAAAATTATCTCTATTTGCAGATAGGATCTTATAAGTAGAAATGCCTAAAGAGCGTGTGTGCACACACACACGTTAGAACTAATAAATGAGGCCAGGCATGGTGGCTTGTGCCTATAATCCCAGCACTTTGGGAGTCAGACGTGTGCAGATCACTTGAGGTCAGGAGTTCGAGACCAGCCTCACCAACATGGCAAAACCTGGCAAAACCCCATCTCTACAAAAAAATACAAAAATTAGCCAGGCATGGTGGTGGGCACCTGTGGTCCCAGCTACTTGGGAGGCTGAGGCACGAGAATCACTTGAACCCTGGAGGCAGAGGTTGCAGTGAGCCAAGATTGTGCCACTGCACTCCAGCCTGGGCGACAGAGCAAGAGAGCGAGACTGTGTCTGTTTTTTCTTTTTTAAAAAAGAATTAAAAAAAAAAAAACTAATAAATGAAATCAGCAATGTAGTAGCATACAAGGTAAATACACAGGCCAGGTGCGGTGGCTCACACCTGTAATTCCAGCACTTTGGGAGGCCAAGGTGAATGGATCACTTGAGGTCAAGAGTTCAAGACCAGCCTGGCCAACGTGGTGAAACCCCGTTTCTGCTAAAAATATAAAAAATTACTGGTGGTACGTGACTGTAGTCCCAGCTACTCGGGAGGTTGAGGCAGGAGAATCTCTTGAACCTGGGAGGTGGAGGCTGTAGTGAACTCAGACTGCGCCACTGTACTCCAGCCTGGGCCACAGAGTGAGACTGAAAAAAAAAAAAAAAGTCAATACACAAAAATCAGCTGCATTTCTAAATACTAACAAACAATGAACAGTCTGAAAAGGAACTAAAGAAAATGAAAATTCCACTTAAAATCTAGCAATCCTACTTCTGGATATATACCCCAAAAAATTGAAAGGAGGGTCTCAAGGAGGTAATTGAACACCCGTGTTCACAGCAGCATTATTCATAATAGCTAAAAGGTGGAAGCAACCCAAGTGTCCATTGACAGATGAATGAATGAGCAAAATGTGGTAGGCACAGTGAAATTTTACTCCGCCTTAAAGGACATTCAGACACTTTCTACAACATGAACCTTGAGAATACTGTGCTAGGTGAAATAAGCCAGTCACAGAAAGACAAATATTCTGTGATTCCACTTCTGTGAAGAAAGCAGCGTAGTCAAAATCATAGAGACAGAAAGTAGAATAGTGGCTGCCAGGGTTGGGGAAAAAGGGAATGGAGAGTTGGTGTTTATGGGGACAGTTTTAGTCCCCACCCCCGCCCCGCTTACCCCAACTTGAAGCTCAGAGTTTTAGTTGTACAAGATGAAAAGAGTTCTGGAGATGTGTGGGGGTGATGGCCGTACAACATCGTGAATGTATTTAGTGCCCCTGAACCACACACCTACATATGGCTAAGATGGTAAATGTTATGCTATGTATATTTTACTACAATAAAATATGTTGGAAAAAAAATTTTGATGTGATAATGCAAACTTACAGCGACTCACACCTGCTTTATCGGGAGTTTCAGAAGGGGCAGGAGGGAGAGGACACGCTGAGCAGCCAGAGGCTATTGACACACCAGAAGCATCCCCAGGGACTGCCTTTCTCAACATCACCCTCTGTAATGGCAGCGTCAGCCAAGAGCGCACTGCCATTGGTTTTACTGACCAAACCTAAAGAAACGGCTGCGTTCCCATCAGATTTGCTCACTAAATCATGCCGACACACAGACATGCATCTTCCAGCCTGTTCGGCAGCAGTGCAGACAACATGAGGGGTCTCAGATCCTCCACAAGAATGATTCTGGTTCTGCCTGAGCCTTCGCCTGAGCCCCCATCAGACATTGTAAAGGTCAACTTAAGGATGATGGGCAGGCAGAGGCAGGAATAAGGACTGATATGGTTGAATCTCTCATTGCTCTAGCACCATCCGCTTGGTGCTGCTCTCATGATAGCTGGTTGTTTAAAAGTGTGTGGCACCTGCCGGGCGCGGTGGCTCACGCCTGTCATCCCAGCACTTTGGAAGGCTGAGGTGGGTGGATCATGAGGTCAGGAGATCGAGACCATCCTGGCTAACACGATGAAACCCCGTCTCTACTAAAAATAGAAAAAATTGCCAGGCGTGGTGGCGGGCGCCTGTAGTCCCAGCTACTCGGGAGGCTGAGGCAGGAGAATGGCGTGAAACCAGGAGGCGGAGCTTGCAGTGAGCCGAGATCGCGCCACTGTACTCCAGCCTGGGCGACAGAGCGAGACTCCGTCTCCAAAAAAGAAAAGGAAAAAAAAAGTGTGCAGCACCTACCCCGGCCCCTTGTCCCTGCTGTGGCCACGTGACATGCCTGCTCCCACTCTGCCTTCACCGTGACTGATTCTGAAGCATCCCCAGAAGCTGAGCAGATGCCAGCACCATGCTTCCCGTACAGCCTGTGGAACTGTGAGCCAACTAAACCTCTTTTCTTTATAAAATACCTGGTCTCAAGTATTTCTTTATAACAGTGTGAGAATGGCCGAAAACGACACCCAGATGCAAACATTACCTGCAGGCCACCGCGTGCTGACTCTCTCACCAAGCAGGAGCGGGCCCCTCCCTCACGCGGAGCCGCTGGCACGGACAGCCCCGGGAAGGTCAGGCTGAGCGTCCTTTCCTCTGTGCACCCCCGGAGGGTGCTCCCATTGGCTTTCTCAGATAGCACCATCTCAGGGTCCAGCTGGCCATGGCCTGGATTAAGTTTAAAATGCTGGGCCAGTCCCCACTTCCCTATATATGACTTTTTACAAGTCTGACACTTGAAGCTTTTGGGCCTCAGGGAGCAGCTTGATAAGTCAAAGAGCGCCTGCCTCTCCCTCTGATCTTCTTCCACACTGACTTCTGAATCATCATCAGAATCTGGCAGATGACCGTCGGCCAAATCATCCCTTTTTATGAACTCAGCTTTAGCTTTATACTTGGCAGGTCGAGATACCTGTCTCAACGTGTCTTCACTTTTAACGATGGTTTTAGTTTCTCAGTATGTTTTGTATGCAAGTTGGAAATAAATAAACGTCCTGAACTGGATGAAACATGTTACAGTCGGCAAACTGGAGGCCGACGAAGGGGTCAACATGGTGCCCTGTCCATTTGGAGCCTTGGGGGCTGGGACTCTCTTTGCAGGGACCACCTAGAGGGCTGGCAGTGGTCTCTGTACAAACCCCTGAGCAGGAGGCTGATGTAGGAAACATGACTGTGGCTCGGTTCTCACGAGGGGCTGTACCCTGAGCAGCTGGGGGCTGGTGACGTGGAGTCCCACCAGGCGGGAATTCCCCCGGGGCGGCTGGCTCTGTCTTGCAGATTGGGGCTGGACTGTGGCCAGTAGGGACGTTGGCCATTCCTGACCTTTTGTTTCTCCAGACGTTACCTTGACACAAATGGCTTCTAGTTGCTTTCCTACAGAAAGACAAGAAAGGGAAAAGAAGCATTGTGCTTATCAACATGTCTGCAATTTTGCTGTCATAGTAAATCCACTACTGACATTTTTTCTAAATTACGTCTTACATATACAATTTATGTAACGTGTTTGTATTAACTGTTTTTCAGACCTTTCTGACCAGAAACCACAGTGATACAAGCCGGGCGCAGTGGCTCACACCTGTAATCCCAGCACTTCGGGAGGCCAAGGTGGGCAGATCACTTGAGGTCAGGAGTTCAAGACCAGCCAGGCCAACATGGTGAAACCCCTTCTCTACTAAGGATACAAAAATTAGCAGGGTGTAGTGGTGCACACCTGTAATCCCAGTTACTTTGGAGGCTGAGGCATGAGAATCGCTTGAACCTGGGAGGACGAGGTTGCAGTGAGCCAAGATCGCGCCACTGCACTCCAGCCTGGATGACAGAGCGAGACTCCATCTCAAAAAACAAACAAAATGGCCGGGCACGGTGGCTCACGCCTGTAATCCCAGCACTGTGGGAGGCTGAATCACTTGAGGCCAGGAGTTCCAGACCAGCTTGGTCAACATGGTGAAACCCCATCTATACTAAAAATACAAAAGTTAGCCGGGTGTGGTGGCACATTCCTGTACTCCCAGCTACTTGGGAGGCTGAGGCAGGAGAATTGTTTGAGCCTGGGAGGCGGAGAGGCTGCAGTGAGCCGAGATCCTGCCACTGCACTCCAGCCTGGGTAACAGAGCTAGACTCAGTCTCAAAAACAAACAAAAAACAAAAACAGACCACAGTGACACATTTTACATTATGACCTAGTATGCACGTATATAAATATTTGCATACATAAATGAAAAGCTGATGGAACTACTTAGCATTCCTATGTAAATGCCTGCTGATTGTATCTATTCTTCATTTCTACATCACCTTTTTTTTTTTTTTTTTTTTTGGAGACGGTCTCACTCTGTTGGCCAGGCTGGAGTGCAGTGGCGCGATCTTAGCTCACGGCAACCTCCGCCTCCCAGGTTCGAGTGATTCTCCTGCTTCTGCCTCCTGTATAGCTGGGATTACAGGCACACGCCACCATGCCTGGCTAATTTTTGTATTTTCTGTAGAGACGGGGTTTCACCATGTTGGACAGGCTGGTGTCAAACTCCTGAACTCAAGTGACCCGCCCGCCTCGACCTCCCAAAGTGCTGGGATTACAGGTGTGAGCTACCGCACTGACCCTAATCTACATCACTTTAAAAAAAATACTAGTCATAATCCACTAAGTTGATTTCATGATGAATTAAGAGATAATAAGAGCCTTCTCAACAGTTTCACCCATGTGTTTTTGCTTGGAGTTTTTAGTACTCTAAAATCAGATGTAATTCATAATGTGGGACCATGTTTTTAAAAAAGTTTCTAATGAAATTCTAGAAGCCACAAAAAAGCCATAAAGGACAATGTTACCCAGGATCCTCCTGCCCAACCTGCATGCCCGTTTCTTCACCCTGTCCTGAATGTGCTGTTCAGCATTCTTATGCTTTTTAAATATTTACATGGCATATGCAGATATTTCTAAAAATATACAGTTCAGTTCTGAAATGCTTTAAAACTTTATAGAAATGATATCATCTCCTGCAACTTGATAGGGCTTTTTTCAGGTTTCTTTACTCCATTTTGCTTTGTGAATTTTACCCTCATTGACATGTGTAGCTCTCAGGGGTTGATTTTCTCTGCAGTATGAGTTTACCAATCTCCTATTGATGGATGGGTACTTTCCAACCTTCTGCTCTAAGGTCTGCTCTGAATCTCCACGGATGTATGTGTGTACATGTGTGAGTTTCTCCAGGGGCATGTATCTAGGAGTAGGGCTGAATATCTTTTTCTTTTTTTTTTTTTGAGAGAAGGTCTTGCTCTGTTGTCCAGGCTGGAGTGCAATGGCATGAACTCAGCTCACTGCAACCTGCGCTTCCCAGGTACAAGTGATTCTCCTGCCTCAGCCTCCCGGGTAGCTGGGATTACAGACACGTGCTACTACGCCTGGTTAATTTTTGTATTTTTAGTAGAGATAGGGTTTCACCATGTTGTCCAGGCTGGTCTCAAACTCCTGACCTCAAGTGATCTGCCCCACTCAGCCTCTCGAAGTGCTGGAATTACAGGCGTGAGCCACCGTGCCCGGCCGGGCTGAATATCCTCAACAACTTTTTACAAATATATCTAACAAAATTTCAAATACATGTGCTTTTTGACCCAGTAATTCTACTTCCTGGATTCCAAAATTAAAAAAACTTAGATGGCCATAAAGATGTTATGTTCTATGAGGTTCAAGGCAGCACTGTCTGTAATAGCAAAACACCTACCAAAGGGGAGAGCTACCTTCGACAACATCCCACAAATATTTATTGAGTACTGACCATGTGCATGAGACACTGCTACAGGTGTCAGAGAAACAGTTCTCATACAGCTTAGGGGAGAAGGTCAGGAAGCAAAAGAAACAAGGCTCCTGCCCTCACAGAGCAGAAATAATGAGCATTTTCCTCCAGGGAGAAAAAGAGGCAAACCTCGTCATCCAGAGCATGATTTCACAACCAACATTTCAGAACATAATCCTTTGACATGGGTGGCTGGAGGATGCCCAGCAGCATCTCTGCCTCTACCCACTAGATGCTAGTAGTGATCCCAAGTCCTGACAAGATATTGCCAAGTGCCCCTTGTGGGGCAAAACTGTCCTCGGTTGAGAACCACTTATTTGGGACCACCAACTGGCCCTCTTTGGACTCAACCTTCTGGTGTGACCCTCAAACAGTAGAAAGTCAATAAAAATGTCAAACAAGACAGAATAAAGACCCTCACTGAGATCAGGCTGGAGTGTGTCTCTCGTCTGGCTCTTGTTATACACTAGTACAAATAACAGAGGTCAAGTGTACCGAGGTGGCACCACAACCCTGGGAGTCCCCATTCCTGGGCTACGTGCAAATCAAATGACAACTAGATTGGCTGTGCATATCCTTCAAGAACGATGTCTGTTTCATTTTACTACCAATCACATAGAATCTCTCTCTAAGGGCCAAACACAAATCACACCTGCAGTAGCAGTGCTTTGGGATGCTGAGGTGGGAGGATTGCTTGAGGCCAGGAGTTCAGGGCCAGCCTGGGCAACAGAGCAAGACCCTGTCCCTACAAAACGTTAAAAAAAAACACAAAAACCCAAAACAAAGAGTCTCACTGTTGCCTAGGCTGGACTGCAGTGGTGCATTCTTGGCTCCCTGAAACCTCTGCCTCCCGAGTTCAAGCGATTTTCCTGACTTGGCCTCGCTAGTAGCTAGGATTGCAGGCATGCGCCACCGTGACTGGCTAATTTTTGTATTTTTAGTAGAGACGGGGTTTCATCACATTGGCCAGACTGGCCTCAAACTCCTGATCTCAGGTGATCCACCCGCCGCCGCCTCCCAAAGTGCTGGGATTCCAGGGGTGAGCCACCGAGCCCCGCCTACAAAACATTTTAAAATTAGGCTTGATGGTACATGCCTGTAGCCCCAGATACTCGGGAGGCTGAGGGGGAAGGATCGTTTGAGTCTGGGAGTTTGAGGCTGTAGTGAGCCGTGATCAGTCCAGCCTGGGTGAGAATGCAACACCTTGTCTCAACAAAACCCCAAAACAACAACAAAATACATATACACACAGACACACAACCTAAACCCTATTGTTTTAGGATAACCACAGCAGCAAAGCCGGCCTAATAATGTATTCATCCTCTATCCTGACTGGCTTACCCCGTGGGTATTACGCCTCATGCTTTCTTGTGTGTTTTTATTTTGTTTGGTGAACATTTACTAAATATTTCTGGATGGAATACATACACACTAGCCAACTCCTAGCCTCACCCTTGAGATGGTGGGCAGTTTCCCTGCCATGCCTCAGTCCCCGCAGACCTGCTGAATCGATCTCCTGGGTCGGAGACCCGATCTGCCCTTTCAAAAGCTCCGCTGACGATTTCGAAGGCAGACAAGTTTCCCTAAGGAATGCAGACAGGTGAGGCAGACGGGAAAAATGTCATCATGGTACAACAGGTGCAATAAAGAGGCAGAACAGACCAGAAGCAGTGATCTCTGAGGGGCGTTTTGAAGGCTGGGAATTTTTGCCAGGTAGGGCATTCTGAGTACAAAGAAAAATGTGTACATGCATGGATGCATGAAAAGGGGTTGGCATGTTGGATGGAACTGGACATTTCTGGGGGGTGGGAAGAGGGAAGATGCGGAGAGACAGGGGCCTCCATCTGACCCAAGTGTGTCCACTGGTCTGTGCTTCTGATCCACACCATCCCCCACAGCGAACCACTGGGCAGTCTGCTGTGGTTGTTGAAATGCACCCCGCCACCTGCTCCAGAACCTGCCTCTCCTCTTCTGCATTTTCAACTCAGACTCACCCTTTCAAATCTAGTTCAGATACCACTTCTTCAACAAAGCTGCTTGTGATTTCCTCGGCCAGAAACAATCTCCCTTTCTCTAACTACATTTAGTTCTTCATCACTAGCTTTCAGGCCTTGATTAGCAGGTATCTGGGTCATGTTTTATCTCCTGTTAGTTCATCAGCTACTGAGGGGCAAAGTACACATCCGGTTTGACTTCGTGGCTTCCACGACACAGCTGGGGCTGAAAAAGTATTAGCAGAATGTGCTACAAAGGTACATTATTGGAGGTAGAATTTATACGTCTCCATCAGATTAGCTACAGAATAAGTCCCATCATGCTGCCTGATCTTGACTAAGTTTGCTTTTACTTTATGAAAAGTATGTCATTTTTTACTCCATTCCAAACCCAAAAAGCTGTGGCCACATACAGCAGGGTGTGCTGGGGAGAACAAGGGCTCTGGAGAGCAGCCACACCTGAGGGATCTTGGACAAAGCCACTCAACCTCCCTGCAAAATGCTGGTACAAAAACACTACTGCGAGCTAAGCAACCCAGAACACTGCCCGGCACAGAGCAGAGGCTCAGCAGATGGCTGTCCCGGGATGGCGTCTTGCAGCCTTCGGACCCAGACCACAGTCCAAAAAGGTCGAGTTGCCCAAGGTCACACCTCTAGATAGTGTGGCATTTGGGCAGAATCATACTTGCCTTCCTAAACCTTAGCAAGACAACTCTCCACTCTTGATGATGAACTGGATACAACAACCCCAGGCAGCTAAAATCACGAGTGAAGTCGAAAAAACTCAGGAGTGAAGATCGCTGATTCTATTCTCTAACGCATCTCTTCTAGTGGAAAAAGCCCTCTTCTTTTGGCAATTTTGGGTTAAGACTAATTTTATTTACAGCGCCAGCAATGAAATGAGATGGAATTTTACAGACGCCGTGTAGGACCCCTGGAAGGACAATGAGAGTACCCACCCCAAAAGCATAGTATCTGTATGCAAAAACAGTGACAGAGACAGAGAGAGAGAGAGAAAGAAAATGCTGAGAAGCAGCAATGAAGAGAAGAAAATGCTGGGCCGTGGCACTTGCTGTGCCTGAGACCTGAAAAGCTCAGTTGGTTCCTTTTAATTCATTCAGGTCTCAGGGGCAGCGTCTGGCCTACGGGCCCACCCACTCTAAAGCGGCCCCCTGTCCCTCCCAGAACCTGCCTGATGTTCGTTCTTCGAGTGTGTTGAAGGCCGCACCTCCTGCACTTAGGTGGGAGTGCGGGCAACCCCGTCTCTGAGTGCCCCACAGAGGCTGAACGAGTGGTCAAAGGCGTGTCAGACGAGCTAGGCAGCACAGGGGAGCCCCGGGCAGGGCTGTGGAGGCAGAGAGGGCACGACGGCGTCCCAGGCAGAGGGCCCAGCGTGAGCATCGGCTCCTCAAGTGAGGCTCCTGGGGTGAAAACGCCAGGGTGGTGGCAGGTGGGGGCCGAACGCCGTCCCTAAGGGGCTCAGCTTCGGGACACCCTGAGTCTTGACTGGGGCCGGATACTGGCCACCCCGGCCAAGCAGCTAACCCCGCCGCGGGGCCTCGGCCCCCTCCGGGCCTCAGTTTCCCCACGTCGCTCCCGGAGCCTCACCTGGGGCGGCAGCAGGCGTGGCGGGCACGGGGGCTCGGCGCCAGGGTCCCGCTGGAGGGCGGCCTGATGGGCCGCGGCGGCAGCAGCTGCGCCTTCGTCACCCGCTTCAGGACCTGCCGCAGCTGCTCGGGGCCCAGCGGGGCCACACGTGCAACGCTGCCCTGGCCCGGAGAAGCCTGGCCGCCGCATCCGCCGCGGCGGCTGAAGCGGGGACTCCAACCTGGGTCGCTGGGCGACGACGTGCCTCACCTGGGAAAGCGGCGGGCTACGAGTGCCCCGCAGGCCAAGACACCTCGGAAGGCGACGCTGCCCGGCCGGGACAGCCGCCGCGGCCCCTAGGGCCGATCAGCACAGCGGACCCACCTTATTTTCTCATTGCCTGTCACGGATGTGTTTAACACTCAGATGTCACCTCCTCCGGGAGCTGTCCCCGATCTCCCAGGCGGAGGTCTTTGAGGTTCCAAAGCCCCTGACCCAAAAGTTATCACATTCTTTGAGGTTCCAAAGCCCCTGGCCCACAAGTTATCACGTTATCCACGTGTTCTGACGTCATCGTGCACCCCAATCAGCGGAGGATCCTGCCTGGATACGCGGAGTCCTAGGTCCACCAGCAAACGTTTAGGTTTATAAATCTGAGAGGGGACCCAAAGTTTGAATTTTTAACAAGAGCGCTTCCCAAACCCCAAACTGTTCCCATGTCACCCTACCGTCTCTCCCCTCACCCACCCAGGCTGCGTGTACCTTGAAGGGAGAGACGATATGTTACTCATTCGGTGCCCATTACAGGCCCTGCCCAGAACGCACGCTCAAGGCGTGAAAGATGGATGGATGCATAGAAACCAATAAATGAACGGGTGAACAAATCCACGAACCCACCCTCTCCACATGTCCGTCCCATCCATCCAGCCCCAGTGCCCCGTCTTCCTCAGCCCGATCGCCTCTCTTACAGGGTCGAGGCTCTGTGCACCCTCCCCACCGAGTCTTGTAGCTGCAGGTGTGTACACACGTCCCAGTCCCAGTCCCAGTCCCAGTCCCTCTCCCCAGGGAGCGTAGGAGGTCCACTGGCCAACAAACACTTATTAAGCGCCTGGTGGGTGAGTCGCCATTCCCTCCCTGTGGGGTACCACGGGTCTAGCTGGCGAGAAGGAGGAAACCAGCATTTGCAGTACAGTATGATGAGCACCATGAAGCCAGGAAAGGTAAGGCTGGGGGGGGGGGGGGGCGCCAGGCTGGTGTCAGAGAAGGTTCTGGAACATCACCATCATCCTCATCAATACTTCGCATTCACGATGCTCCCTGCTATTTTTTAATGGTGAATTTCATATGATGGGTATCTTACCACATTTTTTTTTGTTTGTTTGTTTTTAGACAGGGTCTCACTCTGTTGCCCAGGCTGGAGTGCAGTGGCGCCATCTCAGCTCGCTACAACCTCGACTTCCCGGGCTCAGGTGATCCTTCCACCTCAGCCTCTGGAGTAGCTCGGACTACAGGCATGCGCTACCATGCCCAGCTAATTTTCGTTTCTTTTTTTTTTTTTTTTTTTTAATAGAGAGAGGATCTCACCATGTTGCCCGGGCTGGTCTCCAACTCCTGGGCTCAGATGATCCACTTGCCTAGGCCTCCCAAAGTGCTGGAATTACAGGCGTGAACCACTGCGCCTGGCCCAAGTCAATCTTTCCTAGTTCCTTCCCAAGAAGGGATTTATGACAACTGAGTTCTTTTGAGATCTTATGGGAAGCTCTGCTTTTCAGCAGACAAGAAATTTCAGGAATTCAAATGCCTTCTGCTCAAAATAATTTTCACGCCACCGTGGCACATTCTAAACCCCTTCAAGTTCAGGAAACTTGAGGGCAGCAGCCTCCACCGACTCCTCCGTGCTCTGTCCCTGCATCTAACCCGGCACGACTACTGCAAGATGTGACATCCAACTTGTTGCGTACAGGTTTCTATTGCAGGTGTCAGCCGACCCAGGCTCTCCTAACGTTGCTTATAGTAGCAGCAGCGCCACCAGCCGGCGTTTATTGAGAACTTTCACTACACCCTGGGCACTTACCAAGGTTTTAAGCCAGTAGTCTGTAGATTTTGAGCAGCTACTGATTTAGGTCAGAGTTAGTAGATGTTTCCACTGGAGAGTTTTCAAAAGCAGGTGGAGCCCCTGCTGGATCGTGACAGAAAATGGCACTGACCCTACACAACTGGCTTCGTTCAACGGAGCACACCTGACCACCCCAGAAACTTGAACCACCAGCGAGAAACTCATCCACTTGCTCTGGCTGCAAAATGCAGAACCAAGAGGAAGAAATGTGAAGCCTAAGATGTCTCTGAAAAGAAACGGGGGGTGGGGGGGAAGAGCAAGAGAAGGTTTCCAGAGGCTTCCACAACCAGAACGCCTCTCTAAAAACATGGCAGGCATCTACTGGCTGGTCACTTTCTCCACGTGGCTTGGGATTTGTGTCTCACTTACCGCTTTGCTCCCCGCCTAGAACGGTGCTGGGCATGCAGTAGCCCTACACACCATCTGTGGAATGCATTCATTGCAGACCTGGATTTTCAACCCTAAGACTTCCCCGCAAGGCGGCCAAGGGAACACGAGGCGGTGACATCTGGGAGCACCCGTCTTCACTGGGTGATTCCTCCAGGGGAGCCACAGCCTCAGGAAGCGCGGGGGCGGCAGGGGTGGGGGCTGAGGGCCGGAGATGTGGATCGCTTTGGATATCCTGAGTGGCCTGCAGGTGGCGGAGGGTGCAGGGACTCGGGTGCGGAGCCACCGCCCCAGCGCATGCCTGGTACCTCCCGCTCTCCCCAGCAGGCTGCCCTCGACAACCTCTGGGCGGGGAGACCAAGAGATCCTGCAGTTCGCTCCTACCCGCACGCCGCTCACAGTACCCGAAAGGCGCATTTTTCACAAACTGTTGTAGAAAGAGTTCATGGCGGGGTGGCGGCGGGAAAAAAAAAAAAAAAGCTAACGCCGTGGCCGGTGCGGGAGTCGAGCCCGCGACCTTGGTGTTATCAGCACCACGCTCTTACCAACTGAGCTAACCGGCCGCCTGACGGCACAGTGCCCCTGGAGCGTATAAAAGGGCTCCACGTTCGCGCCCGTCCACGAGCGATTCCTCGCCAAGCCCGCGCGCCTCTGGCTGCCTTCCGCTTTGCCCCAGCCGCGGGGACTCCGGGGAGGAGCCACCGCCCCAGCGCTGGCCGGGTTTCTCCCGCTCCTCCCTGCCAGGCTGTCCTCGACAACCTCTGGGCCGAGTCCAAGAGATCCCGCAAGTCGCTCCTGCCCGCATGGGGCTTACAGAACCTGAAAGGCGCATTTTGAAAAAGAGTTGCAGAAACAGTTCATGGGGAGAAAACAAAGAAACAAACCAACAAAAAACTGGGACTAGGGCCGGTGCGGGGATCAAGCCTGCGACCATGGCGGTATCAGCACCACGCGCTCACCAACTGAGATAACCGACCGCCCGACCATCTAGTGCTGCCCGAGCGTCTGAAAGGGCTCCGTGTTCGCGCCGGCCCGCGACTGATTTTCTTGCAGAGCCCGCGCCACTGGCTGCCTCCCCGCTTGGCCCCAGCTGCGACTTCTGACCGCCTCACTGTCATCCCCATTGGGTGGATGCAGAAACTGAGACCTAGGAGACTTCAAGGAGAAGGGAGACGGCTTCCTACAGGGAACCGCAGGCTTCCACAGGGAAAATGCAAATTGCACATGGGAGGCTTGGCTCTGCAGTGAGGTTTTCAAACATTCCCATTCAATGCTGGTTTTAACTCTGAGAATCCTGAGGCCTGGCAACTTCGTGTATCAAGAGCCTTTCAGCATGGTTAAATCTAGCTCAGAAAACCCAGAAAACCAAAGGCCAAAAGAACCACCGAATTCCCTATTGCCCAAAAAATAACGGCTGCAGGGGTCTCGACTTCCTTCTTGTCCATTTTTATTTCCTTTCACTGTACACATGTATTTCTATATATATACACGGAATCCTTGCGCCAGGAGTGGTGGCTCTTGCCTTTAATCCCAGCACTCCGGGATGAATAAATAAATGAATGGAATGGAAAGCCTTGCTTGAAAAAGTGTATTCTGTCTTCCTTTTTGCATTTAATAGTCTGTCATTAAGTATATCCCGAAATAATTGCAAATGTCATTTTCAATGATTCATTCAAAAAAAAGAAAAGAAAAAAAATGAGACGGGGAAAGACAGAAATAGAGAAACAGAAAATGATATTGTTTGGCCATGTCCCCACTGAAATCTCAACTTGAATTTTATCTCCCAGAATTCCCTCGTGGTGTGAGAGGGACCCAGGGGAAGTACCTGAATCATGGTGGCCGGTCTTTCCTGTGCTATTCTGGTGATAGTGAATAAGTCTCATGAGATCTAATGGGTTTATCAGGGTTTCTGCTTTTGCTTCCTCCTCATTTTCTCTTGCTGCCACCATGGAAGAAGTGCCTTTCGCCCTCCGCCATAATTACGAGACTTCCTCAGCCTGTGGAACTGTCAGTCAAATTAAAGCTCCTTTTCTTCCCAGTCTTGGGTATGTCTGTATCAGTGGCATAAAAACAGACTAATATAGTAAATTGGTACCGGGAGTGGGGTATTGCTGAAAAGATACCCAACAATGTCACAGCGACTTTGGAATTGGGTAATAGGCAGAGGTTGGAACAGTTTGGAGGGCTTAGAATAAGGCAGGAAAATGTGGGAATGTTTGCAACTTCCTAGAGACTTGTTGAATGGCTTTAGCCAAAACGCTGATAGCGATTATGACAATAAGGTCCAGGCTGAGGTGGTCTCAGATAGACATGAGCAACTTCTTGGGAACTGGAGCAAAGGTGACTCTTATTATGTTTTAGCAAAGAGACTGGTGGCATTTTGCCTCTGCCCGAGAGATTTGTGGAACTTTGAACTTGAGAGAGATGACTTAGAATATCTAGCGGAAGAAATTTCTAAGCAGCAAATCATTCAAAATGTGACTTGGGTGCTGTTGAAAGCATTCTGTTTTAAAAGGGATACAGAGCATAAAAGTTTGAAAATCTGCAGCCTGATGATCCAGTAGAAAAGAAAAATCCATTTTTGGGGGGAGAAATTCAAGCCAGCTGCAGAAATTTGCATAAGTAGGAAGGAGTCTAATGTCTCCAGGCCATGTCACAGACCTTCACAGCAGCCCCTCCCATCACAGGCCCAGGAGAAAAAAGTGGTTTTGTGGGCTGGGCCCAGGGTCTCTGTGCTGTGTGCAGCCTAGGGACTTGGTACCCTGGGTTCCAGCTGCTCCATCTGTGACTGAAAGGAGCCAACGTAGAGCTCAGGCTGTGGCTTCAGAGGATGGAAGCCCCAAGCCTGGGCAGCTTCCATGTGGTGTTGAGCCTGCAGATGCACAGAAGTCAAGAATTGAGGTTTGAGCACCTCCGCCTAGATTTCAGAAGATGTATGGAAATGCCTGGATGTCCAGGCAAAAGTCTGTGGCAGGGGTGAGGCCCTCATGGAGAACCTCTGCTAGGGCAGTGCAGAAGGGAAATGTGGGGTTGGAGCCCCCACACAGAGTCCCTACTGGGGCACTGCCTAGTAGAGCTGTGAGAAGAGAGCTACTGTCGTCCAAACCCCAGAAAGGTAGATCCACCAACAGCATGCACCATAGGCCTGGAAACACAACAGACACTCAACGTCAGCCTGTGAAAGCAGCAGGGAGGGATGTTGTACCCTGCAAAGCCACAGGCACAGAGCTGCCCAAGACCATAGGAATCCACCTCTTGCACCTGATGTGAGACCTGTAGTCAAAGGAGATCATTTTGGAGCTTTAAGATCTGACTGCCCCACTGGATTTTGGACTTGCACGGGCCCTATAACCCCTTTGTTTTGGCCTATTTCTCCCATTTGGAATGGCTGTATTTACCCAATACCTGTATCCCCATTGTATCTAAGAAGTAACTAGCTTGCTTTTGATTTTACAGGCTCATAGGTGGAAGGGACTTGCCTTGTCTGACTGTGGACATTTGGGTTAATGCTGAAATGAGTTAAGACTTTGGGGGGACTGTTGGGAAGGTACAGTTAGTTTTGAAATGTGAGGACATGAGATTTGGAGGGGCCGGGGTGGAATTATACGGTTTGACTGTGTCCCCACTGAAATGTCAACTTGAATTGTATCTCCCAGAATACCCACGTGTTGTGGGAGGGACTCAGGGGGAGGTAACTGCAATCATAGGGGCGGGTCTTTCCCGTGCTATTCTCATGATAGTGAATAAGTCTCACGAGATCTGATGGGTTTTCAGGGGTTTCTGCTGTTGCTTCCTCCTCATTCTCTCTTGCTGCCGTCATGTAAGAAGTACCTTTTGCCCTCTGCCATGATTATGGGACTTACCCAGCCATGTGGAACTGTAAGTCAAATTAAACCTCCTGGCCAGGCATGGTGGCTTACACCTGTAATCTCAACACTTTGGGAGGGTGAGGTGGGTGGATCACCTGAGGTCAGGAGTTCCAGACCAGCCTGGCCAACATGGTGAAGCCCCGTCTCTACTAACAGTACAAAAATTAGCCAGGAGTTGGGGCACGCACCTGTAATCCCAGCTACTCAGGAGGCTGAGGCAGGAGAATTACTTCAACCCGGGAGGCAGAGGTTGCAGTGAGCCTAGATCGCGCCACTGCACTTCAGCCTGGGCGACAGGAGCAAGACTCCGTCTCAGAAAAAAAAGAAATTCAACCTCCTTTTCTTCTAAGTCTAGGGTATGTCTTTATCAGCAGCGTAAAAACGACTAATACAGAGAGTAATGCATAAAGACACAGAAAGAGGGAGAGAGACAAAAAGAGAAAGAGAGAGAGAGAGAGAGAGAATGTAATAGGAGAAAGGGAGGGACAGGAGAAAAAGAGAGGGCCCTCTTCCCACTATCCTTCCAAAATCAGGGTTTCCTCATGACCCCTTCCTCAAGGCCTAGGTGCCAAAAAGGTCACTGAAGGAAGCACAGTCCCCTCTTCCTCAGCAGGCCTGAAGGCTCCTGGGCTATGGCTGCTGGTCTTCCTAAGCCAGAAGCTATAACCCTGAGCCATTGGGCTTCCCAGCCTAGCTTCCTCCTGTCCAAAATGAGAGGACAAACAGGAGTTAGAGAGCCTGAGAAGACCTGTCCCAGCAACACACCCCGCTAAGAAGGCACAGGCTGACCACTGACAACTGTTTAAATCCAGCGCCCACGTTCGGCTGGGATATTCTGACCCACTCAGGGCTGCCCCATAAACCAGCGCGTGGTCCGGATCCAAGCGCACCGAGAACTCGAAACCTCTCTGTCAAGCTGCCCATTGGGAGTTAAGTTCAAAGAGGACAAAGGAAACGAGATAAAGCGTCCAATACAAGAATTACCCATTTCAGACGCACAAGACGAAGAGCACAGGCGGTGTCAGGACATGTTAGGATCCGTCCCCAACTCCGCCGTCTTCATCCCCACAAAGCCACGGAACACCTGTACCCCGGAGCCCAGCTGCTCCTGCAGCCCCTGGAGAAATCTGTACATTCCCCGCCGAGGACCCTGCCGCTGGGCACACTGGGAGGCTGGCCTGAGGGACCCCGCGCCCGTGTCCCTGGGGCCGCTGCCTGGGAGAGCGCACGAGTTACCCCAGGCGAGGTGATCCACAGGAAGTTTGGTGACGTCGGATGGCCCAGGCCCCAGAGTGCTGTGTGTGCTGGGGGTGGAGGGTGGTCCCCGACAGGAGCCGTCGGCGTTCCAGGGAAGGCACCCGGTCGGTCGGGGGACTCGCCGGGGCTGGGGGGTGCGCTCTACTTCTCCGAGCGCCCCCCAGGGAGACCCAGGGCGCAGGGGCAGCCCCGCGCTGGGATCCCGAGCCGCAGCGGCGGGGCAGGGCCCTCCCCAGGAGGCGGGCACCCGGGGCCCTTTGTCCTACGACAGCGTCCCGGCCGCGCCGCGCGCCCCTGTGGGCCGAGTCCCCGCGCGCACTCACTCACCCACGGTGACCAGCGTGTCGAAGTCTTGAAGGCGGTTGGCAGGCGGCTCCGGCGACCGCGCCTCGGAGCTGGGGCAGAGCTCGGGCGCCCAGTCCGGGGTCTCCTCTGCCACGGCCGCCTGGGCCAGCCCGGGCGCCTTCATGGGGACGCACTCAGGTCCGGGGCGCCGGGCCGGGCCGGAGCGCTCGGGGAGCCGGGCTTCCGCGGATGCAGCCTCGGAGGGCGGCGCGGCGGCATCAACGGAGGCTCCCCATGCGCGCCATGCGGCTTGTGGAGGCCATCCTGCCCACCCGGCCCGGAGCCCGCAAGACGCCAATGCGCCTTCCGGTGCGCGCGCGGCCGGGCGCGGCTGACGGAGCGGCGGGGACAATGGCTGGCCGTCGCTCACGGCACAAGCAGCAACGGCCCCAGGTAGCAGCAGCCGCCGGCCTCGTGGGGCGGGCACGGAGCGCCGGGAGGCGGCGGGGAAGGCGGGGGCCGCGGCCCGGGCTTGTAGAGCCAGGCGGGGGCCCTGCGCATTCCCAGTCTCGCGCCCGCGGCCTCCTGCAGCTCGGTAGCAGCGTGCGCGTTGAAGAGGCGGGCGGAAGCCGCCTGGGCGAGGCCTAGGGGCTGGGGGCGTCGCCTTCGCACGCGCTCCGCCCCTGCCGCGACCCAGCCCAGGAGCCAGAGACCTGGGCGTGCCCCGCCACCGTGGGCAGGCGCGGCCCTGGGGAGGTGCTCACGCCCCCTCCGCGCCCGAGGCGCCCCTCGGGTGGCACCCAGGACGACCTCTCACCCCGACCTACCGCCCCGACCCTCTTAGGCGCAGAGGCGCACAGGTCCAGACCCGGCTACTCAGGAGGGAGGAAACATTTTACAACCTGTTCTCTCTTGTCTTTGAAGCCTGCTAGCTAAAAGCTTCATCTGCATAGTAAAACTTTGGTCTCCACCACCTCTTATCACAACCCAGACATTCCCTTCTGTGATCTCAGGTCTTCAGATAAACTCAACCAGCTGTCAACCAGAAAATGTTTAAATTCACCCACAGCCTGGAACCCCCTTTCCTCCACCCCCTCGCCCCCACCCACCACTTCTACTTGTCTCTTTTCTGGACCAAACCAATGTATTTCTCAAATGTATTTGATTGCTGTCTCATGCCTTCCTAAAATGTATAAAACCAAACTGCACCCCAACCACCTTGGGCACATGTTCTCAGGACCTCCTGAGGGCTGTGTAATGGGCCATGGTCAGTCGTATTTGGCTCAGAATAAATTTCTTCAAATATTTTACAGAGTTTGACTCTTTTTGTTGACACCTTTTCTTAGACAGCTACTACAAGATGTTCTTCAGAAAATGGACGGCGCAAACTGAGAACAAGTAAGAGGTGGATTCAGAAAGTTAGGAGATCCGGTGGAGGAGAGAAGTGTAGTTGGTGGCCAGGGTGACAGCCATTCACCAGGTTCCATAGACAAACAGTTCATGTTGGAGATGGGGTTCAAGAGATGCTAGACGGAGCCGTCCAGGAAGAAAGAGCAGGAATGAATGGACAAAAAGTATGGGAGTTAGAAAAACTGATGAATTTAGGGGCACATGGTAGGCCTTTTGGAGCACTGGGATAAAATAGTTTCAGGCACTAAGTAAATTTTATATAAAAAGAAGGCAGCCCAGTGCAGTGGCTCATGCCTGTAATCTCAGCAACTCCAGAGGCTGAGTTGGGAGGATCACTTGAGCTCAGGAGTTTGAGGCTGCAGTGAGCTATAATTGCACCACTGCACTCCAGCCTTCTAGCTTGGGTGACAGACCCTGTCTCCAAAAAATAAAAAGGCAATTACTAACTCCAGGAAAAAGGAAAGAAAGAAAACATAATCATTGTAGTCACTGGTTCATCTTTGAATATCATTGCAATGGTCATTATAATGGAAACACTGATGATTTCTTAAACCAAATATTGTGACCTAAATGTTTACAAGAATGTGGTAGGAGGGAAAGGACATTTGTGATTGGATGGAAAGGCAGGCAGGAGAGTGTCACAGTCTGAGGGGTTCTTCTTTCCTGCTGCCCCCCAAAAACCCAGTGCACTGAGAACAGCAGATGTTGCAGCAAAGAGGGAGGTTAATAATTGCAGGGACAGCTAATTGAGAAGAATAGGAGAGGTTTCTCAAATCTGTCTCCCTAAAAAGTTGGAAACTATGGTTTTTCATGGTACTTTTGTGGGCAGAAGCCTGGGGAACTGCAACAACTGATAGACTATGGATGAAATCTCAGGGGTGTCTAAAACTGTCTTTCTGCAGGTGAGTTAGTTCCCAGGAGAGGGTATCTCAGGACCAGGTGGCATCTCTTGGTCTGCCAAAATGCTAAATCTGAAAAATATTTCAAAGACCATTGTTTAGGTTTTACAATAGTAATGTTATCTACAAGAGTAGTTTGGGAAGTTATACATCTTGTGATCCCTGGTTACATGACTCTGGTGCAGTGAACAACTTACATGAAAACACACTAAGTGATGGCAGGTCATTGATTAACTATGCCTATTCTTTAGCAAAGTTCAAGCCCCTACAGTAATTCTAACCTTGTTTTCTGAATGTGGCTTTAATCTGCAGTCAAGGAGTGGGGTCAGTTTCCTTGCCTCAGAGTTTAACTCTCTCTCTCTCTCACTCTCTCTGTGTGTGTATAAATATATATACACAATTATTTACTATTTATTTATTTATTTATTATTTTTTGAGACACAATATTGCTCTGTTGTCCAGGTTGGAGTGCAGTGGTGTGATCTTGGCTCACTGCAGCCTCAACTTCCTGGGCTCAAGCGATCCTCTCACCTCAGCCTCCTGAGTAGCTGGGACTACAGGTGCACACCACCATGCCTGGCTAATTTTTGTAAATTTTTTTTTGAGAAGGGGTTTCACTATGTTCCTGAGGCTGTTCTCCAACTCCTGGGCTCAAGCAATCCTCCTGCCTCGGTCTCCCAAGGTGCTGGGTGGCACCACACCTGGCTTCAAATTTTAACTATAAACTAACTTCCTCACGCAGTTATCTTGGCTGCCACACTAGAATAAGCAAAAACAAAACAATTTAGCCTGTGAGGTCTGATGGAAGATGGAGTCAGTCACGTTAGATTTCTCATATTTGTTTTTCTTTTCCTTTTTTTTTTGATGGAGTTTTGCTGTTGTTGCCCAGGCTGGAGTGCAATGGCGTGATCTCAGCTCACTGCAACCTCTGCCTCCTGGGTTCAAGTGAGTCTCCTGCCTCAGCCTCCCGAGTAGCTGGGATTACAGGCACCCGCCACCATGCCTGGCTAATTTTTTTTTTTTTTAATAGAGACGGAGTTGCACCATGTTGGCTGGCTGGTTTTGAACTCCTGACCTCAAGCGATCTGCCTACCTCAGCCTCACAAAGTGCTAGGATTACAGGCATGAGCCACCGCACCCAGCCAAGATTTCTCACATTTCTTATAATTCTGCAATCTCAGTTTCAAGACCAAATCCCCAATAACCATAAGGCGTAAAATTGACAAATCTTGAAACTGTAGTGTAAGAATATTACATAGCACCATGATTGTAAATATGAAAACAAACATTTAAAAGATTGAAATTGAATAGAGGCTGGGAATGGGACATTTTGATACAAGGAGGTTTTTTTTTAAGTACTAACTCTTTCATATTTCCTTTACAATAATCTGCTTAAACTTTAAGAACATTTGGAAAAGAAGGTGTCACAGATGTTCCCTTCCAGTCAGACACGTCTTCACTTCTTTGGTTTTACTCCTCTTCTCTGGAGAGATCATGGCAGAGCTTGGCACCGTATATATACTCATGGGGCACTGATGGCAGTGGACATTTGAGTGAGGCAGTCTTTGTTTTTTACTTTTGGAGGGTGATTGTGAAGATGAAATGAAATAACCCACATGGCAATGCCCACAATTCACAAGGCACATAAACAGGGTGTCAGGAAATACTAGCTCAGCAGAGATTCTACATTCATCTTTTCCCTGAGAATGATAATGAGGGATGTTTAGTACTGAAATCAGAAAGAATCAAAACACAGGTATATCTACATATTCTTAGATACAGCAGAAATGTGTTAGTTTTTCTCTGTCCTGGAACAGAAGCAGATGCAGAGATGCAAGTGTTAAAAACTGCATGGTAGAATAAATACTCCATACACTTGGAGTGGCCACATTTAGCAAATAAAAATTGTAATAAATTTAAATTTCAGATAACACATTTTAAAATGTTTTAAATTTTAATTATATTTATTCTACTTTTTTATTTTTATTTTTTGAGACAGGGTCTCACTCTGTGGCCCAGGCTGGAGTACAGTGGTGTGATTACGGCTCACTGCAGCCTCTACCTCTTCGGGCTCAGGCGATCCCCACACCTCAGCCTCCTGAGTAGTTGGACTACAGGTGTGCACCATTTCGCTCAGCTAATTTTTGTATTTTTGTAGAGACAGGGTTTCACCATGTTGCCTAGGCTGGTCTTGTACTCCTGGGATCAACAATCCCCCCACCTCAGCCTCCCAAAGTCCTAGGATTCCAGGTGTGAGCCACTGCACTTGGCCAAGTAACAGATTTTTGAGTATCAGTATGCCCCATGTCACACTGGGGGCATATGGATACTAAAAAATTATTCAGTATTTATCTGAAATTCACATTTAATTGGTGTTGTGTCTTTTATCTGGAAACCTTATAGATGGCTGAATTTGCAGCTGTCATGTCACTGTTTGTGGCTTAATGAAGGAATTCATTTGCCATTTACAAAAATTCAGTACCCAGAAGGAGAAAGGGGATGCTGTTTGGAAGAACATGATGTCACTGCCAATGCTGAATTAACTTGGTGGTCTGGAATACACAATCTGTGAGCATCAGTCTCTGTTTTTGTTTTTGTTTTTGTTTTTGTATTTGTTTTTGTTTTTGTTTTTGAGATGGAGTCTTGCTCAGTCATCCAGGCTGGAGTGCAGTGGCACGATATCTGTTCCCTGCAACCTCTGCCTCCTGGGTTCAAGTGATTCTCCTGTCTCAGTCTCCCAAGTAGCTTGGACTACAGGTGCGCACCACCATGCCCAGATAAATTTTGTATGTTTAGTAGAGATGGGGTTTCACCATGTTGGCCAGGCTGAGCCTTCAGAGGGAGTGTGGCTCGGACCGCACCTTGATTTCAGACTTCTGGTCTCTAGAAATGTGAGAATGCACATTTATTGAGACTCATTCAGTGTCTCAATTTATGGAACTTTGTTAAAACAGACCTAGGAAAATAATACTCCCAATCAGAAGGACAGAACAAACAAGTGGAATTGTCAACACAACACAAAATTGGAGGTATGTACCTTTTTTAGCAGTAATTGTATATTAACTTGCTCTTCCAAAGTGGTGGTTTGGAGAATGGATAAACCCAAGTGTCAAGGATGAAAATAATGATCAATTGAACTCCATATGGAATATAAACCAATTTCACCCTCTCAATATAATATGGGTAATTATTTACTCTTCATGTTGATTTAATATTTGCTTTTATAGAATGAAAAAATATAGGTACACTCACAACTAGGGGCCCTAATCAATGATCATTTATCATGAGCATTTGATTTTCAACACATTATGAATTACATGGTGGTATAGTCAATGCAGCTCACAATAGTGGCTTTGAATCTGCATTGCCCCTGGCCATATGACCTTCAACATATATTTTGAGGTTGGGGGAACAGGAGGAATATTTTTTACGAATTTTGTGTTTGATCCAATATGGTTGTTTTTGAAAGGGCTGTGTGACCCTCTGTGGAAATAAAATTGATTTATAGCTGAACTGGACAAGCTCTATCTATCTCTTGCAACTACTAGAGGTCTGGTCTTTGACCCACGGTCAGTGGGTTTTATGAGATGTTGCTTAAAGTCTCATACTGGGCTTGGTAATTGTAGAATAGAGTGGTTCTTTGCTTTGCATGGTGGGATAAGATTTCTTTTTTAAAATTTTTAATTTTAATTTTTAATCTTTGTAGATACATAGTAGGTGTATGTATTTATGGGGTACATGAGTTGTTTTTGTTTTTTATGAAACAGAGTCTGGCTCCGTCACCGAGGCTGGAGTGCAGTAATGTGGTCTTGGCTCACTACAACCACTGACTCCTGGGTTCAAGCAATTCTCCTGCCTCAGCCCCCTGAGTAGCTGGGACTACAGGTGTGCACCACCATGTAAAGCAAATTCTTGTATTTTTAGTAGAAATGGGGTTTCACCATGTTGGGCAGGCTGGTCTCGAACTCCTGGCCTCAAGTGATCCGCTGGCCTTGGCCTCCCAAAGTGCTAGAATTACATGCATGAGCCACCGTGCCCAGCCTTACATGAGATGTTTCGATACAGGCATACAATGTGAAAGAAGCACATCATGGGGAATGGGATATCCATCCCCTGAAGCATTTATCCTTTCAGCTACAAACAATCCAATGACATTCTTTAAGTTCTTTTAAAATGTACAATTAAGAAATCCCTTGGTCGGGCTCAGTGGCTCACGTCTGTAATCCCAGCACTTTGGGAGGCCAAGGCTAGCAGATCACCTGAGGTCAGGAGTTCAAGACCATCCTGGCCTACATGATGAAACCTCGTCTCTACTAAAAATACAAAAAAATTAGTCAGGTGTTGTTGCACGCACTTGTTGTCCCAGCTACTCAGGAGGCTGAGGCAGCAGAATTGCTTGAACCCAGGAGGCAGAGGTTGCAGTGAGCTGAGATCATGCCATGCCACTATAGCCTGGGAAACTTCATCTCAAAAAAAAAAAAAAAAAAGCAAGAAATCCCTTGAGGGTCAATTTCTTTACTGATGGCTTGCAACTGGCCTAACCACTTGTGAAGTCAGTATGGCTTCACTATATTTAGGTGGTTCAATTCATGCATCAATACGAACCCTGGGATCTTGCACAAGGGTCTCTCTGTATCCCAATGCTGGCCTGCGCACACACTTTTTCTCTCTCTTGCTGTGCTGTGTCCTTCAGTGTTAAATAAAAGCTGTACCACTTCACACCCACTAGGATGGCTACGATTCACAAAATCCAGAAAATAGCAGGTGTCAGCCAGGATGTAGAGAAATGGGAATCTTTGTGCATTGTTGGTGAAAATGCTCAATGGTGCAGCCCCTGTGCAAAACAGTGTGGTGGTTTCTCCAATAATTAAACACAGAGTTAGCATAGGATCCAGCAATTCCACTTCTGGGTATATACTCAAAAGAATTGAAAGCAGGGTCTCAAAGAGATACTTGTAAACCTATGTCCGTAACACTGTTTTTCACTGTAGCCAAGAGGTGGAAGCAACCCAAGTGTCTATCAGCAGAGGAATGGATAAACGAAGTGTGGTCCATCCATACAATGAGACATTGTTCAGCCCTAACGAAGGAAATTCTGACACGTGCTGCAACGTAGATCAACCTTGAGGACATTATGCTAAGTAAAATAAGCCAGGCTCAAAAAGACTAATACTCTATGAGTCCATTCATGTGAAGTCTCTAGAGTCATCCAATGCATAGAGACAATGGTGGGCACTGGGCACTGGGGGAAGGGAACATGAGGAGTTAGTGTTTAATGGGGACAGAATCTCACTGAGGATATTAAAAAAGTTCTGGAGATAGGTGGTGGTGATGGTTGCATAACAGTGTGAATCCACTTAATGCCACTGAACCGTGCACTTAAAAATGGTTAAAATGGTGAGTTTTATATTATGTATATTTGACCAAAATAACAGATAGGTAGATACATAGATGATAGATACATCATACATGATAGATAGTTCATAGCTGGGTGATGATGATACACAAATACATAGATAAATGATAGGTGAGACAGATAGATGATAGGTGATAGATGATAGATGACAGATGGCTAGATGATAGGTAGATACATAGATGGTAGATAGATGATAGACAGAAAAATAGACAGATGATAGGTAGATGATAAGTAGATGATAAGTAGATAGATAGATAATAGGTAGATTATACACAGATGATAGATAGATGGGTAGATAGATGCTACATAGGTAGATAGATAGCCTCCAAGACAATGGGAGAATAAATGTCTGTTGTTTAAGCCCTGCAGTCTATGGTGTTCTGTTATAGCAGCTTGAAATGGACTAAGACACCTCATAAGAAGAGATGAGGACACAGACACACACAGAGAGACGACTGTATGAGGACAAAGGGAGAACACAGAGTCTACAAGCCAAGGAGAGAGGCCTCAGGAGGAACCAGCCCTGCCCACACCTTGATCTCAGACTTCCGACCTCCAGGATTGTAAGGAAATAAATTTCTGTTGTTTAAGCCCCTCAGTCTACAGTCCTTTGTTATGGCAGCTCTAGCAAAGGCATATACCTTCTCCATCCCCTCTCCTCTGATAAATACCAATATCTCAAGAGAACTTGGAGGCAGCTGTTGAAGAGAGCTGAGCCACAATGTTGAAAGTTATTGGGTCCCTGATTCAGGACTTGAAAGAGCATCACCAGCCAACCAGAAACACACACTTTGGGCTTAACACCAGGTATTTGTTAGAAAAAAAAATACGGGCTGGGTGCGGTGGCTCACGCCTGTAATCCCAGCACTTTGGGAGGCTGAGGCGGGCGGATCATGAGGTCAGGAGATTGAGACCATCCTGGCTAACATGGTGAAACCTCGTCTCTACTAAAAATACAAAAAAATTAGCTGGGCATGGTGGCGGGCGCCTGTAGTCCCAGCTACTCGGGAGGCTGAGGCAGGAGAATGGCGTGAACCTGGGAGGCGGAGCTTGCAGTGAGCTGAGATCACCCCACTGCACTCCAGCCTGGGCGACAGAGTGAGACTCTGTCTCAAAAAAAAAAACCAAAAAAAAAAAAAAAAACACTGAGATTTGGTGTTCATTCATCAGCTTAAGCAGCTTATCATGGCCCTAACTAACAAAGCATGTTTTACATAACAGGTACTTTGCCCACAGTCAAGTGTATCAAGATCAAATGATGATGTGCTACACCTTTGCTGTAGATTTCTTATCAATACACTCTTTCCTTGTGTCCTCTGAGAGTCTACTTCACTGCAGGGCTGCTGCTACCAGCTGCTGTGGTCATAGCCTTGGTGTTCTTGTCTAATTAATGAGGGTTCCCATTAAACTAGACTCCAGCTGTTTTGACTTCCAGAATTGCTTTAGGAGAGTCTCTGTGGTCATTAATAAGGTGAGACCTTTTGGTTCCCAATACAAAGAGAGAAGATAATTTATTTTCTACAGCATTTTTTCCCATAAAGCTCTATATTCCGTTACATTTTAAAGGGCATTTCAACAAATGATGTATGAAATGGAGAACAAAATCTGTATGGTTCTGCAGTAAAGGGCATGCAAAACTAGAGAACGGCTCTGAAATGATGTGGAAAAACAGCAATCTACTTTTCTTTAAAAAAATTAAAGGCTTATGCTTCACATAAATTCATGTCGATTTTCCAGGCATTATTTGGTTATAACGTCTGAGGCATTGCATGGATTTACTGGTACCTAAAGTGTGGATTTATTCTTAAGAAGCATGCAGCTCTACAATCTTGTACAGTGAAACGTTGGGCACTCACAAAGTTATGCAAGACAGGTTATGATGTGGGCTTAAGAAAGGTGTTGAGAGCTAGGAGTAGAGATATAGAAGAAAAAAAGTGTAATATTTTCAAGAAAGAGTAATTAGTTTGTAAGTGGAGGCTACTTTCATTGTTTTTTTTTTTTTAATTTTGATGTTTTAGTGTTATGTTTTTTGAGACAGAGTCCAGCTCTGTTGCCCAGGATGGAGTGCAGTGGTGTGAGCATAGCTCACTGCTGTCTTGAACTTCCAGGCTCAAGTGATCCTCCCACCTCAGTTTCCTGAATAGCTAGGACCACAGGCATGCACCATCATGCCTGGCTAATTTTTAAATATTTTGTAGAAACTGGGTCTCCCTTTGTTATCCAGGCTGGTCTCCAACTCCTGGGCTCAAGTGATCCTCCTCCCTTGGCTTCCCAAAGTGTTGAGATTACGGGCATGAGCCACTGTGCCAGGCCAACATTGTTTTTAATATATGACTTGTAAGGCAAGTTGGGGGGCATTAATTCCTTATTAAGATGTACTGAGTTGAATAAAAGCCCCTCCAACCATCAACCCCCCAAAATATATGTCCAAGTACTAAGCTCCAGAATTTGTGAATGCAAACTAATTTGGATAAAGAGTATTTGCATGTAATTAAGGAAAGATTCTTGAGATTAGATCACTATAAATTACCCAGGTGGCCTTTAAATCCAATGACCAGTGTCCTTCTAAGAGACAGAAGAGGAGACACAGACACAGAGGAAAAGGTCACGTGGAGATGGAGGCAGAGAATGTAGTGATGTGGCCACAAGCCCAGGGACACCTGGAGCCACCAGGAGCTGGAAGAGGCAGGAAGGATCCTCTCCTAGAACCTCCAGGGGGAGCGCACCCCTGCCCACACCTTGATCTCAGATTCCTGGTCTCCAATACTGGAAAAGAGTAAACATCTGTTACTTTACACCATCCAAGTTTTTGTTATTTGCTACGGCATCCATAGGAATTAAAAACCTATAGGTATGAATTTTATGTTGCTGTCAAAAGGCTTCTTCTAGGATAAGTAGATATTTCACCTAGATAGTTGTAGCTTTTTCTCCTCTTCATTGGGATCGGAACTCAGTTGGTGTCCTCCATCCTCCTATCTCAATATTGATTTTACTTACTCTTTAATCCTAACAATGAGCCTTTTTATATTGCTTAATTAAATATCAATGTCTTTCTGGTCAACATGAGACCAAAAACCTTTTTACCTTGGGCCTGAGAAAGAGCAGTATTTCTCCTCCTCCTCTTCCTCTTCTTCCTCCTCCTTCCTTCTTCTCCCTCTTTTTAGAGATGGGGTCTCTCTCTGTTGCCCAGGCTAGAGTGCAGTGGCATAATCCTAGCTCACTGCAGCCTCAAACTCCTGGGCTCAAGTGATCTTCCAGCCTCAGCCTGCTGAGTAACTGGGACCACACATGTGCACCACTATGCCCTATTTTTTTGTTTTTTTAACTTATTTATAGAAATGAGGTCTCACTATGTTGCCCAGGCTGGTCTCATACTTCTGGCCTCAAGTGTTCCTCCTCTTTGGCCTCCCAAAGCACTGGGATTACAGGTGTGAGCCACCATGCTTTGGCATGGTGGGGTATGCAGTAGGAGAGCAGGGGTGGTGGTAGTGTCTCCATATGTACTCTCACTAAAACTGGTGTGGGCAGATACTGGATGCCTACTTATTTAGGGGCATCTAAATTCCTGTGCTAAATTAGAAAATAGAGGCAGCTCTTGAAAGGAGTGATGGCATGAAGGAGAGATGCTTGGACCAACCACCACACAACCCTTATAAATAATTGATAACCTTGGTTTTGATGCCACGTCCTCTTCAACAGTTGTTGGTTGAAATGACACATGATTCCAGGTGAGCTTTTCCAGATAAATTGCCCTGGAACTTCAGACTTTGTCGGGTGAATCGATGTGGAATTTCAGAATGGGCTGGAATGTCTAAGATGGGCATGTCCAATATTCAGCTCAGTGTGGGGAAACTGGTGGTGGCCAGGGCTGGTTGCAAGCTGAGTTGTAGGGGTGACAGTTCACCTGAGAAACAAAAAAACATGCAAGTCCTGGTTCATGAGGAGTGATTTCACAAATAGTGACCATGGAAGTCAATGTTGAAAAAACAAATAGATTCAGAGCATAAGGGTGCAGGTTTGTTACATGGATATGTTGCCTAGTGGTGGGGATTGGCCTTCTGTCCCCTAAACAGTGAACATAATACCAGATAGGTAATTTTTCAACCCTCATCCTCTCCCACCTTCCCCCTTTTAAAGGTGTCCAGTGCCTGTTATTCCATTCTATAGGTCCATGTGTACCCATTTTTAGCTCCCACTTATAAGTGAAAACATGTGGTATTTGATTTTCTGTTTCTGAGTTATCTCACTTAGGATATTGACCTGCAGCTCCATTTATGTTGCTGCAAAAGATACAGTTTCATTCTTTTTTATAGATGCATAGTATTCCTTGGTGTGTGTATACCACATTTTCTTCATCCAATGAACATTCAGGTTCATTCCACGATTTTGCTATTGTGAATTGAGGTGCAATAAAAATGTAAGCATAGGCATCTTTTTTGATAATTTCTTTTCCTTTGCATAGATAATCATTAGTGGAGTTGCTGGGTCAAAGGGCAGATCTATTTTTAGTTCTTTGGGAAATCTACATACTGTTTCCTATAGAGGTTGTACAATTTACTTCTCACCAACAGTGTATAAGCATTCCCTTGTCTCTGTACTCTTGCCAACATGCGTCTGTTGTTTTTGGAAGTCAGTGTTTTTCTACAAGACCTTCATATTGGCTATAAATAAAAGTGATACCTTGGAAGAGAGTCTATTTCTGGACAGCCAGAGAGGGAAATGGGAATGATCAGGAAACATACCGGGATTATAAGAGAGCTTCATTATTTTGGTCTGGCTTGAGTCCGTAAATGGAGTAGCCTCTTAGCGGAACAAAATTTCCTCCAATTATAATGGTAGTTGCCAGAGGCAACAACAGTGAAAGAGCCATTTAAAAAGTCAAAACCAGAGGAATCATTTGACTAGAACCTTCAATGGCTTTGAGTCACTATGCCAGACAGCTCAATTATCTTATCTCTGCCGTGAAAAGCTGTCTTTTTCTTGTACTTACATCTCTTGAGCAGAATCTCACATAAAACATGCCCTAATTACATGGTCCCTATTAGATACTACACCAGGGAGTGCTTGGCTTTGATGGTGCCCAGATTGTCTGAAGTCTGCAGAAATCCACTGCAGGCAGAGGCATTTGGGTGGACCATGTTCCCAAGATTATCACTTTGTAAAATATGGCTCTTGGGAGGGCAAATTTGCATGTAGGGTATTCTGAGGAACAAGTGTCGTACTGCCATCCTAAGGGTCCCTTATGGCAATGCCTGAGTTATGTGTAATTACAACAGCCATGGGTCTAGAGCTTAAGCCTCCTGCTTCCATGGAACCAATGCATTCAAAGGTTGAAGGCACCTTTGAGATTTTCTAGGCTGGCTACCAAGTCCTATGTAGGAGAAAGATGAAGTCTAACAAAGCCAGGTGATTTTCAGCCACACAATGTGTACCTTGATCTAGGGTCAGGTTATTCAGCCTCCTACTACACCAAATTTTAGAATACAATTTTTATTAGGTGGGATTTAATTAATGTCACTGATGTATAAAAGTAAAAAGAACATGTTACAGATGTAAGATATATAGATTATATATTTATCTGTATACATAAGAGAAATAGATGGACGGATGGATAGATAGACAGATGGATAACTAGAAGATAGAAAATTACACACATACATTCATAAATACATATATACATAGATGGATAGATAGATGATTGACAGAGAGAACAATATAGGTAAATGTAGATAGACGATAGATGATAGAAAGATAGACAATAGGTAGATAGATGTTAGATGGAATAGATGACAGATTAATGATAGGTAGATAGAATAGATAGATAATGAATAGATGATAGAAAGATAGACAGATAGACAATAATAGGTAGGTAGATAGATGATAGATGGAATAGATAGATAGATGGTGGATAGATATATGGAATAGACGATAGATTATAGATGGAATGAACGGATAGATAGAATATAGTAATAGAATGCATCTACCTGAAAATACAAGAGAGAAGAAAAAGAGATTGGGAGTTTTTCCACTCTATAACTTTGGGGCAAAGAAAATAGCATTAATGAAAAAGCAAAGAACGGGAAAATAAAAAGTTTTTATCCAGAACCACCCTTCCAGCAAAAGAAAATGTAGGGCAAGCAAAATATTAAGCATTTCATACTCACTTGTGTAGGCCATGGGAACTATTATGAAAAGGTGGATGTTGCATGTTTCAGTATATTTTTTGTTTTGTTTTGTTTTTGAGATGGACTCTCGCTGTGTTGCCCAGGCTGGAGTGCAATGGCGAGGTCTCAGCTCACTGCAACCTCCGCCTCCTGGGTTCAAGCAATTCTCCTGTCTCAGCCTCCCGAGTAGCTGAGATTACAGGTGCATGCCGCCATGCCTGGCTAATTTTTTGTACTTCAGTAAAGATGGGGTTTCACTGTTTTGCCCAGGCTAGTCTTGAACCCCTGAGCTCAGGCAATCCACCTGCGTTGGCCTCCCAAAGTGCTGAGATTACAGGTGTGAGCCACCACGCCCGACCTCAGTACACTTTTAATATACACAGAGCTTTGCCACATTTTGGAGGGTTACCTACTATTGCAATTTCTGGATTTTTATTTCATTTTTTATGTTTGTGTCTCTCCATTTTAGTTTAATGTAATGCAATTCAATAGATTTTCTCATTAAAATAAAATCTCAGCCTCTCTCCATTGCATAGGATGAAGCAGGCATGATGTAGGGCAAGCTCACTGGCTGGATTCAGACCCTTGAAGGAGGCCGGGCGCGGTGGCTCATGCCTGTAATCCCAGCACTTTGGGAGGCTGAGGTGGGCAGATCACTTGAGGTCAGGCATTTGAGACCAGCCTGGCCAACATGGTGAAACTCTGTCTCTACCAAAAAACCCCCAAAAATGAAAATACAAAAATTAACTGAGTGTGGTGGTGCGTGCCTGTAGTCCCAGCTACTTGGGAGGTTGAGGTGGGAGAATCCCTTGAACCTGGGAGGTGGAGGTTACAGTGAGCCGGGATCATGCCACTGCACTCCAGACTGTGTGACAGAGACCCTGTCTCAAAAAAAAAACAACACAAAACCCAAAACAGACCCTTGAGAAGTGAGCATTTTGCAGTATTCCATTTGGGAGCTGGCTATTCTGCTTCCTCCTGACATCCCAAAGGACACAGGATGGCCTGAGCTCCCAGGTACCCTGGGTTTCCCAGTAAGAATTCCAGGAGTGTTGAGAGAAATGCAAATTGTCTCTGCAGAGCAGCAGACCCCAGAGCTTAAAGGCTTCTCTCCGTTCACAGATTGCCGCATGGAGATGAGAGGAAATAGAGGGTGAACAGATCTCCTGCTACTGCACATGCTACTTTTGATTTCCCAGCTGGTGTTTGAAGGCTGTGCAAGGTGTTGGTTTGCAGGATGATGGAGACCCAGATCATTGTGAATCCATGACCGTGTGGCCGTTTGCATCGACTCAGCCTTACTGCAGATACTAACCTTCATTCCCCTCTCCAGCTATGCACTGGTTTTCTGCATACCACTTGGAATTTATGTTGGCTCTGAGTCATCTGACTCTCACATGAGAAAGAACCAAATAATGACCTGTTATTTTAAAAGAAAGTATCTGCATATGGCTTCTTGTCTGCCGAATGTTGCACATTAGGCCTTTTTTATTGAGTTTCAAATAAACCCCTGAATTAATTCTGCAGGCAAAGGCATTGATGTTAGCACCATTTGATCGCTTGAATGCACGTCATAACAGCATTTTAACGTGCTTACAGCAAGGGGGATGAGACCATATCGAGGATGCACTTTGTCGTTATTAAGGTTAAAAACACCAAGATAGCTGGGTGCGGTGGCTCAGGCCTGTAATCCCAGCACTTTGGGAGGCCGAGGTTGAAGGAAGAGAAAGACCCTCTCATATTATTTTATATTGTTTTATACTCAGTACCTGTTTTAAGCAAAAACAGCAAGGAAGTAAAACCAAAGACAGGCAGCTCGGTGCCAGGCCTGAAACCAGGCCTGGGCCTGCCTGGCCTACACCCAGTAGTTAAAAATCAACTCATGACTTAGAAACCGGTGTTATTCATAGATTCCAGACATTGTATAGAAGAACACTGTGAAACTCCCTGCCCTGTTCTGTTTCTCTCTGACCACCGGTGCATACAGCCCCTGTCACGTACCCCCTGCTTGCTCAAATCAATCACGACCCTTTCATGTGAAATCTTTAATGTTGTGAACCCTTAAAAGGGACAGAAATTGTGCACTCGGGGAGCTCGGATTTTAAGGCAGTAGCTTGCCGATGCTCCCAGCTGAATAAAGCCCTTCCTTCTACAACTCGGGGTCTGAGAGGTTTTGTCTGCGGCTCATCCTGCTACAAGGTGGGTGGATCACTTGAGTCCAGGAGTTTGAGACTAGCCTGGCCAACATGGCGAAACCCTGTCTCTACAAAAAATACAAAAATTAGCCAGGTGTTGTGTTGTGTACCTGTAGTCCCATACTCAAGAGGCTAAGGTGGGTGGATCTCTGGAGCCTGGGAAGTCAAGGCTGCAGTGAGTGGAGATCATGCCACTGCACTCCAGCCTGGGTGACTGAGCGAGACTCTGTCTCAAAAAAAAAAATAAAAAAAAAAAAAGAAGAAGAAAAGACATGTACAATAGATTATTGTAAACTACAGTCACTTGCTGATCTATTGAACACTATGTCTTTTTTCTCTTATCGAAGTGTATATTTGCAAAGTGGGAGGATTTCTTGAGCTCAGGAGCTCGAGACCTGCCTGGGCAACCTAGTGAGACCCTGTCTCTACAAAAAAAAACACAAAAGCCAGCCTGGCATGGTGGCATGCACCTGTAGTCCTAGCTACTGGGGAGGCTGAGGTAGGAGGATTGCTTGAGCCCAGGAGTTCAAGGTTACCGTGAGCTATGATCGCACCACTGTACTTCAGTCTGGCAACAGAGCAGAATCCTGTCTCCAAAAAAACAAAACAAAAAACCAAAAAAACCTAAGATATTTGCATCCATTAATCAAACTATTTTTATCTCCCTTCTCTGCTCCCTTCCCAGCCTCTGGTAGCCACCAATCTACTCTCTATCTCCATGAGATCCAGGTTTTAAGCTCCCACATGTGAGTGAGAACATGCAGTATTTTTCTTCTGTGCCTGGCTTATTTCACTTAACATAATGACCTCCAGTTCCATCCATCAGGCCTCCTTTTTTCACGGAGGATTTATTTTAGGAAACTTGCAATTGTGAGTTCTTTCTCTATCTCTTTGAGATGCAAATCTTCTCCCAAATTTTCTTCTAGCCTCTTCCTAGTTTTGCAACCCAGGAATGCCTTTCTCAAGACTTCAGAGCCATCCCTTTAAAATGCAATTATTGAAGGAGATGATACATCTGTGTCTCAGTTTTTGTAGAAGGGCAGATTCCTAGTTTTGAAAAATTCCAATGAGCCAACGCAGATAGCTTTACAGCATTTCCTAACCTCTTCCTGATGTCTCCAGTTCCTTCTCAGCATCTCACCCCGGCACTTAAAAACTCTCCAGCCTTTTGTTTCAACAAAGTTAAGCTCCTTCTCTCTTCCGTATTGCAGTAGTCCTGACTGAGTCCTTCCTTGAAGGTTTAACTTGTCTGGTGCAATTTTTTCTTTGACAATGTCCAGATCAAATGATCCCATAAAAACATCGAGTGTGATTTTAGCCTGAGAAGGGGGAGGGTGAGAAGATAGATTGGGAGGCAGCTGTGTAGGCAGGGGACTTGGCCACTCCCTAAACCTCTCCCAGTCTCACCTGTAAATGGAGTGCATAGGCAGCAGTGCTTCTCCCCCAAGGCTGGGGCGATGGAATCAGTTAGACTACTGAGGGCATCTGGAAGGGCATCTGTGTCAGGGTTAGTCCTCAGGGTATGGTGGCCAATGGGTTTCTTTTGGTTGACTGTTGACAATGCGTTTGTTGAATGGCAGCCTGCACTAGGTGACGCTGAAGCCACAGAAGACACTGCAGTGGGAAAACCAGCATGAGCCGCTGCCCCCAAGGAACCTCGAAGCCCAGGCAGAGGACCAGCCATCCCAGCCTGCAGGTAAAGTGTGTCACCTGTCAGGTGGGCTTGGGGTGAGTGGGTGGGGGAAGTGTGTGTGCAAAGGGGGTGTGAGTGTGTATGCGTGTGAGCATGAGTGATGGCTAGTGTGACTGCATGTCAGGGAGTGTGAACAAGCGTGCGAGGGTGTGTGTGCAAGTGCGTATGCATATGAGAATATGTGTCTGTGGATGAGTGCATTTGAAAGTCTGTGTGTGTGTGTGTGTGGTCATGAGGGTAAGTTAGTGACTGCGCAGGATGTGTGAGTGTGCATGGAACACTCAGTGTGTGTGGCAAGTGTGTAGGCGTGTGAGGACAGGCAGAAGTGTGTCAGTGTGATGGGAGTGTGAATGAGTGTGCAAAAAGGTGAGTGAATGTGCATGGAAGTGTGTGTCAACTATGAAGGCATGTAGTGTGTCAGTGTGTGCAGTGCAAGCATGTGTGGGAATGAGTGCTTGTGGGTGTGTCCATATCCAACGGGTATGTGTGAAAGCATGTAAAAGTGTGTGTAGTGTGATGGTGTGTGGATGTATCAGTGTGTATAAATGAGAGCATGTAAATGTGTATGTATGAGTGTTGAGTGAGTGTGCATATGTGAGGCTGTGTGTGTGAGTGTAACCATGAGGGTGTGAACGTGCTTAAGTGTGCATGTGACAGTGCAAGTGTAGGGGTGTGATGCATGTGTGGGTTTGCCAGTGTATGAGTGTACATGGTGTGGATCTGAATGTGCACAGTGTAAAGGGCATGAGTGCAAGTGTGTGTGAGTGTATGTGAATGAGTGGTAGTGTGCATGCATGTGTGAGTGCACGCTCAGAAGCATGGATGGGTGCAAGCCTCCCCTACTAACTCCTCCTCCTTCCTGAGATCAAAAAAGTATGTGTTTTCTGTGTTTCAAAAATGTTTTAAAATTATGTACTGTATTTAATAGCTCTTATGACTACAGTGTTTTTCTCTCTGCTTAAAGCGCAGCAGGGGCTGGGCGCAGTGGCTCACACCTGTAATCCCAGCACTTTGGGAGGCCAAGGCAAGTGGATCAGTTGAGATCAGGAGTTCAAGACCAGCCTGGACAACATGGTGAAACCCCATGTCTACTAAAAATACAAAAATTAGCCGGGCATGGTAGCGGGTGCCTGTGATCCCAGCTACTGGGGAGGCTGAGGTGGGAGAATCACTTGAACTCGGGAGGCCGAGGTTGCAGTGAACCGAGATTGCACCACTGCACTCCAGCCTGGGCGACAGAGCGAGACTCTATGCAAAAAACCCCAAAAAATCCAATGTAGCTAAAAGCAGTTTGATGGTAACAGTGACACTGAAATGAGAATTGTGTCAGAAAAACCACAAACAATAATGAAATGGCTCCTATATAACCCATCCCCAAAAACCCACGTAAAGAAGAAAACAGGGCTGGGTGTAGTGGTTCATGCCTATAATTCCAGCACTTTGGGAGGCCCAGAAGGGAGGATTGCTTGAGCCTGGGAAATCGAGGCCACAGTGAGCTGTATTTGCACCACTGTACTTCAGCCTGAGAGTCAGAGTGAAACCTTGTCTCAAAAACAGAAAGACGAAAAGGGTACCTGAGGTATTAACTCTGATCATCAGTGAGTGGAAAGATTCTGGTATTCTGGTGCTTTCCATTTTCTTTTAGCTTATCTTCATTTTTGAGTTTTCTGGAAGAGCATTTATTGCTTTTTTTCTTTTTGAGACGGAGTCTCCCTCTGTCGCCCAGGCTGGAGTGCAGTGGTATGATCTTGGCTCACTGCAACCTCCACTTCCTGGGTTCAAGCGATTTTCCTGCCTCAGCCTCCTGAGTAGCTGGGACTACAGGTACATGCCACCACGCCCGGCTAATTTTTTGTATTTTTTTTAGTAGAGACAGGGTTTCACCTTGTTAGCCAGGAGGATGGTCTTGATCTCCTGACCTTGTGATCCACCTGCCTTGGCCTCCCAAAGTGCTGCGATTACAGGCGTGAGCCACCGCGCCCGGTCGCATTTATTGCTTTAAGAAAAAAAAATTTCACTTGATGGGAAGAAGCTAAAATGAGGCTGACTAGGAAAATATCATTACTAAAAACATTCTCCTTCATTCATGGACTTTTTTTTTGAGACAGTCTCGTTCTGTCGCATATGCTGGAGTGCAGTGGTACAATCTCAGCTCACTGCAACCTTCGCCTCCCAGGTTCAAATGAATTCTTGTGTCTCAGCCTCCTGAATAACTGGAATTAGAGGCATGTACCACCATGCCCGGCTAATTTTTGTATTAGGGTTTTGTCATGTTGGCCAGGCTGGTCTTGAACCCCTGACCTCAAGTGATACATCTGCCTCAGCCTCCCAGAGTGCTGGGATTACAAGTGTAAGCCACTGCGCCTGGCCCTTGTTTTGGCTAACTCTGAGGGAAACTCTTTCTGCCATGGGAGATTGTACCTTACCATTGTTTATTTCCAGGGTCTCCTGAGAACACAGACCAGAATTACTGAGGTAATCTTGGCACATTTTCTTAACCATTTTATGCGACTTTCAAATTCCTTATATGTAGCTGGGAAAAAAGGCTTTGCTAGATGATCTTTTTCAACCTTTGTGAAGATAAAGATTAAGAAAAAAGTTTAAACCTGAGGCAAGGAAAACACAGAAGAAAACCTAAACAAAGTTTCGGTTCTCAGCCCCTGAGCAGCCACTCAGTGGTGGGCGTTTCCTTCACTCCCCAGTGAGCACCTACTGTGTGTTCCGTATGGCGCAGGGCAGGGAGGAGCAGGCCAAGAAACAAACAAGCCTTGGGGTCGGGGCCACAGAGGGCACGGTGAGCTCTCAGGACACGGCGGGAAGGGAAGGCAGAAAGGTCCTGGGCACAGGCTGGGCTGTCAGCTCCAGAGGGGCGCACTGACCCTGCATCCATGGTAAGTGTGGGGCACAGGCAGTCTGGGCTGCAGCCTCAGAGTGGAGCAGAGCCCGGGGTGTAAGAGGCCGGCTGGGGCAAGTGGGCACCAGGAGAGCCCAGGCTGGCCATTATTTGTGGCTGCATTTCCATTTCCAAAAATGTATGATTTTTTCAGTTAATGGAGAAAAAGCACTGACAAAATTCAACACGCTTTCATGATTAAAAACATTCAGCAAACTAAGAATAGAGAAAACTACCTCAACATAATAAAAGTCATATATGAAAAAGCCACATCACACTCAATGGTGAAAACTGAAAGCTTTTCCTCTAAAATTAGGAACAAGACAAGGATGTCTGCATTCATTACTTCTATGCAACACAGTGCTAGAAGTTCTAACCGGCACACTTAGGCAAGAAAAGGAAATAAAAGGCATCAAAATTGAAAAGAAAGAAGTAAAATTATCTCTATTTGCAGATAGGATCTTATAAGTAGAAATGCCTAAAGGGCGTGTGTGCACACACACACGTTAGAACTAATAAATGAGGCCAGGCATGGTGGCTTGTGCCTATAATCCCAGCACTTTGGGAGTCAGACGTGTGCAGATCACTTGAGGTCAGGAGTTCGAGACCAGCCTCACCAACATGGCAAAACCTGGCAAAACCCCATCTCTACAAAAAAATACAAAAATTAGCCAGGCATGGTGGTGGGCACCTGTGGTCCCAGCTACTTGGGAGGCTGAGGCACAAGAATCACTTGAACCCTGGAGGCAGAGGTTGCAGTGAGCCAAGATTGTGCCACTGCACTCCAGCCTGGGCGACAGAGCAAGAGAGCGAGACTCTGTCTCTTTTTTCTTTTTTAAAAAAGAATTAAAAAAAAAACCTAATAAATGAAATCAGCAATGTAGTAGCATACAAGGTAAATACACAGGCCAGGTGCGGTGGCTCACACCTGTAATCCCAGCACTTTGGGAGGCCAAGGTGAATGGATCACTTGAGGTCAAGAGTTCAAGACCAGCCTGGCCAACGTGGTGAAACCCCGTTTCTGCTAAAAATATAAAAAAATTACTGGTGGTACGTGACTGTAGTCCCAGCTACTCGGGAGGTTGAGGCAGGAGAATCACTTGAACCTGGGAGGTGGAGGTTGTAGTGAACTCAGACTGCTCCACTGTACTCCAGCCTGGGCGACAGAGTGAGACTGGAAAAAAAAAAAAAAAAGTCAATAGACAAAAATCAGCTGCATTTCTAAATACTAACAAACAATGAACAGTCTGAAAAGGAACTAAAGAAAATGAAAATTCCACTTAAAATCTAGCAATCCTACTTCTGGATATATACCCCAAAAAATTGAAAGGAGGGCCTCAAGGAGGTAATTGAACACCCGTGTTCACAGCAGCATTATTCATAATAGCTAAAAGGTGGAAGCAACCCAAGTGTCCATTGACAGATGAATGAATGAGCAAAATGTGGTATGCACAGTGAAATTTTACTCCGCCTTAAAGGACACTGAGACACTTTCTACAACATGAACCTTGAGAATACTGTGCTAGGTGAAATAAGCCAGTCACAGAAAGACAAATATTCTGTGATTCCACTTCTGTGAAGAAAGCAGCGTAGTCAAAATCATAGAGACAGAAAGTGGAATAGTGGCTGCCAGGGTTGGGGAAAAAGGGAATGGAGAGTTGGTGTTTATGGGGACAGTTTTAGTCCCCCCACTGCCCCGCTTACCCCAACTTGAAGCTCAGAGTTTTAGTTGTACAAGATGAAAAGAGTTCTGGAGATGTGTGGGGGTGATGGCCGTACAACATCGTGAATGTATTTAGTGCCCCTGAACCACACACCTACATATGGCTAAGATGGTAAATGTTATGCTATGTATATTTTACTACAATAAAATATGTTGGAAAAAAAATTTTGATGTGATAATGCAAACTTACAGCGACTCACACCTGCTTTATCGGGAGTTTCAGAAGGGGCAGGAGGGAGAGGACACGCTAAGCAGCCAGAGGCTATTGACACACCGGAAGCATCCCCAGGGACTGCCTTTCTCAACATCACCCTCTGTAATGGCAGCGTCAGCCAAGAGTGCACTGCCATTGGTTTTACTGACCAAACCTAAAGAAACGGCTGCGTTCCCATCAGATTTGCTCACTAAATCATGCCGACACACAGACATGCATCTTCCAGCCTGTTCGGCAGCAGTGCAGACAACATGAGGGGTCTCAGATCTTCCACAAGAATGATTCTGGTTCTGCCTGAGCCTTCGCCTGAGTCCCCATCAGGCATTGTAAAGGTCAACTTAAGGATGATGGGCAGGCAGAGGCAGGAATAAGGACTGATATGGTTGAATCTCTCATTGCTTTAGCACCATCCGCTTGGTGCTGCTCTCATGATAGCTGGTTGTTTAAAAGTGTGTGGCACCTGCCGGGCGCGGTGGCTCACGCCTGTCATCCCAGCACTTTGGAAGGTTGAGGTGGGTGGATCATGAGGTCAGGAGATCGAGACCATCCTGGCTAACACGATGAAACCCCGTCTCTACTAAAAATAGAAAAAATTGCCAGGCGCGGTGGCGGGCGCCTGTAGTCCCAGCTACTCGGGAGGCTGAGGCAGGAGAATGGCGTGAAACCAGGAGGCGGAGCTTGCAGTGAGCCGAGATCGCGCCACTGTACTCCAGCCTAGGCTACAGAGCGAGACTCCGTCTCCAAAAAAAAAAAAGGAAAAAAAAAAGTGTGCAGCACCTACCCCGGCCCCTTGTCCCTGCTGTGGCCACGTGACATGCCTGCTCCCACTCTGCCTTCACCGTGACTGATTCTGAAGCATCCCCAGAAGCTGAGCAGATGCCAGCACCATGCTTCCCGTACAGCCTGTGGAACTGTGAGCCAACTAAACCTCTTTTCTTTATAAAATACCTGGTCTCAAGTATTTCTTTATAACAGTGTGAGAATGGCCGAAAACGACACCCAGATGCAAACATTACCCAGGCCACCGCGTGCTGACTCTCTCACCAAGCAGGAGCGGGCCCCTCCCTCACGCGGAGCCGCTGGCACGGACAGCCTCGGGAAGGTCAGGCTGAGCGTCCTTTCCTCTGTGCACCCCCGGAGGGTGCTCCCATTGGCTTTCTCAGATAGCACCATCTCAGGGTCCAGCTGGCCATGGCCTGGATTAAGTTTAAAATGCTGGGCCAGTCCCCACTTCCCTATATATGACTTTTTACAAGTCTGACACTTGAAGCTTTTGGGCCTCAGGGAGCAGCTTGATAAGTCAAAGAGCGCCTGCCTCTCCCTCTGATCTTCTTCCACACTGACTTCTGAATCATCATCAGAATCTGGCAGATGACCGTCGGCCAAATCATCCCTTTTTATGAACTCAGCTTTAGCTGTATACTTGGCAGGTCGAGATACCTGTCTCAACGTGTCTTCACTTTTAACGATGGTTTTAGTTTCTCAGTATGTTTTGTATGCAAGTTGGAAATAAATAAACGTCCTGAACTGGATGAAACATGTTACAGTCGGCGAACTGGAGGCCAACGAAGGGGTCAACATGGTGCCCTGTCCATTTGGAGCCTTGGGAGCTGGGACTTTCTTTGCAGGGACCACCTAGAGGGCTGGCAGTGGTCTCTGTACAAACCCCTGAGCAGGAGGCTGATGTAGGAAACATGACTGTGGCTCGGTTCTCACGAGGGGCTGTACCCTGAGCAGCTGGGGGCTGGTGACGTGGAGTCCCACCAGGCGGGAATTCCCCCGGGGCGGCTGGCTCTGTCTTGCAGATTGGGGCTAGACTGTGGCCAGTAGGGACGTTGGCCGTTCCTGACCTTTTGTTTCTCCAGACGTTACCTTGACACAAATGGCTTCTAGTTGCTTTCCTACAGAAAGACAAGAAAGGGAAAAGAAGCATTGTGCTTATCAACATGTCTGCAATTCTGCTCTCATAGTAAATCCACTACTGACATTTTTTCTAAATTACGTCTTACATATACAATTTATGTAACGTGTTTGTATTAACTGTTTTTCAGACCTTTCTGACCAGAAACCACAGTGATACAGGCCGGGCGCAGTGGCTCACACCTGTAATCCCAGCACTTCGGGAGGCCAAGGTGGGCAGATCACTTGAGGTCAGGAGTTCAAGACCAGCCAGGCCAACATGGTGAAACCCCTTCTCTACTAAGGATACAAAAATTAGCAGGGTGTGGTGGTGCACACCTGTAATCCCAGCTACTTTGGAGGCTGAGGCATGAGAATCGCTTGAACCTGGGAGGACGAGGTTGCAGTGAGCCAAGATCGCGCCACTGCACTCCAGCCTGGGTGACAGAGCGAGACTCCATCTCAAAAAACAAACAAAATGGCCGGGCACGGTGGCTCACGCCTGTAATCCCAGCACTGTGGGAGGCTGAATCACTTGAGGCCAGGAGTTCCAGACCAGCTTGGTCAACATGGTGAAACCCCATCTATACTAAAAATACAAAAGTTAGCCGGGTGTGGTGGCACATTCCTGTACTCCCAGCTACTTGGGAGGCTGAGGCAGGAGAATTGTTTGAGCCTGGGAGGCGGAGAGGCTGCAGTGAGCCGAGATCCTGCCACTGCACTCCAGCCTGGGTGACAGAGCTAGACTCAGTCTCAAAAACAAACAAAAAACAAAAACAGACCACAGTGACACATTTTACATTATGACCTAGTATGCACGTATATAAATATTTGCATACATAAATGAAAAGCTGATGGAACTACTTAGCATTCCTATGTAAATGCCTGCTGATTGTATCTATTCTTCATTTCTACATCACCTTTTTTTTTTTTTTTTTTTTTGGAGACGGTCTCACTCTGTTGCCCAGGCTGGAGTGCAGTGGCGCGATCTTAGCTCATGGCAACCTCCGCCTCCCAGGTTCGAGTGATTCTCCTGCTTCTGCCTCCTGTATAGCTGGGATTACAGGCACACGCCACCATGCCTGGCTAATTTTTGTATTTTCTGTAGAGACGGGGTTTCACCATGTTGGACAGGCTGGTGTCAAACTCCTGAACTCAAGTGACCCGCCCGCCTCGACCTCCCAAAGTGCTGGGATTACAGGTGTGAGCTACCGCACTGACCCTAATCTACATCACTTTAAAAAAAATACTAGTCATAATCCACTAAGTTGATTTCATGATGAATTAAGAGATAATAAGAGCCTTCTTAACAGTTTCACCCATGTGTTTTTGCTTGGAGTTTTTAGTACTCTAAAATCAGATGTAATTCATAATGTGGGACCATGTTTTTAAAAAAGTTTCTAATGAAATTCTAGAAGCCACAAAAAAGCCATAAAGGACAATGTTACCCAGGATCCTCCTGCCCAACCTGCATGCCCGTTTCTTCACCCTGTCCTGAATGTGCTGTTCAGCATTCTTATGCTTTTTAAATATTTACATGGCATATGCAGATATTTCTAAAAATATACAGTTCAGTTCTGAAATGCTTTAAAACTTTATAGAAATGATATCATCTCCTGCAACTTGATAGGGCTTTTTTCAGGTTTCTTTACTCCATTTTGCTTTGTGAATTTTACCCTCATTGACATGTGTAGCTCTCAGGGGTTGATTTTCTCTGCAGTATGAGTTTACCAATCTCCTATTGATGGATGGGTACTTTCCAACCTTCTGCTCTAAGGTCTGCTCTGAATCTCCACGGATGTATGTGTGTACATGTGTGAGTTTCTCCAGGGGCATGTATCTAGGAGTAGGGCTGAATATCTTTTTCTTTTTTTTTTTTTTTTTTGAGAGAAGGTCTTGCTCTGTTGTCCAGGCTGGAGTGCAATGGCATGATCTCAGCTCACTGCAACCTGCGCTTCCCAGGTACAAGTGATTCTCCTGCCTCAGCCTCCCGGGTAGCTGGGATTACAGACACGTGCTACTACGCCTGGTTAATTTTTGTATTTTTAGTAGAGATAGGGTTTCACCATGTTGTCCAGGCTGGTCTCAAACTCCTGACCTCAAGTGATCTGCCCCACTCAGCCTCTCGAAGTGCTGGAATTACAGGCGTGAGCCACCGTGCCCGGCCGGGCTGAATATCCTCAACAACTTTTTACAAATATATCTAACAAAATTTCAAATACATGTGCTTTTTGACCCAGTAATTCTACTTCCTGGATTCCAAAATTAAAAAAACTTAGATGGCCATAAAGATGTTATGTTCTATGAGGTTCAAGGCAGCACTGTCTGTAATAGCAAAACACCTACCAAAGGGGAGAGCTACCTTCGACAACATCCCACAAATATTTATTGAGTACTGACCATGTGCATGAGACACTGCTACAGGTGTCAGAGAAACAGTTCTCATACAGCTTAGGGGAGAAGGTCAGGAAGCAAAAGAAACAAGGCTCCTGCCCTCACAGAGCAGAAATAATGAGCATTTTCCTCCAGGGAGAAAAAGAGGCAAACCTCGTCATCCAGAGCATGATTTCACAACCAACATTTCAGAACATAATCCTTTGACATGGGTGGCTGGAGGATGCCCAGCAGCATCTCTGCCTCTACCCACTAGATGCTAGTAGTGATCCCGAGTCCTGACAAGATATTGCCAAGTGCCCCTTGTGGGGCAAAACTGTCCTCGGTTGAGAACCACTTATTTGGGACCACCAACTGGCCCTCTTTGGACTCAACCTTCTGGTGTGACCCTCAAACAGTAGAAAGTCAATAAAAATGTCAAACAGGACAGAATAAAGACCCTCACTGAGATCAGGCTGGAGTGTGTCTCTCGTCTGGCTCTTGTTATACACTAGTACAAATAACAGAGGTCAAGTGTACCGAGGTGGCACCACAACCCTGGGAGTCCCCATTCCTGGGCTACGTGCAAATCAAATGACAACTAGATTGGCTGTGCATATCCTTCAAGAACGATGTCTGTTTCATTTTACTACCAATCACACAGAATCTCTCTCTAAGGGCCAAACACAAATCACACCTGCAGTAGCAGTGCTTTGGGATGCTGAGGTGGGAGGATTGCTTGAGGCCAGGAGTTCAGGGCCAGCCTGGGCAACAGAGCAAGACCCTGTCCCTACAAAATGTTAAAAAAAAACACAAAAACCCAAAACAAAGAGTCTCACTGTTGCCTAGGCTGGACTGCAGTGGTGCATTCTTGGCTCCCTGAAACCTCTGCCTCCCGAGTTCAAGCGATTTTCCTGACTTGGCCTCGCTAGTAGCTAGGATTGCAGGCATGCGCCACCGTGACTGGCTAATTTTTGTATTTTTAGTAGAGACGGGGTTTCATCACATTGGCCAGACTGGCCTCAAACTCCTGATCTCAGGTGATCCACCCGCCGCCGCCTCCCAAAGTGCTGGGATTCCAGGGGTGAGCCACCGAGCCCCGCCTACAAAACATTTTAAAATTAGGCTTGATGGTACATGCCTGTAGCCCCAGATACTCGGGAGGCTGAGGGGGAAGGATCGTTTGAGTCTGGGAGTTTGAGGCTGTAGTGAGCCGTGATCAGTCCAGCCTGGGTGAGAATGCAACACCTTGTCTCAACAAAACCCCAAAACAACAACAAAATACATATACACACAGACACACAACCTAAACCCTATTGTTTTAGGATAACCACAGCAGCAAAGCCGGCCTAATAATGTATTCATCCTCTATCCTGACTGGCTTACCCCGTGGGTATTACGCCTCATGCTTTCTTGTGTGTTTTTATTTTGTTTGGTGAACATTTACTAAATATTTCTGGATGGAATACATACACACTAGCCAACTCCTAGCCTCACCCTTGAGATGGTGGGCAGTTTCCCTGCCATGCCTCAGTCCCCGCAGACCTGCTGAATCGATCTCCTGGGTCGGAGACCCGATCTGCCCTTTCAAAAGCTCCGCTGACGATTTCGAAGGCAGACAAGTTTCCCTAAGGAATGCAGACAGGTGAGGCAGACGGGAAAAATGTCATCATGGTACAACAGGTGCAATAAAGAGGCAGAACAGACCAGAAGCAGTGATCTCTGAGGGGCGTTTTGAAGGCTGGGAATTTTTGCCAGGTAGGGCATTCTGAGTACAAAGAAAAATGTGTACATGCATGGATGCATGAAAAGGGGTTGGCATGTTGGATGGAACTGGACATTTCTGGGGGGTGGGAAGAGGGAAGATGCGGAGAGACAGGGGCCTCCATCTGACCCAAGTGTGTCCACTGGTCTGTGCTTCTGATCCACACCATCCCCCACAGCGAACCACTGGGCAGTCTGCTGTGGTTGTTGAAATGCACCCCGCCACCTGCTCCAGAACCTGCCTCTCCTCTTCTGCATTTTCAACTCAGACTCACCCTTTCAAATCTAGTTCAGACACCACTTCTTCAACAAAGCTGCTTGTGATTTCCTCGGCCAGAAACAATCTCCCTTTCTCTAACTACATTTAGTTCTTCATCACTAGCTTTCAGGCCTTGATTAGCAGGTATCTGGGTCATGTTTTATCTCCTGTTAGTTCATCAGCTACTGAGGGGCAAAGTACACATCCGGTTTGACTTCGTGGCTTCCACGACACAGCTGGGGCTGAAAAAGTATTCGCAGAATGTGCTACAAAGGTACATTATTGGAGGTAGAATTTATACGTCTCCATCAGATTAGCTACAGAATAAGTCCCATCATGCTGCCTGATCTTGACTAAGTTTGCTTTTACTTTATGAAAAGTATGTCATTTTTTGACTCCATTCCAAACCCAAAAAGCTGTGGCCACATACAGCAGGGTGTGCTGGGGAGAACAAGGGCTCTGGAGAGCAGCCACACCTGAGGGATCTTGGACAAAGCCACTCAACCTCCCTGCAAAATGCTGGTACAAAAACACTACTGCGAGCTAAGCAACCCAGAACACTGCCCGGCACAGAGCAGAGGCTCAGCAGATGGCTGTCCCGGGATGGCGTCTTGCAGCCTTCGGACCCAGACCACAGTCCAAAAAGGTCGAGTTGCCCAAGGTCACACCTCTAGATAGTGTGGCATTTGGGCAGAATCATACTTGCCTTCCTAAACCTTAGCAAGACAACTCTCCACTCTTGATGATGAACTGGATACAACAACCCCAGGCAGCTAAAATCACGAGTGAAGTCGAAAAAACTCAGGAGTGAAGATCGCTGATTCTATTCTCTAACGCATCTCTTCTAGTGGAAAAAGCCCTCTTCTTTTGGCAATTTTGGGTTAAGACTAATTTTATTTACAGCGCCAGCAATGAAATGAGATGGAATTTTACAGACGCCGTGTAGGACCCCTGGAAGGACAATGAGAGTACCCACCCCAAAAGCATAGTATCTGTATGCAAAAACAGTGACAGAGACAGAGAGAGAGAGAGAAAGAAAATGCTGAGAAGCAGCAATGAAGAGAAGAAAATGCTGGGCCGTGGCACTTGCTGTGCCTGAGACCTGAAAAGCTCAGTTGGTTCCTTTTAATTCATTCAGGTCTCAGGGGCAGCGTCTGGCCTACGGGCCCACCCACTCTAAAGCGGCCCCCTGTCCCTCCCAGAACCTGCCTGATGTTCGTTCTTCGAGTGTGTTGAAGGCCGCACCTCCTGCACTTAGGTGGGAGTGCGGGCAACCCCGTCTCTGAGTGCCCCACAGAGGCTGAACGAGTGGTCAAAGGCGTGTCAGACGAGCTAGGCAGCACAGGGGAGCCCCGGGCAGGGCTGTGGAGGCAGAGAGGGCACGACGGCGTCCCAGGCAGAGGGCCCAGCGTGAGCATCGGCTCCTCAAGTGAGGCTCCTGGGGTGAAAACGCCAGGGTGGTGGCAGGTGGGGGCCGAACGCCGTCCCTAAGGGGCTCAGCTTCGGGACACCCTGAGTCTTGACTGGGGCCGGATACTGGCCACCCCGGCCAAGCAGCTAACCCCGCCGCGGGGCCTCGGCCCCCTCCGGGCCTCAGTTTCCCCACGTCGCTCCCGGAGCCTCACCTGGGGCGGCAGCAGGCGTGGCGGGCACGGGGGCTCGGCGCCAGGGTCCCGCTGGAGGGCGGCCTGATGGGCCGCGGCGGCAGCAGCTGCGCCTTCGTCACCCGCTTCAGGACCTGCCGCAGCTGCTCGGGGCCCAGCGGGGCCACACGTGCAACGCTGCCCTGGCCCGGAGAAGCCTGGCCGCCGCATCCGCCGCGGCGGCTGAAGCGGGGACTCCAACCTGGGTCGCTGGGCGACGACGTGCCTCACCTGGGAAAGCGGCGGGCTACGAGTGCCCCGCAGGCCAAGACACCTCGGAAGGCGACGCTGCCCGGCCGGGACAGCCGCCGCGGCCCCTAGGGCCGATCAGCACAGCGGACCCACCTTATTTTCTCATTGCCTGTCACGGATGTGTTTAACACTCAGATGTCACCTCCTCCGGGAGCTGTCCCCGATCTCCCAGGCGGAGGTCTTTGAGGTTCCAAAGCCCCTGACCCAAAAGTTATCACATTCTTTGAGGTTCCAAAGCCCCTGGCCCACAAGTTATCACGTTATCCACGTGTTCTGACGTCATCGTGCACCCCAATCAGCGGAGGATCCTGCCTGGATACGCGGAGTCCTAGGTCCACCAGCAAACGTTTAGGTTTATAAATCTGAGAGGGGACCCAAAGTTTGAATTTTTAACAAGAGCGCTTCCCAACCCCCAAACTGTTCCCATGTCACCCTACCGTCTCTCCCCTCACCCACCCAGGCTGCGTGTACCTTGAAGGGAGAGACGATATGTTACTCATTCGGTGCCCATTACAGGCCCTGCCCAGAACGCACGCTCAAGGCGTGAAAGATGGATGGATGCATAGAAACCAATAAATGAACGGGTGAACAAATCCACGAACCCACCCTCTCCACATGTCCGTCCCATCCATCCAGCCCCAGTGCCCCGTCTTCCTCAGCCCGATCGCCTCTCTTACAGGGTCGAGGCTCTGTGCACCCTCCCCACCGAGTCTTGTAGCTGCAGGTGTGTACACACGTCCCAGTCCCAGTCCCAGTCCCAGTCCCTCTCCCCAGGGAGCGTAGGAGGTCCACTGGCCAACAAACACTTATTAAGCGCCTGGTGGGTGAGTCGCCATTCCCTCCCTGTGGGGTACCACGGGTCTAGCTGGCGAGAAGGAGGAAACCAGCATTTGCAGTACAGTATGATGAGCACCATGAAGCCAGGAAAGGTAAGGCTGGGGGGGGGGGGGGGGGCGCCAGGCTGGTGTCAGAGAAGGTTCTGGAACATCACCATCATCCTCATCAATACTTCGCATTCACGATGCTCCCTGCTATTTTTTAATGGTGAATTTCATATGATGGGTATCTTACCACATTTTTTTTTGTTTGTTTGTTTTTAGACAGGGTCTCACTCTGTTGCCCAGGCTGGAGTGCAGTGGCGCCATCTCAGCTCGCTACAACCTCGACTTCCCGGGCTCAGGTGATCCTTCCACCTCAGCCTCTGGAGTAGCTCGGACTACAGGCATGCGCTACCATGCCCAGCTAATTTTCGTTTCTTTTTTTTTTTTTTTTTTTTAATAGAGAGAGGATCTCACCATGGTGCCCGGGCTGGTCTCCAACTCCTGGGCTCAGATGATCCACTTGCCTAGGCCTCCCAAAGTGCTGGAATTACAGGCGTGAACCACTGCGCCTGGCCCAAGTCAATCTTTCCTAGTTCCTTCCCAAGAAGGGATTTATGACAACTGAGTTCTTTTGAGATCTTTTGGGAAGCTCTGCTTTTCAGCAGACAAGAAATTTCAGGAATTCAAATGCCTTCTGCTCAAAATAATTTTCACGCCACCGTGGCACATTCTAAACCCCTTCAAGTTCAGGAAACTTGAGGGCAGCAGCCTCCACCGACTCCTCCGTGCTCTGTCCCTGCATCTAACCCGGCACGACTACTGCAAGATGTGACATCCAACTTGTTGCGTACAGGTTTCTATTGCAGGTGTCAGCCGACCCAGGCTCTCCTAACGTTGCTTATAGTAGCAGCAGCGCCACCAGCCGGCGTTTATTGAGAACTTTCACTACACCCTGGGCACTTACCAAGGTTTTAAGCCAGTAGTCTGTAGATTTTGAGCAGCTACTGATTTAGGTCAGAGTTAGTAGATGTTTCCACTGGAGAGTTTTCAAAAGCAGGTGGAGCCCCTGCTGGATCGTGACAGAAAATGGCACTGACCCTACACAACTGGCTTCGTTCAACGGAGCACACCTGACCACCCCAGAAACTTGAACCACCAGCGAGAAACTCATCCACTTGCTCTGGCTGCAAAATGCAGAACCAAGAGGAAGAAATGTGAAGCCTAAGATGTCTCTGAAAAGAAACGGGGGGTGGGGGGGAAGAGCAAGAGAAGGTTTCCAGAGGCTTCCACAACCAGAACGCCTCTCTAAAAACATGGCAGGCATCTACTGGCTGGTCACTTTCTCCACGTGGCTTGGGATTTGTGTCTCACTTACCGCTTTGCTCCCCGCCTAGAACGGTGCTGGGCATGCAGTAGCCCTACACACCATCTGTGGAATGCATTCATTGCAGACCTGGATTTTCAACCCTAAGACTTCCCCGCAAGGCGGCCAAGGGAACACGAGGCGGTGACATCTGGGAGCACCCGTCTTCACTGGGCGATTCCTCCAGGGGAGCCACAGCCTCAGGAAGCGCGGGGGCGGCAGGGGTGGGGGCTGAGGGCCGGAGATGTGGATCGCTTTGGATATCCTGAGTGGCCTGCAGGTGGCGGAGGGTGCAGGGACTCGGGTGCGGAGCCACCGCCCCAGCGCATGCCTGGTACCTCCCGCTCTCCCCAGCAGGCTGCCCTCGACAACCTCTGGGCGGGGAGACCAAGAGATCCTGCAGTTCGCTCCTACCCGCACGCCGCTCACAGTACCCGAAAGGCGCATTTTTCACAAACTGTTGTAGAAAGAGTTCATGGCGGGGTGGCGGCGGGGAAAAAAAAAAAAAAAAGCTAACGCCGTGGCCGGTGCGGGAGTCGAGCCCGCGACCTTGGTGTTATCAGCACCACGCTCTTACCAACTGAGCTAACCGGCCGCCCGACGGCACAGTGCCCCTGGAGCGTATAAAAGGGCTCCACGTTCGCGCCCGTCCACGAGCGATTCCTCGCCAAGCCCGCGCGCCTCTGGCTGCCTTCCGCTTTGCCCCAGCCGCGGGGACTCCGGGGAGGAGCCACCGCCCCAGCGCTGGCCGGGTTTCTCCCGCTCCTCCCTGCCAGGCTGTCCTCGACAACCTCTGGGCCGAGTCCAAGAGATCCCGCAAGTCGCTCCTGCCCGCATGGGGCTTACAGAACCTGAAAGGCGCATTTTGAAAAAGAGTTGCAGAAACAGTTCATGGGGAGAAAACAAAGAAACAAACCAACAAAAAACTGGGACTAGGGCCGGTGCGGGGATCAAGCCCGCGACCATGGCGGTATCAGCACCACGCGCTCACCAACTGAGATAACCGACCGCCCGACCATCTAGTGCTGCCCGAGCGTCTGAAAGGGCTCCGTGTTCGCGCCGGCCCGCGACTGATTTCCTTGCAGAGCCCGCGCCACTGGCTGCCTCCCCGCTTGGCCCCAGCTGCGACTTCTGACCGCCTCACTGTCATCCCCATTGGGTGGATGCAGAAACTGAGACCTAGGAGACTTCAAGGAGAAGGGAGGCGGCTTCCTACAGGGAACCGCAGGCTTCCACAGGGAAAATGCAAATTGCACATGGGAGGCTTGGCTCTGCAGTGAGGTTTTCAAACATTCCCATTCAATGCTGGTTTTAACTCTGAGAATCCTGAGGCCTGGCAACTTCGTGTATCAAGAGCCTTTCAGCATGGTTAAATCTAGCTCAGAAAACCCAGAAAACCAAAGGCCAAAAGAACCACCGAATTCCCTATTGCCCAAAAAATAACGGCTGCAGGGGTCTCGACTTCCTTCTTGTCCATTTTTATTTCCTTTCACTGTACACATGTATTTCTATATATATACACGGAATCCTTGCGCCAGGAGTGGTGGCTCTTGCCTTTAATCCCAGCACTCCGGGATGAATAAATAAATGAATGGAATGGAAAGCCTTGCTTGAAAAAGTGTATTCTGTCTTCCTTTTTGCATTTAATAGTCTGTCATTAAGTATATCCCGAAATAATTGCAAATGTCATTTTCAATGATTCATTCAAAAAAAAGAAAAGAAAAAAAATGAGACGGGGAAAGACAGAAATAGAGAAACACAAAATGATATTGTTTGGCCATGTCCCCACTGAAATCTCAACTTGAATTTTATCTCCCAGAATTCCCTCGTGGTGTGAGAGGGACCCAGGGGAAGTACCTGAATCATGGTGGCCGGTCTTTCCTGTGCTATTCTGGTGATAGTGAATAAGTCTCATGAGATCTAATGGGTTTATCAGGGTTTCTGCTTTTGCTTCCTCCTCATTTTCTCTTGCTGCCACCATGGAAGAAGTGCTTTTCGCCCTCCGCCATAATTACGAGACTTCCTCAGCCTGTGGAACTGTCAGTCAAATTAAAGCTCCTTTTCTTCCCAGTCTTGGGTATGTCTGTATCAGTGGCATAAAAACAGACTAATATAGTAAATTGGTACCGGGAGTGGGGTATTGCTGAAAAGATACCCAACAATGTCACAGCGACTTTGGAATTGGGTAATAGGCAGAGGTTGGAACAGTTTGGAGGGCTTAGAATAAGGCAGGAAAATGTGGGAATGTTTGCAACTTCCTAGAGACTTGTTGAATGGCTTTAGCCAAAACGCTGATAGCGATTATGACAATAAGGTCCAGGCTGAGGTGGTCTCAGATAGACATGAGCAACTTCTTGGGAACTGGAGCAAAGGTGACTCTTATTATGTTTTAGCAAAGAGACTGGTGGCATTTTGCCTCTGCCCGAGAGATTTGTGGAACTTTGAACTTGAGAGAGATGACTTAGAATATCTAGCAGAAGAAATTTCTAAGCAGCAAATCATTCAAAATGTGACTTGGGTGCTGTTGAAAGCATTCTGTTTTAAAAGGGATACAGAGCATAAAAGTTTGAAAATCTGCAGCCTGATGATCCAGTAGAAAAGAAAAATCCATTTTTGGGGGGAGAAATTCAAGCCAGCTGCAGAAATTTGCATAAGTAGGAAGGAGTCTAATGTCTCCAGGCCATGTCACAGACCTTCACAGCAGCCCCTCCCATCACAGGCCCAGGAGAAAAAAGTGGTTTTGTGGGCTGGGCCCAGGGTCTCTGTGCTGTGTGCAGCCTAGGGACTTGGTACCCTGGGTTCCAGCTGCTCCATCTGTGACTGAAAGGAGCCAACGTAGAGCTCAGGCTGTGGCTTCAGAGGATGGAAGCCCCAAGCCTGGGCAGCTTCCATGTGGTGTTGAGCCTGCAGATGCACAGAAGTCAAGAATTGAGGTTTGAGCACCTCCGCCTAGATTTCAGAAGATGTATGGAAATGCCTGGATGTCCAGGCAAAAGTCTGTGGCAGGGGTGAGGCCCTCATGGAGAACCTCTGCTAGGGCAGTGCAGAAGGGAAATGTGGGGTTGGAGCCCCCACACAGAGTCCCTACTGGGGCACTGCCTAGTAGAGCTGTGAGAAGAGAGCTACTGTCGTCCAAACCCCAGAAAGGTAGATCCACCAACAGCATGCACCATAGGCCTGGAAACACAACAGACACTCAACGTCAGCCTGTGAAAGCAGCAGGGAGGGATGTTGTACCCTGCAAAGCCACAGGCACAGAGCTGCCCAAGACCATAGGAATCCACCTCTTGCACCTGATGTGAGACCTGTAGTCAAAGGAGATCATTTTGGAGCTTTAAGATCTGACTGCCCCACTGGATTTTGGACTTGCACGGGCCCTATAACCCCTTTGTTTTGGCCTATTTCTCCCATTTGGAATGGCTGTATTTACCCAATACCTGTATCCCCATTGTATCTAAGAAGTAACTAGCTTGCTTTTGATTTTACAGGCTCATAGGTGGAAGGGACTTGCCTTGTCTGACTGTGGACATTTGGGTTAATGCTGAAATGAGTTAAGACTTTGGGGGGACTGTTGGGAAGGTACAGTTAGTTTTGAAATGTGAGGACATGAGATTTGGAGGGGCCGGGGTGGAATTATACGGTTTGACTGTGTCCCCACTGAAATGTCAACTTGAATTGTATCTCCCAGAATACCCACGTGTTGTGGGAGGGACTCAGGGGGAGGTAACTGCAATCATAGGGGCGGGTCTTTCCCGTGCTATTCTCATGATAGTGAATAAGTCTCACGAGATCTGATGGGTTTTCAGGGGTTTCTGCTGTTGCTTCCTCCTCATTCTCTCTTGCTGCCGTCATGTAAGAAGTACCTTTTGCCCTCTGCCATGATTATGGGACTTACCCAGCCATGTGGAACTGTAAGTCAAATTAAACCTCCTGGCCAGGCATGGTGGCTTACACCTGTAATCTCAACACTTTGGGAGGGTGAGGTGGGTGGATCACCTGAGGTCAGGAGTTCCAGACCAGCCTGGCCAACATGGTGAAGCCCCGTCTCTACTAACAGTACAAAAATTAGCCAGGAGTTGGGGCACGCACCTGTAATCCCAGCTACTCAGGAGGCTGAGGCAGGAGAATTACTTCAACCCGGGAGGCAGAGGTTGCAGTGAGCCTAGATCGCGCCACTGCACTTCAGCCTGGGCGACAGGAGCAAGACTCCGTCTCAGAAAAAAAAGAAATTCAACCTCCTTTTCTTCTAAGTCTAGGGTATGTCTTTATCAGCAGCGTAAAAACGACTAATACAGAGAGTAATGCATAAAGACACAGAAAGAGGGAGAGAGACAAAAAGAGAAAGAGAGAGAGAGAGAGAGAGAATGTAATAGGAGAAAGGGAGGGACAGGAGAAAAAGAGAGGGCCCTCTTCCCACTATCCTTCCAAAATCAGGGTTTCCTCATGACCCCTTCCTCAAGGCCTAGGTGCCAAAAAGGTCACTGAAGGAAGCACAGTCCCCTCTTCCTCAGCAGGCCTGAAGGCTCCTGGGCTATGGCTGCTGGTCTTCCTAAGCCAGAAGCTATAACCCTGAGCCATTGGGCTTCCCAGCCTAGCTTCCTCCTGTCCAAAATGAGAGGACAAACAGGAGTTAGAGAGCCTGAGAAGACCTGTCCCAGCAACACACCCCCCTAAGAAGGCACAGGCTGACCACTGACAACTGTTTAAATCCAGCGCCCACGTTCGGCTGGGATATTCTGACCCACTCAGGGCTGCCCCATAAACCAGCGCGTGGTCCGGATCCAAGCGCACCGAGAACTCGAAACCTCTCTGTCAAGCTGCCCATTGGGAGTTAAGTTCAAAGAGGACAAAGGAAACGAGATAAAGCGTCCAATACAAGAATTACCCATTTCAGACGCACAAGACGAAGAGCACAGGCGGTGTCAGGACATGTTAGGATCCGTCCCCAACTCCGCCGTCTTCATCCCCACAAAGCCACGGAACACCTGTACCCCGGAGCCCAGCTGCTCCTGCAGCCCCTGGAGAAATCTGTACATTCCCCGCCGAGGACCCTGCCGCTGGGCACACTGGGAGGCTGGCCTGAGGGACCCCGCGCCCGTGTCCCTGGGGCCGCTGCCTGGGAGAGCGCACGATTTACCCCAGGCGAGGTGACCCACAGGAAGTTTGGTGACGTCGGATGGCCCAGGCCCCAGAGTGCTGTGTGTGCTGGGGGTGGAGGGTGGTCCCCGACAGGAGCCGTCGGCGTTCCAGGGAAGGCACCCGGTCGGTCGGGGGACTCGCCGGGGCTGGGGGGTGCGCTCTACTTCTCCGAGCGCCCCCCAGGGAGACCCAGGGCGCAGGGGCAGCCCCGCGCTGGGATCCCGAGCCGCAGCGGCGGGGCAGGGCCCTCCCCAGGAGGCGGGCACCCGGGGCCCTTTGTCCTACGACAGCGTCCCGGCCGCGCCGCGCGCCCCTGTGGGCCGAGTCCCCGCGCGCACTCACTCACCCACGGTGACCAGCGTGTCGAAGTCTTGAAGGCGGTTGGCAGGCGGCTCCGGCGACCGCGACTCGGGGCTGGGGCAGAGCTCGGGCGCCCAGTCCGGGGTCTCCTCTGCCACGGCCGCCTGGGCCAGCCCGGGCGCCTTCATGGGGACGCACTCAGGTCCGGGGCGCCGGGCCGGGCCGGAGCGCTCGGGGAGCCGGGCTTCCGCGGATGCAGCCTCGGAGGGCGGCGCGGCGGCATCAACGGAGGCTCCCCATGCGCGCCATGCGGCTTGTGGAGGCCATCCTGCCCACCCGGCCCGGAGCCCGCAAGACGCCAATGCGCCTTCCGGTGCGCGCGCGGCCGGGCGCGGCTGACGGAGCGGCGGGGACAATGGCTGGCCGTCGCTCACGGCACAAGCAGCAACGGCCCCAGGTAGCAGCAGCCGCCGGCCTCGTGGGGCGGGCACGGAGCGCCGGGAGGCGGCGGGGAAGGCGGGGGCCGCGGCCCGGGCTTGTAGAGCCAGGCGGGGGCCCTGCGCATTCCCAGTCTCGCGCCCGCGGCCTCCTGCAGCTCGGTAGCAGCGTGCGCGTTGAAGAGGCGGGCGGAAGCCGCCTGGGCGAGGCCTAGGGGCTGGGGGCGTCGCCTTCGCACGCGCTCCGCCCCTGCCGCGACCCAGCCCAGGAGCCAGAGACCTGGGCGTGCCCCGCCACCGTGGGCAGGCGCGGCCCTGGGGAGGTGCTCACGCCCCCTCCGCGCCCGAGGCGCCCCTCGGGTGGCACCCAGGACGACCTCTCACCGCGACCTACCGCCCCGACCCTCTTAGGCGCAGAGGCGCACAGGTCCAGACCCGGCTACTCAGGAGGGAGGAAACATTTTACAACCTGTTCTCTCTTGTCTTTGAAGCCTGCTAGCTAAAAGCTTCATCTGCATAGTAAAACTTTGGTCTCCACCACCTCTTATCACAACCCAGACATTCCTTTCTGTGATCCCAGGTCTTCAGATAAACTCAACCAGCTGTCAACCAGAAAATGTTTAAATTCACCCACAGCCTGGAACCCCCTTTCCTCCACCCCCTCGCCCCCACCCACCACTTCTACTTGTCTCTTTTCTGGACCAAACCAATGTATTTCTCAAATGTATTTGATTGCTGTCTCATGCCTTCCTAAAATGTATAAAACCAAACTGCACCCCAACCACCTTGGGCACATGTTCTCAGGACCTCCTGAGGGCTGTGTAATGGGCCATGGTCAGTCGTATTTGGCTCAGAATAAATTTCTTCAAATATTTTACAGAGTTTGACTCTTTTTGTTGACACCTTTTCTTAGACAGCTACTACAAGATGTTCTTCAGAAAATGGACGGCGCAAACTGAGAACAAGTAAGAGGTGGATTCAGAAAGTTAGGAGATCCGGTGGAGGAGAGAAGTGTAGTTGGTGGCCAGGGTGACAGCCATTCACCAGGTTCCATAGACAAACAGTTCATGTTGGAGATGGGGTTCAAGAGATGCTAGACGGAGCCGTCCAGGAAGAAAGAGCAGGAATGAATGGACAAAAAGTATGGGAGTTAGAAAAACTGATGAATTTAGGGGCACATGGTAGGCCTTTTGGAGCACTGGGATAAAATAGTTTCAGGCACTAAGTAAATTTTATATAAAAAGAAGGCAGCCCAGTGCAGTGGCTCATGCCTGTAATCTCAGCAACTCCAGAGGCTGAGTTGGGAGGATCACTTGAGCTCAGGAGTTTGAGGCTGCAGTGAGCTATAATTGCACCACTGCACTCCAGCCTTCTAGCTTGGGTGACAGACCCTGTCTCCAAAAAATAAAAAGGCAATTACTAACTCCAGGAAAAAGGAAAGAAAGAAAACATAATCATTGTAGTCACTGGTTCATCTTTGAATATCATTGCAATGGTCATTATAATGGAAACACTGATGATTTCTTAAACCAAATATTGTGACCTAAATGTTTACAAGAATGTGGTAGGAGGGAAAGGACATTTGTGATTGGATGGAAAGGCAGGCAGGAGAGTGTCACAGTCTGAGGGGTTCTTCTTTCCTGCTGCCCCCCAAAAACCCAGTGCACTGAGAACAGCAGATGTTGCAGCAAAGAGGGAGGTTAATAATTGCAGGGACAGCTAATTGAGAAGAATAGGAGAGGTTTCTCAAATCTGTCTCCCTAAAAAGTTGGAAACTATGGTTTTTCATGGTACTTTTGTGGGCAGAAGCCTGGGGAACTGCAACAACTGATAGACTATGGATGAAATCTCAGGGGTGTCTAAAACTGTCTTTCTGCAGGTGAGTTAGTTCCCAGGAGAGGGTATCTCAGGACCAGGTGGCATCTCTTGGTCTGCCAAAATGCTAAATCTGAAAAATATTTCAAAGACCATTGTTTAGGTTTTACAATAGTAATGTTATCTACAAGAGTAGTTTGGGAAGTTATACATCTTGTGATCCCTGGTTACATGACTCTGGTGCAGTGAACAACTTACATGAAAACACACTAAGTGATGGCAGGTCATTGATTAACTATGCCTATTCTTTAGCAAAGTTCAAGCCCCTACAGTAATTCTAACCTTGTTTTCTGAATGTGGCTTTAATCTGCAGTCAAGGAGTGGGGTCAGTTTCCTTGCCTCAGAGTTTAACTCTCTCTCTCTCTCACTCTCTCTGTGTGTGTATAAATATATATACACAATTATTTACTATTTATTTATTTATTTATTATTTTTTGAGACACAATATTGCTCTGTTGTCCAGGTTGGAGTGCAGTGGTGTGATCTTGGCTCACTGCAGCCTCAACTTCCTGGGCTCAAGCGATCCTCTCACCTCAGCCTCCTGAGTAGCTGGGACTACAGGTGCACACCACCATGCCTGGCTAATTTTTGTAAATTTTTTTTTGAGAAGGGGTTTCACTATGTTCCTGAGGCTGTTCTCCAACTCCTGGGCTCAAGCAATCCTCCTGCCTCGGTCTCCCAAGGTGCTGGGTGGCACCACACCTGGCTTCAAATTTTAACTATAAACTAACTTCCTCACGCAGTTATCTTGGCTGCCACACTAGAATAAGCAAAAACAAAACAATTTAGCCTGTGAGGTCTGATGGAAGATGGAGTCAGTCACGTTAGATTTCTCATATTTGTTTTTCTTTTCCTTTTTTTTTTGATGGAGTTTTGCTGTTGTTGCCCAGGCTGGAGTGCAATGGCGTGATCTCAGCTCACTGCAACCTCTGCCTCCTGGGTTCAAGTGAGTCTCCTGCCTCAGCCTCCCGAGTAGCTGGGATTACAGGCACCCGCCACCATGCCTGGCTAATTTTTTTTTTTTTTTAATAGAGACGGAGTTGCACCATGTTGGCTGGCTGGTTTTGAACTCCTGACCTCAAGCGATCTGCCTACCTCAGCCTCACAAAGTGCTAGGATTACAGGCATGAGCCACCGCACCCAGCCAAGATTTCTCACATTTCTTATAATTCTGCAATCTCAGTTTCAAGACCAAATCCCCAATAACCATAAGGCGTAAAATTGACAAATCTTGAAACTGTAGTGTAAGAATATTACATAGCACCATGATTGTAAATATGAAAACAAACATTTAAAAGATTGAAATTGAATAGAGGCTGGGAATGGGACATTTTGATACAAGGAGGTTTTTTTTTAAGTACTAACTCTTTCATATTTCCTTTACAATAATCTGCTTAAACTTTAAGAACATTTGGAAAAGAAGGTGTCACAGATGTTCCCTTCCAGTCAGACACGTCTTCACTTCTTTGGTTTTACTCCTCTTCTCTGGAGAGATCATGGCAGAGCTTGGCACCGTATATATACTCATGGGGCACTGATGGCAGTGGACATTTGAGTGAGGCAGTCTTTGTTTTTTACTTTTGGAGGGTGATTGTGAAGATGAAATGAAATAACCCACATGGCAATGCCCACAATTCACAAGGCACATAAACAGGGTGTCAGGAAATACTAGCTCAGCAGAGATTCTACATTCATCTTTTCCCTGAGAATGATAATGAGGGATGTTTAGTACTGAAATCAGAAAGAATCAAAACACAGGTATATCTACATATTCTTAGATACAGCAGAAATGTGTTAGTTTTTCTCTGTCCTGGAACAGAAGCAGATGCAGAGATGCAAGTGTTAAAAACTGCATGGTAGAATAAATACTCCATACACTTGGAGTGGCCACATTTAGCAAATAAAAATTGTAATAAATTTAAATTTCAGATAACACATTTTAAAATGTTTTAAATTTTAATTATATTTATTCTACTTTTTTATTTTTATTTTTTGAGACAGGGTCTCACTCTGTGGCCCAGGCTGGAGTACAGTGGTGTGATTACGGCTCACTGCAGCCTCTACCTCTTCGGGCTCAGGCGATCCCCACACCTCAGCCTCCTGAGTAGTTGGACTACAGGTGTGCACCATTTCGCTCAGCTAATTTTTGTATTTTTGTAGAGACAGGGTTTCACCATGTTGCCTAGGCTGGTCTTGTACTCCTGGGATCAACAATCCCCCCACCTCAGCCTCCCAAAGTCCTAGGATTCCAGGTGTGAGCCACTGCACTTGGCCAAGTAACAGATTTTTGAGTATCAGTATGCCCCATGTCACACTGGGGGCATATGGATACTAAAAAATTATTCAGTATTTATCTGAAATTCACATTTAATTGGTGTTGTGTCTTTTATCTGGAAACCTTATAGATGGCTGAATTTGCAGCTGTCATGTCACTGTTTGTGGCTTAATGAAGGAATTCATTTGCCATTTACAAAAATTCAGTACCCAGAAGGAGAAAGGGGATGCTGTTTGGAAGAACATGATGTCACTGCCAATGCTGAATTAACTTGGTGGTCTGGAATACACAATCTGTGAGCATCAGTCTCTGTTTTTGTTTTTGTTTTTGTTTTTGTATTTGTTTTTGTTTTTGTTTTTGAGATGGAGTCTTGCTCAGTCATCCAGGCTGGAGTGCAGTGGCATGATATCTGTTCCCTGCAACCTCTGCCTCCTGGGTTCAAGTGATTCTCCTGTCTCAGTCTCCCAAGTAGCTTGGACTACAGGTGCGCACCACCATGCCCAGATAAATTTTGTATGTTTAGTAGAGATGGGGTTTCACCATGTTGGCCAGGCTGAGCCTTCAGAGGGAGTGTGGCTCGGACCGCACCTTGATTTCAGACTTCTGGTCTCTAGAAATGTGAGAATGCACATTTATTGAGACTCATTCAGTGTCTCAATTTATGGAACTTTGTTAAAACAGACCTAGGAAAATAATACTCCCAATCAGAAGGACAGAACAAACAAGTGGAATTGTCAACACAACACAAAATTGGAGGTATGTACCTTTTTTAGCAGTAATTGTATATTAACTTGCTCTTCCAAAGTGGTGGTTTGGAGAATGGATAAACCCAAGTGTCAAGGATGAAAATAATGATCAATTGAACTCCATATGGAATATAAACCAATTTCACCCTCTCAATATAATATGGGTAATTATTTACTCTTCATGTTGATTTAATATTTGCTTTTATAGAATGAAAAAATATAGGTACACTCACAACTAGGGGCCCTAATCAATGATCATTTATCATGAGCATTTGATTTTCAACACATTATGAATTACATGGTGGTATAGTCAATGCAGCTCACAATAGTGGCTTTGAATCTGCATTGCCCCTGGCCATATGACCTTCAACATATATTTTGAGGTTGGGGGAACAGGAGGAATATTTTTTACGAATTTTGTGTTTGATCCAATATGGTTGTTTTTGAAAGGGCTGTGTGACCCTCTGTGGAAATAAAATTGATTTATAGCTGAACTGGACAAGCTCTATCTATCTCTTGCAACTACTAGAGGTCTGGTCTTTGACCCACGGTCAGTGGGTTTTATGAGATGTTGCTTAAAGTCTCATACTGGGCTTGGTAATTGTAGAATAGAGTGGTTCTTTGCTTTGCATGGTGGGATAAGATTTCTTTTTTAAAATTTTTAATTTTAATTTTTAATCTTTGTAGATACATAGTAGGTGTATGTATTTATGGGGTACATGAGTTGTTTTTGTTTTTTATGAAACAGAGTCTGGCTCCGTCACCGAGGCTGGAGTGCAGTAATGTGGTCTTGGCTCACTACAACCACTGACTCCTGGGTTCAAGCAATTCTCCTGCCTCAGCCCCCTGAGTAGCTGGGACTACAGGTGTGCACCACCATGTAAAGCAAATTCTTGTATTTTTAGTAGAAATGGGGTTTCACCATGTTGGGCAGGCTGGTCTCGAACTCCTGGCCTCAAGTGATCCGCTGGCCTTGGCCTCCCAAAGTGCTAGAATTACATGCATGAGCCACCGTGCCCAGCCTTACATGAGATGTTTCGATACAGGCATACAATGTGAAAGAAGCACATCATGGGGAATGGGATATCCATCCCCTGAAGCATTTATCCTTTCAGCTACAAACAATCCAATGACATTCTTTAAGTTCTTTTAAAATGTACAATTAAGAAATCCCTTGGTCGGGCTCAGTGGCTCACGTCTGTAATCCCAGCACTTTGGGAGGCCAAGGCTAGCAGATCACCTGAGGTCAGGAGTTCAAGACCATCCTGGCCTACATGATGAAACCTCGTCTCTACTAAAAATACAAAAAAATTAGTCAGGTGTTGTTGCACGCACTTGTTGTCCCAGCTACTCAGGAGGCTGAGGCAGCAGAATTGCTTGAACCCAGGAGGCAGAGGTTGCAGTGAGCTGAGATCATGCCATGCCACTATAGCCTGGGAAACTTCATCTCAAAAAAAAAAAAAAAAAAGCAAGAAATCCCTTGAGGGTCAATTTCTTTACTGATGGCTTGCAACTGGCCTAACCACTTGTGAAGTCAGTATGGCTTCACTATATTTAGGTGGTTCAATTCATGCATCAATACGAACCCTGGGATCTTGCACAAGGGTCTCTCTGTATCCCAATGCTGGCCTGCGCACACACTTTTTCTCTCTCTTGCTGTGCTGTGTCCTTCAGTGTTAAATAAAAGCTGTACCACTTCACACCCACTAGGATGGCTACGATTCACAAAATCCAGAAAATAGCAGGTGTCAGCCAGGATGTAGAGAAATGGGAATCTTTGTGCATTGTTGGTGAAAATGCTCAATGGTGCAGCCCCTGTGCAAAACAGTGTGGTGGTTTCTCCAATAATTAAACACAGAGTTAGCATAGGATCCAGCAATTCCACTTCTGGGTATATACTCAAAAGAATTGAAAGCAGGGTCTCAAAGAGATACTTGTAAACCTATGTCCGTAACACTGTTTTTCACTGTAGCCAAGAGGTGGAAGCAACCCAAGTGTCTATCAGCAGAGGAATGGATAAACGAAGTGTGGTCCATCCATACAATGAGACATTGTTCAGCCCTAACGAAGGAAATTCTGACACGTGCTGCAACGTAGATCAACCTTGAGGACATTATGCTAAGTAAAATAAGCCAGGCTCAAAAAGACTAATACTCTATGAGTCCATTCATGTGAAGTCTCTAGAGTCATCCAATGCATAGAGACAATGGTGGGCACTGGGCACTGGGGGAAGGGAACATGAGGAGTTAGTGTTTAATGGGGACAGAATCTCACTGAGGATATTAAAAAAGTTCTGGAGATAGGTGGTGGTGATGGTTGCATAACAGTGTGAATCCACTTAATGCCACTGAACCGTGCACTTAAAAATGGTTAAAATGGTGAGTTTTATATTATGTATATTTGACCAAAATAACAGATAGGTAGATACATAGATGATAGATACATCATACATGATAGATAGTTCATAGCTGGGTGATGATGATACACAAATACATAGATAAATGATAGGTGAGACAGATAGATGATAGGTGATAGATGATAGATGACAGATGGCTAGATGATAGGTAGATACATAGATGGTAGATAGATGATAGACAGAAAAATAGACAGATGATAGGTAGATGATAAGTAGATGATAAGTAGATAGATAGATAATAGGTAGATTATACACAGATGATAGATAGATGGGTAGATAGATGCTACATAGGTAGATAGATAGCCTCCAAGACAATGGGAGAATAAATGTCTGTTGTTTAAGCCCTGCAGTCTATGGTGTTCTGTTATAGCAGCTTGAAATGGACTAAGACACCTCATAAGAAGAGATGAGGACACAGACACACACAGAGAGACGACTGTATGAGGACAAAGGGAGAACACAGAGTCTACAAGCCAAGGAGAGAGGCCTCAGGAGGAACCAGCCCTGCCCACACCTTGATCTCAGACTTCCGACCTCCAGGATTGTAAGGAAATAAATTTCTGTTGTTTAAGCCCCTCAGTCTACAGTCCTTTGTTATGGCAGCTCTAGCAAAGGCATATACCTTCTCCATCCCCTCTCCTCTGATAAATACCAATATCTCAAGAGAACTTGGAGGCAGCTGTTGAAGAGAGCTGAGCCACAATGTTGAAAGTTATTGGGTCCCTGATTCAGGACTTGAAAGAGCATCACCAGCCAACCAGAAACACACACTTTGGGCTTAACACCAGGTATTTGTTAGAAAAAAAAATACGGGCTGGGTGCGGTGGCTCACGCCTGTAATCCCAGCACTTTGGGAGGCTGAGGCGGGCGGATCATGAGGTCAGGAGATTGAGACCATCCTGGCTAACATGGTGAAACCTCGTCTCTACTAAAAATACAAAAAAATTAGCTGGGCATGGTGGCGGGCGCCTGTAGTCCCAGCTACTCGGGAGGCTGAGGCAGGAGAATGGCGTGAACCTGGGAGGCGGAGCTTGCAGTGAGCTGAGATCACCCCACTGCACTCCAGCCTGGGCGACAGAGTGAGACTCTGTCTCAAAAAAAAAAACCAAAAAAAAAAAAAAAAACACTGAGATTTGGTGTTCATTCATCAGCTTAAGCAGCTTATCATGGCCCTAACTAACAAAGCATGTTTTACATAACAGGTACTTTGCCCACAGTCAAGTGTATCAAGATCAAATGATGATGTGCTACACCTTTGCTGTAGATTTCTTATCAATACACTCTTTCCTTGTGTCCTCTGAGAGTCTACTTCACTGCAGGGCTGCTGCTACCAGCTGCTGTGGTCATAGCCTTGGTGTTCTTGTCTAATTAATGAGGGTTCCCATTAAACTAGACTCCAGCTGTTTTGACTTCCAGAATTGCTTTAGGAGAGTCTCTGTGGTCATTAATAAGGTGAGACCTTTTGGTTCCCAATACAAAGAGAGAAGATAATTTATTTTCTACAGCATTTTTTCCCATAAAGCTCTATATTCCGTTACATTTTAAAGGGCATTTCAACAAATGATGTATGAAATGGAGAACAAAATCTGTATGGTTCTGCAGTAAAGGGCATGCAAAACTAGAGAACGGCTCTGAAATGATGTGGAAAAACAGCAATCTACTTTTCTTTAAAAAAATTAAAGGCTTATGCTTCACATAAATTCATGTCGATTTTCCAGGCATTATTTGGTTATAACGTCTGAGGCATTGCATGGATTTACTGGTACCTAAAGTGTGGATTTATTCTTAAGAAGCATGCAGCTCTACAATCTTGTACAGTGAAACGTTGGGCACTCACAAAGTTATGCAAGACAGGTTATGATGTGGGCTTAAGAAAGGTGTTGAGAGCTAGGAGTAGAGATATAGAAGAAAAAAAGTGTAATATTTTCAAGAAAGAGTAATTAGTTTGTAAGTGGAGGCTACTTTCAGTGTTTTTTTTTTTTAATTTTGATGTTTTAGTGTTATGTTTTTTGAGACAGAGTCCAGCTCTGTTGCCCAGGATGGAGTGCAGTGGTGTGAGCATAGCTCACTGCTGTCTTGAACTTCCAGGCTCAAGTGATCCTCCCACCTCAGTTTCCTGAATAGCTAGGACCACAGGCATGCACCATCATGCCTGGCTAATTTTTAAATATTTTGTAGAAACTGGGTCTCCCTTTGTTATCCAGGCTGGTCTCCAACTCCTGGGCTCAAGTGATCCTCCTCCCTTGGCTTCCCAAAGTGTTGAGATTACAGGCATGAGCCACTGTGCCAGGCCAACATTGTTTTTAATATATGACTTGTAAGGCAAGTTGGGGGGCATTAATTCCTTATTAAGATGTACTGAGTTGAATAAAAGCCCCTCCAACCATCAACCCCCCAAAATATATGTCCAAGTACTAAGCTCCAGAATTTGTGAATGCAAACTAATTTGGATAAAGAGTATTTGCATGTAATTAAGGAAAGATTCTTGAGATTAGATCACTATAAATTACCCAGGTGGCCTTTAAATCCAATGACCAGTGTCCTTCTAAGAGACAGAAGAGGAGACACAGACACAGAGGAAAAGGTCACGTGGAGATGGAGGCAGAGAATGTAGTGATGTGGCCACAAGCCCAGGGACACCTGGAGCCACCAGGAGCTGGAAGAGGCAGGAAGGATCCTCTCCTAGAACCTCCAGGGGGAGCGCACCCCTGCCCACACCTTGATCTCAGATTCCTGGTCTCCAATACTGGAAAAGAGTAAACATCTGTTACTTTACACCATCCAAGTTTTTGTTATTTGCTACGGCATCCATAGGAATTAAAAACCTATAGGTATGAATTTTATGTTGCTGTCAAAAGGCTTCTTCTAGGATAAGTAGATATTTCACCTAGATAGTTGTAGCTTTTTCTCCTCTTCATTGGGATCGGAACTCAGTTGGTGTCCTCCATCCTCCTATCTCAATATTGATTTTACTTACTCTTTAATCCTAACAATGAGCCTTTTTATATTGCTTAATTAAATATCAATGTCTTTCTGGTCAACATGAGACCAAAAACCTTTTTACCTTGGGCCTGAGAAAGAGCAGTATTTCTCCTCCTCCTCTTCCTCTTCTTCCTCCTCCTTCCTTCTTCTCCCTCTTTTTAGAGATGGGGTCTCTCTCTGTTGCCCAGGCTAGAGTGCAGTGGCATAATCCTAGCTCACTGCAGCCTCAAACTCCTGGGCTCAAGTGATCTTCCAGCCTCAGCCTGCTGAGTAACTGGGACCACACATGTGCACCACTGTGCCCTATTTTTTTGTTTTTTTAACTTATTTATAGAAATGAGGTCTCACTATGTTGCCCAGGCTGGTCTCATACTTCTGGCCTCAAGTGTTCCTCCTCTTTGGCCTCCCAAAGCACTGGGATTACAGGTGTGAGCCACCATGCTTTGGCATGGTGGGGTATGCAGTAGGAGAGCAGGGGTGGTGGCAGTGTCTCCATATGTACTCTCACTAAAACTGGTGTGGGCAGATACTGGATGCCTACTTATTTAGGGGCATCTAAATTCCTGTGCTAAATTAGAAAATAGAGGCAGCTCTTGAAAGGAGTGATGGCATGAAGGAGAGATGCTTGGACCAACCACCACACAACCCTTATAAATAATTGATAACCTTGGTTTTGATGCCACGTCCTCTTCGACAGTTGTTGGTTGAAATGACACATGATTCCAGGTGAGCTTTTCCAGATAAATTGCCCTGGAACTTCAGACTTTGTCGGGTGAATCGATGTGGAATTTCAGAATGGGCTGGAATGTCTAAGATGGGCATGTCCAATATTCAGCTCAGTGTGGGGAAACTGGTGGTGGCCAGGGCTGGTTGCAAGCTGAGTTGTAGGGGTGACAGTTCACCTGAGAAACAAAAAAACATGCAAGTCCTGGTTCATGAGGAGTGATTTCACAAATAGTGACCATGGAAGTCAATGTTGAAAAAACAAATAGATTCAGGGCATAAGGGTGCAGGTTTGTTACATGGATATGTTGCCTAGTGGTGGGGATTGGCCTTCTGTCCCCTAAACAGTGAACATAATACCAGATAGGTAATTTTTCAACCCTCATCCTCTCCCACCTTCCCCCTTTTAAAGGTGTCCAGTGCCTGTTATTCCATTCTATAGGTCCATGTGTACCCATTTTTAGCTCCCACTTATAAGTGAAAACATGTGGTATTTGATTTTCTGTTTCTGAGTTATCTCACTTAGGATATTGACCTGCAGCTCCATTTATGTTGCTGCAAAAGATACAGTTTCATTCTTTTTTATAGATGCATAGTATTCCTTGGTGTGTGTATACCACATTTTCTTCATCCAATGAACATTCAGGTTCATTCCACGATTTTGCTATTGTGAATTGAGGTGCAATAAAAATGTAAGCATAGGCATCTTTTTTGATAATTTCTTTTCCTTTGCATAGATAATCATTAGTGGAGTTGCTGGGTCAAAGGGCAGATCTATTTTTAGTTCTTTGGGAAATCTACATACTGTTTCCTATAGAGGTTGTACAATTTACTTCTCACCAACAGTGTATAAGCATTCCCTTGTCTCTGTACTCTTGCCAACATGCGTCTGTTGTTTTTGGAAGTCAGTGTTTTTCTACAAGACCTTCATATTGGCTATAAATAAAAGTGATACCTTGGAAGAGAGTCTATTTCTGGACAGCCAGAGAGGGAAATGGGAATGATCAGGAAACATACCGGGATTATAAGAGAGCTTCATTATTTTGGTCTGGCTTGAGTCCGTAAATGGAGTAGCCTCTTAGCGGAACAAAATTTCCTCCAATTATAATGGTAGTTGCCAGAGGCAACAACAGTGAAAGAGCCATTTAAAAAGTCAAAACCAGAGGAATCATTTGACTAGAACCTTCAATGGCTTTGAGTCACTATGCCAGACAGCTCAATTATCTTATCTCTGCCGTGAAAAGCTGTCTTTTTCTTGTACTTACATCTCTTGAGCAGAATCTCACATAAAACATGCCCTAATTACATGGTCCCTATTAGATACTACACCAGGGAGTGCTTGGCTTTGATGGTGCCCAGATTGTCTGAAGTCTGCAGAAATCCACTGCAGGCAGAGGCATTTGGGTGGACCATGTTCCCAAGATTATCACTTTGTAAAATATGGCTCTTGGGAGGGCAAATTTGCATGTAGGGTATTCTGAGGAACAAGTGTCGTACTGCCATCCTAAGGGTCCCTTATGGCAATGCCTGAGTTATGTGTAATTACAACAGCCATGGGTCTAGAGCTTAAGCCTCCTGCTTCCATGGAACCAATGCATTCAAAGGTTGAAGGCACCTTTGAGATTTTCTAGGCTGGCTACCAAGTCCTATGTAGGAGAAAGATGAAGTCTAACAAAGCCAGGTGATTTTCAGCCACACAATGTGTACCTTGATCTAGGGTCAGGTTATTCAGCCTCCTACTACACCAAATTTTAGAATACAATTTTTATTAGGTGGGATTTAATTAATGTCACTGATGTATAAAAGTAAAAAGAACATGTTACAGATGTAAGATATATAGATTATATATTTATCTGTATACATAAGAGAAATAGATGGACGGATGGATAGATAGACAGATGGATAACTAGAAGATAGAAAATTACACACATACATTCATAAATACATATATACATAGATGGATAGATAGATGATTGACAGAGAGAACAATATAGGTAAATGTAGATAGACGATAGATGATAGAAAGATAGACAATAGGTAGATAGATGTTAGATGGAATAGATGACAGATTAATGATAGGTAGATAGAATAGATAGATAATGAATAGATGATAGAAAGATAGACAGATAGACAATAATAGGTAGGTAGATAGATGATAGATGGAATAGATAGATAGATGGTGGATAGATATATGGAATAGACGATAGATTATAGATGGAATGAACGGATAGATAGAATATAGTAATAGAATGCATCTACCTGAAAATACAAGAGAGAAGAAAAAGAGATTGGGAGTTTTTCCACTCTATAACTTTGGGGCAAAGAAAATAGCATTAATGAAAAAGCAAAGAACGGGAAAATAAAAAGTTTTTATCCAGAACCACCCTTCCAGCAAAAGAAAATGTAGGGCAAGCAAAATATTAAGCATTTCATACTCACTTGTGTAGGCCACGGGAACTATTATGAAAAGGTGGATGTTGCATGTTTCAGTATATTTTTTGTTTTGTTTTGTTTTTGAGATGGACTCTCGCTGTGTTGCCCAGGCTGGAGTGCAATGGCGAGGTCTCAGCTCACTGCAACCTCCGCCTCCTGGGTTCAAGCAATTCTCCTGTCTCAGCCTCCCGAGTAGCTGAGATTACAGGTGCATGCCGCCATGCCTGGCTAATTTTTTGTACTTCAGTAAAGATGGGGTTTCACTGTTTTGCCCAGGCTAGTCTTGAACCCCTGAGCTCAGGCAATCCACCTGCGTTGGCCTCCCAAAGTGCTGAGATTACAGGTGTGAGCCACCACGCCCGACCTCAGTACACTTTTAATATACACAGAGCTTTGCCACATTTTGGAGGGTTACCTACTATTGCAATTTCTGGATTTTTATTTCATTTTTTATGTTTGTGTCTCTCCATTTTAGTTTAATGTAATGCAATTCAATAGATTTTCTCATTAAAATAAAATCTCAGCCTCTCTCCATTGCATAGGATGAAGCAGGCATGATGTAGGGCAAGCTCACTGGCTGGATTCAGACCCTTGAAGGAGGCCGGGCGCGGTGGCTCATGCCTGTAATCCCAGCACTTTGGGAGGCTGAGGTGGGCAGATCACTTGAGGTCAGGCATTTGAGACCAGCCTGGCCAACATGGTGAAACTCTGTCTCTACCAAAAAACCCCCAAAAATGAAAATACAAAAATTAACTGAGTGTGGTGGTGCGTGCCTGTAGTCCCAGCTACTTGGGAGGTTGAGGTGGGAGAATCCCTTGAACCTGGGAGGTGGAGGTTACAGTGAGCCGGGATCATGCCACTGCACTCCAGACTGTGTGACAGAGACCCTGTCTCAAAAAAAAAACAACACAAAACCCAAAACAGACCCTTGAGAAGTGAGCATTTTGCAGTATTCCATTTGGGAGCTGGCTATTCTGCTTCCTCCTGACATCCCAAAGGACACAGGATGGCCTGAGCTCCCAGGTACCCTGGGTTTCCCAGTAAGAATTCCAGGAGTGTTGAGAGAAATGCAAATTGTCTCTGCAGAGCAGCAGACCCCAGAGCTTAAAGGCTTCTCTCCGTTCACAGATTGCCGCATGGAGATGAGAGGAAATAGAGGGTGAACAGATCTCCTGCTACTGCACATGCTACTTTTGATTTCCCAGCTGGTGTTTGAAGGCTGTGCAAGGTGTTGGTTTGCAGGATGATGGAGACCCAGATCATTGTGAATCCATGACCGTGTGGCCGTTTGCATCGACTCAGCCTTACTGCAGATACTAACCTTCATTCCCCTCTCCAGCTATGCACTGGTTTTCTGCATACCACTTGGAATTTATGTTGGCTCTGAGTCATCTGACTCTCACATGAGAAAGAACCAAATAATGACCTGTTATTTTAAAAGAAAGTATCTGCATATGGCTTCTTGTCTGCCGAATGTTGCACATTAGGCCTTTTTTATTGAGTTTCAAATAAACCCCTGAATTAATTCTGCAGGCAAAGGCATTGATGTTAGCACCATTTGATCGCTTGAATGCACGTCATAACAGCATTTTAACGTGCTTACAGCAAGGGGGATGAGACCATATCGAGGATGCACTTTGTCGTTATTAAGGTTAAAAACACCAAGATAGCTGGGTGCGGTGGCTCAGGCCTGTAATCCCAGCACTTTGGGAGGCCGAGGTTGAAGGAAGAGAAAGACCCTCTCATATTATTTTATATTGTTTTATACTCAGTACCTGTTTTAAGCAAAAACAGCAAGGAAGTAAAACCAAAGACAGGCAGCTCGGTGCCAGGCCTGAAACCAGGCCTGGGCCTGCCTGGCCTACACCCAGTAGTTAAAAATCAACTCATGACTTAGAAACCGGTGTTATTCATAGATTCCAGACATTGTATAGAAGAACACTGTGAAACTCCCTGCCCTGTTCTGTTTCTCTCTGACCACCGGTGCATACAGCCCCTGTCACGTACCCCCTGCTTGCTCAAATCAATCACGACCCTTTCATGTGAAATCTTTAATGTTGTGAACCCTTAAAAGGGACAGAAATTGTGCACTCGGGGAGCTCGGATTTTAAGGCAGTAGCTTGCCGATGCTCCCAGCTGAATAAAGCCCTTCCTTCTACAACTCGGGGTCTGAGAGGTTTTGTCTGCGGCTCATCCTGCTACAAGGTGGGTGGATCACTTGAGTCCAGGAGTTTGAGACTAGCCTGGCCAACATGGCGAAACCCTGTCTCTACAAAAAATACAAAAATTAGCCAGGTGTTGTGTTGTGTACCTGTAGTCCCATACTCAAGAGGCTAAGGTGGGTGGATCTCTGGAGCCTGGGAAGTCAAGGCTGCAGTGAGTGGAGATCATGCCACTGCACTCCAGCCTGGGTGACTGAGCGAGACTCTGTCTCAAAAAAAAAAAATAAAAAAAAAAAAAGAAGAAGAAAAGACATGTACAATAGATTATTGTAAACTACAGTCACTTGCTGATCTATTGAACACTATGTCTTTTTTCTCTTATCGAAGTGTATATTTGCAAAGTGGGAGGATTTCTTGAGCTCAGGAGCTCGAGACCTGCCTGGGCAACCTAGTGAGACCCTGTCTCTACAAAAAAAAAACACAAAAGCCAGCCTGGCATGGTGGCATGCACCTGTAGTCCTAGCTACTGGGGAGGCTGAGGTAGGAGGATTGCTTGAGCCCAGGAGTTCAAGGTTACCGTGAGCTATGATCGCACCACTGTACTTCAGTCTGGCAACAGAGCAGAATCCTGTCTCCAAAAAAACAAAACAAAAAACCAAAAAAACCTAAGATATTTGCATCCATTAATCAAACTATTTTTATCTCCCTTCTCTGCTCCCTTCCCAGCCTCTGGTAGCCACCAATCTACTCTCTATCTCCATGAGATCCAGGTTTTAAGCTCCCACATGTGAGTGAGAACATGCAGTATTTTTCTTCTGTGCCTGGCTTATTTCACTTAACATAATGACCTCCAGTTCCATCCATCAGGCCTCCTTTTTTCACGGAGGATTTATTTTAGGAAACTTGCAATTGTGAGTTCTTTCTCTATCTCTTTGAGATGCAAATCTTCTCCCAAATTTTCTTCTAGCCTCTTCCTAGTTTTGCAACCCAGGAATGCCTTTCTCAAGACTTCAGAGCCATCCCTTTAAAATGCAATTATTGAAGGAGATGATACATCTGTGTCTCAGTTTTTGTAGAAGGGCAGATTCCTAGTTTTGAAAAATTCCAATGAGCCAACGCAGATAGCTTTACAGCATTTCCTAACCTCTTCCTGATGTCTCCAGTTCCTTCTCAGCATCTCACCCCGGCACTTAAAAACTCTCCAGCCTTTTGTTTCAACAAAGTTAAGCTCCTTCTCTCTTCCGTGTTGCAGTAGTCCTGACTGAGTCCTTCCTTGAAGGTTTAACTTGTCTGGTGCAATTTTTTCTTTGACAATGTCCAGATCAAATGATCCCATAAAAACATCGAGTGTGATTTTAGCCTGAGAAGGGGGAGGGTGAGAAGATAGATTGGGAGGCAGCTGTGTAGGCAGGGGACTTGGCCACTCCCTAAACCTCTCCCAGTCTCACCTGTAAATGGAGTGCATAGGCAGCAGTGCTTCTCCCCCAAGGCTGGGGCGATGGAATCAGTTAGACTACTGAGGGCATCTGGAAGGGCATCTGTGTCAGGGTTAGTCCTCAGGGTATGGTGGCCAATGGGTTTCTTTTGGTTGACTGTTGACAATGCGTTTGTTGAATGGCAGCCTGCACTAGGTGACGCTGAAGCCACAGAAGACACTGCAGTGGGAAAACCAGCATGAGCCGCTGCCCCCAAGGAACCTCGAAGCCCAGGCAGAGGACCAGCCATCCCAGCCTGCAGGTAAAGTGTGTCACCTGTCAGGTGGGCTTGGGGTGAGTGGGTGGGGGAAGTGTGTGTGCAAAGGGGGTGTGAGTGTGTATGCGTGTGAGCATGAGTGATGGCTAGTGTGACTGCATGTCAGGGAGTGTGAACAAGCGTGCGAGGGTGTGTGTGCAAGTGCGTATGCATATGAGAATATGTGTCTGTGGATGAGTGCATTTGAAAGTCTGTGTGTGTGTGTGTGTGGTCATGAGGGTAAGTTAGTGACTGCGCAGGATGTGTGAGTGTGCATGGAACACTCAGTGTGTGTGGCAAGTGTGTAGGCGTGTGAGGACAGGCAGAAGTGTGTCAGTGTGATGGGAGTGTGAATGAGTGTGCAAAAAGGTGAGTGAATGTGCATGGAAGTGTGTGTCAACTATGAAGGCATGTAGTGTGTCAGTGTGTGCAGTGCAAGCATGTGTGGGAATGAGTGCTTGTGGGTGTGTCCATATCCAACGGGTATGTGTGAAAGCATGTAAAAGTGTGTGTAGTGTGATGGTGTGTGGATGTATCAGTGTGTATAAATGAGAGCATGTAAATGTGTATGTATGAGTGTTGAGTGAGTGTGCATATGTGAGGCTGTGTGTGTGAGTGTAACCATGAGGGTGTGAACGTGCTTAAGTGTGCATGTGACAGTGCAAGTGTAGGGGTGTGATGCATGTGTGGGTTTGCCAGTGTATGAGTGTACATGGTGTGGATCTGAATGTGCACAGTGTAAAGGGCATGAGTGCAAGTGTGTGTGAGTGTATGTGAATGAGTGGTAGTGTGCATGCATGTGTGAGTGCACGCTCAGAAGCATGGATGGGTGCAAGCCTCCCCTACTAACTCCTCCTCCTTCCTGAGATCAAAAAAGTATGTGTTTTCTGTGTTTCAAAAATGTTTTAAAATTATGTACTGTATTTAATAGCTCTTATGACTACAGTGTTTTTCTCTCTGCTTAAAGCGCAGCAGGGGCTGGGCGCAGTGGCTCACACCTGTAATCCCAGCACTTTGGGAGGCCAAGGCAAGTGGATCAGTTGAGATCAGGAGTTCAAGACCAGCCTGGACAACATGGTGAAACCCCATGTCTACTAAAAATACAAAAATTAGCCGGGCATGGTAGCGGGTGCCTGTGATCCCAGCTACTGGGGAGGCTGAGGTGGGAGAATCACTTGAACTCGGGAGGCCGAGGTTGCAGTGAACCGAGATTGCACCACTGCACTCCAGCCTGGGCGACAGAGCGAGACTCTATGCAAAAAACCCCAAAAAATCCAATGTAGCTAAAAGCAGTTTGATGATAACAGTGACACTGAAATGAGAATTGTGTCAGAAAAACCACAAACAATAATGAAATGGCTCCTATATAACCCATCCCCAAAAACCCACGTAAAGAAGAAAACAGGGCTGGGTGTAGTGGTTCATGCCTATAATTCCAGCACTTTGGGAGGCCCAGAAGGGAGGATTGCTTGAGCCTGGGAAATCGAGGCCACAGTGAGCTGTATTTGCACCACTGTACTTCAGCCTGAGAGTCAGAGTGAAACCTTGTCTCAAAAACAGAAAGACGAAAAGGGTACCTGAGGTATTAACTCTGATCATCAGTGAGTGGAAAGATTCTGGTATTCTGGTGCTTTCCATTTTCTTTTAGCTTATCTTCATTTTTGAGTTTTCTGGAAGAGCATTTATTGCTTTTTTTCTTTTTGAGACGGAGTCTCCCTCTGTCGCCCAGGCTGGAGTGCAGTGGTATGATCTTGGCTCACTGCAACCTCCACTTCCTGGGTTCAAGCGATTTTCCTGCCTCAGCCTCCTGAGTAGCTGGGACTACAGGTACATGCCACCACGCCCGGCTAATTTTTTGTATTTTTTTTAGTAGAGACAGGGTTTCACCTTGTTAGCCAGGAGGATGGTCTTGATCTCCTGACCTTGTGATCCACCTGCCTTGGCCTCCCAAAGTGCTGCGATTACAGGCGTGAGCCACCGCGCCCGGTCGCATTTATTGCTTTAAGAAAAAAAAATTTCACTTGATGGGAAGAAGCTAAAATGAGGCTGACTAGGAAAATATCATTACTAAAAACATTCTCCTTCATTCATGGACTTTTTTTTTGAGACAGTCTCGTTCTGTCGCATATGCTGGAGTGCAGTGGTACAATCTCAGCTCACTGCAACCTTCGCCTCCCAGGTTCAAATGAATTCTTGTGTCTCAGCCTCCTGAATAACTGGAATTAGAGGCATGTACCACCATGCCCGGCTAATTTTTGTATTAGGGTTTTGTCATGTTGGCCAGGCTGGTCTTGAACCCCTGACCTCAAGTGATACATCTGCCTCAGCCTCCCAGAGTGCTGGGATTACAAGTGTAAGCCACTGCGCCTGGCCCTTGTTTTGGCTAACTCTGAGGGAAACTCTTTCTGCCATGGGAGATTGTACCTTACCATTGTTTATTTCCAGGGTCTCCTGAGAACACAGACCAGAATTACTGAGGTAATCTTGGCACATTTTCTTAACCATTTTATGCGACTTTCAAATTCCTTATATGTAGCTGGGAAAAAAGGCTTTGCTAGATGATCTTTTTCAACCTTTGTGAAGATAAAGATTAAGAAAAAAGTTTAAACCTGAGGCAAGGAAAACACAGAAGAAAACCTAAACAAAGTTTCGGTTCTCAGCCCCTGAGCAGCCACTCAGTGGTGGGCGTTTCCTTCACTCCCCAGTGAGCACCTACTGTGTGTTCCGTATGGCGCAGGGCAGGGAGGAGCAGGCCAAGAAACAAACAAGCCTTGGGGTCGGGGCCACAGAGGGCACGGTGAGCTCTCAGGACACGGCGGGAAGGGAAGGCAGAAAGGTCCTGGGCACAGGCTGGGCTGTCAGCTCCAGAGGGGCGCACTGACCCTGCATCCATGGTAAGTGTGGGGCACAGGCAGTCTGGGCTGCAGCCTCAGAGCGGAGCAGAGCCCGGGGTGTAAGAGGCCGGCTGGGGCAAGTGGGCACCAGGAGAGCCCAGGCTGGCCATTATTTGTGGCTGCATTTCCATTTCCAAAAATGTATGATTTTTTTCAGTTAATGGAGAAAAAGCACTGACAAAATTCAACACGCTTTCATGATTAAAAACATTCAGCAAACTAAGAATAGAGAAAACTACCTCAACATAATAAAAGTCATATATGAAAAAGCCACATCACACTCAATGGTGAAAACTGAAAGCTTTTCCTCTAAAATTAGGAACAAGACAAGGATGTCTGCATTCATTACTTCTATGCAACACAGTGCTAGAAGTTCTAACCGGCACACTTAGGCAAGAAAAGGAAATAAAAGGCATCAAAATTGAAAAGAAAGAAGTAAAATTATCTCTATTTGCAGATAGGATCTTATAAGTAGAAATGCCTAAAGGGCGTGTGTGCACACACACACGTTAGAACTAATAAATGAGGCCAGGCATGGTGGCTTGTGCCTATAATCCCAGCACTTTGGGAGTCAGACGTGTGCAGATCACTTGAGGTCAGGAGTTCGAGACCAGCCTCACCAACATGGCAAAACCTGGCAAAACCCCATCTCTACAAAAAAATACAAAAATTAGCCAGGCATGGTGGTGGGCACCTGTGGTCCCAGCTACTTGGGAGGCTGAGGCACAAGAATCACTTGAACCCTGGAGGCAGAGGTTGCAGTGAGCCAAGATTGTGCCACTGCACTCCAGCCTGGGCGACAGAGCAAGAGAGCGAGACTCTGTCTCTTTTTTCTTTTTTAAAAAAGAATTAAAAAAAAAACCTAATAAATGAAATCAGCAATGTAGTAGCATACAAGGTAAATACACAGGCCAGGTGCGGTGGCTCACACCTGTAATCCCAGCACTTTGGGAGGCCAAGGTGAATGGATCACTTGAGGTCAAGAGTTCAAGACCAGCCTGGCCAACGTGGTGAAACCCCGTTTCTGCTAAAAATATAAAAAAATTACTGGTGGTACGTGACTGTAGTCCCAGCTACTCGGGAGGTTGAGGCAGGAGAATCACTTGAACCTGGGAGGTGGAGGTTGTAGTGAACTCAGACTGCTCCACTGTACTCCAGCCTGGGCGACAGAGTGAGACTGGAAAAAAAAAAAAAAAAGTCAATAGACAAAAATCAGCTGCATTTCTAAATACTAACAAACAATGAACAGTCTGAAAAGGAACTAAAGAAAATGAAAATTCCACTTAAAATCTAGCAATCCTACTTCTGGATATATACCCCAAAAAATTGAAAGGAGGGCCTCAAGGAGGTAATTGAACACCCGTGTTCACAGCAGCATTATTCATAATAGCTAAAAGGTGGAAGCAACCCAAGTGTCCATTGACAGATGAATGAATGAGCAAAATGTGGTATGCACAGTGAAATTTTACTCCGCCTTAAAGGACACTGAGACACTTTCTACAACATGAACCTTGAGAATACTGTGCTAGGTGAAATAAGCCAGTCACAGAAAGACAAATATTCTGTGATTCCACTTCTGTGAAGAAAGCAGCGTAGTCAAAATCATAGAGACAGAAAGTGGAATAGTGGCTGCCAGGGTTGGGGAAAAAGGGAATGGAGAGTTGGTGTTTATGGGGACAGTTTTAGTCCCCCCACTGCCCCGCTTACCCCAACTTGAAGCTCAGAGTTTTAGTTGTACAAGATGAAAAGAGTTCTGGAGATGTGTGGGGGTGATGGCCGTACAACATCGTGAATGTATTTAGTGCCCCTGAACCACACACCTACATATGGCTAAGATGGTAAATGTTATGCTATGTATATTTTACTACAATAAAATATGTTGGAAAAAAAATTTTGATGTGATAATGCAAACTTACAGCGACTCACACCTGCTTTATCGGGAGTTTCAGAAGGGGCAGGAGGGAGAGGACACGCTAAGCAGCCAGAGGCTATTGACACACCGGAAGCATCCCCAGGGACTGCCTTTCTCAACATCACCCTCTGTAATGGCAGCGTCAGCCAAGAGTGCACTGCCATTGGTTTTACTGACCAAACCTAAAGAAACGGCTGCGTTCCCATCAGATTTGCTCACTAAATCATGCCGACACACAGACATGCATCTTCCAGCCTGTTCGGCAGCAGTGCAGACAACATGAGGGGTCTCAGATCTTCCACAAGAATGATTCTGGTTCTGCCTGAGCCTTCGCCTGAGTCCCCATCAGGCATTGTAAAGGTCAACTTAAGGATGATGGGCAGGCAGAGGCAGGAATAAGGACTGATATGGTTGAATCTCTCATTGCTTTAGCACCATCCGCTTGGTGCTGCTCTCATGATAGCTGGTTGTTTAAAAGTGTGTGGCACCTGCCGGGCGCGGTGGCTCACGCCTGTCATCCCAGCACTTTGGAAGGTTGAGGTGGGTGGATCATGAGGTCAGGAGATCGAGACCATCCTGGCTAACACGATGAAACCCCGTCTCTACTAAAAATAGAAAAAATTGCCAGGCGCGGTGGCGGGCGCCTGTAGTCCCAGCTACTCGGGAGGCTGAGGCAGGAGAATGGCGTGAAACCAGGAGGCGGAGCTTGCAGTGAGCCGAGATCGCGCCACTGTACTCCAGCCTAGGCTACAGAGCGAGACTCCGTCTCCAAAAAAAAAAAGGAAAAAAAAAAGTGTGCAGCACCTACCCCGGCCCCTTGTCCCTGCTGTGGCCACGTGACATGCCTGCTCCCACTCTGCCTTCACCGTGACTGATTCTGAAGCATCCCCAGAAGCTGAGCAGATGCCAGCACCATGCTTCCCGTACAGCCTGTGGAACTGTGAGCCAACTAAACCTCTTTTCTTTATAAAATACCTGGTCTCAAGTATTTCTTTATAACAGTGTGAGAATGGCCGAAAACGACACCCAGATGCAAACATTACCCAGGCCACCGCGTGCTGACTCTCTCACCAAGCAGGAGCGGGCCCCTCCCTCACGCGGAGCCGCTGGCACGGACAGCCCCGGGAAGGTCAGGCTGAGCGTCCTTTCCTCTGTGCACCCACGGAGGGTGCTCCCATTGGCTTTCTCAGATAGCACCATCTCAGGGTCCAGCTGGCCATGGCCTGGATTAAGTTTAAAATGCTGGGCCAGTCCCCACTTCCCTATATATGACTTTTTACAAGTCTGACACTTGAAGCTTTTGGGCCTCAGGGAGCAGCTTGATAAGTCAAAGAGCGCCTGCCTCTCCCTCTGATGTTCTTCCACACTGAGTTCTGAATCATCATCAGAATCTGGCAGATGACCGTCGGCCAAATCATCCCTTTTTATGAACTCAGCTTTAGCTGTATACTTGGCAGGTCGAGATACCTGTCTCAACGTGTCTTCACTTTTAACGATGGTTTTAGTTTCTCAGTATGTTTTGTATGCAAGTTGGAAATAAATAAACGTCCTGAACTGGATGAAACATGTTACAGTCGGCGAACTGGAGGCCAACGAAGGGGTCAACATGGTGCCCTGTCCATTTGGAGCCTTGGGAGCTGGGACTCTCTTTGCAGGGACCACCTAGAGGGCTGGCAGTGGTCTCTGTACAAACCCCTGAGCAGGAGGCTGATGTAGGAAACATGACTGTGGCTCGGTTCTCACGAGGGGCTGTACCCTGAGCAGCTGGGGGCTGGTGACGTGGAGTCCCACCAGGCGGGAATTCCCCCGGGGCGGCTGGCTCTGTCTTGCAGATTGGGGCTGGACTGTGGCCAGTAGGGACGTTGGCCGTTCCTGACCTTTTGTTTCTCCAGACGTTACCTTGACACAAATGGCTTCTAGTTGCTTTCCTACAGAAAGACAAGAAAGGGAAAAGAAGCATTGTGCTTATCAACATGTCTGCAATTCTGCTCTCATAGTAAATCCACTACTGACATTTTTTCTAAATTACGTCTTACATATACAATTTATGTAACGTGTTTGTATTAACTGTTTTTCAGACCTTTCTGACCAGAAACCACAGTGATACAGGCCGGGCGCAGTGGCTCACACCTGTAATCCCAGCACTTCGGGAGGCCAAGGTGGGCAGATCACTTGAGGTCAGGAGTTCAAGACCAGCCAGGCCAACATGGTGAAACCCCTTCTCTACTAAGGATACAAAAATTAGCAGGGTGTGGTGGTGCACACCTGTAATCCCAGCTACTTTGGAGGCTGAGGCATGAGAATCGCTTGAACCTGGGAGGACGAGGTTGCAGTGAGCCAAGATCGCGCCACTGCACTCCAGCCTGGGTGACAGAGCGAGACTCCATCTCAAAAAACAAACAAAATGGCCGGGCACGGTGGCTCACGCCTGTAATCCCAGCACTGTGGGAGGCTGAATCACTTGAGGCCAGGAGTTCCAGACCAGCTTGGTCAACATGGTGAAACCCCATCTATACTAAAAATACAAAAGTTAGCCGGGTGTGGTGGCACATTCCTGTACTCCCAGCTACTTGGGAGGCTGAGGCAGGAGAATTGTTTGAGCCTGGGAGGCGGAGAGGCTGCAGTGAGCCGAGATCCTGCCACTGCACTCCAGCCTGGGTGACAGAGCTAGACTCAGTCTCAAAAACAAACAAAAAACAAAAACAGACCACAGTGACACATTTTACATTATGACCTAGTATGCACGTATATAAATATTTGCATACATAAATGAAAAGCTGATGGAACTACTTAGCATTCCTATGTAAATGCCTGCTGATTGTATCTATTCTTCATTTCTACATCACCTTTTTTTTTTTTTTTTTTTTTTTTTTTGGAGACGGTCTCACTCTGTTGCCCAGGCTGGAGTGCAGTGGCGCGATCTTAGCTCATGGCAACCTCCGCCTCCCAGGTTCGAGTGATTCTCCTGCTTCTGCCTCCTGTATAGCTGGGATTACAGGCACACGCCACCATGCCTGGCTAATTTTTGTATTTTCTGTAGAGACGGGGTTTCACCATGTTGGACAGGCTGGTGTCAAACTCCTGAACTCAAGTGACCCGCCCGCCTCGACCTCCCAAAGTGCTGGGATTACAGGTGTGAGCTACCGCACTGACCCTAATCTACATCACTTTAAAAAAAATACTAGTCATAATCCACTAAGTTGATTTCATGATGAATTAAGAGATAATAAGAGCCTTCTCAACAGTTTCACCCATGTGTTTTTGCTTGGAGTTTTTAGTACTCTAAAATCAGATGTAATTCATAATGTGGGACCATGTTTTTAAAAAAGTTTCTAATGAAATTCTAGAAGCCACAAAAAAGCCATAAAGGACAATGTTACCCAGGATCCTCCTGCCCAACCTGCATGCCCGTTTCTTCACCCTGTCCTGAATGTGCTGTTCAGCATTCTTATGCTTTTTAAATATTTACATGGCATATGCAGATATTTCTAAAAACATACAGTTCAGTTCTGAAATGCTTTAAAACTTTATAGAAATGATATCATCTCCTGCAACTTGATAGGGCTTTTTTCAGGTTTCTTTACTCCATTTTGCTTTGTGAATTTTACCCTCATTGACATGTGTAGCTCTCAGGGGTTGATTTTCTCTGCAGTATGAGTTTACCAATCTCCTATTGATGGATGGGTACTTTCCAACCTTCTGCTCTAAGGTCTGCTCTGAATCTCCACGGATGTATGTGTGTACATGTGTGAGTTTCTCCAGGGGCATGTATCTAGGAGTAGGGCTGAATATCTTTTTCTTTTTTTTTTTTTTTTTTGAGAGAAGGTCTTGCTCTGTTGTCCAGGCTGGAGTGCAATGGCATGATCTCAGCTCACTGCAACCTGCGCTTCCCAGGTACAAGTGATTCTCCTGCCTCAGCCTCCCGGGTAGCTGGGATTACAGACACGTGCTACTACGCCTGGTTAATTTTTGTATTTTTAGTAGAGATAGGGTTTCACCATGTTGTCCAGGCTGGTCTCAAACTCCTGACCTCAAGTGATCTGCCCCACTCAGCCTCTCGAAGTGCTGGAATTACAGGCGTGAGCCACCGTGCCCGGCCGGGCTGAATATCCTCAACAACTTTTTACAAATATATCTAACAAAATTTCAAATACATGTGCTTTTTGACCCAGTAATTCTACTTCCTGGATTCCAAAATTAAAAAAACTTAGATGGCCATAAAGATGTTATGTTCTATGAGGTTCAAGGCAGCACTGTCTGTAATAGCAAAACACCTACCAAAGGGGAGAGCTACCTTCGACAACATCCCACAAATATTTATTGAGTACTGACCATGTGCATGAGACACTGCTACAGGTGTCAGAGAAACAGTTCTCATACAGCTTAGGGGAGAAGGTCAGGAAGCAAAAGAAACAAGGCTCCTGCCCTCACAGAGCAGAAATAATGAGCATTTTCCTCCAGGGAGAAAAAGAGGCAAACCTCGTCATCCAGAGCATGATTTCACAACCAACATTTCAGAACATAATCCTTTGACATGGGTGGCTGGAGGATGCCCAGCAGCATCTCTGCCTCTACCCACTAGATGCTAGTAGTGATCCCGAGTCCTGACAAGATATTGCCAAGTGCCCCTTGTGGGGCAAAACTGTCCTCGGTTGAGAACCACTTATTTGGGACCACCAACTGGCCCTCTTTGGACTCAACCTTCTGGTGTGACCCTCAAACAGTAGAAAGTCAATAAAAATGTCAAACAGGACAGAATAAAGACCCTCACTGAGATCAGGCTGGAGTGTGTCTCTCGTCTGGCTCTTGTTATACACTAGTACAAATAACAGAGGTCAAGTGTACCGAGGTGGCACCACAACCCTGGGAGTCCCCATTCCTGGGCTACGTGCAAATCAAATGACAACTAGATTGGCTGTGCATATCCTTCAAGAACGATGTCTGTTTCATTTTACTACCAATCACACAGAATCTCTCTCTAAGGGCCAAACACAAATCACACCTGCAGTAGCAGTGCTTTGGGATGCTGAGGTGGGAGGATTGCTTGAGGCCAGGAGTTCAGGGCCAGCCTGGGCAACAGAGCAAGACCCTGTCCCTACAAAATGTTAAAAAAAAACACAAAAACCCAAAACAAAGAGTCTCACTGTTGCCTAGGCTGGACTGCAGTGGTGCATTCTTGGCTCCCTGAAACCTCTGCCTCCCGAGTTCAAGCGATTTTCCTGACTTGGCCTCGCTAGTAGCTAGGATTGCAGGCATGCGCCACCGTGACTGGCTAATTTTTGTATTTTTAGTAGAGACGGGGTTTCATCACATTGGCCAGACTGGCCTCAAACTCCTGATCTCAGGTGATCCACCCGCCGCCGCCTCCCAAAGTGCTGGGATTCCAGGGGTGAGCCACCGAGCCCCGCCTACAAAACATTTTAAAATTAGGCTTGATGGTACATGCCTGTAGCCCCAGATACTCGGGAGGCTGAGGGGGAAGGATCGTTTGAGTCTGGGAGTTTGAGGCTGTAGTGAGCCGTGATCAGTCCAGCCTGGGTGAGAATGCAACACCTTGTCTCAACAAAACCCCAAAACAACAACAAAATACATATACACACAGACACACAACCTAAACCCTATTGTTTTAGGATAACCACAGCAGCAAAGCCGGCCTAATAATGTATTCATCCTCTATCCTGACTGGCTTACCCCGTGGGTATTACGCCTCATGCTTTCTTGTGTGTTTTTATTTTGTTTGGTGAACATTTACTAAATATTTCTGGATGGAATACATACACACTAGCCAACTCCTAGCCTCACCCTTGAGATGGTGGGCAGTTTCCCTGCCATGCCTCAGTCCCCGCAGACCTGCTGAATCGATCTCCTGGGTCGGAGACCCGATCTGCCCTTTCAAAAGCTCCGCTGACGATTTCGAAGGCAGACAAGTTTCCCTAAGGAATGCAGACAGGTGAGGCAGACGGGAAAAATGTCATCATGGTACAACAGGTGCAATAAAGAGGCAGAACAGACCAGAAGCAGTGATCTCTGAGGGGCGTTTTGAAGGCTGGGAATTTTTGCCAGGTAGGGCATTCTGAGTACAAAGAAAAATGTGTACATGCATGGATGCATGAAAAGGGGTTGGCATGTTGGATGGAACTGGACATTTCTGGGGGGTGGGAAGAGGGAAGATGCGGAGAGACAGGGGCCTCCATCTGACCCAAGTGTGTCCACTGGTCTGTGCTTCTGATCCACACCATCCCCCACAGCGAACCACTGGGCAGTCTGCTGTGGTTGTTGAAATGCACCCCGCCACCTGCTCCAGAACCTGCCTCTCCTCTTCTGCATTTTCAACTCAGACTCACCCTTTCAAATCTAGTTCAGATACCACTTCTTCAACAAAGCTGCTTGTGATTTCCTCGGCCAGAAACAATCTCCCTTTCTCTAACTACATTTAGTTCTTCATCACTAGCTTTCAGGCCTTGATTAGCAGGTATCTGGGTCATGTTTTATCTCCTGTTAGTTCATCAGCTACTGAGGGGCAAAGTACACATCCGGTTTGACTTCGTGGCTTCCACGACACAGCTGGGGCTGAAAAAGTATTAGCAGAATGTGCTACAAAGGTACATTATTGGAGGTAGAATTTATACGTCTCCATCAGATTAGCTACAGAATAAGTCCCATCATGCTGCCTGATCTTGACTAAGTTTGCTTTTACTTTATGAAAAGTATGTCATTTTTTACTCCATTCCAAACCCAAAAAGCTGTGGCCACATACAGCAGGGTGTGCTGGGGAGAACAAGGGCTCTGGAGAGCAGCCACACCTGAGGGATCTTGGACAAAGCCACTCAACCTCCCTGCAAAATGCTGGTACAAAAACACTACTGCGAGCTAAGCAACCCAGAACACTGCCCGGCACAGAGCAGAGGCTCAGCAGATGGCTGTCCCGGGATGGCGTCTTGCAGCCTTCGGACCCAGACCACAGTCCAAAAAGGTCGAGTTGCCCAAGGTCACACCTCTAGATAGTGTGGCATTTGGGCAGAATCATACTTGCCTTCCTAAACCTTAGCAAGACAACTCTCCACTCTTGATGATGAACTGGATACAACAACCCCAGGCAGCTAAAATCACGAGTGAAGTCGAAAAAACTCAGGAGTGAAGATCGCTGATTCTATTCTCTAACGCATCTCTTCTAGTGGAAAAAGCCCTCTTCTTTTGGCAATTTTGGGTTAAGACTAATTTTATTTACAGCGCCAGCAATGAAATGAGATGGAATTTTACAGACGCCGTGTAGGACCCCTGGAAGGACAATGAGAGTACCCACCCCAAAAGCATAGTATCTGTATGCAAAAACAGTGACAGAGACAGAGAGAGAGAGAGAAAGAAAATGCTGAGAAGCAGCAATGAAGAGAAGAAAATGCTGGGCCGTGGCACTTGCTGTGCCTGAGACCTGAAAAGCTCAGTTGGTTCCTTTTAATTCATTCAGGTCTCAGGGGCAGCGTCTGGCCTACGGGCCCACCCACTCTAAAGCGGCCCCCTGTCCCTCCCAGAACCTGCCTGATGTTCGTTCTTCGAGTGTGTTGAAGGCCGCACCTCCTGCACTTAGGTGGGAGTGCGGGCAACCCCGTCTCTGAGTGCCCCACAGAGGCTGAACGAGTGGTCAAAGGCGTGTCAGACGAGCTAGGCAGCACAGGGGAGCCCCGGGCAGGGCTGTGGAGGCAGAGAGGGCACGACGGCGTCCCAGGCAGAGGGCCCAGCGTGAGCATCGGCTCCTCAAGTGAGGCTCCTGGGGTGAAAACGCCAGGGTGGTGGCAGGTGGGGGCCGAACGCCGTCCCTAAGGGGCTCAGCTTCGGGACACCCTGAGTCTTGACTGGGGCCGGATACTGGCCACCCCGGCCAAGCAGCTAACCCCGCCGCGGGGCCTCGGCCCCCTCCGGGCCTCAGTTTCCCCACGTCGCTCCCGGAGCCTCACCTGGGGCGGCAGCAGGCGTGGCGGGCACGGGGGCTCGGCGCCAGGGTCCCGCTGGAGGGCGGCCTGATGGGCCGCGGCGGCAGCAGCTGCGCCTTCGTCACCCGCTTCAGGACCTGCCGCAGCTGCTCGGGGCCCAGCGGGGCCACACGTGCAACGCTGCCCTGGCCCGGAGAAGCCTGGCCGCCGCATCCGCCGCGGCGGCTGAAGCGGGGACTCCAACCTGGGTCGCTGGGCGACGACGTGCCTCACCTGGGAAAGCGGCGGGCTACGAGTGCCCCGCAGGCCAAGACACCTCGGAAGGCGACGCTGCCCGGCCGGGACAGCCGCCGCGGCCCCTAGGGCCGATCAGCACAGCGGACCCACCTTATTTTCTCATTGCCTGTCACGGATGTGTTTAACACTCAGATGTCACCTCCTCCGGGAGCTGTCCCCGATCTCCCAGGCGGAGGTCTTTGAGGTTCCAAAGCCCCTGACCCAAAAGTTATCACATTCTTTGAGGTTCCAAAGCCCCTGGCCCACAAGTTATCACGTTATCCACGTGTTCTGACGTCATCGTGCACCCCAATCAGCGGAGGATCCTGCCTGGATACGCGGAGTCCTAGGTCCACCAGCAAACGTTTAGGTTTATAAATCTGAGAGGGGACCCAAAGTTTGAATTTTTAACAAGAGCGCTTCCCAACCCCCAAACTGTTCCCATGTCACCCTACCGTCTCTCCCCTCACCCACCCAGGCTGCGTGTACCTTGAAGGGAGAGACGATATGTTACTCATTCGGTGCCCATTACAGGCCCTGCCCAGAACGCACGCTCAAGGCGTGAAAGATGGATGGATGCATAGAAACCAATAAATGAACGGGTGAACAAATCCACGAACCCACCCTCTCCACATGTCCGTCCCATCCATCCAGCCCCAGTGCCCCGTCTTCCTCAGCCCGATCGCCTCTCTTACAGGGTCGAGGCTCTGTGCACCCTCCCCACCGAGTCTTGTAGCTGCAGGTGTGTACACACGTCCCAGTCCCAGTCCCAGTCCCAGTCCCTCTCCCCAGGGAGCGTAGGAGGTCCACTGGCCAACAAACACTTATTAAGCGCCTGGTAGGTGAGTCGCCATTCCCTCCCTGTGGGGTACCACGGGTCTAGCTGGCGAGAAGGAGGAAACCAGCATTTGCAGTACAGTATGATGAGCACCATGAAGCCAGGAAAGGTAAGGCTGGGGGGGGGGGGGGGCGCCAGGCTGGTGTCAGAGAAGGTTCTGGAACATCACCATCATCCTCATCAATACTTCGCATTCACGATGCTCCCTGCTATTTTTTAATGGTGAATTTCATATGATGGGTATCTTACCACATTTTTTTTTGTTTGTTTGTTTTTAGACAGGGTCTCACTCTGTTGCCCAGGCTGGAGTGCAGTGGCGCCATCTCAGCTCGCTACAACCTCGACTTCCCGGGCTCAGGTGATCCTTCCACCTCAGCCTCTGGAGTAGCTCGGACTACAGGCATGCGCTACCATGCCCAGCTAATTTTCGTTTCTTTTTTTTTTTTTTTTTTTTAATAGAGAGAGGATCTCACCATGTTGCCCGGGCTGGTCTCCAACTCCTGGGCTCAGATGATCCACTTGCCTAGGCCTCCCAAAGTGCTGGAATTACAGGCGTGAACCACTGCGCCTGGCCCAAGTCAATCTTTCCTAGTTCCTTCCCAAGAAGGGATTTATGACAACTGAGTTCTTTTGAGATCTTTTGGGAAGCTCTGCTTTTCAGCAGACAAGAAATTTCAGGAATTCAAATGCCTTCTGCTCAAAATAATTTTCACGCCACCGTGGCACATTCTAAACCCCTTCAAGTTCAGGAAACTTGAGGGCAGCAGCCTCCACCGACTCCTCCGTGCTCTGTCCCTGCATCTAACCCGGCACGACTACTGCAAGATGTGACATCCAACTTGTTGCGTACAGGTTTCTATTGCAGGTGTCAGCCGACCCAGGCTCTCCTAACGTTGCTTATAGTAGCAGCAGCGCCACCAGCCGGCGTTTATTGAGAACTTTCACTACACCCTGGGCACTTACCAAGGTTTTAAGCCAGTAGTCTGTAGATTTTGAGCAGCTACTGATTTAGGTCAGAGTTAGTAGATGTTTCCACTGGAGAGTTTTCAAAAGCAGGTGGAGCCCCTGCTGGATCGTGACAGAAAATGGCACTGACCCTACACAACTGGCTTCGTTCAACGGAGCACACCTGACCACCCCAGAAACTTGAACCACCAGCGAGAAACTCATCCACTTGCTCTGGCTGCAAAATGCAGAACCAAGAGGAAGAAATGTGAAGCCTAAGATGTCTCTGAAAAGAAACGGGGGGTGGGGGGGAAGAGCAAGAGAAGGTTTCCAGAGGCTTCCACAACCAGAACGCCTCTCTAAAAACATGGCAGGCATCTACTGGCTGGTCACTTTCTCCACGTGGCTTGGGATTTGTGTCTCACTTACCGTTTTGCTCCCCGCCTAGAACGGTGCTGGGCATGCAGTAGCCCTACACACCATCTGTGGAATGCATTCATTGCAGACCTGGATTTTCAACCCTAAGACTTCCCCGCAAGGCGGCCAAGGGAACACGAGGCGGTGACATCTGGGAGCACCCGTCTTCACTGGGCGATTCCTCCAGGGGAGCCACAGCCTCAGGAAGCGCGGGGGCGGCAGGGGTGGGGGCTGAGGGCCGGAGATGTGGATCGCTTTGGATATCCTGAGTGGCCTGCAGGTGGCGGAGGGTGCAGGGACTCGGGTGCGGAGCCACCGCCCCAGCGCATGCCTGGTACCTCCCGCTCTCCCCAGCAGGCTGCCCTCGACAACCTCTGGGCGGGGAGACCAAGAGATCCTGCAGTTCGCTCCTACCCGCACGCCGCTCACAGTACCCGAAAGGCGCATTTTTCACAAACTGTTGTAGAAAGAGTTCATGGCGGGGTGGCGGCGGGGAAAAAAAAAAAAAAAAGCTAACGCCGTGGCCGGTGCGGGAGTCGAGCCCGCGACCTTGGTGTTATCAGCACCACGCTCTTACCAACTGAGCTAACCGGCCGCCCGACGGCACAGTGCCCCTGGAGCGTATAAAAGGGCTCCACGTTCGCGCCCGTCCACGAGCGATTCCTCGCCAAGCCCGCGCGCCTCTGGCTGCCTTCCGCTTTGCCCCAGCCGCGGGGACTCCGGGGAGGAGCCACCGCCCCAGCGCTGGCCGGGTTTCTCCCGCTCCTCCCTGCCAGGCTGTCCTCGACAACCTCTGGGCCGAGTCCAAGAGATCCCGCAAGTCGCTCCTGCCCGCATGGGGCTTACAGAACCTGAAAGGCGCATTTTGAAAAAGAGTTGCAGAAACAGTTCATGGGGAGAAAACAAAGAAACAAACCAACAAAAAACTGGGACTAGGGCCGGTGCGGGGATCAAGCCCGCGACCATGGCGGTATCAGCACCACGCGCTCACCAACTGAGATAACCGACCGCCCGACCATCTAGTGCTGCCCGAGCGTCTGAAAGGGCTCCGTGTTCGCGCCGGCCCGCGACTGATTTCCTTGCAGAGCCCGCGCCACTGGCTGCCTCCCCGCTTGGCCCCAGCTGCGACTTCTGACCGCCTCACTGTCATCCCCATTGGGTGGATGCAGAAACTGAGACCTAGGAGACTTCAAGGAGAAGGGAGGCGGCTTCCTACAGGGAACCGCAGGCTTCCACAGGGAAAATGCAAATTGCACATGGGAGGCTTGGCTCTGCAGTGAGGTTTTCAAACATTCCCATTCAATGCTGGTTTTAACTCTGAGAATCCTGAGGCCTGGCAACTTCGTGTATCAAGAGCCTTTCAGCATGGTTAAATCTAGCTCAGAAAACCCAGAAAACCAAAGGCCAAAAGAACCACCGAATTCCCTATTGCCCAAAAAATAACGGCTGCAGGGGTCTCGACTTCCTTCTTGTCCATTTTTATTTCCTTTCACTGTACACATGTATTTCTATATATATACACGGAATCCTTGCGCCAGGAGTGGTGGCTCTTGCCTTTAATCCCAGCACTCCGGGATGAATAAATAAATGAATGGAATGGAAAGCCTTGCTTGAAAAAGTGTATTCTGTCTTCCTTTTTGCATTTAATAGTCTGTCATTAAGTATATCCCGAAATAATTGCAAATGTCATTTTCAATGATTCATTCAAAAAAAAGAAAAGAAAAAAAATGAGACGGGGAAAGACAGAAATAGAGAAACAGAAAATGATATTGTTTGGCCATGTCCCCACTGAAATCTCAACTTGAATTTTATCTCCCAGAATTCCCTCGTGGTGTGAGAGGGACCCAGGGGAAGTACCTGAATCATGGTGGCCGGTCTTTCCTGTGCTATTCTGGTGATAGTGAATAAGTCTCATGAGATCTAATGGGTTTATCAGGGTTTCTGCTTTTGCTTCCTCCTCATTTTCTCTTGCTGCCACCATGGAAGAAGTGCCTTTCGCCCTCCGCCATAATTACGAGACTTCCTCAGCCTGTGGAACTGTCAGTCAAATTAAAGCTCCTTTTCTTCCCAGTCTTGGGTATGTCTGTATCAGTGGCATAAAAACAGACTAATATAGTAAATTGGTACCGGGAGTGGGGTATTGCTGAAAAGATACCCAACAATGTCACAGCGACTTTGGAATTGGGTAATAGGCAGAGGTTGGAACAGTTTGGAGGGCTTAGAATAAGGCAGGAAAATGTGGGAATGTTTGCAACTTCCTAGAGACTTGTTGAATGGCTTTAGCCAAAACGCTGATAGCGATTATGACAATAAGGTCCAGGCTGAGGTGGTCTCAGATAGACATGAGCAACTTCTTGGGAACTGGAGCAAAGGTGACTCTTATTATGTTTTAGCAAAGAGACTGGTGGCATTTTGCCTCTGCCCGAGAGATTTGTGGAACTTTGAACTTGAGAGAGATGACTTAGAATATCTAGCGGAAGAAATTTCTAAGCAGCAAATCATTCAAAATGTGACTTGGGTGCTGTTGAAAGCATTCTGTTTTAAAAGGGATACAGAGCATAAAAGTTTGAAAATCTGCAGCCTGATGATCCAGTAGAAAAGAAAAATCCATTTTTGGGGGGAGAAATTCAAGCCAGCTGCAGAAATTTGCATAAGTAGGAAGGAGTCTAATGTCTCCAGGCCATGTCACAGACCTTCACAGCAGCCCCTCCCATCACAGGCCCAGGAGAAAAAAGTGGTTTTGTGGGCTGGGCCCAGGGTCTCTGTGCTGTGTGCAGCCTAGGGACTTGGTACCCTGGGTTCCAGCTGCTCCATCTGTGACTGAAAGGAGCCAACGTAGAGCTCAGGCTGTGGCTTCAGAGGATGGAAGCCCCAAGCCTGGGCAGCTTCCATGTGGTGTTGAGCCTGCAGATGCACAGAAGTCAAGAATTGAGGTTTGAGCACCTCCGCCTAGATTTCAGAAGATGTATGGAAATGCCTGGATGTCCAGGCAAAAGTCTGTGGCAGGGGTGAGGCCCTCATGGAGAACCTCTGCTAGGGCAGTGCAGAAGGGAAATGTGGGGTTGGAGCCCCCACACAGAGTCCCTACTGGGGCACTGCCTAGTAGAGCTGTGAGAAGAGAGCTACTGTCGTCCAAACCCCAGAAAGGTAGATCCACCAACAGCATGCACCATAGGCCTGGAAACACAACAGACACTCAACGTCAGCCTGTGAAAGCAGCAGGGAGGGATGTTGTACCCTGCAAAGCCACAGGCACAGAGCTGCCCAAGACCATAGGAATCCACCTCTTGCACCTGATGTGAGACCTGTAGTCAAAGGAGATCATTTTGGAGCTTTAAGATCTGACTGCCCCACTGGATTTTGGACTTGCACGGGCCCTATAACCCCTTTGTTTTGGCCTATTTCTCCCATTTGGAATGGCTGTATTTACCCAATACCTGTATCCCCATTGTATCTAAGAAGTAACTAGCTTGCTTTTGATTTTACAGGCTCATAGGTGGAAGGGACTTGCCTTGTCTGACTGTGGACATTTGGGTTAATGCTGAAATGAGTTAAGACTTTGGGGGGACTGTTGGGAAGGTACAGTTAGTTTTGAAATGTGAGGACATGAGATTTGGAGGGGCCGGGGTGGAATTATACGGTTTGACTGTGTCCCCACTGAAATGTCAACTTGAATTGTATCTCCCAGAATACCCACGTGTTGTGGGAGGGACTCAGGGGGAGGTAACTGCAATCATAGGGGCGGGTCTTTCCCGTGCTATTCTCATGATAGTGAATAAGTCTCACGAGATCTGATGGGTTTTCAGGGGTTTCTGCTGTTGCTTCCTCCTCATTCTCTCTTGCTGCCGTCATGTAAGAAGTACCTTTTGCCCTCTGCCATGATTATGGGACTTACCCAGCCATGTGGAACTGTAAGTCAAATTAAACCTCCTGGCCAGGCATGGTGGCTTACACCTGTAATCTCAACACTTTGGGAGGGTGAGGTGGGTGGATCACCTGAGGTCAGGAGTTCCAGACCAGCCTGGCCAACATGGTGAAGCCCCGTCTCTACTAACAGTACAAAAATTAGCCAGGAGTTGGGGCACGCACCTGTAATCCCAGCTACTCAGGAGGCTGAGGCAGGAGAATTACTTCAACCCGGGAGGCAGAGGTTGCAGTGAGCCTAGATCGCGCCACTGCACTTCAGCCTGGGCGACAGGAGCAAGACTCCGTCTCAGAAAAAAAAGAAATTCAACCTCCTTTTCTTCTAAGTCTAGGGTATGTCTTTATCAGCAGCGTAAAAACGACTAATACAGAGAGTAATGCATAAAGACACAGAAAGAGGGAGAGAGACAAAAAGAGAAAGAGAGAGAGAGAGAGAGAGAATGTAATAGGAGAAAGGGAGGGACAGGAGAAAAAGAGAGGGCCCTCTTCCCACTATCCTTCCAAAATCAGGGTTTCCTCATGACCCCTTCCTCAAGGCCTAGGTGCCAAAAAGGTCACTGAAGGAAGCACAGTCCCCTCTTCCTCAGCAGGCCTGAAGGCTCCTGGGCTATGGCTGCTGGTCTTCCTAAGCCAGAAGCTATAACCCTGAGCCATTGGGCTTCCCAGCCTAGCTTCCTCCTGTCCAAAATGAGAGGACAAACAGGAGTTAGAGAGCCTGAGAAGACCTGTCCCAGCAACACACCCCCCTAAGAAGGCACAGGCTGACCACTGACAACTGTTTAAATCCAGCGCCCACGTTCGGCTGGGATATTCTGACCCACTCAGGGCTGCCCCATAAACCAGCGCGTGGTCCGGATCCAAGCGCACCGAGAACTCGAAACCTCTCTGTCAAGCTGCCCATTGGGAGTTAAGTTCAAAGAGGACAAAGGAAACGAGATAAAGCGTCCAATACAAGAATTACCCATTTCAGACGCACAAGACGAAGAGCACAGGCGGTGTCAGGACATGTTAGGATCCGTCCCCAACTCCGCCGTCTTCATCCCCACAAAGCCACGGAACACCTGTACCCCGGAGCCCAGCTGCTCCTGCAGCCCCTGGAGAAATCTGTACATTCCCCGCCGAGGACCCTGCCGCTGGGCACACTGGGAGGCTGGCCTGAGGGACCCCGCGCCCGTGTCCCTGGGGCCGCTGCCTGGGAGAGCGCACGATTTACCCCAGGCGAGGTGACCCACAGGAAGTTTGGTGACGTCGGATGGCCCAGGCCCCAGAGTGCTGTGTGTGCTGGGGGTGGAGGGTGGTCCCCGACAGGAGCCGTCGGCGTTCCAGGGAAGGCACCCGGTCGGTCGGGGGACTCGCCGGGGCTGGGGGGTGCGCTCTACTTCTCCGAGCGCCCCCCAGGGAGACCCAGGGCGCAGGGGCAGCCCCGCGCTGGGATCCCGAGCCGCAGCGGCGGGGCAGGGCCCTCCCCAGGAGGCGGGCACCCGGGGCCCTTTGTCCTACGACAGCGTCCCGGCCGCGCCGCGCGCCCCTGTGGGCCGAGTCCCCGCGCGCACTCACTCACCCACGGTGACCAGCGTGTCGAAGTCTTGAAGGCGGTTGGCAGGCGGCTCCGGCGACCGCGACTCGGGGCTGGGGCAGAGCTCGGGCGCCCAGTCCGGGGTCTCCTCTGCCACGGCCGCCTGGGCCAGCCCGGGCGCCTTCATGGGGACGCACTCAGGTCCGGGGCGCCGGGCCGGGCCGGAGCGCTCGGGGAGCCGGGCTTCCGCGGATGCAGCCTCGGAGGGCGGCGCGGCGGCATCAACGGAGGCTCCCCATGCGCGCCATGCGGCTTGTGGAGGCCATCCTGCCCACCCGGCCCGGAGCCCGCAAGACGCCAATGCGCCTTCCGGTGCGCGCGCGGCCGGGCGCGGCTGACGGAGCGGCGGGGACAATGGCTGGCCGTCGCTCACGGCACAAGCAGCAACGGCCCCAGGTAGCAGCAGCCGCCGGCCTCGTGGGGCGGGCACGGAGCGCCGGGAGGCGGCGGGGAAGGCGGGGGCCGCGGCCCGGGCTTGTAGAGCCAGGCGGGGGCCCTGCGCATTCCCAGTCTCGCGCCCGCGGCCTCCTGCAGCTCGGTAGCAGCGTGCGCGTTGAAGAGGCGGGCGGAAGCCGCCTGGGCGAGGCCTAGGGGCTGGGGGCGTCGCCTTCGCACGCGCTCCGCCCCTGCCGCGACCCAGCCCAGGAGCCAGAGACCTGGGCGTGCCCCGCCACCGTGGGCAGGCGCGGCCCTGGGGAGGTGCTCACGCCCCCTCCGCGCCCGAGGCGCCCCTCGGGTGGCACCCAGGACGACCTCTCACCGCGACCTACCGCCCCGACCCTCTTAGGCGCAGAGGCGCACAGGTCCAGACCCGGCTACTCAGGAGGGAGGAAACATTTTACAACCTGTTCTCTCTTGTCTTTGAAGCCTGCTAGCTAAAAGCTTCATCTGCATAGTAAAACTTTGGTCTCCACCACCTCTTATCACAACCCAGACATTCCCTTCTGTGATCTCAGGTCTTCAGATAAACTCAACCAGCTGTCAACCAGAAAATGTTTAAATTCACCCACAGCCTGGAACCCCCTTTCCTCCACCCCCTCGCCCCCACCCACCACTTCTACTTGTCTCTTTTCTGGACCAAACCAATGTATTTCTCAAATGTATTTGATTGCTGTCTCATGCCTTCCTAAAATGTATAAAACCAAACTGCACCCCAACCACCTTGGGCACATGTTCTCAGGACCTCCTGAGGGCTGTGTAATGGGCCATGGTCAGTCGTATTTGGCTCAGAATAAATTTCTTCAAATATTTTACAGAGTTTGACTCTTTTTGTTGACACCTTTTCTTAGACAGCTACTACAAGATGTTCTTCAGAAAATGGACGGCGCAAACTGAGAACAAGTAAGAGGTGGATTCAGAAAGTTAGGAGATCCGGTGGAGGAGAGAAGTGTAGTTGGTGGCCAGGGTGACAGCCATTCACCAGGTTCCATAGACAAACAGTTCATGTTGGAGATGGGGTTCAAGAGATGCTAGACGGAGCCGTCCAGGAAGAAAGAGCAGGAATGAATGGACAAAAAGTATGGGAGTTAGAAAAACTGATGAATTTAGGGGCACATGGTAGGCCTTTTGGAGCACTGGGATAAAATAGTTTCAGGCACTAAGTAAATTTTATATAAAAAGAAGGCAGCCCAGTGCAGTGGCTCATGCCTGTAATCTCAGCAACTCCAGAGGCTGAGTTGGGAGGATCACTTGAGCTCAGGAGTTTGAGGCTGCAGTGAGCTATAATTGCACCACTGCACTCCAGCCTTCTAGCTTGGGTGACAGACCCTGTCTCCAAAAAATAAAAAGGCAATTACTAACTCCAGGAAAAAGGAAAGAAAGAAAACATAATCATTGTAGTCACTGGTTCATCTTTGAATATCATTGCAATGGTCATTATAATGGAAACACTGATGATTTCTTAAACCAAATATTGTGACCTAAATGTTTACAAGAATGTGGTAGGAGGGAAAGGACATTTGTGATTGGATGGAAAGGCAGGCAGGAGAGTGTCACAGTCTGAGGGGTTCTTCTTTCCTGCTGCCCCCCAAAAACCCAGTGCACTGAGAACAGCAGATGTTGCAGCAAAGAGGGAGGTTAATAATTGCAGGGACAGCTAATTGAGAAGAATAGGAGAGGTTTCTCAAATCTGTCTCCCTAAAAAGTTGGAAACTATGGTTTTTCATGGTACTTTTGTGGGCAGAAGCCTGGGGAACTGCAACAACTGATAGACTATGGATGAAATCTCAGGGGTGTCTAAAACTGTCTTTCTGCAGGTGAGTTAGTTCCCAGGAGAGGGTATCTCAGGACCAGGTGGCATCTCTTGGTCTGCCAAAATGCTAAATCTGAAAAATATTTCAAAGACCATTGTTTAGGTTTTACAATAGTAATGTTATCTACAAGAGTAGTTTGGGAAGTTATACATCTTGTGATCCCTGGTTACATGACTCTGGTGCAGTGAACAACTTACATGAAAACACACTAAGTGATGGCAGGTCATTGATTAACTATGCCTATTCTTTAGCAAAGTTCAAGCCCCTACAGTAATTCTAACCTTGTTTTCTGAATGTGGCTTTAATCTGCAGTCAAGGAGTGGGGTCAGTTTCCTTGCCTCAGAGTTTAACTCTCTCTCTCTCTCACTCTCTCTGTGTGTGTATAAATATATATACACAATTATTTACTATTTATTTATTTATTTATTATTTTTTGAGACACAATATTGCTCTGTTGTCCAGGTTGGAGTGCAGTGGTGTGATCTTGGCTCACTGCAGCCTCAACTTCCTGGGCTCAAGCGATCCTCTCACCTCAGCCTCCTGAGTAGCTGGGACTACAGGTGCACACCACCATGCCTGGCTAATTTTTGTAAATTTTTTTTTGAGAAGGGGTTTCACTATGTTCCTGAGGCTGTTCTCCAACTCCTGGGCTCAAGCAATCCTCCTGCCTCGGTCTCCCAAGGTGCTGGGTGGCACCACACCTGGCTTCAAATTTTAACTATAAACTAACTTCCTCACGCAGTTATCTTGGCTGCCACACTAGAATAAGCAAAAACAAAACAATTTAGCCTGTGAGGTCTGATGGAAGATGGAGTCAGTCACGTTAGATTTCTCATATTTGTTTTTCTTTTCCTTTTTTTTTTGATGGAGTTTTGCTGTTGTTGCCCAGGCTGGAGTGCAATGGCGTGATCTCAGCTCACTGCAACCTCTGCCTCCTGGGTTCAAGTGAGTCTCCTGCCTCAGCCTCCCGAGTAGCTGGGATTACAGGCACCCGCCACCATGCCTGGCTAATTTTTTTTTTTTTTAATAGAGACGGAGTTGCACCATGTTGGCTGGCTGGTTTTGAACTCCTGACCTCAAGCGATCTGCCTACCTCAGCCTCACAAAGTGCTAGGATTACAGGCATGAGCCACCGCACCCAGCCAAGATTTCTCACATTTCTTATAATTCTGCAATCTCAGTTTCAAGACCAAATCCCCAATAACCATAAGGCGTAAAATTGACAAATCTTGAAACTGTAGTGTAAGAATATTACATAGCACCATGATTGTAAATATGAAAACAAACATTTAAAAGATTGAAATTGAATAGAGGCTGGGAATGGGACATTTTGATACAAGGAGGTTTTTTTTTAAGTACTAACTCTTTCATATTTCCTTTACAATAATCTGCTTAAACTTTAAGAACATTTGGAAAAGAAGGTGTCACAGATGTTCCCTTCCAGTCAGACACGTCTTCACTTCTTTGGTTTTACTCCTCTTCTCTGGAGAGATCATGGCAGAGCTTGGCACCGTATATATACTCATGGGGCACTGATGGCAGTGGACATTTGAGTGAGGCAGTCTTTGTTTTTTACTTTTGGAGGGTGATTGTGAAGATGAAATGAAATAACCCACATGGCAATGCCCACAATTCACAAGGCACATAAACAGGGTGTCAGGAAATACTAGCTCAGCAGAGATTCTACATTCATCTTTTCCCTGAGAATGATAATGAGGGATGTTTAGTACTGAAATCAGAAAGAATCAAAACACAGGTATATCTACATATTCTTAGATACAGCAGAAATGTGTTAGTTTTTCTCTGTCCTGGAACAGAAGCAGATGCAGAGATGCAAGTGTTAAAAACTGCATGGTAGAATAAATACTCCATACACTTGGAGTGGCCACATTTAGCAAATAAAAATTGTAATAAATTTAAATTTCAGATAACACATTTTAAAATGTTTTAAATTTTAATTATATTTATTCTACTTTTTTATTTTTATTTTTTGAGACAGGGTCTCACTCTGTGGCCCAGGCTGGAGTACAGTGGTGTGATTACGGCTCACTGCAGCCTCTACCTCTTCGGGCTCAGGCGATCCCCACACCTCAGCCTCCTGAGTAGTTGGACTACAGGTGTGCACCATTTCGCTCAGCTAATTTTTGTATTTTTGTAGAGACAGGGTTTCACCATGTTGCCTAGGCTGGTCTTGTACTCCTGGGATCAACAATCCCCCCACCTCAGCCTCCCAAAGTCCTAGGATTCCAGGTGTGAGCCACTGCACTTGGCCAAGTAACAGATTTTTGAGTATCAGTATGCCCCATGTCACACTGGGGGCATATGGATACTAAAAAATTATTCAGTATTTATCTGAAATTCACATTTAATTGGTGTTGTGTCTTTTATCTGGAAACCTTATAGATGGCTGAATTTGCAGCTGTCATGTCACTGTTTGTGGCTTAATGAAGGAATTCATTTGCCATTTACAAAAATTCAGTACCCAGAAGGAGAAAGGGGATGCTGTTTGGAAGAACATGATGTCACTGCCAATGCTGAATTAACTTGGTGGTCTGGAATACACAATCTGTGAGCATCAGTCTCTGTTTTTGTTTTTGTTTTTGTTTTTGTATTTGTTTTTGTTTTTGTTTTTGAGATGGAGTCTTGCTCAGTCATCCAGGCTGGAGTGCAGTGGCACAATATCTGTTCCCTGCAACCTCTGCCTCCTGGGTTCAAGTGATTCTCCTGTCTCAGTCTCCCAAGTAGCTTGGACTACAGGTGCGCACCACCATGCCCAGATAAATTTTGTATGTTTAGTAGAGATGGGGTTTCACCATGTTGGCCAGGCTGAGCCTTCAGAGGGAGTGTGGCTCGGACCGCACCTTGATTTCAGACTTCTGGTCTCTAGAAATGTGAGAATGCACATTTATTGAGACTCATTCAGTGTCTCAATTTATGGAACTTTGTTAAAACAGACCTAGGAAAATAATACTCCCAATCAGAAGGACAGAACAAACAAGTGGAATTGTCAACACAACACAAAATTGGAGGTATGTACCTTTTTTAGCAGTAATTGTATATTAACTTGCTCTTCCAAAGTGGTGGTTTGGAGAATGGATAAACCCAAGTGTCAAGGATGAAAATAATGATCAATTGAACTCCATATGGAATATAAACCAATTTCACCCTCTCAATATAATATGGGTAATTATTTACTCTTCATGTTGATTTAATATTTGCTTTTATAGAATGAAAAAATATAGGTACACTCACAACTAGGGGCCCTAATCAATGATCATTTATCATGAGCATTTGATTTTCAACACATTATGAATTACATGGTGGTATAGTCAATGCAGCTCACAATAGTGGCTTTGAATCTGCATTGCCCCTGGCCATATGACCTTCAACATATATTTTGAGGTTGGGGGAACAGGAGGAATATTTTTTACGAATTTTGTGTTTGATCCAATATGGTTGTTTTTGAAAGGGCTGTGTGACCCTCTGTGGAAATAAAATTGATTTATAGCTGAACTGGACAAGCTCTATCTATCTCTTGCAACTACTAGAGGTCTGGTCTTTGACCCACGGTCAGTGGGTTTTATGAGATGTTGCTTAAAGTCTCATACTGGGCTTGGTAATTGTAGAATAGAGTGGTTCTTTGCTTTGCATGGTGGGATAAGATTTCTTTTTTAAAATTTTTAATTTTAATTTTTAATCTTTGTAGATACATAGTAGGTGTATGTATTTATGGGGTACATGAGTTGTTTTTGTTTTTTATGAAACAGAGTCTGGCTCCGTCACCGAGGCTGGAGTGCAGTAATGTGGTCTTGGCTCACTACAACCACTGACTCCTGGGTTCAAGCAATTCTCCTGCCTCAGCCCCCTGAGTAGCTGGGACTACAGGTGTGCACCACCATGTAAAGCTAATTCTTGTATTTTTAGTAGAAATGGGGTTTCACCATGTTGGGCAGGCTGGTCTCGAACTCCTGGCCTCAAGTGATCCGCTGGCCTTGGCCTCCCAAAGTGCTAGAATTACATGCATGAGCCACCGTGCCCAGCCTTACATGAGATGTTTCGATACAGGCATGCAATGTGAAAGAAGCACATCATGGGGAATGGGATATCCATCCCCTGAAGCACTTATCCTTTCAGCTACAAACAATCCAATGACATTCTTTAAGTTCTTTTAAAATGTACAATTAAGAAATCCCTTGGTCGGGCTCAGTGGCTCACGTCTGTAATCCCAGCACTTTGGGAGGCCAAGGCTAGCAGATCACCTGAGGTCAGGAGTTCAAGACCATCCTGGCCAACATGATGAAACCTCGTCTCTACTAAAAATACAAAAAAATTAGTCAGGTGTTGTTGCACGCACTTGTTGTCCCAGCTACTCAGGAGGCTGAGGCAGCAGAATTGCTTGAACCCAGGAGGCAGAGGTTGCAGTGAGCTGAGATCATGCCATGCCACTATAGCCTGGGAAACTTCATCTCAAAAAAAAAAAAAAAAAAGAAAGAAATCCCTTGAGGGTCAATTTCTTTACTGATGGCTTGCAACTGGCCTAACCACTTGTGAAGTCAGTATGGCTTCACTATATTTAGGTGGTTCAATTCATGCATCAATACGAACCCTGGGATCTTGCACAAGGGTCTCTCTGTATCCCAATGCTGGCCTGCGCACACACTTTTTCTCTCTCTTGCTGTGCTGTGTCCTTCAGTGTTAAATAAAAGCTGTACCACTTCACACCCACTAGGATGGCTACGATTCACAAAATCCAGAAAATAGCAGGTGTCAGCCAGGATGTAGAGAAATGGGAATCTTTGTGCATTGTTGGTGAAAATGCTCAATGGTGCAGCCCCTGTGCAAAACAGTGTGGTGGTTTCTCCAATAATTAAACACAGAGTTAGCATAGGATCCAGCAATTCCACTTCTGGGTATATACTCAAAAGAATTGAAAGCAGGGTCTCAAAGAGATACTTGTAAACCTATGTCCGTAACACTGTTTTTCACTGTAGCCAAGAGGTGGAAGCAACCCAAGTGTCTATCAGCAGAGGAATGGATAAACGAAGTGTGGTCCATCCATACAATGAGACATTGTTCAGCCCTAACAAAGAAGGAAATTCTGACACGTGCTGCAACGTAGATCAACCTTGAGGACATTATGCTAAGTAAAATAAGCCAGGCTCAAAAAGACTAATACTCTATGAGTCCATTCATGTGAAGTCTCTAGAGTCATCCAATGCATAGAGACAATGGTGGGCACTGGGCACTGGGGGAAGGGAACATGAGGAGTTAGTGTTTAATGGGGACAGAATCTCACTGAGGATATTAAAAAAGTTCTGGAGATAGGTGGTGGTGATGGTTGCATAACAGTGTGAATCCACTTAATGCCACTGAACCGTGCACTTAAAAATGGTTAAAATGGTGAGTTTTATATTATGTATATTTGACCAAAATAACAGATAGGTAGATACATAGATGATAGATACATCATACATGATAGATAGTTCATAGCTGGGTGATGATGATACACAAATACATAGATAAATGATAGGTGAGACAGATAGATGATAGGTGATAGATGATAGATGACAGATGGCTAGATGATAGGTAGATACATAGATGGTAGATAGATGATAGATAGAAAAATAGACAGATGATAGGTAGATGATAAGTAGATGATAAGTAGATAGATAGATAATAGGTAGATTATACACAGATGATAGATAGATGGGTAGATAGATGCTACATAGGTAGATAGATAGCCTCCAAGACAATGGGAGAATAAATGTCTGTTGTTTAAGCCCTGCAGTCTATGGTGTTCTGTTATAGCAGCTTGAAATGGACTAAGACACCTCATAAGAAGAGATGAGGACACAGACACACACAGAGAGACGACTGTATGAGGACAAAGGGAGAACACAGAGTCTACAAGCCAAGGAGAGAGGCCTCAGGAGGAACCAGCCCTGCCCACACCTTGATCTCAGACTTCCGACCTCCAGGATTGTAAGGAAATAAATTTCTGTTGTTTAAGCCCCTCAGTCTACAGTCCTTTGTTATGGCAGCTCTAGCAAAGGCATATACCTTCTCCATCCCCTCTCCTCTGATAAATACCAATATCTCAAGAGAACTTGGAGGCAGCTGTTGAAGAGAGCTGAGCCACAATGTTGAAAGTTATTGGGTCCCTGATTCAGGACTTGAAAGAGCATCACCAGCCAACCAGAAACACACACTTTGGGCTTAACACCAGGTATTTGTTAGAAAAAAAAATACGGGCTGGGTGCGGTGGCTCACGCCTGTAATCCCAGCACTTTGGGAGGCTGAGGCGGGCGGATCATGAGGTCAGGAGATTGAGACCATCCTGGCTAACATGGTGAAACCTCGTCTCTACTAAAAATACAAAAAAATTAGCTGGGCATGGTGGCGGGCGCCTGTAGTCCCAGCTACTCGGGAGGCTGAGGCAGGAGAATGGCGTGAACCTGGGAGGCGGAGCTTGCAGTGAGCTGAGATCACCCCACTGCACTCCAGCCTGGGCGACAGAGTGAGACTCTGTCTCAAAAAAAAAAACCAAAAAAAAAAAAAAAAACACTGAGATTTGGTGTTCATTCATCAGCTTAAGCAGCTTATCATGGCCCTAACTAACAAAGCATGTTTTACATAACAGGTACTTTGCCCACAGTCAAGTGTATCAAGATCAAATGATGATGTGCTACACCTTTGCTGTAGATTTCTTATCAATACACTCTTTCCTTGTGTCCTCTGAGAGTCTACTTCACTGCAGGGCTGCTGCTACCAGCTGCTGTGGTCATAGCCTTGGTGTTCTTGTCTAATTAATGAGGGTTCCCATTAAACTAGACTCCAGCTGTTTTGACTTCCAGAATTGCTTTAGGAGAGTCTCTGTGGTCATTAATAAGGTGAGACCTTTTGGTTCCCAATACAAAGAGAGAAGATAATTTATTTTCTACAGCATTTTTTCCCATAAAGCTCTATATTCCGTTACATTTTAAAGGGCATTTCAACAAATGATGTATGAAATGGAGAACAAAATCTGTATGGTTCTGCAGTAAAGGGCATGCAAAACTAGAGAACGGCTCTGAAATGATGTGGAAAAACAGCAATCTACTTTTCTTTAAAAAAATTAAAGGCTTATGCTTCACATAAATTCATGTCGATTTTCCAGGCATTATTTGGTTATAACGTCTGAGGCATTGCATGGATTTACTGGTACCTAAAGTGTGGATTTATTCTTAAGAAGCATGCAGCTCTACAATCTTGTACAGTGAAACGTTGGGCACTCACAAAGTTATGCAAGACAGGTTATGATGTGGGCTTAAGAAAGGTGTTGAGAGCTAGGAGTAGAGATATAGAAGAAAAAAAGTGTAATATTTTCAAGAAAGAGTAATTAGTTTGTAAGTGGAGGCTACTTTCAGTGTTTTTTTTTTTTAATTTTGATGTTTTAGTGTTATGTTTTTTGAGACAGAGTCCAGCTCTGTTGCCCAGGATGGAGTGCAGTGGTGTGAGCATAGCTCACTGCTGTCTTGAACTTCCAGGCTCAAGTGATCCTCCCACCTCAGTTTCCTGAATAGCTAGGACCACAGGCATGCACCATCATGCCTGGCTAATTTTTAAATATTTTGTAGAAACTGGGTCTCCCTTTGTTATCCAGGCTGGTCTCCAACTCCTGGGCTCAAGTGATCCTCCTCCCTTGGCTTCCCAAAGTGTTGAGATTACAGGCATGAGCCACTGTGCCAGGCCAACATTGTTTTTAATATATGACTTGTAAGGCAAGTTGGGGGGCATTAATTCCTTATTAAGATGTACTGAGTTGAATAAAAGCCCCTCCAACCATCAACCCCCCAAAATATATGTCCAAGTACTAAGCTCCAGAATTTGTGAATGCAAACTAATTTGGATAAAGAGTATTTGCATGTAATTAAGGAAAGATTCTTGAGATTAGATCACTATAAATTACCCAGGTGGCCTTTAAATCCAATGACCAGTGTCCTTCTAAGAGACAGAAGAGGAGACACAGACACAGAGGAAAAGGTCACGTGGAGATGGAGGCAGAGAATGTAGTGATGTGGCCACAAGCCCAGGGACACCTGGAGCCACCAGGAGCTGGAAGAGGCAGGAAGGATCCTCTCCTAGAACCTCCAGGGGGAGCGCACCCCTGCCCACACCTTGATCTCAGATTCCTGGTCTCCAATACTGGAAAAGAGTAAACATCTGTTACTTTACGCCATCCAAGTTTTTGTTATTTGCTACGGCATCCATAGGAATTAAAAACCTATAGGTATGAATTTTATGTTGCTGTCAAAAGGCTTCTTCTAGGATAAGTAGATATTTCACCTAGATAGTTGTAGCTTTTTCTCCTCTTCATTGGGATCGGAACTCAGTTGGTGTCCTCCATCCTCCTATCTCAATATTGATTTTACTTACTCTTTAATCCTAACAATGAGCCTTTTTATATTGCTTAATTAAATATCAATGTCTTTCTGGTCAACATGAGACCAAAAACCTTTTTACCTTGGGCCTGAGAAAGAGCAGTATTTCTCCTCCTCCTCTTCCTCTTCTTCCTCCTCCTTCCTTCTTCTCCCTCTTTTTAGAGATGGGGTCTCTCTCTGTTGCCCAGGCTAGAGTGCAGTGGCATAATCCTAGCTCACTGCAGCCTCAAACTCCTGGGCTCAAGTGATCTTCCAGCCTCAGCCTGCTGAGTAACTGGGACCACACATGTGCACCACTATGCCCTATTTTTTTGTTTTTTTAACTTATTTATAGAAATGAGGTCTCACTATGTTGCCCAGGCTGGTCTCATACTTCTGGCCTCAAGTGTTCCTCCTCTTTGGCCTCCCAAAGCACTGGGATTACAGGTGTGAGCCACCATGCTTTGGCATGGTGGGGTATGCAGTAGGAGAGCAGGGGTGGTGGTAGTGTCTCCATATGTACTCTCACTAAAACTGGTGTGGGCAGATACTGGATGCCTACTTATTTAGGGGCATCTAAATTCCTGTGCTAAATTAGAAAATAGAGGCAGCTCTTGAAAGGAGTGATGGCATGAAGGAGAGATGCTTGGACCAACCACCACACAACCCTTATAAATAATTGATAACCTTGGTTTTGATGCCACGTCCTCTTCGACAGTTGTTGGTTGAAATGACACATGATTCCAGGTGAGCTTTTCCAGATAAATTGCCCTGGAACTTCAGACTTTGTCGGGTGAATCGATGTGGAATTTCAGAATGGGCTGGAATGTCTAAGATGGGCATGTCCAATATTCAGCTCAGTGTGGGGAAACTGGTGGTGGCCAGGGCTGGTTGCAAGCTGAGTTGTAGGGGTGACAGTTCACCTGAGAAACAAAAAAACATGCAAGTCCTGGTTCATGAGGAGTGATTTCACAAATAGTGACCATGGAAGTCAATGTTGAAAAAACAAATAGATTCAGGGCATAAGGGTGCAGGTTTGTTACATGGATATGTTGCCTAGTGGTGGGGATTGGCCTTCTGTCCCCTAAACAGTGAACATAATACCAGATAGGTAATTTTTCAACCCTCATCCTCTCCCACCTTCCCCCTTTTAAAGGTGTCCAGTGCCTGTTATTCCATTCTATAGGTCCATGTGTACCCATTTTTAGCTCCCACTTATAAGTGAAAACATGTGGTATTTGATTTTCTGTTTCTGAGTTATCTCACTTAGGATATTGACCTGCAGCTCCATTTATGTTGCTGCAAAAGATACAGTGATACAGTTTCATTCTTTTTTATAGATGCATAGTATTCCTTGGTGTGTGTATACCACATTTTCTTCATCCAATGAACATTCAGGTTCATTCCACGATTTTGCTATTGTGAATTGAGGTGCAATAAAAATGTAAGCATAGGCATCTTTTTTGATAATTTCTTTTCCTTTGCATAGATAATCATTAGTGGAGTTGCTGGGTCAAAGGGCAGATCTATTTTTAGTTCTTTGGGAAATCTACATACTGTTTCCTATAGAGGTTGTACAATTTACTTCTCACCAACAGTGTATAAGCATTCCCTTGTCTCTGTACTCTTGCCAACATGCGTCTGTTGTTTTTGGAAGTCAGTGTTTTTCTACAAGACCTTCATATTGGCTATAAATAAAAGTGATACCTTGGAAGAGAGTCTATTTCTGGACAGCCAGAGAGGGAAATGGGAATGATCAGGAAACATACCGGGATTATAAGAGAGCTTCATTATTTTGGTCTGGCTTGAGTCCGTAAATGGAGTAGCCTCTTAGCGGAACAAAATTTCCTCCAATTATAATGGTAGTTGCCAGAGGCAACAACAGTGAAAGAGCCATTTAAAAAGTCAAAACCAGAGGAATCATTTGACTAGAACCTTCAATGGCTTTGAGTCACTATGCCAGACAGCTCAATTATCTTATCTCTGCCGTGAAAAGCTGTCTTTTTCTTGTACTTACATCTCTTGAGCAGAATCTCACATAAAACATGCCCTAATTACATGGTCCCTATTAGATACTACACCAGGGAGTGCTTGGCTTTGATGGTGCCCAGATTGTCTGAAGTCTGCAGAAATCCACTGCAGGCAGAGGCATTTGGGTGGACCATGTTCCCAAGATTATCACTTTGTAAAATATGGCTCTTGGGAGGGCAAATTTGCATGTAGGGTATTCTGAGGAACAAGTGTCGTACTGCCATCCTAAGGGTCCCTTATGGCAATGTCTGAGTTATGTGTAATTACAACAGCCATGGGTCTAGAGCTTAAGCCTCCTGCTTCCATGGAACCAATGCATTCAAAGGTTGAAGGCACCTTTGAGATTTTCTAGGCTGGCTACCAAGTCCTATGTAGGAGAAAGATGAAGTCTAACAAAGCCAGGTGATTTTCAGCCACACAATGTGTACCTTGATCTAGGGTCAGGTTATTCAGCCTCCTACTACACCAAATTTTAGAATACAATTTTTATTAGGTGGGATTTAATTAATGTCACTGATGTATAAAAGTAAAAAGAACATGTTACAGATGTAAGATATATAGATTATATATTTATCTGTATACATAAGAGAAATAGATGGACGGATGGATAGATAGACAGATGGATAACTAGAAGATAGAAAATTACACACATACATTCATAAATACATATATACATAGATGGATAGATAGATGATTGACAGAGAGAACAATATAGGTAAATGTAGATAGACGATAGATGATAGAAAGATAGACAATAGGTAGATAGATGTTAGATGGAATAGATGACAGATTAATGATAGGTAGATAGAATAGATAGATAATGAATAGATGATAGAAAGATAGACAGATAGACAATAATAGGTAGGTAGATAGATGATAGATGGAATAGATAGATAGATGGTGGATAGATATATGGAATAGATGATAGATTATAGATGGAATGAACGGATAGATAGAATATAGTAATAGAATGCATCTACCTGAAAATACAAGAGAGAAGAAAAAGAGATTGGGAGTTTTTCCACTCTATAACTTTGGGGCAAAGAAAATAGCATTAATGAAAAAGCAAAGAATGGGAAAATAAAAAGTTTTTATCCAGAACCACCCTTCCAGCAAAAGAAAATGTAGGGCAAGCAAAATATTAAGCATTTCATACTCACTTGTGTAGGCCACGGGAACTATTATGAAAAGGTGGATGTTGCATGTTTCAGTATATTTTTTGTTTTGTTTTGTTTTTGAGATGGACTCTCGCTGTGTTGCCCAGGCTGGAGTGCAATGGCGAGGTCTCAGCTCACTGCAACCTCCGCCTCCTGGGTTCAAGCAATTCTCCTGTCTCAGCCTCCCGAGTAGCTGAGATTACAGGTGCATGCCGCCATGCCTGGCTAATTTTTTGTACTTCAGTAAAGATGGGGTTTCACTGTTTTGCCCAGGCTAGTCTTGAACCCCTGAGCTCAGGCAATCCACCTGCGTTGGCCTCCCAAAGTGCTGAGATTACAGGTGTGAGCCACCACGCCCGACCTCAGTACACTTTTAATATACACAGAGCTTTGCCACATTTTGGAGGGTTACCTACTATTGCAATTTCTGGATTTTTATTTCATTTTTTATGTTTGTGTCTCTCCATTTTAGTTTAATGTAATGCAATTCAATAGATTTTCTCATTAAAATAAAATCTCAGCCTCTCTCCATTGCATAGGATGAAGCAGGCATGATGTAGGGCAAGCTCACTGGCTGGATTCAGACCCTTGAAGGAGGCCGGGCGCGGTGGCTCATGCCTGTAATCCCAGCACTTTGGGAGGCTGAGGTGGGCAGATCACTTGAGGTCAGGCATTTGAGACCAGCCTGGCCAACATGGTGAAACTCTGTCTCTACCAAAAAACCCCCAAAAATGAAAATACAAAAATTAACTGAGTGTGGTGGTGCGTGCCTGTAGTCCCAGCTACTTGGGAGGTTGAGGTGGGAGAATCCCTTGAACCTGGGAGGTGGAGGTTACAGTGAGCCGGGATCATGCCACTGCACTCCAGACTGTGTGACAGAGACCCTGTCTCAAAAAAAAAACAACACAAAACCCAAAACAGACCCTTGAGAAGTGAGCATTTTGCAGTATTCCATTTGGGAGCTGGCTATTCTGCTTCCTCCTAACATCCCAAAGGACACAGGATGGCCTGAGCTCCCAGGTACCCTGGGTTTCCCAGTAAGAATTCCAGGAGTGTTGAGAGAAATGCAAATTGTCTCTGCAGAGCAGCAGACCCCAGAGCTTAAAGGCTTCTCTCCGTTCACAGATTGCTGCATGGAGATGAGAGGAAATAGAGGGTGAACAGATCTCCTGCTACTGCACATGCTACTTTTGATTTCCCAGCTGGTGTTTGAAGGCTGTGCAAGGTGTTGGTTTGCAGGATGATGGAGACCCAGATCATTGTGAATCCATGACCGTGTGGCCGTTTGCATCGACTCAGCCTTACTGCAGATACTAACCTTCATTCCCCTCTCCAGCTATGCACTGGTTTTCTGCATACCACTTGGAATTTATGTTGGCTCTGAGTCATCTGACTCTCACATGAGAAAGAACCAAATAATGACCTGTTATTTTAAAAGAAAGTATCTGCATATGGCTTCTTGTCTGCCGAATGTTGCACATTAGGCCTTTTTTATTGAGTTTCAAATAAACCCCTGAATTAATTCTGCAGGCAAAGGCATTGATGTTAGCACCATTTGATCGCTTGAATGCACGTCATAACAGCATTTTAACGTGCTTACAGCAAGGGGGATGAGACCATATCGAGGATGCACTTTGTCGTTATTAAGGTTAAAAACACCAAGATAGCTGGGTGCGGTGGCTCAGGCCTGTAATCCCAGCACTTTGGGAGGCCGAGGTTGAAGGAAGAGAAAGACCCTCTCATATTATTTTATATTGTTTTATACTCAGTACCTGTTTTAAGCAAAAACAGCAAGGAAGTAAAACCAAAGACAGGCAGCTCGGTGCCAGGCCTGAAACCAGGCCTGGGCCTGCCTGGCCTACACCCAGTAGTTAAAAATCAACTCATGACTTAGAAACCGGTGTTATTCATAGATTCCAGACATTGTATAGAAGAACACTGTGAAACTCCCTGCCCTGTTCTGTTTCTCTCTGACCACCGGTGCATACAGCCCCTGTCACGTACCCCCTGCTTGCTCAAATCAATCACGACCCTTTCATGTGAAATCTTTAATGTTGTGAACCCTTAAAAGGGACAGAAATTGTGCACTCGGGGAGCTCGGATTTTAAGGCAGTAGCTTGCCGATGCTCCCAGCTGAATAAAGCCCTTCCTTCTACAACTCGGGGTCTGAGAGGTTTTGTCTGCGGCTCATCCTGCTACAAGGTGGGTGGATCACTTGAGTCCAGGAGTTTGAGACTAGCCTGGCCAACATGGCGAAACCCTGTCTCTACAAAAAATACAAAAATTAGCCAGGTGTTGTGTTGTGTACCTGTAGTCCCATACTCAAGAGGCTAAGGTGGGTGGATCTCTGGAGCCTGGGAAGTCAAGGCTGCAGTGAGTGGAGATCATGCCACTGCACTCCAGCCTGGGTGACTGAGCGAGACTCTGTCTCAAAAAAAAAAAATAAAAAAAAAAAAAGAAGAAGAAAAGACATGTACAATAGATTATTGTAAACTACAGTCACTTGCTGATCTATTGAACACTATGTCTTTTTTCTCTTATCGAAGTGTATATTTGCAAAGTGGGAGGATTTCTTGAGCTCAGGAGCTCGAGACCTGCCTGGGCAACCTAGTGAGACCCTGTCTCTACAAAAAAAAACACAAAAGCCAGCCTGGCATGGTGGCATGCACCTGTAGTCCTAGCTACTGGGGAGGCTGAGGTAGGAGGATTGCTTGAGCCCAGGAGTTCAAGGTTACCGTGAGCTATGATTGCACCACTGTACTTCAGTCTGGCAACAGAGCAGAATCCTGTCTCCAAAAAAACAAAACAAAAAACCAAAAAAACCTAAGATATTTGCATCCATTAATCAAACTATTTTTATCTCCCTTCTCTGCTCCCTTCCCAGCCTCTGGTAGCCACCAATCTACTCTCTATCTCCATGAGATCCAGGTTTTAAGCTCCCACATGTGAGTGAGAACATGCAGTATTTTTCTTCTGTGCCTGGCTTATTTCACTTAACATAATGACCTCCAGTTCCATCCATCAGGCCTCCTTTTTTCACGGAGGATTTATTTTAGGAAACTTGCAATTGTGAGTTCTTTCTCTATCTCTTTGAGATGCAAATCTTCTCCCAAATTTTCTTCTAGCCTCTTCCTAGTTTTGCAACCCAGGAATGCCTTTCTCAAGACTTCAGAGCCATCCCTTTAAAATGCAATTATTGAAGGAGATGATACATCTGTGTCTCAGTTTTTGTAGAAGGGCAGATTCCTAGTTTTGAAAAATTCCAATGAGCCAACGCAGATAGCTTTACAGCATTTCCTAACCTCTTCCTGATGTCTCCAGTTCCTTCTCAGCATCTCACCCCGGCACTTAAAAACTCTCCAGCCTTTTGTTTCAACAAAGTTAAGCTCCTTCTCTCTTCCGTATTGCAGTAGTCCTGACTGAGTCCTTCCTTGAAGGTTTAACTTGTCTGGTACAATTTTTTCTGACAATGTCCAGATCAGATGATCCCACAGAAACACTGAGTGTGATTTTAGCCTGAGAAGGGGGAGGATGAGAAGATAGATTGGGAGACAGCTGTGTAGGCAGGGGACTTGGCCACTCCCTAAACCTCTCCCAGTCTCACCTGTAAATGGAGTGCATAGGCAGCAGTGCTTCTCTTCCGAGGCTGGGGTGATGGAAACAGACTATTGAGGGCATCTGGAAGGGCATTTGTGTCAGGGTTAGTCCTCAGGGCATGGTGGCCAATGGGTTTCTTTTGGTTGACTGTTGACAATGCGTTTGTTGAATGGCAGCCTGCACTAGGCAACGCTGAAGCCACAGAAGACACCGCAGTGGGAAAACCAGCATAAGCCGCTGCCCCCAAGGAACCTCAAAGCCCAGGCAGAGGACCAGCCATCCCAGTCGCACAGGTAAAGTGTGTCACCTGTCAGGTGGGCTTGGGGTGAGCGGGTGGGGGGAGTGTGTGTGCAAAGGGGGTGTGAGTGTGTATGTGTGTGAGCACATGTGAGTGTGATGGCTAGTGTGACTGCATGTAAGGGAGTGTGAACAAGCGTGTGAGGGTGTGTGTGCAAGTATGTATGCATATGAGAATATGTGTCTGTGGATGAGTGCATTTGAAAGCCTGAGTGTGTGTGTGTGTGTGTGGTCATGAGGGCAAGTTAGTGACTGAATGCGCAGGATGTGTGAGTGTGCATGGAACACTGTCAGTGTGTGTGTGGCAAGTGTGTAGGTGTGTGAGGACAGGCAGAAGTGTGTCAGTGTTGTGATGATGGAAGTGTGAATGAGTGTATGAGTGTGCAAAAAGGTATGGAGTGAATGTGCATGGAAGTGTGTGTGTAAACTATGAAGGCATGTAGTATGTCAGTATGTGAGTGTGCAGTGCATGTGTGTGGGAGGGTGAGCGTGTGAGTTAGTGTGACTGCTTGTGGGTGTGTTTATGAGTGTGTGCCAGTGGGTATGAGTGTGAGAGCATGTAAAAGTGTGTGTGTAGTGTGACAGTGTGTGTGTACTGTGACATTGTGTGGCTGCGTGTCAGTGTTTATGAATGACAGCATGTGAAAGTATGCATGTGTATGTGGGTGCATACATGTAAGTGTATGAGGGTGCGTGTGATGGTGTAAGTGTAGGGTTGTGATGCATGAGTGTGAGTGTGGCTGTGTTTTTCAGTATATGACTGTGTATGTGTATTGGGTGTGGACCTGAGTGTGCTAGTGTGCAAGGGCAAGTGTAAAGGGCATGAGAATGCAAGTGTGTGTACATGAATGAGTGGGAGTGTGTGCATGGGAGTGAGTGCATGTGCCTGTGTGAGTGCACTCTCAAAAGCGTGGAAGGGTGCAAGCCTCCCCCACTAACTCCTGTCCCCTGCTGAAATCATCTTTCCCACCTCCTTCCCTGCCATCCCTACAGTGTACCCCATAAGAGTGCTGGCTTTCCTTCCGGGCACTCTGCCCTCCCCCATTTCAGGCATCCCTGCACACCCGTTCTGTACAAGAAGGAGGTACCTCTTCTCTGCATCCGTAGGTTCTGCACTCCAGGGGTAGCTCCCCATAGCTGGTCCACAGACCATCACCCACCCCCCCAATTGCCACCCAGAGGGATGAGAGGGCTTACAACAGTGGGGACAGCTGGTGCTAGCCCCTAACCCTACTAAACTTCCATAGAGACCCTTACAGGGCTTTTCCATTGGGAAAAGTTGGGGAAAACCCAGGAACATTCAGAAGTGCAGTGAAACCATGTCTTGGATGGCTTGGGAGGGATGCCGTTTATCCCGGGAGACAGGATTGAGTGCTAGAAGGCTGGGCAGGGGGGGAGCTGTTTGAATAGCTGAGGTGAGAAAGTGGGGAAAAAAGTGACATAGTAGATAAAATACAAGGTAAAATAAAGTATAGCCACCTGAAGAAACAATGTTGGACCATATTGGGCAGATTTAAAGATTATGTGTGGGCAGTCATGTTATCTACCATGCCTCCCATTTTAAATTCATGTTTTCTTAGAATGTTATTATTCTAACATATATTTAACTATTTCAAAGCATAGAATTCGGTGGCATTTAGTACACAGCATGCATAATATTGTACAACCATCATCTCCATCTCCCTGAACATTTTTATCACCCTCAAAAAAGAATATCACCCCCATATTCATCAAGCAAAAGTTAATTTTAATTATTAAAAAAAAAAAGGCATCAGAATTTTGAGCCCTAGTCCACACTTTTTGTTTTGTTTGTTTTTTGTTTTTTATTTTTTTGAGACAGAGTGTCGCTCTCTTATCCAGGCTGGGGTGCAGTGGCGTGATCTCGGCTCCCTCCAACCTCCGCCTCCCGGGTTCAAGCGATTCTTGTGCCTCAGCCTCCTGAGTAGCTGGGACTACAGGCGCCCGCCAACATCCCGGCTAATTTTTGTATTTTCAGTAGATACGGGGTTTTACCATGTTGGCCAGGCTGTTCTTGAACTCCTGACCTGAAGTGACCCACCCGCCTCGGCCTCCCAAAGTGCTAAGATTACAGGCATGAGCCACCACGCCCGGCCCACACTTATTTTTGAAAAGCAATTCTTGATTTCATTTATTTTAAAAGGATCCTCTCTCTTCCCTCTGTTATGGTGATTTTCTTGTGTGGCTTAAATAGCAAATTGAACCCACTAGATGGCACCAAACACTAGCATTTTTTAAAAAAAACAGCAACTCAGAAATCAATGATTTTTGACACAATCTACTGTTCTTTCTTAGACCTTCATGTGAGGTTTAGCTGGGGGGTGAAAATGCATGAATGGCAATGTTTTTGCAATGGAAGGAGCTATCTGGTGCAGAGAACCCAACTATGTAATTATTATTGCATCATAGGTCAACCAGGTGTGCTTAGAATGTGAGAAAAATACAATTTCCCCATTATTTCCAGGTGAGGTCAACCAAAGGTGAGTGAAACTGGCTCAGTCACCTGCTTGGGGCACTTCCAAGGTAAATGCTGCAGGCTCCCAGAGGAGAAAATTAAATACACAGGGATAATGAGACTGTGCAAATTTTTAAAAAATTTCATAATCCCAGTGGAATAGCTTATTTATTTATTTATTTTTACAATGGAGGTATTTACCTGTCTGAGCTATTATGAATAAAAATGCATGGTATCAGTGGACACGTCTTTGTCTATAGGCTATTTCTATTTTTTTTTCTTGGTTACATGTTTAGGTTCATATGCTGCACTGTTTTTCAAAAGTTGTCGTTTCACTTTGCACTGTGAATGTAGGAGGGTTGTAGTTGCTTTATATTTAGTGCTTGTTATTGTCAAGCTTGAAAATGTTATTTATGCTCGTGGTCATGTAGGGATATCTCATTGTGTCTTTAATTTGCAGTGCTCTGATCACTAATAATGATGGTATCTTTGTTTATATACCTATTGGCTCCGTGTGTGTGAGAGTGTGTGTGTGTGTATTATTTTTCTGTGAAGTATTTGTTCATATATTTTGTCAGTAGTCTGTTGAGTTGCTTGTCTTTTGTAATTGAGTTGTTTATATATTCTGAATATATAATAAATATATTTTATGTAATGTTTTTTCCCAGTATGCAGCTTATCTTTTCTTTTATTAATGATGTTGTTTAAAGATAATTTTGAATTTTGATAAAGTCCACTTCATCCATTTTTAAAAATATTATGATTCATGCTTTTAGTGTCCTATCTAAACAACCTTTTCTTTTCTTTTCTTTTCTTTTCTTTTTTTTTTGCAACCTCCACCTCCTGGATTCAAGCAATTCTCCTGCCTCAGTCTCCCAAGGAGCTGGGATTACAGGTGCACGCCACCAAGCCAGGCTAATTTTTTTTTTTTTTTTTTTTTGCATTTTTTTGTAGAGATGGGGTTTCATCATTGTTGGCCAGGCTGTTCTCAAACTCCTGACCTCAAGTAATCTGCCTGCCTCGGCCTCCCAGATTGCTGGGATTACAAGCATGAGCCACCATGCTCAGCCCTAAAAAATCTTTTCTATACCAAGTTCAAGAAGAGTTGTTCATGTGTTTTCACCTAGATGCTTAATAGTTCAGCTTTTTCATTTACGTCTATGATACATTTTGATAAAACCTTCTAAATAGTATGAAAAAAGGGTTTTTTAAAAATTCCTAGAAGAATACTCAGTTATTCTTACACCATTTCTTGAAAAGCTTATTATTTCCACATTGAGTCAATTGACCATGGATATGTGGTTCTATCTTATATCATTGTTTTCCCTGTCTGTCCTACTGCCTGTGACACATGACATTGATACTGTTGCCTTCTAGTAAATCTTGAACTTAAGAAGCATATGTGCTCTAATTTTGTTGTTCTTTATCTAAATTACTTTGCTATTCTAGGTCCTTGGCATTTGCAGGTAAATTTTGGAGTTAGCTTGTCAATATAAAAAAAATCCTAATGAAACATTGATTGACATTTCATTGAATCAGTAGATCAAGTAAGAGGAAATTATCAGCTTAACAATGCCAATACTTTCAAATAATAGAGATGATATATCTCTCTATGTATTGGTCTTCATAAATTTCTCTCATCAACATATATATTTAAAAACTTTCAGTGTTCAGGTGTTGCATAAATTTGCTAAATCTGTCTCTCAGTACTACTTTCTATTGTAAATGACATTTAAAATAATTTGTTTTCCAACTTTTTGTTACTGGTATAATTTAATTTTTTTTTTTTTTTTTGAGATGGAGTCTTGCTCTGTTGCCCAGGCTGGAGTGCAGTGGTGCAATCTCGGCTCACTGCAAGCTCTGCTTCCCGGGTTCACGCCATTCTCCTGCCTCGGCATCCTGAGTAGCTGGGACTACAGGTGCCCACCACCATGCCCGGCTAATTTTTTTGTATTTTCAGTAGAGATGGGGTTTCACCGTGTTAGCCAGGATGGTCTTGATCTCCTGACCTCATTATCTGCCCGCCTCGGCCTCCCAAAGTGCTGGGATTACAGGCTTGAGCCATCGCGCCCAGCCTAATTTAATTTTTAAAATTAGCCATGTATTCTGTGACCTTCTAAATCCATTTATTATTCTGGTAGCTTTTCTGCAGATGCTAGAGAATTTTCTACATGCAAGATCATGTCATTATGAATAAAAACTATTTTACTTCATTCCAATATATGCCTTTCCTTCCCTCCCTCTCTTCTTTCTTTCTTTCTTTCTTTCTTTCTTTCTTTCTTTCTTTCTTTCTTTCTTTCTTTCTTTCTTTCTTTCCTTCCTTCCTTCCTTCCTTCCTTCCTTCCACTGAATAGGATTCCCAGTACTATCTTTAACCTTTTTGTTTTACCCAAAAAGCTAGGCAGCTGCACCCTGCATTCGTGTTTCATCCTTGGTCTGCCTCAGTCATGAGGTGCTTCCTACAAATATGGCTGTCTCTGTGATTTCTCATTCAACACCATTTTCTCTAAATGTTGAATTTAGACTGGTTGCAGAGGAGCTCTTACCATGAGTCCATAGCACACTTTCCTCATTATTGCCAACAAGAAATATTTGTCTTGGACTTCTGGTTTCTCCTTACATGGAGAACTGATTTTTCCTGGATATTAGAATTTGCAGCCAGGGTTATTTTCTCTGTCTTTTTCCACAGCCTTGTGTGGCTTCTACTGCTTGTGATTCTGAATATCTTCTATCTCTTATTCTCATAAAAAGGAAAGCAGTGTTTCTGTTTTTCACCTTTATTGTGTTTTTTGAAATGATTTCCAAGTAGACGAGAGTTCAAGATGGACTTTATTACACCATTTCTAACCAGAAATATTTCTCTTAAATAAGCATTTTAGTAACAAGGTCTTGAGTCAGCTAGGAATAGTGGGTGAAGATGTAAAAATACTTACACTGTTTCCATTTAGCAATGGGGCTGACTTGGTGACATAAGAGGATTTCTTGATAAAGAAGGAGAAAATCAGAAAGGTTATATTTGTGAATTTCATATGTTAACCAGCTCTTTGTAACTTTTAGTAATGTATGTTAACGTTTAAGCATAAAATGTAGCTATTTTAAGTATCAGGAATTTTAGAACTAGCTTTCTTCCTGAATTGTAGTAAAAATCAACTATTTATGGAATGGGAACCTTTGTCTAAATCAAAAAAGAAAAAAAGAAAAATCAGCGATTTAAAACTAAAATAGTATTATTTTTGCCTCTTTTCAGTGATTTCTGGTCTCTTTTTGTAACTTTAAAAAATTGGACTGTCACATCTGTGCTATTATATAATGCTGGTCGATTCTTTGAATAGTTTTTAGGATCAAATTGAGAACTTACATTTTATGGAAAGTCTATTCCAAACTCTTCGTAAGTGCAAAAGCAATGGAGAATAGAAATCATCATAACAGGACATTAAAATTATATTAATTTTCTGTTAAGTACTGAGTTTATGTTCTGTCTATGTTGCAATAATATTTCTAAAATGAAAAATAAATAGTTTCAGGCCATTTTTGTTTGCATTAAGCATGAGAACCTACTCTGTCTTACACATTTTGAGGGAAAAAATTGCTTCCGCTGGCAAGCATTGGAAATGTGAACATTAAATTATTTATATTCAGTGGGGGTACAGTTGAATAATGCACATTATATGGGATCATTTAAAAGTAAATGGAAAACATTATCTGAATCCAAATATACAAATATATGCAAGTGGCATGCTATTGTGGTTTGGTTAAATAAATGCCCTTAGGAATTTTAAGAAAACGTGGGTTGCCAAATCAATTTGTGTTTGAACATTGAAAAGAACATAATAAGACCTAGAAGAGGGGGCATAGTTTTTTCACGTTTTCAGAGTTGTGTTTTCTTTTAGTTTGGTTATGTGCAAATTAAGATTGTGTCTTGAAGAGAGGCTATTATAAGTGTGTGTGGGGAGTGCGGTGGGTGGTGTGGGGTGGGACACTCCCCATGGACTAATTTAGAGTTTAAAAATAAGGCAACATTTCCTCCCATTATTTTGGTCCATTTTTAACGTTTTTATGCATTTTTAAATTTAATTATATTTATTCTTCTGTTTGCCAGGCACCATGCGAGGTGCCGAGGATGCAAAATTGAATAGAGTCTTCCATTACGAGATTTCGAAACTAAAGAACACAGCAGGCAGACAGACCAATGAAAAGTCAGCAATGGCTGAATGGTGATGTGTGTAAAGCACACATGTGATGTGTGATTGCTTGCAGACCATGGAGATTTGCATGCAATACCCAGAAAGCCCATAGAAATAAAAGGACCTGTGAAATGGAGTCACGCGTTTTCTTTATTTTTTACATGTTATTTATTTCTTCGGTATTTCCAATACTCTCTCCTTCATGATTTTGCTTATTGCACTCTCTCCTTTTCATTCCTTCCTCCCTCCCTCCCCTCCTTGCTCCCTCCACGCCTTCCTCTCTCTCTCTCTCCCCCACCCCTTGTCTGTCTTTGTACATACACATAGGGAAGCATGCATAAAACATATAATGGATTGAGTTTAAAGAATAATTTATAAAATTAATATCCATTACCCAGGTTGAAAAACAAAACAAAAAACGCCAACCCAATAATGAGATGTCCAGTCATTCTATCTTTTGTATTGTTTTATTGTCTATGTAAATATCCCTCAACAATACATTGTTTAGTTTTGCCTGTTTTTGAACTTCACATAAATGGTATCATAGGGCATATAGTTTTGTCTGACTTGGTTCTCTCACTATTATGATTTTGAAATGCATTCATGTCGATACATGTACACGGAGTTTATTCATATTCACTGCAGTTTTATTGTGTGAATCTACCCTATTTTATTCATCGAGTCCAATGTTGATGAGTGCATAGGTTGTTTTCAGTATTCTCTGGTCGTGGACAACGTGGGTATGAATATTTGCTCATGGGCTTTGGCATTTTTTTTTTAATTGCAAGGCCCTAGAGAATGAGCATGTTCAAGTTTACTAGAAAATTCTCACTGATTCCAAGGTGGTTGCGGGACTATTTTATTCTCACCAAAAAAATGTATATGAGAACTTGACTGCTTTCTATTCATACCAATACTTGGTGCAGCCAGACTATTAATTTTTGCCATCTGTTGGCAAGCAATTTTTTAAGAAATTTGCATTTCTCTCATTATTATTGAGGTTAAGCATTGTTTTATAGATAGTCTGGCCACTGTTTATTCAGTCTCTCAATAAGTGGGTGTGTTCAAGTTTGTGGATGTTATGACAAAGCAATTTATAACTCGTACAGTTACTTTTTAACATTTCTGCTTCCTTAAGTGGTCAAGAGATATATCATTATGCTTTTTAATAATTTGTATAAGTTTAAGAGGTACAGGTGCAATTTTGTTATAGATATATTACCTACTGCCTTCTGGGCTTTCAATGTATTCATCACCTGAATAATGCACATTGTACTCATGACAGAAATTCTCATCCCTCACCCCCTCCCACTCTCCCACCCTTTGGAGTCTCCAATGTCTGTTTTTCCACTCTCTATATCCATGAGTGCGCATTCTTTAGCTCCCACTTACAAATGAGCACGTCTGGCATTTCACTTTCTAAGTTATTTTACTTAAGATAATAGCCTTCAGTTCCATCCATGTTATTGCAAAAGTCATGGTTTCATTTATTTTTATGGCTGAATAGTAGTCCACTGTGTAGATATACCACATTTTCTTTTTCAATTTTTTTATTCTTATAGATTTAATTTATTTATTTTATTTTATTATTATTATTTTTGTTGGATATGAAGTCTCATTCTGTTGCCCAGGCTGGAGTGCAATGGCACGATCTCGGCTCACTGCAACCTCTACTTCCTGGGTTCAAGCAATCCTCCTGCCTCAGTCTCCAGAATAGCTGGGACTACAGGCATGAGCCACCATACCTGGCTAGTTTTGTATTTTTAGTAGAGATGGGGTTTCACCATGTTGACCAGACTGGTCTCAAACTCCTGACTTCAGGTGATCCACCTGCCTCAGCCTCCCAAACTACTGGGATTATAGGCGTGAGCCACTGCCCGGCTTGGCCTATGCTTTTTGACCAGCAACAACAGCCAATGATTTCAAGCCTTAGACGGAGTGACCTGCTCCACTCCAAGGAAAACTTCCTCTTTCTGCCTGGCCAGTATTAAATCAAACAATAGCCCTCAGCAATTTAATGGGCAAATCACTCCTCTGCCATTAGCCAGGGGATCCACATTTATCATTTGAGAGATCAGCTGTTATTCTGTTCTTGGAACAACTCAAATTTTCTAAAACACAGAAGGCTCTCCGTATACCATCCCAAAGCCACCTGTCAATTGGGTTAACTGGTTAAGTGTCTTCTCTATTTCTTCTTTCCTGGCTGGCCCTAGCCAAGTGTCTTCTCAAACAATCGATTAGTGAAGTGTAAATATAAGTCATTCAACTGACCCTTTCAATTGCCCTTTGAGAATATCTTTTTAGAGTATGCAGATGGAGTTTGAAAATGGTCAACTGAAGTTTTTGTTGCTATGAGGAAGAATATAAAAGGACAATGTCAAAGCTTCATTTTCTTATTCTTTCTGATCCATTGGTTAAAAATTATCTTTTGAAAATCATTTTTCAATTCCCTAACAGCATCATAAATCTTACTTACTGTATCTTGTATAACAGCCACTCATGTCCAGGCATGGTGACTCATGCCTGTACTCCCAGCACTTGGGGAGGCTGAGGCAGGAGGATGGCTTTAGGCCAGGAGCTCAAGACCAGCCTGGGCCACATAGTGAGATCCTATCTCTACAAAAAAATTTTTAAAAATTAGCCAGATATGGTGGTGTGTGCCTGTAGTCCCAGCTACTCAGGAGGCTGAGGTGGGAGGATCCCTTGAGCCTGGTAGTCCAGGGCTGCAGTGAGCTAAGATTGCACTGCTGCACTCCAGCCTGGGTGACAGTGTGAGACCCCATACCTAAAAAACCAAACAAAACAAACAAACAAAACTCACTCAAAATGTTGCCAAAATCCAAATCAGTTTGGAAAGGGTGACGATTTGTATCTGTGGAGATGTTCAGTAATGCATTTAGTGAAGCAACAGTCTCGTGGAAAGAAGCTCAGGCATGAAAGAACACACTCTAGGTTCTGAAAGTGTTTCCAGAAGTCACAATTGTGTTCGATCAAGAAGAGCACCTATGAGTATACGGATAGCTCTAAGGAGATTACTTTGAAAGAGTAAGATTCTTTATCTGTGTACTTTCACAGACTTAAATAAAACACGTGCATTTTAGAATAGTCAGTGTTGCCCTTAAATATCATGCTTGGTACTCCCCAGTACTAATAGTTTCTGCGGCTCTATGTGCAGAAAACACAGGTCTTTAAAATGAAAGTTTTGGGGCCAGGTGCAGTGGCTCACACCCTTAATCCCAGCACTCTGGGAGGCTGAAGCAGCAGGATGACTTGAGCCCAGGAGCTCGAGACCAGCCTGGGCAATATAGGGAGATCCTGTCTCTACAAAAAACATTTAAAAAATTAGCTGCATGTGGTGGTGCACACCTGTAGTCTCAGCTACAACTACATGGAGGCTGAGATGGGAGGATTGCTTGAGTCCAGGAGGTTGAGGCTGAAGTGAGCCATGATCGTACCACTGCCCCCCAGACAGAGCAATAGAACAAGACCCTGTCTCAAAAAAAGGAAGTTTAAACGAATATATTTCTGCATTCTTTTTTTCATCTCATACTACCAAATGGCAAATGAAGACACTTCATTTTCTTTACTCAATCCTTCAATAAAAATATGCTGGAGAATCAGATGCCTTTGTGTTTGTCGTTGGTTTTTATTTGGGGATAAATAAAGCATTCTTTATTTTCATTGCCCAAAAGTATTTTATGTATTGAATTTGCTTGAATTATTCTGAATTAATGACTTGCTTTTTTTATGTACAAATATGTTGATCATAGGTCTAAGCTAGGTAGTATAACTTTTTTCTGGCCCCCTAAAAATTCAAAAGTTTTAAGAATATTTTTATTTTTTCTTTATTATGAAAATAACATGAACGCCCTTTGGAATTGGTGATCTCCTGGGGAAGATAAAGTTATATACTTATAAATAAATAATAACTCAGGTTCAAGGGATCACATAAACTTTCTACAGAGAAAATAGCACAAGAAGTCAACACAAGACAAAATTAAGCTGTATCTATAAAGTATCAAAAGTCACTAAGTGAAAAAAGCCAATTATGAATGTTTAATTGATGATTAAATTTTCATTTTTTAGCCTGTACACATGGCTTGCTTTCTCATTCCACAAATTTGAGCAACTGTATATCTGTAGTACATAAATAACTGGGTGAGAAGCATAACTAGGCAATACAATATTATCTGCAACAATATTTTGGTTGTTTTGCCAAATAGAATGAGTGTATACTCATAGATCAATAATTTTTCTCTTTGAATTTAAAAGACATTCAAAGAAATTTAGATAGAGTGCATGAATAGAAGGCCTTGATATTTTCTCATTTTCCTACTTCTTGAGAACAACTTGTTAAATACTTGCACTATATTGACCTTTAAAGATGTGCCCCTTATGAGGGAGAAGTTTTTTTGTCTTTTTTTAGACAGGGTCTTGCTCTGTTGCTCAGGCTGGAGAGCAGCAGGGCAATCACAGCTCACTGCAGCCTCCACCTCCTGGGCTCAAATGATCCTCCTGCCTTAGCCTCCTGAGTAGCTGGGCCTGCAGACTGTGCTACCATGCCTGGCTAATTTATTTTATTTTATCTTATTTTATTTTATTTTATTTTTTGTAGAGGTGGGGTCTTTCTATGTTGTCCAGACTGGTCTCAAACTCCCAGGCTTAAGTGCTTCTCCAACCTCAGCCTCCCAGTGCTGGGATTACAGGCGTGAGCCACCTTGCCCTGCCTGGAAGAAGTTAGAGCCAGAGTTCCTTCAGGGAGGAATCCTTCTTCATTTTAAAGTTCTGTTTTCCCTTATTCCAGAGCCATGTATTAAAAAAATTAACATATCATTTCGCCTTTTGATTACCTGATTCTTCTGTTTGTCCCTCAGAATACTTTACCAGACATATAACAATATATGGCAATAATTAGACTCCAACTATTTGCTATGAGAAACAAATGTATTTATTCATTGGTGTTTAATCTTGACATGAAAAGAAGTCAAAAACCGTAATTTGAGCAGTTAACACATGATTTATTGTTAAAGGGAGAAAGTCTAACGTTGTAAATTATTTCTCACAGCAAACTTAAAATCCACATATGCTTAATCTTTTAAGAGTTAATGGCCGGGCGCAGGGGCTCACGCCTGTAATCCCAGCACTTTGGGAGGCCGAGGTGGGTGGATCACGAGGTCAGGAGATGGAGATCATCCTGGCTAACATGGTGAAACCCCATCTCTACTAAAAATACAAAAAATTAGCCAGCGTGGTGGCGGGCGCCTGTAGTCCCAGCTACTCGGGAGGCTGAGTCAGGAGAATGGCGTGAACCCGGGAGGCGGAGCTTGCAGTGAGCCGAGATTGCGCCACTGCACTCCAGCCTGGGCGACAGAGCGAGACTCTGTCTCAAAACAAAACAAAACAAAAAAGAGTTAATCTTTTTCTTCCATTATTAAACATCAATGCACCTGAGCAATTTTTTTTTTTTTTTTTTTGAGACAGGTCCTCTCTTTGTCACCCAGGCTTGAATGCAGTGGCATGAGTATGGCTCACTGCAGCCTCAACCTTCTGGGCTGAATTGATCCTTCTGCCTTAGCCTCTCAAGTAGCTGTGACCACAGGCATGCACCACCACACCCGGCTAATTTAATTTTTTTTTTTTTTTTTTGTAGAGATAGAGTCTTGCTATGTTACCCAGGCTGCTCTTGAACTTCCGGGCTCAAGTGATCCTCCTGCCTCAGCCTCCCAAAGTGCTGGGATACCAGGCATGAGCCACCATGCCCAGCCCGCCTGGGCCTTTCTGAAAAACATCCCAGTTTTTCAGGAGAACAAAGAGGGTTTTCTCATTCTACCAACAATAGAACTTCCCCAAAGAGAAGCGGGTGTGCTAGCAAGGTAGAAATGGTTCCAAATGATGGATGACTGCACACTTGGCATTGACAATGAGTCCTAGCCTTCTGAAAGCTGCCTTGGCAATAACATCTATCAGCAGAGAATGTTTCATGGAAAGACACTGGCCATGCGTCCCCTTTTCTGGTTCATAAAGAGTTCAGCATGAGAAACTATGAGTCAGAGAGACAGAAAAAAATATAGACACTTTCTTTTCCTGAGATGGAAATTTCATTGCTTAAATGATAAATATACTTACAGAACAGCCAAAACGATGGTGTTTTAAAAGACATCAAAACTAAAGCCAATTCTCTTTTCTGAAGGAAACATGAGGTTGTAATATTTTAATGCGGCTGCTGGAATTGTGTGTGCAAGTGCTTATAGAAAGAGTGGGGACAGGACAATTTCTTAGGAAGTGGAAATTATGAAATTGAGTGGGTCTAGACCCTGTCAGCCCAAGTTCAGATTTGAAATGTGGTGTTCACATGCCACTTCATTAAGCTCTTTAAATACATTGAAATTAATGATGTAAGGTACATTTTGTTTAAAAACATGCTGTAAGCAGGGAAAAAAAAATCAGAGGTGGTTACATAGATAACAATTGTTCTACATTGTAAATTTCTGGAAATTTGAAATCCATACAATGTGGCTCATGCCTGTAATCCCAGCATTTTGGGAGGCCGAGGCTGAAGGATCATTTGAGGTCAGAAGTTCAAGACCAGCCTGACCAACATGGTAAAACCCCATCTCTACTAAAAATACAAAAATTAGCTGGAGGTGGTGGCAGACACCTGTAATCCTAGCTACTCGGGAGGCTGAGGCAGGAGAATCATTTGAACCCAGGAGGCAGAGATTGCAGTGAACTGAGATCACACTACTGCACTCCAGCCTGGGCAACAGAACAAGACTCTATCTAAACAAACAAACAAACAAAACAAAAAAACCCCAAACCCAACCAAAAAAATTGAAACACCAAAACACTGAGAATATATATATATATATATTTTTTTTTTTCCTATGAAACCAATGATGTATCACTTTGGGGTCTTTTACATTTCTTTTCCATCTGTTTTTCAACTTATAGTAATAATCAGATCATCTTTCATAATTCAGAGTCATAGAATTTATTTCTGGACCTTTTTTGATATTGATTTGCAATGTCACAAAATTTCTCAGCTAGACTCTCAAAAACTGGCTATGAACATAGTATGATTCAAAATACATTTGCAGAATGCAGTTTCCATTTTTATGGTCCAAAACAATTTATTTGAAGGAAAGGGGACAAATTTGTAATTGAGATGGGATGGATGAGGGCTTTGTCAACTTTCTAGGATAATACTTCATTATGGAGAAATGCATTGCAATTTCTAATACAGAGAAGTGTGATTTTCTACATGTGTATCTTTTGTTATTTAAATGGAAGAGATATGGGGATTATTTCACATTTATGAATTTTTAAAATTCAGGCCACAATGATGAAAGCAAGCAAGCATGAGGACGTGACACACTGCCCCGAAACTTAGTGGCTAAAAAAAACAAATACTCATTGTTTGGCACAAGAGTGTCTCTGGTTTTGTAATTTGGACTGGGCTCAGCTGGGTGGCTCTTCTTTTCTTGCCTGGGCTCCCTCATGTATCTGTGGTCAGTTCACAGGTTGGCTGGGGGCTGGAGGGTCTAGGACAGACTCAGGCAAGGTGACAACTCATTTCATCTCCTAGTGATTTGAATGAACTCCAGTAGTTTGGCTCTGATTTGTATACATGGGACTTGGGCTGAGGTCCAAGAGCTGAAACATGAAAGACCTTGTGAAGCCCAGGTTTAAAACTATCATGCTATCCCTTCCACTGCATGCTGTTGACTAAAGAAAGACAATGCAGATTCATGGGGAGGGCTAGTGCACTTCACTTGTTAATGGGAGGAGTGACAAAGTCGTCTTACATAGGGTGTGGACAGGGAGGGGCTATGGCAGGTGGCCAGTTTGCAATGAACCACAAATAGTAAAACATACTATTGTTGAGCTCTCTAAAAGTATATTATATTTCATCTAAAAAAATAAACAATCTAAGAGTAGTGTTGAAATCTCTCTAGAAAAGACCTTATAGCTAGATTTTTAGGCTTTCATATTGATTATGATGATACCAAAAAATTAAACTATTGGATTAACTTGGAAATTAACAAACAAAGCACAGTATAGCTTTTTTAATGGTGTGCTTCCATTATTCATTATATAAAGTATTTAAATCCAGGAACAGATAGTAGGGATTGTCAAACAGAAGCACTTTAACTGAGAGCCATAGAGATGTATCACTAAAGTATCACTTAACTCTAGCCCTTTAATAATGCACACTCACGTTTTTAAGGGAAAAGAGTGAAATAAAATAGAGCGTGTAACTTTCATATAAGGAGAGGGGGAATATAGAAATAGATTTTAACTCAATCAATTCAAGAGTAGGCAGCAAAGAAGAAAATGAAGAGCGTTTGGTAAATGGAAAACACAAAATAAGCAGGAGAAAATAAGATCCGATATATCAGATATAAGAATAAATGGAGTTCTCTTTGCCATCTTTTCTCCTCCCGTGGAGCTGCTGCCATGAATGTCGAGGTTTGCAGTTTCAGAGGGTACAAGATCTACCCCGGACACGGGAGGTGCTATGCCAGGACCAATGACGAGAAGGTTTTCCAGTGTCTTAATGCAAAATGCGAGTTGGCGTTCCTTGCCAAGAGGAATCCTTGGCAGGTAAACTGGACTGTCCTCTACAGAAGGAAGCACAAAAAAGGACAATTGGAAGAAATTCAACAGAAAAGAAGCTGCTGAGCAAATTGCAGAGGGCCCTTAATGGTGCAATCTCTCATTGACATAATGGCCAAGAGGAATGAGAAACTTGACATTAGAAAGGCTCAATGAGAACAAGCTATCAGGGCTCATAAAGAAGCAAAAAAGGCTAAGCAAGCAGCTAAAAAGACCGCAATGGCTGCTGCTAAGACACCTATTAGGTTGGTGCAAAAGTAATTGCGTTTTTGCCAAAGGCAGCACCTAGGCAGACAATTGCAAAGCCTGTGGAAGTTTCAGCTCCCCAAGTTGGTGGAAAACGCTAAGCCGACAGATCAGATTTTAAAGTAAAGATTGGACTATAACTCTAGGTTGTGCTGGAGATTTTATTCTCATAATAGGCATGTTGGGCCTTACATGGTCATAGGTGAACTAATAAAGTTAAGAATGTAAGAGGTAGGTATTTTATTAAAAAGTCTATTTGCTTAGCTGGGGTGTGTCGGGCACATTACAAAAACTTCTTTGTCTTAACTTTTTGGTTACATGGCTGTAAGTACTAGGATGTTCCATGGCTGTAAGTACTAGGATGTTACATGGATTTGCCTGGCTCGGTGACAAATGCCTGTAGTCCCAACATTTGGGAGGCCTAGGCAGGCAGATCGCCTGACCTTAGGAGTTCAAGACCAGCCTGGGCAACATGGCAAAACCCTGTCTCTACAAAAAATACAAACCCTGTTTCTACAAAAAATACAAAAAATATAAAAATGAACTGCAGGTGCATGGTGGCATGCACCTGTAGTTTCAGCTATTTAGGAGGTGGAGGTGGGAGGATCACATGAGCCCAGGAGGTCGAGGCTACAGTGAGTCAAGATTGCACCACTGCACTCCAGCCTGGGTGACAGCGAGACCCTGTCTCAAAAATGAAAAAAAAAGGATGTACTTTTTAGACTATTTTCTAGTTAAATTACTTTTTCCCATGATAGACAAATTTAGTTTATATTGGGTTTGCCTTGTAGCCATTGGTATCTTGCCTATCATTTGCTAATAGGTGAGTTGAAGGTGCTTAAAACTATCAGCTGTATTAATCTGCTCTTGCTTACAGAAAATATGCCTAAATGAAAAGCATGGCTGCTTGAGTAAAGAGTATCCTTAGCTAGACTCCTGGAGTAGTTTGTTGAGCTGGGGGTTTGCCAGAGCCATGCTAAATTGCAAAAATGTCTGAATAAACTGCTGATATTCAAGAGATATGTATATTGAAGATGTGATAAAATAGTAGTAATCATGACTTACATGTAAAGCATAGGCTTGTCCTTCTACAGAAAGTAGATCGTTTTTAACCTGCCAGCCTGTGCCAAGTTGCAAGGATACAACAGTGGACAAATCACAGTGCTCTTTCAGGAAACATCAGAACACTAGGTGAGGGTATAGTCAATGTCAACATTTTCCTCCATTCCCATTCTTTCCAAGGTGATAGAATTAATTTTTCATTCTAGTGCATGTTACATTCAGACATCTAAGTTTTGCAGATAAAATGAGTAAGTCCCTTTGGGAACCTGAAAATGGAAACCATATGTAAAATCAACATAAGAAATATGTAAGGCTGGGTGCAGTGGCTCATGCCTGTAATACCAGCACTTTGGGAGGCTGAGGCAGGTGGATCGCTTGAGGTCAGGAGTTTAAGACCAGCGTGGCCAACATGGTGAAACCCCTTCTCTACTAAAAATACAAAAATTAGCTGGATGTGGTGGCACATGCCTTAATCCCAGCTACTCGAGAGGCTGAGGCAGGAGAATCACTTGAACAAGGGAGGCCGAGGTTGCAGTGAGCTGAGATCATGCCACTGCACTCCAGCCTGGGCGACAATGGAAGACTCCGTCTCAAAAAAAAAAAAAAAAAAAAAGCAAGGTAATACAGACTTTTGCTCATAAAAGCAAAATGTTAAGATTTTGCTTGGGGGAAAAGCTCTCTTTTTTCGTATAGACAATATTATGCTATATTTAGGAAATTACTGGGAAAATAAAATCATACCCAACTTGAATGTAGAGCTATGCTTGATAACTTTTGGGTACTAAAATGTCCCCTTAAAAATAAATAAATAAATAAATAAATAGATAAATAAATGTGAATGGATTAAACTCACCTCTTAAGAGACAGATTTTTTCTAAGAGTGAACAAAAAATTAAAAATTTAAGGAGACACAAGTGAAGCATAAAAAACATAAAAGTTTGAAAATAAATATTAAAAACAGAGAAAATAACACAAATAAAGCTGGCATAATAATGTATTAGAAAAACAACTTCCAGGCAGAAATCATTATTGGGGATTACAGGATTCACTGCTTAAAAAAAGGAACAATTTACTAGGAAAATATAATAATCTTTAACCTATATGAATCTAACAAAATTGCCCTAAAAGTAGAAAGCAAATTGTCGTAATTATAGAGAGAAATTAAAAATCACAACTGTGTAAAAAATTTAATGCTCTCTTGAAATATGTCAAACGGATTTTTTAAAAAAGAATAACACTGATATCAACACATAGATAATCAGGTTCTTTCCAAGCACAGAGACAAATGGTATAGGATTTGAGCAATTAAAACTACCAAGCATTGAGAATATATATCTTTCCAAGTATATATGGCACATATCCTTTAAGTGACTACCACACTATGTTAAATAGCGTTTTTCTTTTACAAATTTTAAATGTGATTGAGATAGCATTCTTTAATTAAAATGCAAAAATAGAATTAAGTTATAAGAAGTAGCCTTTTCCACCCACACATTTGGAAAGTAAAATCAAAATTATAAATAATTCACTCATTAAATACTTAAAACTACAAACAAAATGACAAACTGTTTAGCATAGCATCACGTGAAAGTACCTTGTACCCAAATAGATAACTTGATAGTGGGAAGGAATGTATAACTTTAAATGCATATTCTAGAAAATAAGAACTGCTGAAAGTTAATGAATTAAATATTCAACTCAAGAATTTTTAAAGCAGTGAACAAGAAAATCCACAAAAGTTATCACAACAAAGCAAATTAATAAAAACAAATGAATAAAATACAACACAACAAACAGAAAATTAATAACACAGGAACAGAAAACCAAATACCACATGGGCTCACCTGCAAGTGGGAGCTAAACATTGGGTACTCAGGGACACAAAGATGGGAATTATAGACACTGGGGGCTACTGGAGGGGGAGGGGTTAGGGGGTGTTGAAAAACTACCTATTGGGTACAATGCTCACTTCCTGGGTGATGGGATCATTTGTACTCCAAACCTTAATGACATGTGATTTACCCATGTAACAAATCTGCATCTGTACCCCCTGAACCTAAAATAAAAGTTTAAAAAAAGATATACAGACAAAAGTAACAGGAAATTAAAACTTGAAAAAATAGAGTGGATAATTAAACCAAAAGCCATTTTAAAAAATTACCAATGAAATAGAAAACTCTGGCAAGATTAAGCAAGAATATAAGAATGCTGAGACCAGTAAACAATATTAAATACAAACAGGGAGCTAAAACTAACAGATAAAGGCAAACTGAACATCTTAGAATAGCAGGGGGAAAAAGGCAAATTTCAGTAGATTAAAAAAAATTGGAAGAATATGTATTGTTTTAAGGATGACATTCAAACAAATTTCTTATTACATTGACTCAACTCTGTGCAATTGAAATATTTCATTACTCAAAGTAGAAAGTAATTACATGTTAAGCATCTTAATTGGTGAACAGACTGCCAGAAATTTGAATGATCAACCTACACATCATTTCTAGCTTGAAGCATAATAAATGACTCAAAACAGATCCTGCTAATACATTTAGAGGATATGTTGTTTTTCAGTGAAAGTAGTAAAATAGTTTCATGGGAAATTTATGAGACCAGAAAATTATGTTCTACTTTGGAAAGATTACAAGGCTAAACTCTGTTGTGAGAATGACTGAGATATCCCTTCATTCAATGTCTTAACATTTTAACTGACAGACACATCATAGTACATCTTTTCTCCAGATTGGCAACATTTTGTGAGCTTTAATATGGGTAATAAAATGCCATTATTTAATAATGATGCCACAATCTTACATTTTTTATATGGCTTAGCATTGTACAAAATGTGTTGACATGTTGAATCTGTTTACCCATTTAATTGATATGTAATTTGTCCACATGACCACTTGCTCCTTCTTCATCATCATATCTAACTATCTATATATTTTTTGAGACAGGGTCTTGCTCTGTTGCTCAGGCTGGAGTGCAGTGGTGCAGTCATAGCTGTCTTCAGCCTCTACCTCCTGGGTTCAAGTGATCCTCCTGCCACAGCCCGTCAAGTGGCTGGAACTACAGGTGCATCATCAGGCCCAACTAATTTTTTTATTTTTTTATTTTTTGTGGAGACAGTGTCTCACCATGTTGCCCAGGCTGGTCTCCACCTCTGGCTCAAGTGATCCTCTTGCCTGGGCCTCCCAACTTGCTGGGATCAAAGGCGTGAGCCACCATGCCTGGCCATATTAATATTATAATTTTTTTTCCACAAATGTAAAACCTTAGCATAATTAAGGATGACTGACTTGCTCAAGGTCATATATCTAGAAAGTGTCTAAGTCGGGACTAACTTGGATCTCCTGACACATAGATTAGTGTTATTTCCACTAGAAGTTTTCCCATTCTTTTTTTTTTTTTTTTTGAGACGGAGTCGCGCTCTGTCGCCTAGGTTGGAGTGCAGTGGCGCGATCTCGGCTCACTGCAAGCTCCGCCTCCTAGGTGGCGCCCGCCACCATGCCCGGCTAATTTTTTGTAATTTTAGTAGAGACGGGGTTTCACCGTGATAGCCGGGATGGTCTCGATCTCCTGAACTCGTGATCCGCCCGCCTCGGCCTCCCAAAGTGCTGGGATTACAAGCGTGAGACACCGTGCCTGGCCAGAAGTTTTCCCATTCTTGGTGTGAGGAGACATTAATCATTTCTTCATCTGTCTAGGTCTGTCTAGGTGTTTGTGTGTGTGTGTGTGTGTGTGTGTGTGTGTGTGTATGTGTATATGTGTATGTGTGTGTGTATGTGCATATGTGTGTGTGTGTATGTGTGTGTAAGGGCAATGTGACCCCTTGACTTATCATCCCCTGAAATCTCCAAAACGTAGATCTTGGGTGTTATGAAATATATAAGAACTTTGGGACCTGCTAACCCAAAATTGGAAGATGATGTTAATTTTTCCATCTTTACTATAAAACCTAGCAGTTCAACAGCCAACAATAGCAACTGAATAAAACTAAAAATTGGAGCGGTCAACTTCATGAGCAAACTGGACGGCAGGCTTGTTATCAGGGGGTGGGTTGGTAGGTAGCAAATGAAATATTGAATAAAAGCTATGGTCCAAAAGCCACAAATGGAAGGCACTGAAGACATTACCAAGCAGGGTTGATGGGTGGGCCCACACAACATACATATCTATAGACAAATCAAGTGAAGCAGTCATTCTCTCAGTCTTGCTACAAGATATGGTAGGTGGCCAATGTCAGTCCTGCTAATATCTGGGCTCCAACAGAATACATTGGAAATCTCAATCTAGTCTCTTTAAAATGAAGCCAATCCACTGCCTTCAAAAATCACACCTCTGGGCCAAACATGGTGGCTCACACCTTTAATCCCAGCACTTTGGGAGGCCCAGGCAGGAGGATTGCTTGAGCCCAGGAGTTTGAGAAAAGCCTTGGCAACATACTGAGACCTCGTCTCTAAAGAAAAATACAAAAATTAGCCAAGTGTGGTGGTACACACTTGTAGTCCCAGTTACTCGGGAGGCTGAAGTGGGAGGATAGCTAGAGTTCAGGAGGTCGAGGTTGCAGTGAGCCAAGATCACGCTACTGCACTCCAGCCTGAGAGACAGAGCAAAACCCTGTCAAAAACAAAACAAAACAAAACAAAACAAAACAAAACAAAACACCCAAATATTCCCAAATCTGAATGGACAAGGAGCTTATATCAAAGAATTTTTTTTTTGAGTAAATAGAATAACCTTATGTTATAGAACACAAGGGTTATGGGGTTTCATTTTCTATGTCAAACCAAGCTTGTTTAAAAGAAACCTCAAAAAGCCACTTAATTCAGAGCTATAGAGAAAGCACAACATTCAATAAACTCAGCAATGGTGAACATCAAATAATTTGCTGTGGCAATAAAACAAAACAAAAAAATTATTTTATTGAAAACTTTTAAGTTCACGGGTGCATGTGAATGTTCCATAGGTAAACTTGTGTCTTGTGGGTGTGTTGCACAGATTATTTCATCACCTGGGTATTGAGCTTAGTCCCCATTAGTTATTTTTCCTGATCCTCTCCCTCCTCCCTCCCTCCACTCTCTGAAAGGCCACAGTGTGTGTTGCTCCCTTCTATGTGTCCATGTGTTCTCATAGTTTAGCTCCCACTTATAAGTGGGAACATGTGATATTTGGTTTTCTGTTCCTGCATTAGTTGGCTGAGGATAATGGCCTCCAGCTCCATTCATGTTCCTGCAAAGGACATGATCTTGTTCTTTTTTATGGCTGCATAGTATTCTGTGGTGTATATGTACCACATTTTCTTTATCTAGTCCATGTTGATGGGCATTTAGGCTTATTCCCATTCAAATGCAATCATGGTGCTAACATAGTGCTATGAGATCTTGAGATGTGCCAAAATATAAAATAGAACATGAGATCTTTTTGGAAACAAATGCCTATAATGGAGTGGGAGGCATTTATGTGAAGCCTTTTATGTGTAATAGTAGCCAAGATAGAGCTAAAAACAAATGTGTACAGTACTTTCTCCACTCAAAGACAATGGTGTTAGATACAAGACCAGATATCCCCATCCCGCTGTGTTTTGTTGGTCAAAACAGAGTGAGTGGGGAATTTGATTCAAACTCATCACCACTGTTGTTTAAACAGAGAAGACCAAGTGCCATTGATGGTTTGAGCTAGTTTAAATGGTTAGAAAAGGCAGAAGATGTAAATTAAAGTTTTGTTCTGGTCTTTCAAAACCTTCTGTAAACTGAAACCCTACTGAGCCATCCCACCCTTCTTACTATCCACCCTAATACTATCTTAGGCATATACATCCTCTATCTTCTACTGTGATATCTTTACATTGTATTGCTCTTCTGTTGCTGTATGTCAAATATCTGGAAATGTACACACTTTTTTTTTTTGAGACAGGGTCTTGATCTGTCAATTAGGCTGGAGTGCAGTGGCAAGATTACAGCTCACTGCAGCCTTGACCTCCCGAACTCACGTGATCTTCCTGCCCTAGCTGCCTGAGTAGCTACTCAGGCCTGGGACTACAGGCATGTGGCACCACGCCTGGCTAATTTTTGTATTTTTTGTAAAGATGGGGTTTTGCAATGTTGCCCAGGCTGGTCTCAAACTCCTGGACTCAAGCAATTCATCCGCTTCAGCCTCCCAAAGTGTTGGGATTACAGGTGTGGGCCACCATGCCCTGCCAGGCTATGTCTTTTATGGAAACCCAACTGAAGAAAGGATTGCATTCAAGCTCCCTTAGGTAGTCGGAAAAGTCCGTTTACTGGGAAAAGTCCACTCTAGGAGCTTAGTGTGGTCCCCCGCCAACAGTCAGCAAGAAAGCACAAGACTGAGGTCTCTGTTTTCTTGCTGACTGTTGGCCGGGGACCACACTCAGTTCCTCCCTAGAGGCTGCCCCCGGGTCCTTGCCCTGTGGACCCCTTCACAGGCAGTTCTAAGCATGGCTGTTTGCTTTTTCAAAGTCAGCAAGAGAAAGACCAGCAAGAGAATCTTAATTAATTTGAATCTCTCCCTCAGGGAAGGCTTGAAACTGTTTTTAAAGACTCACCTGATTAGGTGTGGCCCACTCAAAATCATCTTAAAGTCATGACTCAAAGTCAGTTTGATTAGAGACCTTAATTACATGTTCAGAATCTCTTTACTTGCCCATCAATGGTAGGCTGATGAAAGAAAATGTGGTATATATACACTGTGGAATACTATGCAGCCATAAAAAAGATTGAGATCATGGCTTTTGCAGGAACATGGATGGAACTGGAGGCCATTATCCTTAGCAAATTAACATAGGAACAGAAAGCCAAATACTGCATGTTCTCACTTATATGTAGGAACTAAATGATGAGAACACATGGTTGCATAGTGAGGAACAACACACACACTGGGGCCTACTTGAGGGTGGAGGGTTGGAGGAAGAATGGGATCAGGACAAATAACTAATGGATAGTAGGCTTAGAACCTGGGCGATGAAATAATCTGTAAAACAAACCCCATGACACAAGTTTACCTATATAACAAACCTTCACATATGCCCCTGAACCTAAAATAAAAGTTAAAAAAAAATAACAAACATACTATTACCATATGCCATCCCCGACCAAAAAACCCCAGTAAAATCTCTTTACCTTTGCCATATAATATACCTTAATCAAAGGATTGACTAGACCATTATATTCTTAGCATCCACAGCAGGAAGTAGAAATCATGGGGAGCATCTTAAAAACTCTTCCGACCACTGTCCACCTCTGACCACTAATGGTATACATCCTTTCCAAACACAAAATGCATTCACATCCTTCAATGCTCCCAGGAGTCTCCCCCTACTCTTCTTGAAAGGATGTCACCCTCTATCTCTAAGCTGTTCTTGAGTCCCCAACTTACACTGGCTTCAATTATTTAAAAGTTTATTTTTCACAATAAATTGAGTCACGTATGTTTGTTTTTCTCCCTTGCTACTTTGAGGGTAGAAACATTCCTTGTGTTTCTTTGGCAGATCACAGAAGCTAAAATGTAGCTCAGAAAAATTGTGTACAACTCACAAATACTTGTTCATTGACTGGACAATTTTGCAGGGTGAGACTGCGAAAATTAAGGGCCCCTAAAAATAAAGAGATGGAACAAATATGTAAGAAAGAGCCATGAAAACTGAATTCTCAAGTAATTCACGATGGCTGAAATACTTAGGATATTATATTATCCTAATACAGTCTAAAAAATTCTAATATGTATATTAATGATCTCATTATGATAGTGAGATTAATAGATATATTAATGATATCAAGGTGAGGGAAAATTGTGAGCTATGTGAGATGTTCTTCAAGCATCAGCAACTTCATAGTTGAGGTAATCCAATAGGGAGATACATTTTTAAAAAGTCTCTTGGGGATGGAGCGTTAAAATCTTTGATACAGAGAAAAATTCTGCAAAAGTGTGAATTAGAAACTCTACACTCCTCTCTGTGGCATCGCCAGATTGTTTTAATGCATGTGCATTCTCAAACAGCCAAAAAGCAAACAAATATTTCACAGGGTTGATTAGCGTCTGCCTTCGATAAAAAGAAAAAAAAAATGGGAGCGCTAGAGGGAGCTCTTGCGCTGTGGAAGATAGATACCAAAGCAGTCCTGCATGATTCTTTCCCGCTTGGACAAAAATAAATGAATAAGAATGAAAACAAACCCCGACAGTTAGAAAAGAAGAGCTACTTTTATTCTCAGTGACTTGATGATCACAGCCTACCCTGCTGAGGTTGGGAAAGAAAAAAAAATTGGGAGCGATAGAGGGAGCTCTTGCCCTGTGGAAGATAGATACCAAAGCAGTCCTGCATGGTTCTTTCCCACTTGGACAAAAATAAATAAGAATGAAAACAAACCCCGACAGTTAGAAAAGAAGAGCTACTTTTATTCTCGGTGACTTGATGATCACAGCCTACCCTGCTGAGGTTGGGAAAGGCTCTGTGGGTTTGCTTTGCTGGAGCCATTAGTGTTCAGGGAGCAAGCAGTGCAGGGCTGAGCTGCCCAAGTCAGCAGCCTAATTAATCTCGCAGGCTCAGTGGGAACCTTTGGGTTTATTCATTAGCTGCAAGGGTGAAGCCAGACGCATGTGTTCACGCTGAGGCAAAATGAGGGCAGAGCAAACAGGGGTAAGTGCATGGGTCTGCATGTGTCAGAGAGTGAGATGAGGAAGGAAAAGAACTTGGACATCCATCATCAAAGGCAAAACAAACCTGGCAGACCTGTTTCACCACCTTCCAATCAATACGTCTTATCTATTCAAATTTTCTGCACGCTGCAGCAACATTCGTTTGCTGATAGATTCTAGAATGTGTGCACCCGTGCATCAAAATGAAGGCATGGTCTTCCCCGCACTTTGGGGAAAAGGACATCATTGCCGTCAGACACTTGATACAAAATATTAGTTCTAGCCAAGTGTTCGAAACTCTAGCAAGTGCATATAAATGAACTGTTTTTGTTTGTTCTTTGTGTTTTTATCCTTACATCTGGTGGGACATTTTCTTGAGTAGCTCTTTTTTTTTTTTTTTAAGTTTTATTGAGGTATAATTGATCTGCAAAAGAGGCACATATTTAATGTATACAATTTGATGAGTTTGGACACATGTGTGCACCCATTTTACTGTTGGGACTGCTGTTGTGAAACCTCAGTTCTTGTCTTCTTAGTTTCAAAGAATTTAAACAAGAGACACACAGCAAGGGACATGCAGCATAGAGCAATTTCTTGTAAAGGAAAAAGAATATTTTGAAAGTTTGGTGCAGAATAGACAGTACACCCTGAGAGAGAGAAATTTCAGGGCAGGCTTCTCATAAGGGTGAGACAGTATTGATTATTGCTGGAGAAACTCCCTTTATGGGAGTGTTACATGGTGATTCATAAGGGGATGGGAGAGGTGTTGCTAGTAAGCATGTTCTGGGTGGTCCTCTGGGTGCACATGCCCAGTAGCTGTACATGCTTGTTCATGGACTGCAGGTCTCATTAGCATCTTATATCTCTACCGAGGGGTATTTTTTAACTATTAAAATGAGCAAAGGGTCAGTTTGAGGACAGGTAAAATAAAAATGCACGTGGTCTCTAGAAGGGAAAGTCCCTACTGAAGATAGCTTAGCTTGAATGAGCTCAATGACAATGCAAATGCTGAGGTTTATTGTGTTGATTGTATGGTCACCAGAGTTGCTGTGTCCCGAGGACACGGTCACTTTCTTTAATACTATCGTCACTATCAAGATAAGAAACATACCCATTACCTCCAAAAGCTTTTTCTGTCCCTTTTTCTTTTTCGGATTTTTCTTGAGTGTGTGTGTGTATATGTGAGGACTAAACTCTGATTTCTTATCTTGCCCAAATTCCTATCTCAAGAGTCTGGGGAGCCATGCCCTACAAACCATAAATTCTCATCAGATGGTTTCATTTAACCCTATATATTGTGACTTACCTTCCAATATGACTCTGGCATAATGTTACATGACAAAGAAGAAAATAAAAATATTTTACCCCAAAACATGTTTCTTTGCCATATTTTGAAATGGCTTTGCAAAGCCATCCTTTGCGGGGGAAAATGTGCATCTGTAAAGAATCTCTATTCACATAGCTAGATCTTTTTCTTCCAGGCCCTCCTAATGCTGAAGAGATTAACTGAGAGTCTAGCACGTTTTAAAGGGTCTGAATAGGAAATATTTGTCATCTATTATCTCTAAGGGCAGCCACTATGAGACTTCAAAAGAACCTTGGTCTTCACAGTCTTTTATCTTAACCTGAACATTTCCTTTCTATTGATCCCAGGTCTTTAGATGAACTCAACCAATTGTCAACCAGAAAATGTTTAAATTTACCTATAGCCTGGAAGCCCCCTACTTTGAATTGTCCTGCCTTTCTGGACCAAACCAATGTATTTCTCAAATGTATCTGATTGATGTCTCATGCCTCCCTAAAATGTATAAAACCAAGCTGCGCCCCAGCCGCCTTGGGCACATGTTCTCAGGACCTCCTGAGGGCTGTGTCATGGGCCATGGTCACTTGTATTTGGCTCAGAATAAATATTTTCAAATACTTTACAGAGTTTGACTCTTTTTGTTGACAACGTGTGTGATAAGAACACACAACATGAGATTTATCCCCCTCTTAACAAGTTTTTAAGTGTAAAAATACTGCATGATTCCATTTGTTTTGTTATGATATATGTTGGTTTTTGTTCATTGGTCCTGGCCCATAACTCCCATAGCCCTGGTTACAGTCTTTTTTCATAATATTGGGTGTTTTCAGGCCTCAGGGGCACGTCTTTCACCTTCTCCTGCATTCCTTTCATTCTAATGTTCCCCTGCCTTTCTGAGTGTGGGTTTCAAGACCCTCCTGATACAGACAGGAAACAGGGAAATATCGGGTAGAAGAGGGCGGTTCCCCTGCAAATGCGTCACCCTCAAGCCTGGAAACCTGTGACCCTAACTGGGAACAGGCATTCCCGTTTTTGCACCCAAAAGTTGCCTTTTGGCCCACCACACCCATCTATCCTGTACCCATATAAATCCCAAACCCCCGGTTCCAGAAGGAGATGAGAGACGAACAGAAGAGCAGAGGAGTGGCAGAACGGTATGGCAGAGAGAAGAAAAGAGGCATCTGAACGCTGAGAGGAGTTCAGCTGGGGATGGTCGGAGAGGAGATAGGCCATGGGCAGCCAAACTCCAGGGGAAGACCATCTTCCCACTCCATCCCCCCTTCCAGCTCCCCATCCATCTTGCTGAGAACCACCTCCACCACTCAATACAACCCCCACACTCATCTTTTAAGTCCTTGTGTGACCTAATTGTTCCGGGATGCTGGACAAGAGCTCGGGATAAGGAGGAGACCACCCCTCATATTGTCTTATGCCCAATTTCTGCCTCCAAAGAAAGAAGAAGTAAAAACTAAAAGGCAGAAATGAAATCCACAAGCAGACAGCCCCGCACCACACCCTGGGCCTGGTAATTAAAGATCGACCCCTGACCTAATCGGTTATTTGTATAAGAAAAGCACTGTGAAGATCCCTGTCCTGTTCTGTTCCGTTCTAATTACTGGTGCATGCAGCCCCCAGTCACGTACCCTCTGCTTGCTCAATTGATCACGACCCTCTCATGCTGACCCCCTTAGAGTTGTGAGCCCTTAAAAGGGACAGGAATTGCTCACTCAGGGAGCTCGGCTGTTGGAGACGTGAGTCTTGCCAAAGCTCCTGGCCAAATAAAGCCCTTCCTTCTTTAACTCAGTGTCTGAGAGGTTTTGTCTGTGGCTTGTCCTGCTACATTTCTTGGTTCCCTGACCGGGAAGTGAGGTGATTAACGGACGGTTGAGGCAGCCCCTTAGGCGGCTTAGGCCTGCCCCGTGGAGCATCCCTGTGGGAGACTGCGGCCAGCTTGAGTGACGCAGATCCTGAGTGTGCTCCCAGGTAGGCAATTGCCCCGGTGGAATGCCTTGCCAGAGCAGTGCGTGGCAGGCCCCCGTGGAGGATCAATGCAGCAGTTGAACACTGGAAAGGAACTGGCACTTGGAGTCTGGACATCTGAAACTTGGTAAGACTAGTCTTTGGAACTTGCCCCACTCCATCTGAGTGGAAGTGTGGCCTGATCACCCACAGTGTGCCTGTACCAGCACTTCAGTTTTTTTTTTTTTTTTAATTATACTTTAAGTTTTAGGGTACATGTGCACATTGTGCAGGTTAGTTACATATGTATACATGTGCCATGCTGGTGCGCTGCACCCACTAACTCGTCATCTAGCATTAGGTATATCTCCCAATGCTATCCCTCCCCCCTCCCCCCACCCCACCACAGTCCCCAGAGTGTGATATTCCCCTTCCTGTGTCCATGTGATCTCATTGTTCAATTCCCACCTATGAGTGAGAATATGCGGTGTTTGGTTTTTTGTTCTTGCGATAGTTTACTGAGAATGATGGTTTCCAATTTCATCCATGTCCCTACAAAGGACATGAACTCATCATTTTTTATGGCTGCATAGTATTCCATGGTGTATATGTGCCACATTTTCTTAATCTAGTCTATCATTGTTGGACATTTGGGTTGGTTCCAAGTCTCTGCTATTGTGAATAATGCCGCAATAAACATACGTGTGCATGTGTCTTTATAGCAGCATGATTTATACTCATTTGGGTATATACCCAGTAATGGGATGGCTGGGTCAAATGGTATTTCTAGTTCTAGATCCCTGAGGAACCGCCACACTGACTTCCACAATGGTTGAACTAGTTTACAGTCCCACCAACAGTGTAAGAGTGTTCCTATTTCTCCACATCCTCTCCAGCACCTGTTGTTTCCTGACTTTTTAATGATTGCCATTCTAACTGGTGTGAGATGATATCTCATAGTAGTTTTGATTTGCATTTCTCTGATGGCCAGTGATGATGAGCATTTTTTCATGTATTTTTTGGCTGCATAAATGTCTTCTTTTGAGAAGTGTCTGTTCATGTCCTTCGCCCACTTTTTGATGGGGTTGTTTGTTTTTTTCTTGTAAATTTGTTTGAGTTCATTGTAGATTCTGGATATTAGCCCTTTGTCAGATGAGTAGGTTGCGAAAATTTTCTCCCATGTTGTAGGTTGCCTGTTCACTCTGATGGTAGTTTCTTTTGCTGTGCAGAAGCTCTTTAGTTTAATTAGATCCCATTTGTCAATTTTGGCTTTTGTTGCCATTGCTTTTGGTGTTTTGGACATGAAGTCCTTGCCCACGCCTATGTCCTGAATGGTAATGCCTAGGTTTTCTTCTAGGGTTTTTATGGTTTTAGGTCTAACGTTTAAATCTTTAATCCATCTTGAATTGATTTTTGTATAAGGTGTAAGGAAGGGATCCAGTTTCAGCTTTCTACATATGGCTAGCCAGTTTTCCCAGCACCATTTATTAAATAGGGAATCCTTTCCCCATTGCTTGTTTTTCTCAGGTTTGTCAAAGTTCAGATAGTTGTAGGTATGCGGCGTTATTTCTGAGGGCTCTGTTCTGTTCCATTGATCTATATCTCTGTTTTGGTACCAGTACCATGCTGTTTTGGTTACTGTAGCCTTGTAGTATAGTTTGAAGTCAGGTAGTGTGATGCCTCCAGCTTTGTTCTTTTGGCTTAGGATTGACTTGGCGATGCGGGCTCTTTTTTGGTTCCATATGAACTTTAAAGTAGTTTTTTCCAATTCTGTGAAGAAAGTCATTGGTAGCTTGATGGGGATGGCATTGAATCTGTAAATTACCTTGGGCAGTATGGCCATTTTCACGATATTGATTCTTCCTACCCATGAGCATGGAATGTTCTTCCATTTGTTTGTATCCTCTTTTATTTCCTTGAGCAGTGGTTTGTAGTTCTCCTTGAAGAGGTCCTTCACATCCCTTGTAAGTTGGATTCCTAGGTATTTTATTCTCTTTGAAGCAACTGTGAATGGGAGTAAACTCATGATTTGGCTCTCTGTTTGTCTGTTGTTGGTGTATAAGAATGCTTGTAATTTTTGTACATTGATTTTGTATCCTGAGACTTTGCTGAAGTTGCTTATCAGCTTAAGGAGATTTTGGGCTGAGACGATGGGGTTTTCTAGATATACAATCATGTCATCTGCAAACAGGGACAATTTGACTTCCTCTTTTCCTAATTGAATACCCTTTATTTCCTTCTCCTGCCTAATTGGACCCCCCACAGTGGTTAAGAGGACAGGCAGCAGCAGTACTAGTAGCAAAGGGAGAGTTAGTTAAGGAAGGTTCTCGCCCCACCCGCCGAGGGAAATCAGCACCATAAGTCTTGTCCAAGCCAACACCAGAAGAATCATGGCAGGAATTGGTACCAGCAGTATCCCCTTCTTATTGAGAGGAAGGGCTCCTCACTCCTGAGCCCACAGCATCTCCACCTCCACTAGATAGCCACACTCCTAGACCATCCAGAGTAGACAAAAGAGGAAGTGAAGCCATGGGAGAAACTCTTGCCTTGGTGGCTCACTTACGGCCCAAGACTGGAATCCAAATGCACCTGAGAGAGCAGCAATATACTGGGGTAGATGAGGAGGGACACATGGTGGAAAGGCTTGCCTTTGTGTATCAACCTTTCACCTCTGCTGACCTCCTCAAATGGAAAACTAGTACTCCATCTTACACCGAAAAGCCTCAAGCTTTAATTGACTTGCTGCAAGCTATTATACAGACTCATAATCCTGCTTGGGCTGATCACCACCAGCTACTCATGTACCTCTTTAATACAGATGAAAAGCGAAGGGTGCTCCGGGCGGCAATAAGTGGCTAGAGGAGCACGTCCCAACCAATTACTGAAACCCCCAAGAATATATAAGAATTCAGCTGCCAGGAACAGACTCCCAATGGGACCCAAACGAGGGACCAGACATGGAGAAGCTAAGACGGTACAGTGAGGCATTAATAGAAGGTCTAAAGAAAGGGGCTCAAAAGGCTACAAATGTAAATAAGGTTTCTGAGGTCATCCAAGGAAAAGAGGAGAGTCCAGCGCAATTCTATGAAAGACTGTGTGAGGCTTACCGTATGTACACTCCTTTTGATCCAGATAGCCCTGAAAATCAGCACATGATCAACATGGCCTTAGTTAGTCAAAGCACAGAAGATATCAGGAGAAAATTGCAGAAACAGCCTGAGTTTGTGGGTATGAATACCTCATAGTTACTGGAAATAGCCAATTAAGTGTTTGTGAATAGAGATGCAACAAGCCGCAGAGAAAGCCGTAAGGAAGGCGAACGCCAGGCCAGGCGAGAACGCCGACTTACTGGCCACGGCCATTAGGGGAATTCCCCCGAAGGGAGTGGGAAAGGGAGGTTCCGGGAAGAATACCCAGTCTAATCGCCCACGCTTGCAACGCAACCAATGCACCTACTGTAAGGAAATAGGACATTGGAAAGATAAGTGTCCCCAACTGAAGGAAAAGCAAGGTGATTTAGAACAAAAGACCTCAGATAAAGATGAGGGAGCTTTGTTCAATCTGGCTGAAGGGCTATTGGACTGAAGGGGACCGGGCTCAAGTGCCCCCAAGGAGCCCACGGTCAGGATTACAACTGGGGGCAAGGACATTAAGTTTTTGGTGGATACTGGTGCCGAACATTCAGTAGTGACCACTCCGGTCGCCCCTTTATCCAAGAAAACCATTGATATAATGGGAGCAACAGGAGTTTCCACTAAGCAGGCTTTCTGTCTACTGCGGACCTGCTTGGTGGGGGGACATGAAATAGTTCAGTTCTTGTACATGCCTGACTATCCTTTGCCCTTGCTGGGAAGAGACTTGCTTAGCAAGATGATAGCCATCATCCCCTTTACAAAACAGGGCTCTTTACAGCTAAAGTTACCGGGAACAGGAATTATGGCCCTTATAGTCCCTCGGGAAGAAGAATGGAGACTTTTTCTAACTAAGCCAGGCCAAGAGATAAAACCAGCTCTAGCTAAGTGATGGCCCCGAGTATGGGTGGAGGATAATCCTCCGGGACTGGCAGTCAACCAAGCCACCGTACTCATAGAAGTTAAGCCTGGGGCCCAACTAATTAGACAAAAGCAGTATCCAGTTTCCAGGGAAGCTCTCGAAGGAATCCAGGTTCATCTCAGGCGCTTGAAAGCCTTTGGAATTATAGCTCCTTGCCAGTCTCTATGGAACACCCCCCTCCTCCCTGTCCCTAAGCCAGGGACCAAGGACTATCGATCCGTACAGGACTTGCGCTTGGTCAACCAAGCTACAGTGAATGTGCACCCGACAGTTCCTAACCCTTACACATTGTTAGGATTGCTGCTGCCAGCTGAGGACAGCTGGTTTACCTGTCTGGACTTTAAAGATGCCTTCTTTAGCATCAGAATAGCTCCTGAGAGCCAGAAGCTGTTTGCCTTTCAGTGGGAAGATCCGGAGTCAGGTGTCACTACTCAGTACACTTGGACCCAGCTTCCCCAAGGGTTCCAGGACTCCCCTGCTAGCTTTGGGGAGGCCCTGGCTCGAGACCTGCAAAAGTTTCCTGCTAAAGACCTGGGCTGCGTCTTGCTCCTGTACGTGGACAACCTTCTGCTGGGACACTCCACGGCAGTTGGGTGCGCAAAACGGACGGATGCCCTGCTTCAGCACCTGAAGGACTGTGGGTATAAGGTGTCCAAGAAGAAAGCTCAGATCTGCAGACAGCAGGTAAGCTACTTGGGATTCACTATTCAGAAAGGGAAGCGCAGCCTGGGGTCAGAAAGAAAGCAGGTCATCTGCAGCCTACCAGAACCTAGAACCAGAAGGCAAGTAAGGGAATTCCTAGGAGCTGTGGGGTTTTGCAGATTATGGATTCCAAACTTTGCAGTGCTAGCCAAACCTTTGTACAAGGTTACAAAGGGGGATGACCGAGAGCCTCTATGAGCCTCTTTGAATGGGGGCCTCTACAACAGCAAACCTTTTGTAAGTTAAAGGAAAAACTTATGTTGGCCCCAGTCCTAGGACTACCAGATTTGACAAAGCCCTTTTCACTCTATGTGTCAGAAAGAGAAAAAATGTCAGTTGGAGTTTTAACCCAGACTGTGGGGCCCTGGCCAAGGCCAGTGGCCTATCTCTGAAAACTACTAGGTGGGGTTTCCAAAGGCTGGCCACCATGTCTAAGGGCCCTGGCAGCAACAGCCCTTTGAACACAAGAAGCAGATAAACTAACCCTTGGGCAAAACCTGAATATAAAGGCCCTCCATGCTGTGGTAACTTTGATGAATAGCAAAGGACATCATTGGCTAACAAATGCTAGATTAACCAAGTACCAAAGCTTGCTATGTGAAAATCCCCACATAACCATTGAAGTCTGTAACACCCTAAATCCCGCCACCCTGCTCCCAGTATCAGAGAGCCCGGTAGAGCATAACTGTGTAGAGGTGTTGGACTCAGTTTATTCCAGCAGTCCTGACCTTCGGGACCAGCCATGGGCATCAGTAGACTGGGAGTTGTACGTGGACGGGAGCAGCTTCATCAACCCACAAGGAGAAAGATGTGCAGGATATGCGGTGGTAACTTTGGATGCTGTCATTGAAGCCAAACCGTTGCCACAGGGCACTTCAGCCCAGAAGGCTGAGCTCATTGCTTTAACTCGGGCTCTAGAGCTCAGTGAAGGTAAGACTGTAAACATCTACACTGACTCTCACTATGCCTTTCTAACCCTCCAAGTGCATGGAGCATTATATAAGTAAAAGGGCCTGTTAAACTCTGGGGGAAAGGACATAAAATATCAACAAGAAATTCTACAATTACTAGAGGCAGTGTGGAAACCTCAGAAGGTGGCAGTCTTGCACTGCAGGGGACACCAGCGAGCCTCCATCTCAGTGGCCTTAGGAAACTCTCGAGCTGATTCAGAAGCTCAAAAAGCAGCGTCTACCCCTTACCGGGCATTGGTAGCAGCCCCCTTACTCCCTTAAACACCTGACCTGGTACCTACCTATTCTAAGGAAGAAAAAGACTTTTTCCATGCAGGAGGGAGGTAAGTAATAAAAGGAGGATGGATCAGACTGCCAGATGGGAGAGTAGCTGTGCCGCAGTTGCTGGGAGCCACATTCATATTGGCCATGCACGAAACCACTTATCTAGGTCAAGAGTCACTTGAAAAATTGTTAGGCCAGTACTTCTACATCTCACACTTGCCAGCCCTTGCCAAAGCAGTAGCACAACAGTGCGTTACTTGCCAACAGCACAATGAGAGGCAAGGCCCCAGTGTTCCACCTGGCATACAAGCTTATGGAGTGGCTCCTTTTGAGGATCTTCAGGTGGATTTCACAGAAATGCCAAAATGTGGAGGTAACAAGTATTTGCTGGTTCGTGTGTGTACTTACTCTGGATGGGTGGAGGCTTATCCAACACCAACTGAAAAGGCCTACGAGGTAACCCGTGTGCTTCTCTGAGATCTTATTCCTAGGTTTGTACTGCCCTTAAGAATCGACTCAGATAACGGGCTGGCGTTTGTGGCTGACTTGGTACAGAAGACAGCAAAGGCATTAGGAATCACTTGGAAGCTACATGCCGCCTACCAACTTCAGAGTTCCAGAAAGGTGGAGCGAATGAATCAGACTATCAAAAATAGTTTAGGGAAAGTATGCCAGGAAACAGGATTAAAGTGGATACAGGCCCTTCCTATGGTATTGTTTAAAATTAGATGCACTCCTTATAAGAAAACAGGATACTGCCCTTATGAAATACTGTATCATAGGCCTCCTCCTATACTATGGGGACTTCTAGGCACTCCCTGAGAGTTAGGTGGAATTGAATTACAGTGTCAGCTACAGGCTTTGGGAAAAATTACACAGACAATCTCAACTTGGGCAAATGAGAGGTGTCCCATCTGCTTATTCTCCCCAGTTCACCCTTTCTCTCCAAGTGATCGCATGTGGATCAAGGACTGGAACGTAGCCCCTTTGCGGCCACGGTGGAAAGGACCTCAGACCATCATCCTGACCACCCCCACGGCTGCAAAGATAGAAGGAATCCCAGCATGGATCCACCACAGCTGTGTGAAACCTGCAGCCAATGAAACCTGGGAGGCAAAACCGAGCCCGGACAACCCCTGCAAAGTGACTCTGAGGAGGACGACAAGCCCTGTTCCAGTCACACCCAGAAGCTGACTGGTCTACGCATGGCTGAAGCATGAGGAGGATCATCATGGGACTCATTTTCCTTATAATTTCAACTTGTATAGTAAAACCTTCCACTGATTTTCCCCACATGGAGGACTGCTCTCAGTGTATACATCAGGTTACCTAGGTAGGGCAAGAAGTTAAAACAATCTTTCTGTTCTATAGTTACTATGAATGCTTAAGAACTTTAAAAGGAACATGTTTATATAATGACACTCAGTACAAGGTATGTAGCCCAGAAAACGACTGACCAGATGTGTGTTATGACCCCTGTCAGCTTCCCATGTCCACAGTTTTTGAAATGAGATTAAGGACTGAAGGCTGGTGGGGACTCATAAATGATACAAGTAAAGTATTAGTCAGAACAGAGGAAAAAGGGGTGCCCAAACACATAACCTTGAAATTTGATGCCTGTGCTGTCATTAATAGCAGTAAGTTAGAAAGGGGATGTGGCTGTTTTAGTTGGGAAAAAGGCTATATGACCGAAAATAAGTACATTTGTCATGAATTAGGACTGTGTGGAAATGAATGTGGATACTGGTCTTGCGTCATTTGCGCCACTTGGATTAAAAAAAATGAAAAGGATCCAGTCCACCTTCAGAAAGGAAAAAATGGCCCTTCCTATACTAAGGGAAAATGTAACCCCTTAGAGCTAGTAATAACCAATCCCCTTGATCCTTGCTGGAAAAAAGGGGAGCGTGTGACCTTAGGAATCGATGGGGCCATACTGGATCCTTGACTAAATATCTTAGTTCGAGGAGAAGTTTACAGACGCTCTCCTGAGCCAGTGTTTCCAACTTTCTATGATGAACTAAATGTGCCAGTACCAGAAATTCCAGGAAAAACAAGAAATTTGTTTTTGCAATTAGCCGAGCATGTAGCCCAGTCTCTCAATGTCACTTCATGTTATGTATGTGGAGGAATTGTAATGGGAGATCAATGGCCATGGGAAGCCCGAGAATTAGTACCTACAGACCCAGTTCCTGATGACTTTCCAACTCAAAAGAATCACCCTGATAATTTCTGGGTCCTAAAAGCCTCAATTATTGGACAATATTGCATAGCTAGAGAAGGAAAAGAATTCACTCACCCCATAGGACGACTTAGTTGTCTGGGACAGAAACTGTATAATGGTACCACAAAAACAGTCACTTGGTGGAGTTCAAATCACACAGAGTACTCCATTTAGTAAATTCCCAAAGTTGCAAACTGTGTGGACCCACCCAGAGTCCCACCGGGACTGGACAGCCCCCACTGGATTATACTGGATATATGGGCATAGAGCTTACACAAAATTACCCGACCAGTGGGCAGGTAGTTGTGTTATTGACACTATTAAACCATCTTTCTTCCCACTGCCCATAAAGACAGGTGAACTCCTGGGCTTCCCTGTCTATGCTTCCCATGAAAAGAGAAGCATAGCTGTAGGAAATTGGAAAGATGATGAATGGCCCACTCAGAGAATCATACACTATTATGGGCCTGCTACTTGGACGCAAGACGGCTCATGGGGATACTGGATCCCCATTTACATGATCAACCAAATCATACGGTTACAAGCTGTCTTAGAAATAATCACTAATAAAACTGTCAGAGCCTTGACTATTCTGGCCCGGCAAGAAACTCAGATGAGAAATTCTATCTATCAAAATAGATTGGCTTTTGACTACTTGCTAGCAGCTGAAGGAGGCATCTGTGGGAAATTTAACCTTAGTAATTGCTGTCTACACATCGATTATCAAGGGCAAGTAGTTGAAGACATAGTTAGAGATATGACAAAACTGGCACATGTGCCCATGCAAGTGTGGCATGGATTTGATCCTGGGGCCATGTTTGGAAAATGGTTCCCAGTGCTAGGAGGATTTAAAACTGTTATAATAGGAGTTATAATAGTAATAGGAACCTGCTTACTGCTCCCTTGTTTGCTAACTGTACTTCTTCAAATGATAAAAAGCTTCATTGCTATCTTAGTTCACCAAAATGCTTCAGCACAAGTGTACTATATGAATCACTATCGACGTGTCTTGCAAGAAGACATGGGTAGCGAGAATGAAAGTGAGAACTCCCACTATTAAGTGAGATTCTCAAAGAAGGGGAATAAGGGAGGGGATCACCCCTCATATTGTCTTATGCCCAGTTTCTGCCTCCAAAGAAAGAAGTAAAAACTAAAAGGCAGAAATGAAATCCACAAGCAGACAGCCCAGCACCACATCCTGGGCCTGGTAGTTAAAGATCGACCCCTGACCTAATCGGTTATGTTATCTATGGATTACAGACATTGTATAGAAAAGCACTGTGAAAATCCCTGTCCTGTTCTGTTCTGTTCTAATTACTGGTGCATGCAGCCCCGAGTCATGTACCCCCTATTTGCTCAATCGATCACAACCCTCTCATGCAGACCCCCTTAGAGCTGTGAGCCCTTAAAAGGGACAGGAATTGCTCACTCAGGGAGCTCGGCTGTTGGAGACGTGAGTCTTGCCAAAGCTCCTGGCCAAATAAAGCCCTTCCTTCTTTAACTCAGTGTCTGAGAGGTTTTGTCTGCACCTTGTCCTGCTACAGGGATACAGAAAGTTGTCACACTGGCCTTCCATCCTTGCAAAAAGGCAGAGGGTCCACTGAGCTGGTTAACAGGTTAACCTAAGCCGTCCGCAGATGGCAAGGCTAAAGGAGCACACTGTAACACATGCCCACTTGGGCCCCTGCACCTGTCCATCTGTGTGCTCCCTCTCCTGTAAGGGGTTTGAGCAGCAGCAGTGACTGAACAGATGAGCCACACACCTGTCACATGTCCTGTGAATGGGGGTCAGGAAACTGTCCATTTCCCTCTCATGAGAGAGTCCCACTCTATTCCTTGAGGGAGAAAATGTTGATGTCATGAAGCTTCAATAAAACCCCAAGATGACAAGGTTCAGGGAGCTTCCAGAGAGCTGAACACTTGTAGGTTCCTGGAGGGTGGTGCTGCAGGAAGGGCATGGAAGCTCTGTGCCTGTTCCCCTGCCATCAAGAAGAGTCCAAATCTGTAAAATATTTGAAGAGATTTATTCTGAGCCAAATATGTGTGACCATGGCCCGTGACACAGCCCCAGGATATCAACAGAACATGTGCCCAAGGTGGTTGAGATACAGCTTGGTTTTATATATTTTAGGGAGGCATGAGACTTCAATCAAATAAATTTAAGAAACACATTGGTTTCATCTGGAAGAGCGGGATAGCTCAAAGGGGGAGAAGACCTTCTGCGTCATAGGTAGATTTAAATTTTTTCTGATTGGCAATTTGTTGAAAGAGTTATTATCAATAAAAAGAAATGTCTGGGTTAAAATAAGGGGCTGCGGAGACCTAAGTTTTATCATGCAGATGAAACCTCCAAGTAGCAGACTTCAGAGAGAATAGATTGTAAATGTTTCTTATCAGATGTAAGGTCTGTCTGTGTTGATGTTAAAGCTGGAGGGATAGAATTAGGCATGTCCAACCCCCACTTCCCATCATGGTCTGAAATAGTCTTTCGGGTTAAATTTTAGAGTCCCCTGACCCAGGAGAAAGTCCATTCAGATGGGTGGGGGGGCCTCAGAATTTTATTTTTGGTTCCCATTCCCAAATCTTGCCCTACACATCCTCATCTGTATCCTTTGCAATATCGTTTAAAATAAACCAGTAAGTGTAATTAAGCATTTCCTTGAGTTCTGTGAGCTGCTCCAGCAAATTAATTGAACCCAAAGAGGGGTTTGCAGGAACCCCAACTCGAAGGTGGTCAGCCAGAAGTTCTAGAAGCCCGGACTTGTGACTAATGTGTGTAGGGGGGCAGTCTTGGGAACAGAGCCCTCACCCTGTGAGTTCTGATGATCTCTATCTTTGGGTAGATGGTGTTGGAACCGAATTGGAGGACACCTGGATGGTGTCCACTGCTTGGTGTTTGGGGGAAAACCCCCCACACATTTGGTCACAGAAGTCTTCTGTGTTGATGATTTTTTGTGGTGTGACAGCAGAGGGAAGACACAGTTTGAGGTGAGTTTTTGCCTATACGCCATTCATATGAGGTATCTAAAACAGTCAAACTTAGAGAAGCAGGAAACAGAATGGTCGTTGCTAGGAAAGGCGAGGAGAGGGAAAAGGGAGATGTTGATCGACAGTTCAGTTATTGGAGATGAGTAAGTTCTAGAGATCTGTTGTACGTCACAGTGCCTAGAGTTAACAATAAGGTTTTATGCACTCTTGAGCAACTCCGAAGAAGTGACTGATCATGCTTTTGACCTTGCAAGGAAAAATTGTGGTAGAAAGCAAAAATCCCTTGAGATGCTTTTCAACAACTCAAGATGCTATTTAAAAGCTTTGAACATTAATAGATAGTTGTAAAGCCTTAACCTTTTACGAGAGTGGTTTTATGTCTTTTAAATGAAAAGGAGCACACTTCATTGTATTTTAGCTGCGTTTTTGTCCTGTAGTAGCTGAATATTCAGAATCTCTCAGATTTTCGTCATCTGGTGTGTAGAAGCTGGTAGATTTTTTTCTCTTTATCCTTCATGTTTCTCTTTGATAGTACAGCTGTGTAGATATAAAACTCAAAAACGTTTATTTTATTTTTTTCCCTTAGGTGGGATTTATCCTCTTTAAGACAACTTCCTGACCTCGGACACATAGAAGGCTGCTGAAGGCAATGGTGGATCCTTTCATTTCAAACAAAATCACATTCAATTTTTTTGAGAGCTGCAGGCCTGGGTGGTGTTAAATTGTGTCATTTAGTATTAAAGAAACACGATAAAACTTTCAAAGACTGATCATGTGTCTTGGCTGTTTACTGTGGAAAGGTAGGAAATTGGCTACAGCAAAAGCTATTCATGTGAAAAATAAGGATTTGAGGCACCTCAGACTACCACGGAGACAGAACCTATGGTTTAAATTGGTATTTGTGTGTCTATATTTGGAGGCATAAAAAAATAAACAGATGTGGATTTATCAAATGAACCCAAGCGAGGCCAGGTCAAAGGAAATTTCCAGGAGAAACTCCACACGTTAAATTTCTCTTTCTAATACAAAATGACAACACACTTAAACAAAGAACAGGCTGTGCCAACATGGGTATTTTATCTCTAAAGGGGAGAAAAAGTCTTGATACCATTTTCTGTCTTCTCTTTATAGTTGGTCTCTCTATTTGGGCTATAGTAAAAATAATTATTCAGGAGAAAATTTCCTTTTTCTTTCTTTCTTTCTTTCTTTCTTTCTTTCTTTCTTTTCTTTCTGTCCTTTCTTTCTTTCTTTCTTTCTTTCTTTCTTTCTTTCTTTCTTTCTTTCTCTCTCTCTCTTTCTTTCTTTCTTCCTTTCTTTCTTCTTTCTTTTTCTTTCTTTTTCTTCTTTCTTTTGTCTTCCACTGTCACCCAAGCTGGAGTGCAGTGGTGTGATCATAGCTCACTGCAGCCTTGAACTCCTGGCCTCAAGTGATCCTCCCATTTCAGCCTCCCAAGTAGCTGGGACTACAGGAGTGCACCACCAAGCCTGGCTAATTTTTAAATCTTTTTGTAGAGATGGGGTCTCCGTATGTTGCCCAGGCTGGTCTCAAACTCCTGGCTTCAAGGGATACTCCCACCTGGGTCTCCTAAAGTGTTGCAGTTGCAGGCATCAGCCCACCATGCCAGGCAGGAGAAACTTTTTATAAGAGCCAATATATTGTGGGTTAGGTATTGCAATACCATATACTCACAATTTCCAAGTCTATATATGTCTTGGTTTAAGGAGTAAAACGTAGTTAAAGCACATTCATCTTGCATCAGTACCCGAAAGTGATTTTAATTGGCAAGAAGACTAGTTTATATTTTCTTTTTTCTTTTTTTTTGAGACAGAGTCTCACTCTGTCGCCCAGGCTGGAGTGCAGTGGCGCTATCTCGGCTCACTGCAACTTCCGCCTCCCGGATTCAAGTGATTCTCCTGTCTCAGCCTCCCGAGTAGCTGGGACTAAAGGTGTGTGCCACCACGCCCAGCGATTTTTTTGTATGTTTAGTAGAGATCGGGTTTCACAGTGTTAGCCAGGATAGTCTCGATCTCCTGACCTCGTGATCTGCCAACCTCGGCCTCCCAAAGTGCTGGGATTACAGGCATGAGCCACTGTGCCTGGCCCTATATTTTCAATATATGGATGACCCTTGAACAATGTGGGGATTAGGGGCACTGACCCCCCCACTCAGTCAAAAATCCATGTATTACTTTTAACTCCCCCAAAACTTAACTGCTAATAAACTGCTGAAGACCAGAAGCCTTATGGTGACATAAACAGTCAACTAACACATATTTTGTATGTATATGTATTACATACTGTGTTGTTACAATAAAGTAAGCTAGAGAAAAGGAAATACTATTAAGAAAAATCATAAAGAAGAGGAAATATATTTACCATTCATCAAGTAGAAGTGCATCGTCATAAATGTCTTCATCTCATTGTCTTCACGTTGAGGAGGCTGAGGAGGAGAAGGAGGAGGAGAGGTTGGTTTCTCTATCTAAGGGATGGCAGAGGTGGAAGAAAATTCATGTGTAAGTAGATCCCCAATGCAGTTCAAAGGCCAAGTGTAGATCCTTCTTCTAAAGACAGGTGTGCATCACCTTTACCTGGCTGTCATAGTTCATCCACACGGGTGTGTAGGCTGGGTCTCAGACTTGATGCTCTCAAGTTACCACTCTCTGTTTTGTTCTCTTCTATTTTTGGAAAGCCAAGTAAAATATGGAAAAGAAGATCTCATAGATGATTAGTCAACTCTTTCATGGAAAAAATGCTGTGAAACTAATTGTGTTTCATAGAAACATGCCATATTCTTGTAGGAACTCAAATATTTGTTTACAGTAACATATATCTATACATGCACACACATACATGTATAAAACCTAAATAGGTCATCTAGTCTAATTTCTTTTTTTTGTAGGTGGCTGGACATCTAAGTTTTTCAGGACAGATAACATTTTCTTTTCTTTTCTTTCTTTCTTTTTTTTTTTTAAAAAAAACTTATTCCAGGCAGGGCACGGTGCTTCACATCTGTAATCCCAGCACTTTGGGAGGCCAAGGCAGGAGAGTTGGCTGAGGCCAGGAGTTTGAGACCAGCCTGGGAAACATAGGGATAACTTGTCTCTACAAAAAACATAAAAATCAGCTGAGTGTGGTGGTGTGCACCTGTAGTCCTAGCTACTCAGGAGGCTGAGGTGGGAGGATTGCTTGCACCTGGGAGGTGGAGGCCACAGTGAGCCATGATCACACCACTACACCCCAGCCTGGGTGATAGAGTGAGGCTCTGTCTCAAAAACAAAAGAAAACAAAACCAAAAACAAAAAAAACTTATTCCTATACCTGAAGATTGTGAAATCAATCTTTCTTATTAGCCTTGCCTAATATATCCTGAATTTGTAATTATATTGACTTAGAAGTCATTAAATAGTTCCTTAATCAAAAAAACCAAAACACCCAAATACTTTCTGGACATGTTTTAGCTTCCTGTTTATTTCTCCATTTTACACTTAAGATAATGTATTATTCTCTTCTTTATGCAATTAAAATATTTTGAAAGTAATTCAGCTAATAATCTTTAAACTCCTCATTTTCAAGCTAAATACGTAAAAATTCTATTACTTTTTCTTGAACTTTCTTTCTAAGGCTGGCCTTGTCATGCATGTGAAATCTGAAGTGTGGGTGCCAATGTTGACCCTAGGGTTTGGTTTAGTGATGAAAAAGCTCTTGCTTCTCACTAATGTTAGGTGACAAAGGGCTATTTGTAACCAGACTTCCAGCAGTAGAATAAAGCTGAGCACAGCCATGACTCAGAACACAAAGTTTTTGTTCTGACTTTGCAATCCCAAAGTATGTTCTCTTTATGAGGCCTAAATGAGCAGAAGACCAATTTTTTTTTTTTTTTTTTTTTTTAGTAGAGACAGGGTTTCACCATGTTGGTCAGGCTGGTCTCAAACTCCTGGCCTCAAGTGATCTGCCCACCTTGGCCTCCCAAAGTGCTAGGATTATAGGCATGAGCCACCACACCCGGCCAGAAGTCTAATTTTAGAATACGTGATTCAATTTCCAGCTTAAAAGGAAGAGCTTCCAGAGATCCTGATCAAGATGACCAAATAGGAACAGCTCTGGTCTGCAGTTCCCAGCAAGATGGACACAGAAGGCAGGTGATTTCTGCATTTCCAACTGAGGTACCTGGTTCATCTCATTGGGACTGGTTAGACAGTGGGTGCAGCCCACGGAGGGCGAGCTGAAGCAGGGTGGGGCGTCGCCTCACCTGGGAAGCACAAGGGGTCAGGGAATTTTCTCCCCTACCCAAGGGAAGTTGTGAGGGACCAAGCCTGAGGAACCGGGGTCCAGATACTGTGCTTGTCCCATGGTCTTCGCAAGTCGCAAACCAGGAAATACCCTGAGGTGCCTAACCCACCAGGGCCCTGGGTTTCAAGCACAAAACTGGGTGGCCATTTGGGCAGACAACGAACTAGCTGCAGGAGTTTTTTTGCTTGTTTGTTTGTTTGTTTTTTCCATACTCCAGTGGCAGCTGGAACACCAGCGAGACAGAACCACTTACTCCCCTGGAAAGGGGTGCTGAAGCCAGGGAGCCAAATGGTCTGGTTTGGCGGGTCCCACCCCCATGGAGTCCAGCAAACTAAGATCCACTGGCTTGAAATTCTTGCTGCCAGCACAGCAGCAGTCTGAGATGGACCTGGGACACTCGAGCTTGGTGGGGCGAGGGGCATCCATCATTTCTGAGGCTTGAGTAGGCGGTTTTACGCTCACAGTATAAACAAAGCTGCCAGGAAGTTCAAACTGGGCGGAGCCCACTGCAGCTCAGCAAGGTTGCTGTGGCTGGACTGCCAGATTTCTCCTCTCTGGGCAGGGAACCTCTGAAAAAAAGGCAGCAACCCCAGTCAGGGACTTATAGATAAAACCCCCATCTCCCTGGGACAGAACACCTGGGGGGAAGGGGCAGCCATGGGCACAGCTTCAGCAGACTAAAATGTCCCTGCCTGACAGCCCTGAAGAGAGCAGCGGACCACCAAGCACAGCATTCGAGCTCTGCTAAGGGTCAGACTGCCTCTTCAAGTGGGTCCTTAACCCCGTGTATCCTGACTGGGTGACACCTCCCAGTAGGGGCCGACAGGCATCTCATACAGGAGGGCTCTGGCTGGCATGTGTCAGGTGCCCCTCTGGGACGAAGCTTCCAGAGGAAAGAACAGGCAGCAATCTTTACTGTTCTGCAGCCTCTGCTGGTGATACCCAAGCAAATAGGATTGGGAGTGAACCTCCAGCAAACTCCAGCAGACCTGCAGCAGAGGGGCCTGACTGTTAGAAGGAAAACTAACAAACAGAAAGGAATAGCATGTCCACTCAAGGACCCCATCTGAAGGTCACCAACATCGAAGACCAAAGGTAGATAAATCCACAGAGATGGGGAGAAACCAGTGCAAACAGGCTGCAAATTGCAGAAACCAGAATGCCTCTTCTCCTTCAAAGGATCACAACTCCTCGCCAGCAAGGGAACAAAACTGGATGGAGAATGAATTTGACGAATTGACGGAAGTAGGCTTCAGAAGTTGGGTAATAACAAACTCCTCTGAGCTAAAGGAGCATGTTCTAACCCAATGCAAGGAAGCTAAGAACCTTGAAAAAAGGTTGGAGGAATTGCTAACTAGAATAACCAGCTTAGAGAAGAACATAAATGACCTGATGGAGCTGAAAAACACAGCACAAGAACTTCATGAAGCATACACAAGTAACAATAGCCAAATCCATCAAGTGGAAGAAAGGATATCAGTGATTGAAGATCAACTTAATGAAATAAAGTGAGAGGACAAGATTAGAGAAAAAAGAACAAAAAGGAACGAACAAAGCCTCCAAGAAATATGGGAAAGAAAGAAGAAAGAATGAATGAATGAACAAAAGAAAGAATGAAAGAAAGAGAAAGGAAAGAGGGAGGGAGGGAGGAAGGAAGGAAGGAAGGAAAATTTACTCATAGATGAGTGCCTTAACTTTTAAAATAATACTTTCAAATCATGTGAATGTATTAAATCTTCTAGACTATTAAATTAGGTGTTGCCAAAAATTCATATAGAATTACCTGCATCTCTCTGTTTTATGTTTAAATAGCCGTCTCCTGCTGTGAATTTCTCCATCAAGTTATTTATTCAGAAAAGTACTTAAAATAGGTACAAATAAGAGGAGAAAAGAAAGAGTTGGTTTATTGGCTGCATTGGTGAAACAATTGGATGCAGTTTTGACAAATGCATTAAAGAAGAAATGGTGCCCCTATGCTGTGACAAAACGACCTCAGAGAATACCAGCGTGACACTACCTGTGGCCACAATCCTTCTCCAGCGCCTCCAGGGTGGCAGACGCCAGAAAAACTCAGATCTACCTTGTTTGTTCTTTTGAAGTTCAATTCTCCACTGATCCTTTTCTGTATGTATTTTTGACAAATAACAGAGATGGAGAAATATTTTGAGAGGAAAATAAACAATAAGCGTGTACCTGTAAAGGGAAACCCACTCAGTTGTAGTAACATTTGATGCTGCTCAGCTCTGTTTGTTTTGAGACAGATCCAATTACAGAAGCAAGACCACGGGGCAATGCACTGTGCATTTTCAGCTTTGAGAAACGAAGCCAATGCAACTCATTGTTTTAAACCACAAAGTGCCTTTCTATTAAAAGTTTAAAATGTAGAGAAATAGAATGCATTGGCTCTGCAGGATCTTGCACAGATTCTAAGTGGATTACAAGACCCCTCAAGCCTTTGAGAGTATTGTCAGTAAGTGCACCTTCTTGCAAGGCAGAGGGGAAGCCCATGACCAATTAGGAAGGATTGCCTGTCTGCAATTCATCCCTCCACACGCTTTCTTGTTATCCCCTTCGAATCCAACTCTGGTCACACGTAATGGTCATCATTCATTATTAAAACAGAAGTCTAGGGCCAGGCTCAGTGGCTCACACCTGTAATCCCAGCACTTTGGGAGGCCAAGGTAGGTGAATCACCTGAGGTCAGGAGTTCGAGACCAGCCTGGCCAATATGGTGAAACCCCGTCTTTACTAAAACTACAAATAGTTAGCCGGGCATGGTGGTGGCCACCTGTAGTCCCAGCTACTCAGGAGGCTGAGGCAGGAGAATCACTTGAACCCGGGAGACGGAGGTTGCAGTGAACCAAGATTGTGCCACTGCACTCCAGCCTGGGCGACAGAGTAAGACTCCATCTCAATAAGTTCCCATTTACAGGTTCGGAGTTGTAGGATATGAATATGTTTTGGGGTCACAATTCAACCCATTGAAGTTGTATCCAGTTCTTTCTGGAGGCTGTAGGGAAGGCTCCTTCCAGAGGAAACTGGTTACAATTGTAGTGGATTGAACTATATAGTCCCCTCAAACGCTATATCTGCATCCTAGCCCCCAGAACCTGGGAATGGGACCTTATTTGGAAATAGGGTCTTTGCAGATGTCATTAAGGGAAGAATCTTGAGATCACAATTCACTGCAGCCTTGAAACTCCCGGGCTCAAGTGATGCTCCCCACTCAGCTTCCTGAGTAGCTGGGATTATAGGCGCACACTACAATGTCCAGCTAATTTTTTGTAGAGATGGGGTCTCGATATGTTGCCCAGGCTGGTTTTGAACTCCTGGGCTCAAGCAATCTGCCCGCCTCAGCCTCTCAAAGTGCTAGGATTACAGGTGTGAGCCATGGCACCCAGCCTCTGTAGGTAAAATTGCAACATGAAAATACGTATTCAAATATAGACAACTATTCTTTATGCTAATGAAGAGAAATGGAGCTGCAGATGTTACCGCATGGTTAATTAAACATTAGTTTGATTTTATCTTTATTAATACTTCAATTAATGATTTGTTCCTCATGGAATATTTTCCCTTTAATTTAATTAATTTTACTTTATAAGTAATATATTTTTTTTCATTCTCTGAGGAAACAGCTATTAATTAGACAAGAGAGGGTCATAGGTATCCTACACCTGGAAATGTGAAGTGGGGGATTCTTTGGCTATAAAGAAATAGCTGTTTGTTTAAAAAATTATTTTCTTTTCCCAGTTTTTGTAGAGACAGGGTCCTGTGATCTTGCCCAGGCTGATCTCGAACTCCTGGCTTCAAGCAATCCTCCCACCTTAGCCTCCAAAGCACTGAGATTACAGGCATGAGCCACAAAGAATAGTTGTTTTCCTTGTGAACTGCTCAGTATAAAACAGGTTCAGCTCAAAATATGAAGTTCTTCTGGAAGGAAATTCGAGAAACTAAGCTGTATGTTTATGGTGTCTTCCCATCAAACAATTAACAAGGAAACAAAAGACGATGTATTTGAAATAAAATATATTTTCAAGTCTTCATATATTCCTTAACTCTTGAGAGGCAAAGATTACTCTGTGATTGGAGTAGAAGAATTTCCCTTTCCTTCGTGACTTCTCTGGTTTTCTAAGGCTGAAGTAATTCACAGAAGAGAAATGATCTCTGAAGGGGAATATTATTGTGGTTTCCTGGAAGGGGTTGGTCACAGAAAACTCCAGCATAACACCTCATACATATGGCCAGAGCAATGAATACAAAGGCTATAGGCATCATCCCATCCCCTTAATAAGATGCATTGATTGGACAAAGATGATACTGGCACAAGAAATGTCTAGCTGCACTTGGGGAAGGGTTGATGGTCATAGTCAGTGTCTGTGGAATGCTTTAACTATTAACAGACACTGGCACCCACTTCCAGGAAGGAAGGAAGGAAGGAAACTGCAGAGTGTCTAGGGTACACAGTGATGTTTCAGGGATTCTAAGCTTTAGATTTTGGGGATAATTAAATTGCATCAGGGAGAATGAACAATGCCTCCTGTGTAAAGGTGTAACGTCCACCTGAGGGCCAAGTGTTGTGGCTTACACCTGTAATCCCAATGCTTTGGGAGGTCGAGGCAGGAGGATAGCTTCAGACCAGCAGTTCAAGACCAGACTGGGCAACATAACCAGACCCCATCCCTACAAAAAATTAAAAGCCTTAGCTGCCACATGGTGTGGTGGCATGTGTCTTTAGTCCCAGCTATTTGGGAGGCTGAGGTGGGAGGATCACTTGAGCCCAAGAGTACAAGGGTGCAGTGAGCTATGCCTGCTGCACTGCACTTTAGCCTGGGTGACAGTGTGAGACCCTGCCTCTAAAAAAATCCACATAAATAGGTAATATTATAAAATAACTTATAGATCACAACTAGAGTATCAATTAGGCACAATGGAGATAATGACATTAAGGTTCCCTCCTGAGGACTGCTTTACTTTCCTGTTTTGACTGTTCAAGTTGTTTTGGTCATTAAGTCTACCTCATTAGGGATGTAGAGTCGAATGATTATGTGTTAAAGACCCATGGATTATTTATCCTCTGTGTGGTTAAGACCTGTATGCAAAATTAGGTTCATTTGTTTCATTTTACTTTGTTTTAAGCATTGTTTTTTTAAAAAAATGAAATTTATTTTTAAAAATTTTGAGGGAATGGTACATTCACATTCAGTGGTAGGAAATGATACATAGAGGTTGCCTGTACCTTCCATCCTAATTCCCAAATGGTAACATTTTGCATAACTGTTGTACACTGTCACAACCAGAAAAGGGACACTGATACAATCCACTGACCTTATTCCATCAGTTTCACTGATAATAATTTTTATGTGTTTGTGTGTCTTTATGTCTTTACAGTTTTACTACTTAGAGGCTCATATAATTACCATTACAATCAAGAAACAGGGCAGTCGCATTACAAGGGTCTCTCATTTTGCCTTTTGATAACCAACCCCCAACATCCTCCTGTATTTTTAATTGCATTCTATTATTTACTTTTCAAAATAGCCACACACCCCGACATTGTGGTTTTACAGGCAAAACAAATAGCAGAATTAACTCCTCTTTAATTTGAATCCAAGTAACTTATTTCCCAGTTTTACTTGGTCTATCTTATATATTGTTAAGTAGTCTATGTTCAGTAGAGTCCAGGAAGTATTAGTTCAGTATTTTTTTTTTTTTTGAGACAGGGTCTTGCTCTGTCACCCAGGCTGGAGTGCAATGACATGGTCAGAGCTTACTGCATCTTCAAACTCCTGAGCTTAAGTGATCCTCCTGCTTCAGCCTCCCAAGTAGCTGAGACCACAGGCATGCAACACCACGGCCGGCTAATTTTGAAATTTTCAGTAGAGAATAGGTATTGCTATATTGACCAGGCTAGTCTTGAACTCCTAGCCTCAAGCAATCCTCCCACCTTGGCCCCCAAAGTGCTGGGACTACAGGCGTGAGCCATTGTGCCCAGCCTATTCAGTATTTTTGTGTACCGATACTTTACAGGGAATTGTGGAAGACAGGTTTAAGAAACCAAAGAACTTAAAATACATCTGAGAAAATAAAACTAGCTTATATGAAACTAAATATTTTGGTATTATGGGGCCAATCATGACTATCAATAGCAATAAAAAGCATTATCCATATCACATATCTATGGGCTATGTTCCAATCTTGTCATGCAGTTGAAACATAATTTACTTATTTATGTCCTATTTCTTTTATACCATCATTTCTCAGTCTCCATGGAAAATTGGTTCTAGGACTCCTCATGAATATCAAAATTTGAGGATGCTCAAGTTTCTTTTATAAAATGACATGATATTTGCATATAACCTATGCACATTGTCTTGTATACTTTAAGTCATCTCTAGATTCCTTAAAAGACCAAACGCAATGTAAAAGCTACTGTGTTGTTTAGGGATTAATGACAAGAAAAAGAAAAGTCTATACATATTCATTACAGACCCTTTTTTTTTTCTGAAGATTTTTGATCCCTGGTTGGTCGAATTCACAGATATGGAACCCATGGATACAAAGGGCTGACTATACATCAGGTATGGTTGAACTTGAGGCAATGAGCGACAGATGTCAGAAGGAATAAGATGGAAAGGCAATAAATAGAAAATAAATTCTGGTCTGTTTTTTCTCTGATCCACTACAATGGAAACCAGCCTCACTAGTGTAAGAATAGTACAAATGAATATTCATAGAAATCTTTAAAATGTTTACAAATCACCTCTGTGTCAATTTGTGATTTAATCTTTTTTAGAGAAATATAGATATATTTTACTTAAAGTTCTGGGGTACATGTGCAGAACATGCAGGTTTGTTGCACAGGTATGCATGTGCCATGGTGGTTTGCTGCACCTAGGAACCCGTCATCTAGGTTTTAAGCCCTGCATACATTAGCTATTTGTCCTAATGCTCTCCCTCCCCTTGCCCCCCACCCCCTGACAGGCCTCAGTGTGTGATGTTCCCCTCCCTGTGTCCATGTGTTCTCATTGTTCAACTCCCACTTATGAGTGAGAACATGGGGCGTTTGGTTTTCTGTTCCTGTGTTCGTTTGCTGAGAATGATGGCTTCCAGCTTCATCCATGTCCCTGCAAAAGACATAAACTCATTCTTTTTTATGGCTGCATGGTATTCCATGTTGTGTATGTGCCACATTTTCTTTATCCAGTCTATCATCATTGATGGGCATTTGGGTTGGTTCCAAGTCTTTGCTATTGTAAATAGTGGTGCAATAAACTTATGTGTGCATGCGTCTTTACAGTAAAGTGATTTATAATCCTTTGAGTCTATACCCAGTAATGGGATTGCTAGGTCAAATGGTATTTCCGGTTCTAGATCCTTGAGGAATCACCACACTGTCTTCCACAATGGTTGAACTAATTTATGCTCCCACCAACAGTGTAAAAACCTCCAGCACCATTTAGATCTTAATTTCAAATGGCAAGCAGGTAGGCTGCCAACTTAGAGGAGAGCATTGCCAGGGGATATGGTACTACTTTCGGAATAGGATTAAAACAGAAAAATGCAGTACAGCAAAATTTGGCTACCCCTGCTCCCAGAGTGGAAGTGTTTATATCTTCATGCAGCAACACGGAATCACAGTGCTATAAAACATAGAGTGCTTGATTCACACGTTCTGCACAGAGTGTGAGGGTGTTTATCACAATTAGACTGATCACTGGGGAAGGAGTGAGGAATTGCGTGGGATGCCGTAAAACCCATTCACATCCTGCCCCCATAGGGAAGCAGTGTCAACAATGTAAACACATCAGAGACCTTGCTGGATGCATTTTGGGATATTGAGTGTAATCCCTTGAACATGGTGTACATCTGACATGAAAATCTGGAAGCTACCTCCCAGCAGAAGGATGCATTACCATTTGGCAAATGTGGTTGTTTTTCCCTGCACCCTCACCCCTGACTTTTCATCATCTAGCTGAGGAAGCATTTCTTCTCTTTTTCCCTTACTTATTTCAATTCCCAATCATGTCAATGATCCCAGGCCAAGTGGAAACAATAAAAGGTCAGTGGAAGAAGTAAGAATATAAAAGAATATAAAGACGAACTGCTGCTTGGGGATTGATGGTTGTCCTTGTAGGGATAGTGATCTCTGTTCTCTAGCTCTTTGAAAGAAAAACACCCATTATCACTTGCCAGTTGGCTAAGAGGGATTTTCTTTCTGTGGGTTCCCTTGAGCATATCATCAATGTGTAGAAAATAAACACAAAGGGAAAACATTTCCTTTTTTGTTGTTGAATTTGGAGTCAGGGTCTTACTCTGTCACCCAGGTTGGAGTGCAGTGGTGCAATCATGGCTTACTGCAGCCCCAGCCTCCTAGGCTGAAGTGATCCTCCCATCTCAGCCTCTTGAGTAGCTGGGATTACAGGTGTGCACCATTATGCCTGGCTATTTTATTTTTCCCTGTAGAGATGGCGCCCAGGCTGGTCTCGAACTCCTGGCCTCAAGCGATCCTCCCACCTCGGCCTCAAGATGCTGAGATTATAGGCATGAGACGCTGCACCTGCCGGAGAAAACATTTCCTAAAATAGACTCATGAAGCACCTAGAATACCTGGTTCACTCCTTTTGTCATAGCCTAATGTCACCTTAGCTACTGTTTCTGCTGAAAGAAAGTTGTGAGCCAAAGCCCTGTTCTGTATTTGTGAGAGAGATGGTGGTAGCAACTGAGGGCATTGCTGTTGATATGCCCTTCAGAAAGAAGATGGCTCTCTGAGTAAGGGATTTGCTGATAGTTCATGAGTAGCGTAGGTATCAACCAGGATTGAAACCATGGAGCTGTCCAAGGTCCTACTCTCCATCCACTGTAAAAACCCCACCCAGGGTCTCCAAAACATTCCTAGGATAGGAGATATGGCATGAGGGATTCCACCTGTAAGCCCACAAATGGACTAGCATTTGGAAGACTTCACATCTTCCTTCTATCCCAAGATACTGAAATGGAATATGATAGTTTTGTCCTCAGAGTGCAACACAGAGTGATGAAAGACACAAATGCCCTATTAGTTGGGGAAAATCTGAAAGATTTTACGAAGTACACAAAGCTTGAAATGAGTGTAGAAGTATCACCAGGATTTTACTTTTTTTTGTTAATAACGCTTTCTCTTCTCTAAGAAATTGTATTCTTTTTTGTTTTTGTTTTAAATTTCAACTTTTTAGATGCAGGGAGTACATATGCAGATTTGTTACATGGGAATATTGAGTGATGCTGAGGTTTGGAGTAAGGATCCCGATACCCTGGTAGTGAGCATGGTACCTGATAAGTTGTTTTTTCATTTCCGCCCCCCAGTCACACTCTAGTATTCCACAGTATCTATTTTTTCCATAGTTATGTTAATGTGTGCTCAATGCTTACTTCCCACTTATAAGAAAGAACATGCAGTATTTGGTTTTCTGTTCCTGCATTAATTCGCTTAGGAAAATAGCTTCCAGCTGTATCTATGTTGCTGCAAAGGGCATGATTTCATTCTTTTTTTATGGCTGTGTAGTATTCCATGACGTATATGTACCATATTTTTTAATCCAATCTACCATTGATGGGTACCTGGGCTGGTTCCATGTCTTTGTTATTGTGAATATTGCAGCAATGAACATACAAATGCATGTGTGTTTTTGGTAGAATGATTTATTTTCTTTTGGGTAGATACCCAGTAATGGAATTGCCTAGTTGAATGGTAGCTCTGTTTTAACATCTTTGAGAAATCCCCAAACTGCTTTCCACAGTGGCTGAACTAATTTGCATTCACACTAACATTGTATAAGCATTCTCTTTTCACCATCGCCTCACCAGCATCTGTTGCTTTTTGACTTTTTGATAATAGCCATCCTGACTGGTGTGAGATGGCATCTCATTGTGGTTTTTGATTTGCGTTTCTCTAATGTTTAGTGATGCCAAGCATTTTTTTCATATGTTTGTTGTCCACTTGTATGTCTTCTTTGGAGAAGTGTCTGTTCATGTCCTTTGCACATTTTTAAATGGAGTTATTTGTTTTGTGCTTCTTGATTTAAATTCCCTATAGATTCTGGATATTAGGTCTTTGTTGGAGGCATAGTTTGTGAATATCTTCTCCCATTCTGTAGGATGATGGCTAGAATTTTGACTGATAAAAAAGTAGATATATTTTTGGCAAAGCAAGAAATACATGAAGTTAGGATCTGTTAAATTATAGCTATGTTCTAGAAAATGGCATAAATAGATAGTAACATTAGTAGAACATCTTTAGTTCACATTTTTTTCTTTTCTTAAATATTAGCAACGTTTCTTGAATATTTACTGTTGATTGGAAATGACATGAGTATTTTTAAAATGCATTAATTCCTTCTCTTATTATTTTTTGTCATATGTATTTGTGTTCTTTTTTATTATTTTTAATTTTTATTCATTTTGAAATCACTTTAGATTTACAAAAAAGTTACAAAAATGGCACAGAGAATTCTAGTATTCCCTTTGCACAGCGTCCCCTAACATTGGTGTTTCAAATAACTACAGGAAAACTATTGAAACCAGGAAATTAACACTGTTGTCACACTGTCAACTAATCCATAGACGTTCAGATTTCTCTGATTGTCCCGCTAATGTGGTTTTTCTGTTTTAATGTCCTTCCAGGACCCACCTTGCATTCACTATCATGCCTCCACAGTGGACTTCCATCTGGGCCATGTCCTTAGTTTTTGTCTCTGATGACCTTGAACTTTTGGAAGGATACAGACCAGTTATTTTGCAGAATAGCATCCAATTCATCTTCGTCTGATGTTTACCCATCAGATTAGGTTGAGGTTACACATATTTGGCTGGAATACCACAGAGGCGATGTTGAGGTCTTCTCAGAGCATCATACCAATGATGTAGATATGTTTCATTATTGGTGATAACTTTGATTATCTGGTTAAATGTGGTACCTTCTCAGCTGCTTCATTGAAGCCACTATTTTCTCATTTGCAACTAGTAGGTACCCTGCGGTTACTTTGAGACTATGCAAGTATCTTGTTTCTCCTCATATAGCTAACTGTTTCTTTTAGCCTCTGAGGGCAACTCTTGCCTGAAATAATGATTATGATTTTCTGGTTCCACCATTCCTTCTGCATTTATCCATTGGAAGTCTACTTTCATGGAGAGGTTTATCTTCTTTCTCATTCATTTATCCATTCAATTAATTACTCGCATCACCATGGACTAAGGAATAATTTTATGAGTATAATTTCTAACTATTAGTATTTATTTTCTTGTTCCAGTTTTCCCAGATTAGGACATTGGGAGCTCTTCCAAGCTCCCAACGTGTCTTTCCTTCTCTACATTCTTTTTTAAAAAATGAGATAAATATAAGTGTTATTTATACCTGGTTGAATTTACACAATTAAAAAAAGATACACAATCAATGTATGTATTTTGGGGATACATGTGATAATTTAAATCATTCTATCATAAAGGCACATGCACGTGAATGTTCATTGCAGTACTATTCACAGTGGCAAAGACATGGAATCAAGCCAAATTCCCATTAATGGTGGAGTGGATAATGAAAATGTGGTACATATACATCATGGAATATTATGCAGCCATAAAAAATGAGCTAAAAGATGAGAACACATGGACACATAGAGGAGAACAATACACACTGGGGTCTACTTGAGAGTGGAAGGTTGGGGGAGGGAGAGGGTCAGGAAAAATAATTAATGTGTACTAGGCTTAATACTTGGGTGATAAAATAATCCATGTAACAAACCCCCATGACACGAGTCTACCGGAATAACGAACCTGTGCAGGTACCCCGGAACTTAAAAGTTAAAAAGAAAACGATACCTTCTCTACATTCTTAAAAATAATACAACATTGCTTAACCTGTTTCTCTTTGTGGCTGTGATTACAAAGTGAGAAGACTGAAGTAGGTGTCATTATAGCAACAGTCTTTGTGGCACCTAAGGGCTGTTTCAGCAAACCCGAATGCTTTCAGACCTCATTGTTTTAATAATTTTTTGGATGACTGTGTTCCCTCTTTCTCCTCATTCTTTTCTTAGTCATTAAATTTCACGACTGTCAAGCCTCCCCACCATAGTTCATCTTTGTTCTGATTTTATGTGTTATTGCCTGATAAAGGTGTGAGGCTAACAGCCCCATTTCCTCCAAGGTAAAAGTCATAGGCTTGTGATAGATTGCTTGGACCACTCCTGCTTTTTTCTGTCCTTTGCCTGTATTTGGTTGTGCCCCATCATATCAGACACCCGGCCAAAATAGAGTTCTCCTCTATAGGATACTTCCTTTCTGGTTTCTGCCTTTTCAATAACATGAGATATGTAGACAACGTGTCACTTAGAGAGTTATATGCCAGCATTGCACACACAAATCATTTAATCAGAACTAAAAAGAGTGGAAGTAACAGTGATTGTATCATGAATAGAAAGCAAGCAGAAAGTTTCTGCTAGATTAAAAAAAGGCAAAAGAGCTTAGACACCTATTCCAGCAGTAATGTTCTACAGTACTTGAAAATATGATGCTTTACTGAATGCGCCCATAAACAGCACAGAGCTACATGGTATTTGTAAGCAGACCTTTGGATGGGATAAAAATAATCTCTCACCTACCCCAGGTGGTGAAGGAAACATCTCAAATAGCAATTGTAATCTGCTAGGCCACAGTGGAGGGAAGAAATTAGGTATGTGCCTAGGCAGGATGACCTTTCTTGCTTTCTGTACCATGCTACATATCTCCTACCAATGCAGTGAGGAAAATATTTGCAATATCTATATTATTATTATATAAAGATAAATAATATTTATATTGTTTATTATAATAATTAATCAATAATTATTTTACTAACTCTGATTACATATTTACATAATTATACAATGTATGGAATACATATAGAATATATAGAATAGGATATATATGATAATCTATAGAATAGAATATATTATAATACATAGAGAATAGTATATACATTCCCTATTAGAATTCTATTAGAATAGAATTTATGTGAAAATACATATAATAGAATATATTAGAATATATTATATTATGTATAATACATTATTAGATAGAATATATTAGAATATTCTATATTATTATATTATCATATAATATAATATATTCTATATTATATTATTATATAATATAATATATTCTATATTATATTATTATATAATATAATATATTCTATATTATATTATTATATAATATAATATATTCTATATTATATTATTATATAATATAATATATTCTATATTATATTATTATATAATATAATATATTCTATATTATATTATTATATAATATAATATATTCTATATTATATTATTATATAATATATTCTATATTATATTATTATATAATATATTCTATATTATATTATTATATAATATATTCTATATTATATTATTATATAATATATTCTATATTATTATATAATATATTCTATATTATTATATAATATATTCTATATTATATTATTATATAATATATTCTATATTATTATATAATATATTCTATATTATATTATTATATAATATATTCTATATTATATTATTATATAATATATTCTATATTATATTATTATATAATATATTCTATATTATTATATAATATATTCTATATTATATTATTATATAATATATTCTATATTATTATATAATATATTCTATATTATTATATAATATATTCTATATTATTATATAATATATTCTATATTATTATATAATATATTCTATATTATTATATAATATATTCTATATTATATTATTATATAATATAATATATTCTATATTATATTATTATATAATATAATATATTCTAGATTATATTATTCTGTAACATATATTCTCTATTATATTATTATATAATATATATTCTCTATTATATTATTATATAATATATATTCTCTATTATATTATTATATAATATATATTCTATATTATATTATTATATAATATATATTCTATATTATATTATTATATAATATATATTCTATATTATATTATTATATAATATATATTCTATATTATATTATTATATAATATATATTCTATATTATATTATAATATATATTCTATATTATATTATAATATAATATATATTCTATATTATATTATAATATATATTCTATATTATATTATAATATAATATATATTCTATATTATATTATAATATAATATATATTCTATATTATATTATAATATATATTCTATATTATATTATAATATAATATATATTCTATATTATATTATAATATATATTCTATATTATATTATAATATAATATATATTCTATATTATATTATTATATAATATATATTCTATATATTATATATTCTATATTATATCCTATATTCTATATAATATATAATATATTCTATATTCTATATAATATATTCTATATAATATATAATATATTCTATATTCTATATAATATATTCTATATTCTATATAATATATAATATATTCTATATTCTATATAATATATAATATATTCTATATTCTAATATATAATATATTCTATATATTATATTCTATATTCTATATAATATATTCTATATATTATATTCTATATTCTATATAATATATTCTATATATTATATTCTATATTCTATATAATATATAATATATTCTATATAATATATAATATATTCTATATTCTATATAATATATAATATATTCTATATATTATATTCTATATTCTATATAATATATAATATATTCTATACATTATATTCTATATTCTATATAATATATAATATGTTCTATATATTATATTCTGTATTCTATATAATATATTCTATATATTGTATTATATAATATATAGAATATTCTATATATTACATTATATAATATATAGAATATTCTATATATTATATTATATATAGAATATTCTATATCATATAATAATATAGAATATTCTATATCATATAATAATATAGAATATTCTATATCATATAATAATATAGAATATTCTATATCATATAATAATATAGAATATTCTATATTATATATATTCTATATTATATAATAATATATATATTCTATATTATATAATATAGAATATTATATAATACATTCTATTAGAATGTTATATAATATATAACACATATTATATTCTATTATATACTGATATATAAAAATAAGTATACAAAGTATAAAAATATTGGCTGGGCATGGTGGCTCATGCCTGTAATCCCAGCACTTTGGGAGGCCAAGGCATGCGAATCACGAGGTCAGGAGCTCGAGACCAGCCTGGCCAACATGGTGAAACACCATCTCTACGAAAAATACAAAAATTAGCTGGGTGTGGTGGCACGTGCCTGTAGTCCTAGCTACTTAGGAGGCTGAGGCAGGAGAATCACTTGAACCCAGGAGGCAGAGGTTGCAGTGAGCTGAGACTGCGCTATTGCACTCCAGCCTGGGCGACAGAGCGAGACTCTGTCTCAAAAAAAAAAAAAAGTATAACATATATTATAATATACATGTATAATATATAATATATAATGTATAATGTATATTACATATGAAATAAAATTTTATATACAATATGCATTATACATATTTTAATATATTATATATTTTATATAATATACATTGTATATTTTTGTTATATTACATATTTTATATATAATATACATTATATACTTTAAATATATAGTATATATTAAAATACATAGTATATATATTTAATATATTATATATTTTAAATATATATTATATATTAAAATACATGGTATGTATATTTAATATATATTTAATATATAATATATATTTAATGTCTATATTATTTAAATAGATATCTATATAAAATCAGCCTTAAATGGATATCTATATAAAATCAGACAGCCTCCAGAACATGGACCTATAGCATACCCTTAGGAAGGGATTAGGACAATCTCTTTTTTTAAATTTAATTTTATTTTAGATTCAGGGGTTACATGTGTAGGTTTGTTACATGGGTATATTGCCTAATGATGGGGGATTTGGGCTTCTAGTGTATCCATTACCCAAATAGTGAACATTGTACCTAATAGGTAATTTTTCAACTCTTGCCCCCCTCTAACCCTACCCCTTTTTGGAGTCCCCAGTGTCTATTGTTTTCATCTTTATGTCCATGAGTACCCAATGTTTAGCTCTTACTTATGAGTGAGAACATGCAATATTTGACTTTCTGTTTCTGAGTTAGTTCACTTATGATAACGGCTTCCAGCTGCATCCATGTTGCTACAAAGGACATGATTTTGTTCTTCTTTGTGGCTGCATAGTATTCCATGTTGTAGATGTACCACATTTTCTATACCCCATCCACTGTTGATGGACACTTAGGTTGATTCCATATCGTTGCCATTGTGAATAGTGCTGCGTTGAACATGGGGTGCAGGTATCTGTTTGATATACTGATTTCCCTTCCTTTAGAGAAATACCCAGTAGTGGGATTACTATTTTAGCTATTTGAGAAATCTCCATACTGTTTTCCACAGAGGTAGTACGAATTTATATTCCCACCAACAGTGTATAAATGTTCCCTTTTCTCTGTGTCCATGCTAACATTGGTTGTTTTTTGAATTTTTAATAATAGCCATACTGACTGGTGTGCGATGGTATCTCATTGTGGTTTTAATTTGCATTTCTGCAAATGATGATGATTAGTGATGTCGAGCATTTTTCATATATTTGTTGGCCGCTTGCTTGTCTTCATTTGAGAAATGTCTGTTCATGTCTTGGGATGAGGGCAATTTCCTGAGAGCAGGATTTTGTTTACCAAATAGTTGTCCTACTGATTTCTTATTGCAAGGCTCCTGGCTAAACCCAGAGTGGATATAAATTATTGACAATCACACCCTTCGTAAATTAGGAAACCAAATTTCAAACCAAATTTGGAAGAGTTTGTTGATCTCAGAGTGTTCTGAGACCCAGAATTTAACACCTTAGACAGTGCCCAAGTAGATGGTGTGACCTTCCACTAAGATGGTCATTAGATGCATGGAAAACACTATGGTTTACACTGAGTGGAGCAGAAATATCAGCACTGCTGTGGCAGATGGTAGTAGATGGGAACAAAACCTCAGAGAAGCTGATGTGCTGTCATGGAAGAGCTACCTGATATTTCTGTTCCATAGCAAGGAAAACAAAATGCATCAGGGCAAGGATGCATGAAGGTAATGACAAAGAGCTGGTGAGAGGATGGCAACATCACTCAGCGGTTCAGAGGTGGTGTTCTCTTGGACCAGGCCTGAGAGGAGGAGAAGCAGTAATAACATTTGTCTTGCTGATAACAAAGGAGATGATAAGACCTGAAATCATAGAGACCCTGTGGACATTTTTATCTGCCTGTAGTGAGTCGGTCAGATATATCTCAATGACTAGCAACATCATAGTGTCAGTTGAGGGGTGCTATGAAACAAGAGATGCTCTTTGGTGGCAAGCAAATAAGTTCTCTTTTTCACTAGGAGAAGGCAAAAAAGCTAAGACCACCTCAAGGATCCAACAGTACAACTGGCTGAACTTCAAAGAAAATTAAATGCCCCAATCAAAGCCCATCTCTAAGACCAAGGTCAGGGCACTGGTTATGAAGACTTGGGATTCTGGCCCATGGGATAGAGACATTTGGGTGAATTGCCTGCCCAGACTTGCCTGAAATTTCTGAGCCTGCATAAGGAGCCAATTTCACCAGTAAGAGCTGGATGTCCCTCTGTGATAGAAGACAAGGTAGAGGTTGCTTCCCCACAAGGCAACAGGTGCCCCCTCAGGCTGTGTCTCTGCTTCTCCTTTTGATCTTCAGGGCACACATCATGAAGATCAGAGGGCCACATGCATGAAGATCAGACAGGCATGGACATGTGTGTGGAGCAAATTGTGTGGATATCTAACAGAAGAATTTTTCAGCATATGCCAGTGAAAGGAATCATGATAGAAAACAAAGAGGCTGAGAACAGGCACTCTTTTCCACAATAGCCACAAGCCCTTTTTTGTTCCCAGGTCTGAGCTTGTTTTCAAGACTAGAACCTAATAGTTGAAGAGATACTGGGGTCCCTGGGAAGACACCCTGCCATTAAAAAGACAAAAGAAATCGGATCATTGGAAGATCACATCAAATTATTATATTGATGACAGCAGATTGATCAGGCAGGATGTGCAAGAGGTGGTCACCATACTGGGAACCTTGGTGTAAAATGTTTTGTGGAGTGTGTAAGGATTCAGGGGTCTCCTATATCAGGAAAAAAATTTTAGGCTTTCAGGTGTCCTATCTGAGGTAGAAAACAAATAGTTGCTTCTTGTATATCTCACCATGTAAAAGGCAGCACAAAACCCGGTAGCCCTTTTTTGGGTTTTGGAAATAACACAGAAACAGAGGTTGTAATCTTATGCCTTGACCCATGTACTGGGTGACAAAGAAGGTGGCCAGTTTATGGGGACTCACAGTAGAAAAGAGCTCTGAAATTGTCCAGTCTTTGATGAAAATAACCCTGTCACGTAGGTAAAATAATCTGGCAAACCCTATGGTGTTGGAGGTGTCAGTGGAGGGAAAGGATGGTACATAGAGTCCTTGGCAAGCCATGTTGGGAGAGTCACAATACAGGTGTCTAGGGTTGTTGAGCAAGGCCTCACCATTCTCAGGAGAGATATGCATTATTTGAATTAGTTTGCTCAAGCTTCCTTAATGGAGGACAGCATAAACTGTCCACCTTCTTTGTCACCCAATGAGTATCTACCAGAAGACGTTATTCCTACATCTGAAGTCATACTGGTGAGTGTTATCTTCACCCTAGTCATTCTTGCTTCTTCACCCATCTTCGTATGTCAAACACACACACACACACACACACACACACACACACACACACTCTCACACACCCTATAGACATTAAATTAAATGCCCCAACTCTCTACCCCTTAAGCATTCTGTTACCATCTATTCACCAACATTTTGTTCCCTCACAGGATGACTCTAATATGAAGGGATGATGGAGAATCTTGACAGACCATGGTGGAGGTGACCAGAGGTAGCCACAGATGCAGAGGTAGTGTGAGAGTAGGGCAATAATAAGACTGTGGGGTATTAGCAATGCTGTAGTCCATGGTATTTGGCAATAAATCCTGGTACCTGGATTACTGTACCAACCAGATGGCTCTAGCACTGATTTTGGCTGTGGCTCAGCTATTTGTTGATCTTAATTCCTCTCCCTTTTCATGGCAATTTTTTGAGCTATCGGTATTTCTCAACTGGGGTGATTTTTCTCCTGAGGGGACATTTGACAATATCTGAAGACTTTTTTGTTTGTCACAACTGGTCGGGTAGGAAGAAAAAGTGTTCTATTGTCCTCTTCTGGATAAATGTCCTATAATGCATAGAACAGCCTCTTACAATAAAGAATTGTGTAGCCCAAATATCAATAGTGTTGACGTTCAGGAACCCTGTTCTTTATTATTTCATCCATGCCTTTCAGCTTAAATTAGCTAGAGTTGGTTTTGACTGATTGCTACAATGGCCATGATGGATGCAGGTAATTTACACTTGAACGTCATTTGCATTTAAGGGTGCTATTTAACCCTGAATGTAAAAGTGTATGTCTCAAGTGTTCTCCAAAGTTTAAGAAAGGATCCCTAAGTTATGACTTGCTTCTCCTGCTGTTCACAATAACACAATAAAACCTGTAAAAGCTTCACCTACTTTTTGTCCTTCTACACCTGTCCTACCTTGGAGGATGCATTGGGAGTTTTAACTATACTTAAAAAGTTGCAGAGCCCTGGTCCATGGACCAGAGAAAATGCTTGTGGAGCAGATTCCCACACACAGCATCAATGTTGATTAATTGAACATTTATAATCAGCAGAGAACCCAGCACTGTTAAAACAGCTCATCAATTAGTGCAACCAATCACCTGGTCATTGGTGAGATAAAGTCTTGGTCCAGTGAATGATAAGGATGTATTGACACGCATTGTAATTGCTATTTGTTGTCTTTTTTGGTCAATAGGAGTCATCTGTGCTTGGAAGTTTATTGCAGTTCTGATGTTGAAGGACATTATGCCAAGAGACTGCACGGAGAGCCTTGTGTACTGCCCTTGTCTAGATATGTGCTACCAGGAAGTCCAAGAAGTTAATGCCTTGTGGCACCAATCTTTAACTAATAGAAGAAGCAAGTGAATAATTTATTGCTGCTTTCTTCCGTTCCAAAGGTGCAATTCCAAGGCATGTTGTATGCATCTTAGTGGCGTTTTCCTGCAGGTTGGCCAACTAGCAGCACCCAGGGCCATCAGTGCATAGATTCTCCCACATGTTTTGTCTTACTCTTCTTGCTCCTTACTCCTATCTCTGGGTTCGAACCCCTAATAATGGATTTGTATGTACACATCCACTGCATTTAATGCTGCTGTCTGGGGAAAAGCAGATCTATATCCCTGTAATCTCTATCTGGGCACACTCAGTAAATGTCCACTGTTTCCCTCAAACCAGAAACAGTGAGCCATAATTGACATTTCTCTTTCCCTCTCACCTCTCAAAACATCTGATTTAGCCTCCAATTTCTGTTGGGTTTGTCTTGATCTCTCTTGAGTTGATTCCATTCTTTATGTTTCCACAGCCATTGATTTATGTCCATACAAACATTACATTGCCATAATTGCTACTATAGAATCCCAGAGCTGGAACCCAATTCTATTCTTGGTTGTCATTATAACGCATTTCTGAGATTGAGAGACACCATCTTCTTATGCCTACAGTGACCAGTCATCTTCAGTTGCTCAGGTCTAAGGTGTTCTGAGGATGTGGGCATTCAGTTCTAAAACTAAAGAGCCCCAGGAAAACCAAGATAAGCTGGTCACTCTTTCTTAGGAAGCCTACAATGGCTTCTATGAATGTTAGAGTGAGCGTCAAATTTCTTAGTCTTGCCACCAAAACTTTCAGCTTACTTTCTGACTTCACCTGTGGACATATTTTCATGACTCATTTTGCTTCAAGAATTAAAATTCTTGTGTTTTCTCAAACAGGTCACACTTAACTGCCTGGTTCTTCACTACTCTGAATGCCTTTTCCCACATTTTCACCAATAAAATGACTCCTTCCATGAAAGATTTTAAGTTGATGGAGAAGTTTAGGGGCTCCTATTATAACCATTGCATAGATATATTTTATCCTTTATCCATTTTAGACTAATCTTTGACCCGTGTTTCATCCACTCCTTTTAGATGGTGAGTTTCTTGAAAGCAGGGACTCAACTTTTTCAATTAGTATGGTTTGAGTGTTTTTGTGTCTTCCAAAATTCATGTCGAAAGTTAATCCACAATGCAATAGTATTAAGAGGCAGGGCCTGTAGAGGTGATGAGGTCATGAAGGCTCTGCCCTCACAAATGGGATTAGTGCTCTTATAAAAGGGCTTGAGGGAGTCATCTTGGCCCTTTTTGCCCTTCTTCCATTTAAGAACACAGTGTTCCTCTCTTCTTGGATGTGAGAATGCAGAAAGAAGGCACCATCTTGGAAGCAGAGAGTGAAATCGCATCAGAAACTGAATCTGCTTGCACCTGGAGCTTGGACTTCACAACCTACACAACCTTCACAACCCTAGAACTCTGAGAAATAAATTTCTTTTATTTATAAATAAGGTATTTTGTTATAGCAGCTGAAACAGACTGAAACCCTAACTTTGAATATTTTATGTTATTATGCATGGTATATTGTAAAGTATATCGCATGATGATATAAATATGTTATAGTATGTGATGATATAGTGGGTTTGTGTTCTGTCTTCTGTACAAGAATTTATATAACTCATCTGTGTAAAGTTCTTGGCAATAAAACCCTCAGTGAGGATTTTATAATTGGATTAAATAATGCCACCAGCCTTCAGGAAGTGGCCTAACCATTTCTAGGCCTTCTGTGAAGAAGAAACTCAAGAATAATCGAGGGAATGAGAGAAAGAATGTTTTCTCCTTTCAGAAATTCTCAAACACACTAGTGTGTTCTGAGAAATCAAAATTTGCATCTAATTCACAAAATAAAGAGCAATGTGGTTGTTCCCATACTTGCAATTCTCTATTTCATTCTCCTCTTGGTAAGTCCAACCTATTTTGGGTAGGCTCTGAGCAACTTGAGACCTGTTGTCTCTCCACTGGGCAAGTCTTTTCACATATATTGAGATTTATTTTCTTGAAGCTATATGAGGGGATTGGAGCCTGAATTATATTTTGCAAAATAGTTCTGGTGACAATTTATTTAGTGAGAACTGTCATAGGGTGGCCTAAATGTATGCTTTTAAGGAATAATCACAAAAAGCATAACTCAATATTTACACACATTTCTGCACAGTGTTGATGGCATAACCACGTTAAATAATCGTTTTGTCATGTAAATGCTATCACCTTCCCAAAATCAACAGCATATTATGTATTATGCTGATGTAAACTGGAGATCAAAGACTGGTCTGTGGGTCATTCCAAAACAGTTACCCTCACCAGTGGTCCAACATGGGCTTCTAGTTGTCAAATTCATCTGCTAAAACATAAAAAAATACATACCATCCTGCATTTCACATTACCTACCTGCATCTTGTATGAAGGCAAACTCCTTGTGCCTTTTTCTGGCAGCCTGTGAAACCTTTAAATATGGCGTGAAATGATTTGGCTCTGTATCCCACCCCAAATCTCATGTCTAATTGTAATCCCCAGTGTTGGAGGAGGGGCCTGGTGGGAGGTGATTAGAGCATGGGGGTGGAATTTCCCCTTGCTGTTCTCATGACAGTGTGTGAGTTCTCAAAAGATCTCATTGTTTAAAATTGTGTGACACCTTCCCCTTTTCTTCTTCTTTCTTTTCTAGCCATGAAAGATGTGCCTGTGTCCCCTTCATCTTCCACCGCAATTGTAAGATTCCTGACGCCCTCTCAGCTATGCTTTCTGTATGGTCTGTGGAACCATGAGCCAATTAAACCTTCTTTTTAAAAATAAATTGCCCAGTCCTAGGTATTTCTTTATAACAATGTGAGAATAGACTAATATATGGTGGGAAGGCACATACTTTCAGACTCCAGGGAAAGGACCCAGATAAAACCTGTGGCAATCCCCAGTGTTTCTTGCAAGACTGATTCAGACATTATCTCATATAACATACATGACAGGGGAGAGAGAGAGATGAAAAAAGAGTTTTGTTCATTCAATTGGACTCCTGTGACTTCATTAATTATATGTAGTATGTGGATATAATGATTCATTCTTATTTTCCAATGAAGCAATGGGGAGGCACATTTACTCCATCCATCACTCTTCCTAGTCTCCATTACATCCTTCTTCTAGGGAAGAATTTGTCTTAAACTTTTACTTGCCATTATCCATACCATTCACTCTTTTATTGACGGCCATGGAGACCATTAGGCACAAATGACATCTATCGGGAAGTTGTCATCCACATTTGGCTGTTTTTCTGCCTCACTAATTTTTTAAGACACTTTTCAGTAGATTAATGGATCCAAACCCTCATTTCAATTATTTTTATTATGCCTGGCTACTGCTTGCCCCCATTAAAATGAGAGTGTGCAGTTCATTTAAGGATTCAATATTCCCGTTAAGCAGTAATTCACACTGGTTTCTTTATTACCACTCCACCAACTCATGGGATTTTTTTGATTTATAGATGTACTTGCTGTTGGAACTCAGCCTCTGTCTGCTGAACTCTGTGTGTATCATGGGAACTTTCCCTCGAAACGCTTAATAATTACTAATGAAGTTTTCTCCAGTTTGTTTAGCTGCATCCACTGTGATTATCAGAGTGAACTCAAGGCAAAATGAGAAATTTTAATGCATTTCTATGGGATTAATTTTTTGCTTGCCATGGTACCAACAGCAGCCAGTTCCTACCAATAGGATTGGCACAGTCAACCGCTGACATAGGTTCCATGAATTTGGACTTTCAATTGTGATCTAGTTTCCTGGAAGTTTTGGTAATATTTTTGCTCTTTTTACTTAATGAGCAATTTCTGAGCAAAGGTAGTATCATTTGGAAAATATTTATTGGGGGATATAAGTGATAGTCACATCAAATGTATATCAATTTTCTATGCTATGTAATCAATGACTACAGACACAGCTGCTTAAAACATTCACTTATTAATAAATACTCATTTATTAGCTCACAGTTTTGCAGGTCAGAACACCAGCATGGTGTGGATGGATTCTCTGGTCATGGTCTCACAAAGCTAAAATCAAAGTGTTGACTAGGCTGAATTTTTACCCAGAAGTTTTGGGGAAATATGCACCTCCAAGCTCAATTTTTTTATTGGAAAATCTCAGTTCCTTGTGGTTGTAGGACTGGGGTCCCTGTGTTTTTGCTGGCTGTCTGTCCACAGTCTTTTTAAGATAGTCTCCTCAATCCCTAAGCCAATAACAACACATTAAATGCTGGTCATACTTCACATCTCCAACTTCCTATTTTGCTATTAGCCAGAGAAAATTGCTTTCAAATGCTCATGGCTCAACTGCATAGTGTCTCTATCTTTAGATTAATTGATTTGGGACTTTAATTACATCTGCAAAATACCTTCACCACAGCATCTACATTAGTGTTTGATTGGATAATCTGTGTGTATGTCAGGAGGCAGGAATCTTAGGAGCCATTTTTTAATCCTTCTTACCGCACTTGGTATTATTTTCTTGGGACTTCCCAGGTCAAATTGTTCAAGAGCCTAATGACTTATTTATTCTCAAGAGTTTATTTCTGTTGTTTCAAAAATATTAATTGAAAGCAAAATTGGAGAGAATCTGCCACTCCTGCAGCTGATATTGCTGATGCTCCCATTGAAGAAAAAGTAGCAACTGAACTGAGTGTAGGACAAAATATTAATATTCTTCTGCAAAAATGAACACTCAGGAGCCATTGAAAACCTGATTCCCTGGGATGCACACGGAAGAGTTTATATTTAAAGTAAATAAGACAATACTGGGTTTATATTATATTTAAGTCCAAACTTCAGACAGGCTTCTTGGGGAGGATCGCTGTGTGGTTATAATCTCATTGTCCAGTTATTGGGGTCATATCTGGATAAAGCAGCTGACATTCAGATTCACTTGGGTCCACACTGTTCACAGTCAGCACTCGGGGTCCTCATTGGGAGACTTTGTAGAGTTTAGATTAGGTAATGGATGTGTGTGCCTCACTGACAGAATTCATTCTTGCTACTATAATGTGTGGTTCTTTTTTTTTTCTTTGCTAGAGCCACCATCTGGGGACTTACTGGAAGCCTTATAAATGGTCATAGTATCTTGCACAACATTGCTTCTAACCAAGGAACCCATGCTAGATAATGGGTTATTGCAGATGAGAATCACTGATCTTGTTGTGTGATACCCAACACCCAGAAACAACTGGCCTTATAGAATAATAGAATGACCTAATATACTTCACTCGTACCTCCAGTTAAATAAATGCTTTCAATATAAAGTGCTGCCTGTAAGATTAAGAATATTCTTTGAACCAGGTCAATATATGATGCAGTTCTTCTTTTAGCTAGAATAAATGAGTCAGGGAACTAAGTAATAGAATAGAAGATGGAACATCTCCAGATACTCAACAACCTCCTTCTACAATTTTTGCTTCATGTCCCCGTTGTATAGAAAACTTAATATCCAATAAAGGAATTCTAGCACCAAGAGATTAATAGTCTTGCTGAATTTGGAGCTTAGGCTAGCAGCTGGTCATTGCAACTCATGAGGTCATTGGGTAGACAGGCACACAATAGAATTTTGCTTTTAGCCAGTACGCCCAACACATGCATTCATTCATGACCAATGGCCACACCTATCTCTTTTCCAGCTGCCACTGTGGTGACCAGCTTTGCATGTGCTCGGGCTGAAATGCGGGGTTCTTGGAAACTGATTCAGCTGAGTCCATATGATGCTTGCCCACTCCTGGTCTTTTATTTATCAAATTCAGGAAAGAACACTAGTTTTAAATAAGGAAAACATGCCCCAGGTAATACCTTTCTGCTCCTCTCCACATCAAAGACATTGGCTGAATTTTACAAAACAATTCTGTGACCACAAGGAATTGTTTATGTAGGCAACATAGGTATCTTTTCTCTGTTAATAAATATTGAATGGATATATTTTAATTTTAAGTACTAATAACATAATATAATGCTATAATTTATTTATGATTCTATTTATAAGTGATGCCAATCTTTAAAAAATAACCGATGGCCAACAGATGTCCTCTGTCTTCTTTCACCCATTCTAAGACAGTAATTTTGTACCTGATCTCATTTGGATCTCAAACTATGCTTAAAGAGCCTTATTTTTATGCTATAGGAAAAAAAAAAAAGGCCGGGAGCTGTGGCTTAAGCCTGAAATCGTAGCACTTTGGGAGGCCGAGTCGGGCAGATTACCTGAGCTCAGGAGTTTGAGACCAGCCTGGGCAACATGGTGAAAGCCCGTCTCTACTAAAACACAAAAAATTAACCAGGTGTGGCGGCATGCGCCTGTAGTCCCAGTTACTCGGGAGGCTGAGTCAGGAGAATTGCTTGAACCTAGAAGGCAGAGGTTGCAGTGAGCTGAGATTGCGCCACTGCACTCCAGCCTGGGTGATAGAGTGAGACTGTGTCGCCAAAAAAAAAAAAAAAAAAAAAAAAAAAAAAAGAAAAGAAACAAATTTAGATGCATAAAAGGGCTCCATAGCCAATTGTTATGACATATTGTAATACATAGCTACCATTTCAAACACACTACTTATACACCAGGAACTTGCCCCATGCACAGTATCCCATGTTATTAATGCAATTACAGTCTCTAACAGAAATGAAATTATTCTCATTTTACAAAGGAAGAAATAGCACCCCAGAGAGCGCTGAGCCCCTAAAAGTAAACTCTAACCAGAATGATACTGAAGTATAGTAAGAAAAAAGAGGAATTACCCTTCTCCAATGGGTATGTCAATTCTATTTCAGGGTTTTGTAACCTTGGCATGGTTGATATTTTGGTTTAGTCTAAGCTTGTCCAACCCACTTTATTTTGTTGTTTTTCTGTTCTGTTTTGTTTTAGGCTTTTAGCAGCCTGAAGCCATGGATTTTAGTTTCTGTCTCTGGTGATAAGTGGAAAAGAGAGATAAGGAAGGGGCTTTACTGGCCCAGCCAGAAACAGAAACTAAAAACCCATGACTGTAAATTCTCCCTTGGACACCCCTGGACTCTACACTCTGACCATTCTCTCCTGTGGGAGCTCTCAAGTGCGCCACAGGCTGGGAGTATATGGTAGGAGACTGAGCAGAGCAGTATCCCTGGCCTCATACCTTAGGTGTCAGTTCCAACTCCTCAATTGTAACAACCAGACACGTCTTCAGATATTGCCAAATGTCCCCCAGTGGGTAGAGTTATCCCTTTTGAGGGCCACTGCTCTGTATAAAAACCACAAAACTTGGAAATTATCTAAAATATGTAGTTGCAATATCCATTGCCCTAACTCCACAATAATGTACACTAAAAATGCTAGATCAATATGACACCCAAGTCAAAGAATATGAGTCCTCCATGACATTCAAACAAAGATTAGGCTCCAGAAAAGTATCTCTTCTGATGACACTCATAGCCCTCCTTAGAAGTGAAAAAAAGCTCAAATTTTGTCATGTCCTCCAGCACTGATAGAGCTCAAACCTTGAAAATAAATCCTCTACTTCTTAAAGGGCGCTATTTCCTGGCTCCTAAAGCCCAGGAGAATGGCCTCAGTACCACAAATCTATGAAATCCTGAAATATTGTAGAAGCCCTCTTATTGTAATTCCATTAAGAAACCACTTTCTCTCACTCAAAAACTACCAGAAATATACAATGCCCAGTATTCACTTTAGTTTTTGAAAACTCATGCTAGAAGACAAAATTCTAAAGAAAGATACTTAGATTAAATGATGCTTGGGTGCCATGTCAATCTGGTGTTTTCAGAGTAGATTGTCTTGGAGTGAGGGGGTTAGATATTGCAAAGGGAATTAGATTAAACATTTCAAAATATGCAAAAGTGGTAAATATGTCTTTCAAACCATAGGCATAATTTACCAGAGAGGCAGTGTTCTTTATTCTACTGGTGAGTTTTAAGCTTTACTTTAGCATTCATTGTTTCCTCTACTCAACTCAGTGATAAGCTTGTTGAGGGTAGAAAGCCCACAGGTTAAACTTATGTTACTCTCTATTAGTCAGGGTTCCCCAGAGAAACAAAACCAAAATGTTGGAAGGATAAACAGACAGACAGACAGACAGATAGATAGATAAAATAACTAGTTAGCTAGATGATAGGTAGACAGATGATACATAGATGATAGATGGATATATAGATGATAGATATATGATATATATATATAGAGAGAGAGAGAAAGAGAGAGAGAGAGAGGAAGAGAGATAAAGAGAGAATAGAGATTTATTATAGGAATTAGCTGAGAAGTCCCATGGCCTGCCACCTGAAAGCTGGAGACCCAGGAAGCTGGTGGTGTACTTCAGTCTGTGTCTAAAGGCCTGAGAACCAGGCATGGCTGCTGGTATTAAGTCCTGGAATCTGAGAACCTGACAACCAAGAGCTCTGAGTCCAAGGGCAAGAGAAAATGGATGTCCCAGCTCAATAACAGAGTGAATTTGTCTTTCTTCAACTTTTTTGCTCCCATTCAGGCCCTCAATGGATTGAATTATACCCACCTACATAGGTAAGGGTATCTTCTTTCTTCAGTCTACTGATTCGACTTCTAATCTCTCTTGGAATGTTCTCACAAAAACACCTAGAAATAGTGTTTACCAGCTATCTGGGCATCTCTGAGCCCAGTCAAGTTGACACATGAAATCATCCATCACATCCACACTGGGTAGGACACACACATGGAGGAAATGTCTGTCTGTGGCTTCCAATAGAACATGACAATATCATTGGAACATGTTGCAATGACAGTTACTCCTTGATATTCCTGCATTGTTAAGAGTTTTGTAGTATCTCTTAGGGATACCTTCAATTCTATCTTCCTTGAGCAGATGTTTATCTTTATTTCTTACTCATAGACAAAATCATCTAAGATCAGGAAAATTCTCTTTCTTGCTGAATGTAGCCACACAGTTAAGATGCTGCAGGTTTTTACAAACAACCATTTGTAATGGAAATATTTCCATGGTGTCAGTTAATATGCAGATATCATTGTAATTAATAATCCATTATCATGAAACTGTGTGGCCCAGCTGGAGGTCTGGAATGGAACCAGAGTAGTGGTTTATTCTGAATGTAATATTTTGATGGCATCTACCTGTTTCTGTATAAATTACACTTTCCTCAGGATTGCAAGTGTTCTGCTACCCATGAAGTTCTCTGGAAAACATAAATTTTCAGGAGGTTTTGTTAATCTTATTTTTGCTTCTTGAAACATTTTTTGCCAGGTTGAATGATGGAGGGTATCATATTTTACCACTGTGTTCTACCAGATTTAGATTTTTCATGAGCCATACAAAGAGAGGAAATTATTATATCATGCAGATAGTGGCCCTAATTCATTTAGGCATCTATCAACAAAACATTTTTGAGTTGTGGTGGTAAATTTTTACCACTATCAGAGAGACAAGAATTAATGGGAAATCTATGAAAAAATGGCTAATAACAAGCATAGACAACAGATGATATTTCTTTTCTTTTTTGCCCTTCCTTTCTTCTTTTTTGCCCCCTCCCTCCCTCCTCCCTCCTTCCTTCCTCCCCTCCTTCCTTCCTTCTCCTTCCTGCTCCTCCTTCCCCATTTCATTTTTCTGACATCCACTATGTGCTTGACATATACTTGGCACCACAGGAAAATAAACAAGATAAGCAAAACAATTTTTAACTTCATAGAAGAGAATTAAAGGTAAAGACAGGATCATTATTATTCTGATTGTTGTATTAGTTAATCCATTTTATTGTGTCTCATTTGAGGATCTAATTTAAAAATACTGCAAATGTCATCAATTCCTGATTAGAAATGGTGCCCTCTAAGTGGACAAACTGGCTTTATCAAATAACTTTACACTCTTATCAAATGTATCCACAATCTTATCAAATTAATCTACACTCTTCGTGTGAGGTTTTTCAACTATTTGCATTATCGTTCAAATCGGATTTATTTACAATGCCTGCAAGAATATTAAAAACCCTGGAAAATGCCCAGAAATATAAGTCTATATACACTATGTTTTTATCTGCATTGTATGATTTGGTCATTAAAATTTAGTTGCTACATATTCATGAATAGGAAAATTATTATATGTCTACTCAGTCAGTTTTTCACCTCAAACCTTCCCAATGGGATCAAAACAACAAAATAGTATAAATAAAAATGAATGTATTTGATTTTCTCCCCCAAAATATTTTGGGTTTTAAGGTATGAATTTATGATTTTATATAATTTTACACTGTGTTTGAAAGAGTACTTTCTTGTACCTTAGTTCAGCAAGTCATTAGAAAAACAGCAGTAACATCTCAATGCTCCATAAAAATCTGGGAAAAAGCTATATTTTTGTGAATTCGATTTCAACTGTGTAGGTGGAATACAGTGGAGATTGCTACCTTTAATTTCTCA